>NC_000004.12:15572916-16197916 GCF_000001405.40 Homo sapiens | reverse complement strand
GATGAATTAACAACCTTGAAAAATCTTTGCCCACAAATATTTTGTTGTAGACTTAAAAAAAAAATTAGAAAATGCATCTAAATTCTTTAAAAGCAGATTCACTTATGTATATCTTCCCTCTTTCCCAGATAAGAGTAGTGTCATTTTAGAAATCATTTGAGAAACTTCTTGAACGAGGATAATCTTTTTAATGATTCATGACATATAAAACAGAACTAAGTTTTGATTTATTATATGAAGTGTCTATTCCTTGGAAGAATGATAGAATTTTTTGTTTTTCAGAAAAGCAGACTGCTCTATATTATGTTAGAGGTACGAAACATCCTTTTTCCAAATTTGCTTGTAGAATTGAATGAAAAATAGCTAATTATGTACATTTGATTTACCTGGCATTTTTGTCAGCCCTCTATTCTCCTGAAATTTGTGACTTCGTTTTGTGCTTTAGAATTCTCAGTCACGTAAGTTAAAAGTTAAAGAAGATTGTAGAGAAAAATGATATAGCCTGGTACCAAGAATTGAGTTATTGTTGAAAAAACTTTACTGAAACATTTTAGAAAGTGATACATGAGTTGAACAGGCTTAAGTAATAAATGCCGGAGTGTTTTTTGGTTTTTGTTTTTTACTATTAGAGCAACTAAAATATGTGTGAGCAAATGTTCTGTCCCCTGGCCCGGCTTTAGGCATAACTCTCACATGAGGCTTCACAGGCTTTTATTTTTCTTGGTTGAAGAGGCAATAGTATCATTTTCTTTTGAGAGTTTATCCCATGGGAGAGCTCTTGTCTCCCAGAATTATGAATTTCAGATGCTTGAGAGTTTCCTAACCTTTTGAGTTTCCTTCGTATGCCTTACCTCTTTCGAAATAGTTCTGCCCAAGATTAACCTCACCTATATGTTATAATAGATTTTTCTCTTTTTAGACAAAATTAAGCCTTGATTTTGGCCTAAGTGATTGATGCCACCACTGTAGCACAAGTAGGGAGAGCTCTTGGTAACTTTCTCTGGGGAAACAAATATGCCTTTTACTTCCTTTTACCAGGGCTGATCTATGTGGCTTATTTGTTGAGAGCAATATATTTGTTATTAGAAAGTCTTCGTAACACCAGGTTTTATTGTCCCGTTTCCTCACCATGGAGCTCTAAGTAGCGTAGCAACATTACAATCTTCTCTCTTTCTTTCTCTCTCGTAAATCAGACCGAAGGGAGGAGCACTTTCACTTCCTTTATAGAATGGAATGTGGTGGCACAGGGACTCCTTGTGGTGAGTAAACCCTGATTTTTCCTTCTATACTCTTGGCCAAATTGACATTCATTAAATGCAAAAGTAAACAGGATAGGCAGACATAGCCATTAGGGGGTAGAAACATACTGAAGAAAATGTGGATCCCTGTCCTTTTTAAAATAGCATCTTTACTTGGTCTTAAAGCTTTGTCCACATTTCTTTGTGAAGGATTTGACTGTGATTTCACCTAACATGAAAATCCGCTCAAAAGTCATCTTTACACATGTTAGCTTAGACTTAGCAAATACTTCATCCCCAAAGCCACAGAAATTGGCTGAGCTTAATTCCTTCCATATAAGCAGTTTTTATTTTGCATTACTAAAATTGTGAACATAGCTTTATAAATAAGTTATTTTTTTCAGTATAGTTTGAAATTAAAGTTTAAGAAATGGTTTGAATCATTCCGTTTAAGTATTTATTTTTCTGTTACATATGAGTCAAACTGAAGATTTAAGATACTTAATTTTCTAATTCAGGAAAACATCTTGATTTCACTACTTTATTCCAGTTTACTTAAATTATAAAAGGATTTCACTTTCAAAAATAAAAACATATTATTTTGCATTTTTATTTCAGTAGTGCTTGTGTTTCTTCACTCTTCCAATTATACCACAAATGGCTGAAAATATTGAGAGAGAGCGAGAGATCTAGTCTATGTATTTTGTAATGAAATAACTCATGCTAATACTCTGGCATGTTTCAACACTGATTTGAAATAACTATGCAGGGATTCTCCCATTTTTCTCGCTCATTTTTGGTGCCACATCTTCCTTCTTGATCTTTCTGTCCACTACTAGATGTTACTTTAATCATAGTTAGCATATTATCTTCCCCTAAAGAGGAAAAGGAAACAGCTTACCCTTGATCGTCTTTCTCTACTGTATAATTCAGTTTCTGTAAGTCTATGAGCCCTTTGAAACAACTAGAGATGCTCTAACTGGTAAATTGTACAATGTAAAATTGTACAGTTACCAGAAATACAATGGAAATGGAAATGTTTGTAAGAATAAAAAGTAAAATTTTGGAAATTTAGCTAATTTGGTTTCTGTAAGGGTGGTTTTACTAGAAATTTTTAAAAGAATTCTGTTTAAATGTCTTATGTTGAAAAATGTTTAAGTTTTGTTAAATACCTGATGTAATATTACTTGTGTGATGACATACACCCAAACCTGCAAATTAGATTAGTGGGTTTTTCACTTTGCCCAACAGTATGTTTCACTTGTTTATGCTTTCATATGGGGTTTTCATCATTTGCAAGGTGAATTGCCAGTAACCACCACTTAGCCATTTATAAGAACTGTAGCATGAAAGTATTTTTCAAAAGCCAGTTCGGGGTTGAATGGCAGGGCCTTGGATAAGCTTCTTAGGGAGTTTGAAGTGCTTATCAGATAGTCATCTAAAAATATCCTGGCAGAGAAGGAACAAATAAACTGATTGGTTCAAGTTGTTTTAACCAGGTAAACTTATTTGTGAGGTTAGGTCTTTTCTTAGAAAGAGGCTGTGGTACATACAGCTGTCTTTTAAGATGCCACCTTAGAAACAATTTTTTATTTTGGCAGCCTTTCTTTTTTATTAACAAGGACATTTATATGAAAACAAGACCCTTATCGGGCACGGTGGCTCAAGCCTGTAATCCCAGCCCTTTGGGAGGCCGAGGCCGGTGGATCACCTGAGGTCAGGAGTTCAAGACCATCCTGGCCAACATGGTGAAACCCTGTCTGTACTAAAAATACAAAAAATAAGAAGAAGAAGAAGAAGAAGAAGAAGAAGAAGAAGACAGAAATCAAGACCCTTGTTTTTTAAAGGTTCTGCTTCTTGTATTCTTTATATGAATAATATTCCTCCTGAAAATCACAGTCATTCCTGCAGCAACCAATTATGATGTTAGCAATGGATGGAACGCTTCCACCAGAGCAGGGGGTGCACAGAAAGCAGTGAATTCAATATGTGTATATCGTATATATATCATAATAGTCCAGTTTTTTTTTGCGTTCATTTTTAGAAATACCAAATGATAGATAGGTTTGTTTTTTTGTACAGCAATTTATTGAGATGAGATTGCGGTACAGTGATAAAGTATCCAGTGTAAAATTTTACAGAAAGATAGTAGGTTCTGAGTTGTTGATTCCTGCAAGTTTAGAAGTTCTGTTTTAAAAAGTCTAGAGTGCAGATGTTTCTGAAGAGCATGCCTTCTGGAGCCAGGTTGCCAAGTTTCCATCCCTGCTGCACCGTGTGGGAACTTAATCACTGTACAACCACAGGCATGTTCCTGACTGTCCCTTGGCTCATTTGTAAAACCAAGATGATTAAATAAATAGGATTATTGTGAACACTGAAAGGAATATATGTGGAGTGTCTAGAACAGTGCTTGCCACGTAGTAACTGAATTGTAGCATTAGGTGTTTCTACAACTTTTCTTTGTTAATTTATCAGCTTGGTTCAAAAAGTGTGGTATTATATCATTTTGGGATATGTGTTTCCAATGTTTGGTAGATCTAATTTCTAACTATGGCTTGTATTAAATATACTATTCCTTCATTGATATACTAA
Source organism: Homo sapiens (assembly GCF_000001405.40). NCBI lineage: Eukaryota > Metazoa > Chordata > Mammalia > Primates > Hominidae > Homo > Homo sapiens. The sequence goes on along the minus strand of NC_000004.12, from coordinate 16,194,086 downwards.
CACGTTGTTCTTTGATTCAAAATATGTATATAAAGAAACACAATTGGATATATACTTAAAAGCCCTTTGTCTCAAATAAAATTGCTCTGACTGAGATCACTCAACTAAGTAGATGCCATCTAATACGAAAAGCTCTAAGTATAGTTTTCTACTTTAATTAGTTATCAAAATTATTTTCATAATTAACACAAATTAATACTACCCTACTTTTAGCTCGTATCATTTTCTTTAATTTATAAACATGACTTACAGTCTTTAAACACAAAAGCCCATGACTGTTGATGATGTGTGACTTTCAGTATATGCTGAGCTGTGCTACTCTTCTGAGTGGGGGCTGGTGGCTCACGTTTGTTCCCTGCTGCCCAAGTGGAGACAGTCACACCAAGGCCAGGAGCTCACAAGTGTTCAAAACGTCTCCTCTTCTCAGTGTTTGAATGAGAAATATGTTTAAGTGATCAAGATCCAATTCTTGGCAGATATAATAGGTCTTCCATTTTCAGTCTTGTAGGGATAAGGGCAGGAAATTATCTTGATATTCAGGTAGCCCTTGGCAGAGATCTGTGCTCTGGGCTGGTTGGTTGGGAGTCAGGAGATGAAGGACATTCTTTGTTCCCTGAGGAGAAAAAGGTCTCTCTTTCTCTCTGTGGGAGAAAGAGGAACATCATTGGATAAAAGAAAGTCATGGTGAAAAAGAAATAATGACAGAGATTGATCAACTTTGGCCGTGATGCAATCTTTCCTGAAGCCTTAACTTCAACTGCTAAGAGTAGTTTTACTTGGCTTTTCATACCCATCTTAAGTCATGTGATCTGACTTAGACACATTCTGACCTCTCTCTTATTTAGGCTCATTGGTCCAGCCCAGTGTATTTCCAGCCACCTTTAGCCCTTCGTGAACAGTCTTCACAGAATTTGTCTGCTTTCAGAATTTCTGCAATATCTTAGATTCTGTCTGTAAATAGATCAGCCAAATTAATATCTAACTGAAAACATCATACAGTGCACATTGTAGAAAACAAGAATGAGTTTCTGTAACAACTGCTCACAGAATTGGTAGAGCATCATTGTGACCTTATAAAGCAATGTTTCAAGTAACAGTTTGGAAGATTTACAAATTCCTTCTTAAACTCCACAAAGATCTTTGGAGGAAAAGCATTAGGAAAGAGCTCTGGAGAATATGTAGCCAAGGAATATCAAATACATAGGTGACTCAGATGGCCAATGGCCATTTAGAAAATGAGCCCACCCCTGTATTGTTGCTTAGAACATTGTCACAATTGGTGGAAATGAAGAGATTCTGCAGCTCCTAAAAAAAAGTACTCGGGCCGTTTTATTGATTGCACTATGCATAAAAGCTGACAAAACAAGAGACAGCATTTTCTGTCCTGAGGAATCAGCCTGCAACAGGCAAAGAGAACGTATCTTTCCCATTCTTATCACAAGAATTTTAAATCCAGTGGAAGAAATCTTAAATTTCTTCTTTTCTAATGTATTTTTTGCTCTGTCTTGTTAAGATGGTTCCTTTCACAATTTAGGTTTAGCTCCTTTTACTCTAACCTCAGAAGTAAGGAGTGATTCTTCTGCTCATATTAATTATGAAAAAAATATTTCAACTGAAGTCACAGAGGTCTAACATTTGTAATACAAAAGCTGTCCTATAAACCAGTACAAGAAAGATAGGGAGTGTTCATATGAAATATAAATAACTGTTAAATATGTGGAAAGATGTTTAGTTTCCTAATGATAGAAATTAACGGTGAAACTACACTGTGTACGATTTTCCATCAGTGAGACTGGCAAAGATCCAAAAGTTGATCAAACACTGTATCAGTGCCCTGGGCTACAGGCTTTCTCATGACATTGCTAGTTGAGGTATAAACTGTACCCAGTACAGTGGGCAGTTCAGCTGTTTCTATCAAAATTTCAAGTGAATATAACCTTGGAATTCCAATTTCAGGAATTTATCCTACAGATACACTTTCATATATGTGACATGGCATGTAGATTGCATCATGGCTCATAATTGCAAAAGACTAGAAATCTGTCAGTTATACGTTAAATAAATTATGGTTCATCCACATAGTGGAACACTATGCTGCCAAAAAAGTATGAACTCCTGATGAACTTATATGGAATATCATGCCGTTAAATAAAGTACAAAATGCAGAGCAGTATGCATAGAATGTAGCATTGTGTGAAAAGGGCTGATCCAGCAGGCTATGTGCAGGGATTCATGATTAGGTTAAAAGCTTATGCCATAATGGTGGAAATCTGTTGCTGGAAAGCACCCTATCAGTAGATACCTGCCCTCTGTGTTCATTTGTTAAGATTGCCAACATCTAATAGTAATTCTTACTTAAAATCTTTATATTCTATACTTGGACAGAAAATTTTACACTGTCGAGTAGTCATTTAGTTTAACCTCCCTTGTTTGAAGTTTTTAAAAGATCAACATAATTCTTATTTTTACCTTTGTATGCCAGTGTATATCGAGTAAAGATTATTGTTTTTGTGAGAACATACAGAGTAAAAATTATATTTTTATTACTTCTTGTATGTTTCAGGGACAGACGTTTGCTTCAGCCTGCCCAGGTGTGTGACATTTTGAAGGGTGTCATTTTGGTAATCTGCTATTTTATGATGCACTATGTTGACTACTCCATGATGTACCACCTGATAAGGGGGCAGTCCGTCATCAAGCTCTACATCATCTACAACATGCTGGAGGTAAGGGCCTTGCTTACCCCGCACAGGCCTGGCCAGGGCACTCAGCTTCAAGTCTTCAGTTCTGAAGGTACCTGAGAGTCAAGAATGCTCTACCGACTCTAGTTATGGTGCTTCTGGCCTTTACTGTGCTGTCATCACTTGGGGGCTCTTCTTAAACATGGATTCTGATTTAGGAGATCTAGGCTGGGTCTGGAGAATCTGCATTTCCAGGGCGGTGGGGCTCATGCTGCTGGTCTGGGACACACCTCTGGTGGCAAGCCTGCAGGCATGGCATGTCCTCATGTAGGCTGGGAAGATTCTTGCTGCCCAGACATTTTAGAACCAGTACCCCCTTGAGTATCCAAATTGTCAAGTGCTAGGGAAATTAGTTTCACAACTTCATTAGAAACCCATGCTAGAACTTTAAATTATGAAGTAAATGTTATGATTATGTATATGTTTGCTGTAAGAAATACACATTTTAAGTTGCACATTTAAATTCAGATCTTTACATAGGGTAAATAAATATAAGTTCCCAATTTTTGTAAGTAATGTTTTTAGTACAATATGTCTCACTTCAAAGCATTCAGCGTATGAAAATCTGCATTTATATAAAAAATAAGTTGAGCTGATATACATTCACTTTACAAAAAAATGCTTCGCTTTATAAGCCAGATATTCACAAGTTTTTTAAATAGTAAGCTACCCTAAGTTATATAATAAACTTTGAAATTCAAATTGCAGGCCGGCACGGTGGCTCACACCTGTAATCCCAGCACTTGGGGAGGCTGAGGCGGGGCGGATGACCTGAGGTCAGGAGTCCAAGACCAGACTGGCCAACATGGTGAAACCCCGTCTCTACTAAAAATACAAAAATTAGCCGTGCCTGGTGGCGCGTGCCTGTAATCCCAGCTACTTGGGAGGCTGAGGTAGGAGAATCACATGAACCCTAGAGGTGGAGGTTGTAGTGAGCTGAAATCGTCCCACTGCACCCCAGCCTGGGTAACACAGCGAGACTCCATCTCGGGGAAAAAAAAAAAGAAATTCAAATTGCGTTTTTATATTTTATTTTTGGGGGGATACAATAAGGTCTATTTATCTTTCTAATTAGCCATGAAGAGATTTTTCCTAGTGAGAGGACAGATGGGGTGGGGGCTGCTGGCCTTTCTGCTCTGAAGCTGCATCGCTGTGGTAGACAAGGACTCTCCATCTCTTCACAGAAGCCATGGAGCTCTAGCCTTCCTGGTACCTCCTAAATTCAAGACCAAGATGTTTTAAAACCATACCCCAGCTACCTGATTCTAGGCTTGCTGCGCGTACACTTTGCCCCACCAAGTAGGTTGCCTAGGGGTGGATGGGGACAAAGTTTGTGAAACAGAATAGCTCATCTTGTTCTCCCTTCCTTCTCATAGAAAGAGCCTAGGCCTCATTCCCTGTTCCCCTCTGCTCTCTGCCTTGCTCTTTTCACTGCTGCCCTACTAGTCTCTCCTTCGTAGGCTTTCCATCTTAGGACACTGGAAAGTGCGAGGGTTTCTCCCTGTCCCCTGACTTACAAAGCCCTCTCAAGGTAGTATTATTATTGTTACTAGAAAATAGGCCGAGAAAAAGGATCCATGAATTGCTGACTAAAATGATTTATATACGTATTCACATTGCAGACTATAATTGATGAGGTGGCTTAAACACAGTGGATGAGAGTCCATGCTCTGGAAGAGGCAAACCACCTCTGACCAAATCCTAGTCCTTCCTTTATTACCTGTTATCCTGGACATAGTTACTGTTGCTGAATATCTCTAATCCTCAGTTTCTCATCTGTAAAGTGGAGATACTAGGGAGATTATGAGGATTAAATAGACTTCACATAGAAAGGGTTTAGCACAATATCAGGCCCATGGTAGGAGCTCCCTAAATGGTAGCTGTTATTCATTCAGCACATCTTTAGTTGGCACTTGCTGCATGCCAAGCATCTTAGACCCTGAAGACTCACAGGTGAACCAGCCTATTCTCATGGAGCTTATATTCTACAGGTGAGAGATAGACAATAAACAAGGAGACATTAGGAAATGATATATCTTATGATGAAAAAGAACAGACTAAGGCAGTAGAGACCATAGGAGCCACAAGAGATTGGATGGTCTGGAAAAGGCCTCTGTTAGGATGTGGCATTCAGACTGAATCCTGAATATCATGCCCTCCTTTTCTCTCTTTTATGTGTCAATTTTTACCTGTTATACTGTATTCAAGGAGATTGATACCTGAAAATGTGGTTAGGAAGTAAATCTGCATATTTTATTCCATATAATAAACCTCAAAAAAATAGTTACCATTATTTACAAATATTAGATATGAGTAGGTCAAATGATATATTTGTCCTAAATTTGAATCCTGAGTTTGAATTTAAAGTGCTAAAACCAGAGGAACCATGATTTTGATGTGCCCACCCCCTTTTTTTCTTTTTTTGGTTGAGTCAGAGTCGCGCTGTCACCCAGGCTGGAGTGTAGTGGCGCAATCTCGGCTCACTGCAAGCTCCACCTCTCGGGTTCACGTCATTCTCCTGCCTCAGCCTCCCGAGTAGCTGGGACTACAGGCGCCTGCCACCACGCCCGGCTAATTTTTTGTATTTTTAGTAGAGACGGCGTTTCACTGTGTTAGCCAGGATGGTCTCAATCTCCTGACCTCGTGATCCGCCCACCTCGGCCTCCCAAAGTGCTGGGATTACAGGCATGAGCCACCGTGCCCGGCCAGATGTGCCCACCCCTTTTATTTTTGCCACTATTTAAGACTTTCTTTGTTACAAACATAGCTAATTAGTCTAACTGAAATTCTATACATATTTTAGCCGTTACTATTTGTTAAAGAATAAAGAAATGTGAGTGAATAAGTAAACAAAGATCCTCACTCCTCTTTAGCTTGCCTTCTACTAGGATTTAAAACACAGATCTCCAGGATTTGAGCTATATCTCAATTTTAGTTATATATTTAAATGGAATATTAAGAAACATCTTACAAATAATTTTTTTTTTTAGGTAGCTGATCGTCTGTTTTCATCTTTTGGACAAGACATATTAGATGCTCTCTATTGGACAGCAACAGAGCCTAAAGAAAGAAAAAGAGCCCACATTGGGGTGATTCCTCACTTTTTCATGGCTGTTCTCTATGTCTGTATCCTTATAGACCTACTGGAAATTTCCGACAGTTAATGCATAGTCTACCTTATTTTATTTGGTTAGCCATTTTATAGATTTAAAGATATATAGATAATGTATGTATCCTGAAGATTAATGTGAAATATTTGTGTTCTGTTGAGAAATTGATTGTCATAATAACTAACTAATTTAAGAGCCTCATGTAGGCATTACTCTTTGAGCTGCTGGAAAACAGTTCTGTTTGCAGTGTAACTGATTATAAGGAAGACTTTTATAATAAAAAGGCAGTGTATCTTTATACATACCTGATATAGATCTATATAATTTTTCGTACTTATGTTAGAATTTTTCTTGAAGTTATCTTTAAATCCAGGAATTCTTTTTTATGGGCTTAAAATGCATGGAATTTATCTAAAAGTGTAATGTGAAATTGGTTGGGAGGAGTTTTGGTGGTTTTATGTGTTTGTGTATTCTTCCCTGGCTTTAAGCTTTTCTATTGGAGAGTAAGTGCTTTACTGTATAAGCAGTGTACATGTTTGTGTGTACCCCTACATATTTATACACACATTCCTGCTCTTAAGTTCCATGTGAAGTCAGGACTCATTCACAAGAATGAGTCACTTTTTTTTTTTTCTATCTCTGTAACAGTGACACTTGAAAGAAATTGGGTTAATGCTTGGAAAGTTAAAGAACCAAGTTGGAAGATACCTGTGAGGGTAAAATCTTGTTCCAGTTTTAATGGAGTAAAGCAGTTACCACTCTTAGATATAAATTAACTATTCTGTATGTAATACAAATATAATTCTGCAGTTTATGGATATCTTCAAAATGACATATGAAGAAGAATCTTAATTATCAGATATTTCCTACTGCCTTACATTCCACATTTCCTGAAGACTCAGGGAAGAAAATCACTTCCAGAATTATATTTTGTGCTTTCTTTTTTAGAATGCAAATTATTTTAATTCAGAATGTGTATTTCTTAGTCTCTTCTTTCAGTATTTACCATAATTTATTCCATTTACTTAACAAACTTTTTTGAGGGCCTATTTCCTGAGCACTGTGCCAAGTGCCAGAGATACAGAAAGAACAAAACAACCCTGTTGCAAAGGATTCATGGTCTAAATAAATGAATGCATAGAGGTACATTTCCACTTTTGTTCGTTTCATGTGGATTGCACATATCCTGTCAAACTTATATCAACTATAGCTAATAGGGAAATTATGAAGATAATACAATACTTATTAAGACAATTTAGAAAAGAAAGTCATCTTTATTATTCACTTTCAAAATTTTATAGTATTATCAGTAATAATATGAAAGCAAATTTAAGTTTTTTCCTTGACCTTCTATTAGTTTTGCATGCAATTCTTATAATGGTTCAAGCAACAACTCTCAATGTAGCTTTTAACTCACACAACAAGTCTTTGCTTACTATCATGATGTCTAATAATGTAAGTATGAGATTTATCTTACATTTTTGAAGTTATACAGGCATTTCAGCTGCAATACTCTGGGTGGGATAAAATTCTTTGTTCTATATGTTGTTCTCCCGGAAGTTTTATAAGTAGCAAGTCCAGTTTTTAAACTGTTATAATCATAAAGATGGTATTTCTGTTTACTATTTCAGTTTGTTGAAATTAAAGGAAGTGTTTTCAAGAAGTTTGAAAAGAACAATCTCTTTCAAATGTCAAATAGCGGTATGTACAATTAGATTCTACTTGAAGTTCTGTGCAGTATTATTTTGCAGTTCATTCTGAAATCCTAATGGCACATTTTCTCTGGGCCACTCTTCAGCTTAAACTGTACCTTCTCTTATGCTATCAACATCTTTACTAGGTTTTCTTATTTTTGGTTCCTGTAATCACAAGATGTTTGAGATAAAAAAATTAGAAACATTTGTGTAGCACCATACGCTACTTTGAGAAGCTTCTTAATAGTCTAGAAATTTCTCTGAAGTGGGTGGTATTTTTCCATTTTATAGATGTGAAAACTGAAACACAGAAAATAATTTGACTTCTCCACAGTCACATAGCTTCTAGGAGAACTATGTCTATAAATCTCAGATTGTCTCTAAGTCCTTAGCTTTTTTAGTTATTATTTAGTTATTATTTACTGCCTTCGTTCTAATCCTAAAAAGTGTGAAGGCACAAAATTTTTGTGCCTGGAGTCATTGTCTTACATAGTTTTTGAAAGCCAGAGCCACATTGCGTGGTGGATCATGGAGCCCCCAAGAACAGTCCCAGGGGCTCTGCCAGGGAGTATGCTCAGAGTCAAAAGTGTTTTCACAAGAATATGAAGACATTATTCATCTCTTCTGCCATGGTGACATTTGCACAAGTCATGAAGAAATGGTGGTGTTTTAGCATGAATCCAGACAGATGTACAATAGAGAGGACCCCTAAAGGAACCTGGCTTGATGATGTCCTTGAGGAAGGAGGGGTGTGTTATGGGGAGGCCTGCAGTCCTGTCGTAGATAAGAGCACACATGGCTCATCCAAAGCAGCGCTTGTCAGACTTTTTGGTCCTGAGAACCCTTTTACACACTTTAAAAAGTATGATGATCAGCCAGGCGCAGTGGCTAACGCCTGTAATCCCAGCACGTTGGGAGGCCGAGGCTGGTGGATCACCTGAGGTCAGGAGTTCAAGACCAGCCCGGCCAACATGGTAAAACCCCGTCTCTACTAAAAATACCAAAATTAGCTGGGTGTGGTGGCGGGTACCTGTAATCCTAGCTACTGGGGAGACTGAGGCAGGAGAATTGCTTGAACCTGGGAGGCGGAGGTTGCAGTGAGCCAAGATTGTACTAGAGCACTCCAGCCTGGGTGACTAGAGTGAAACGCTGTCTCAAAAAAAAAAAAAAATTACGATGATTCCAAAGGACTTTTATTTATATGGATTATGTCTCTCCCTATTCACCATATTCGAAATGAAAACTGAGAAATTTTAATAAAAATATTACATGCTTACAAAAATAACATTTCAATAAAAAAGATATTTTATAAAACAAAATTTAGTGAGAAGAGTTTCTCAACAAGTAATGCTGGAACAGTTGGATAAAGGTTAAAAAAAAAAGAACTTTGGCCCCTTCCCTGCCCAAGAAAATTAATTCATAGTGGTTCATAACCCTAAACATAAATGCTAAAGTTATAAAACTTCTAGAACAAAATATAGGAGAAAACATTCACAACCTTGGTCTAGGCAAACATTTTTGGAGACCACACAAAAAGTACTAAATGTAAAACAAAAGAGAGAAACTGGACTTCTTCAAAATTAAAATATGTGATCATAAAACTTAAAAAGTGAAAAGGCCAGCCACAGTACTAAGAGAAAAGATTTGAGATGCATATATCTGACGATAGATTTTGTTTGTTTGTTTTCTGAATATATAACAAACTATACCAATCAATAATGAAAGGACAATCTAGTTTTAAAATGGGGAAAAGGCTTGAACAGACATTTCACAAAAGAAAATCTATAAATGTCCAATAAGGTCATGAAAAGCTGCTCGGCATTATTAGGGAAAATGTCACTGGAGAAAGACAAAGCCATAATGAGATAGCACTGCACACCCTCCAGAGTGACTGCTCTTGTAGCCTGACAGTGCCACAAGTTAGGATATGGATTAACTGGCACTCAGGCATCGATGGCGTGAGTGTAAAGTATTACAACTGCTGTTTTTGGCCATTTCTTTTACAGTTAAATGTTCACCTGCCCTGTAATTCAGGAAATATATTTCCTCAGTAGGACTTGTTGCAAGAATTATTATGGCAGCTTTGTTCATACTAGCCAAAAACTGGAAACAACCCAAATAGCTATCAGTAGGAAAATAAACAAACTGTATATCCATACCATAGAATACTACTTAGCAATTAAAGATAAAAGAATGAACTCCTAATATTGTCAGCTATGTAGGTCTCAGAAGCATTATGTTGAGCAGAAAAGCCAGACACAAAAGTGTACATGATGTATTATTTCATTTATATGAAGTTTATGATCAGACAAAATTCGTTTATGATGATAGGAATAAGAGGTTGTTTGTTGGGCATTTGGATTGACTAAGGGGACTCAAAGGAGCTTTCTGGATGATGGAACTTCTTTCTGTATTAAGGGCTTGGTGTCTCAAGTTATGCATTGATCAGAACTCATCACATAATGTACTTAAGATCTGTGCATTTCACTGTATGTAAATTTTACCTGTATATTAGACAAGGAAAATAATGGCATATGAATATGTTAAACAAGTTATAGGAGATTTGAAAACTAAGCAAGGAACAAAAAGAACAAATGGAAAACTTGAACATAAAGCCTAGATGATTCTATGAGGCCATGCTGGACCTGACTCTCAAGGCTCTGAGAAGCAGTTCATATTCTTGCTGCTTATTAATGTTGCTCACCTTTCAAGTGCAGACTGCCAAGTGTCATGAATTAGAAATGAAAGAGGAAGGAGGGAAGGTACTAAATTATAGAATACTTTGCTTCAGTAGTTAACCATAGAGTAAATTGATTCAACTGTAAGAATTTCGTTTGTTGTGGAAACCATGTTTTTTTTAAATTAATTCATATTAGTAACCTCCTTTGGGTAAGTGCTCTTTATAGAGCCTTAAACTAGACACGCAGATCTTAAGTTTTAAAGGTTTTCAATCCTTGTGTATAAAAGCTTCAAAATTATGAGGGGGAAATTGTGAATGTTTTTAACCTTATGGCCAGCATGTTGATGTAATTAATACCCCTTTTCATTTTTATAAACGGGTTCCCCAGAATTCCAACCTCTTAGCTTAGAAAGATTAGGTATTCAATATTTGAGTTTTAAGAAAACTCTGGGAAAAAAAATGATATAATGATCAGGTATGCATATCAGTCTACAAGAAATTTGGACTTTATTTTGGCTTAAAATGGTTACTACTTAGCACCAAAAAAAAAATTACTTTTTGCTGTAAGCAAAGTAGCTCATGTTACAATGCAAGGTGGTCCGCATTGTACCCTTTAAGAGTTTTATAAGAAATTAACTTTACCCTAAGGCAGATTTTAAGACCCTTCTCAAGTAAGAAAAAAAATATTCTAGGCAACGTTCAGCTATTAAAATGGAAAGATCAGGAGTCACCAAGAGGTGCTTTTTACTCTTTATATGAATATGTTGCCTTCTTCATATGCTTCAGTAGTAGCTACTTAATGAGAGCCAGTCAGGAGGGATACTCATATCGGCTATTTTTTTCTTATGAATTTTCCTATGAATTTTTTCTCCATCAGAATTTGAGTTGCCAGATACGTAGTGTAAGGTTCAGTCCTTCATGCTGGTTTAATATAGAAGACTTCATGGAGAAATCTGAGAGTAACTTTACCCCTTTCAGTGGTAGCTCACTGTATATTTTCTTTGGAGGAATTGCCTGAGGACATGTGAAAAGTAGTTTAGTTACCAAAACCAGATTTTTAACAAATTATCCTTTTCTTCACTTCATTTTAACATAAGCGTTAGCTGAATGTGGAACCCCAGCCTTTCTGGTTTGCATTCTTGAGATGAAGAATTTTAGGTAGTTTTTTACGCATTGGTAATGTGAACTGTGCATTTAGAAAGGTCCTTCAGGAGTTAGGTTGTCTGGAGTAAGCTTATAGCTCACTTAGCACTCTTAGAAGCCTGCATATCTGCAATAAATGTGGATGTTTGTTGGAAATAGTCACTCATTTTATATTTAAAATGTGACTGCAAGTATGTTAAAGTATATCCCTGTTAGTGGTAATATAGCAAGGAAAAAGCTTAATAACCTGAATGTCAGAAATATTTTAAAAGCATTAATACCAATGTTTTTAAGCTTCTTAATAAAGGTTAGGAGAAAACATTCCTAGAAATTTTAATTTTTAATCAATGTAAGAGTTCAGTTCTAATCCGAACCCTGACTATTCTGAAGATGAGATGGTATAAATATGTTGCTGATTGCATTATTTATCTAATATATGTTTGATTATCAGTATCAGACTCTGTTATTCTCATAAAAATTTTATTTCTTTTTATATCTTACTTTGGAGAAACTTAAAATTTGGGTATTTTTTAACTCAAATTTTAAAAGTCAAATCTTGATTTTATAATGTCTATGTAAAACATTTAAATGTAAAAGTTGTGAAAGTGTAAGAATAAAACTTCCAAAAAATCTTCACATAACAGCCTCATTTTTATAGTTAGATATAGTTTTGTATCTTTATCTTATCAAATAAAGATAGAGTTAATTTTTATGGTGTCACTTTTTAATCTTTAAGCTTGCCATCCTTCACATCCTTCATCTTATAAAATCGCATTCATTTACCAAATTTATCCATTTTTATTAATCTCTATCATATTTTGAAATAGTCTGCTTTTCTAAAATTTGTTTTGGGCCAGGCACAGTGGCTCACGCCTGTAATCCCAACACTTTGGGAGGCCAAGATGGGCGGATCACCTGAGATCAGGAGTTGGAGACCAGCTTGGCCAACATGGTGAAACCCTGTCTCTGCTAAAAATATAAAAATTAGCCGGGCATGGTGGCACATGCCTGTAATCCCAGCTACTCCGGAGGCTGAGACAGGAGAATTGCTTGAACCCGGGAGGTGGAGGCTGCATCCAGCCTGGGAGACAAAGCAAGACTCTTGTCTCAAAAAAATAAAAAAATCTTAAAAAATAAAATCTGTTTTGCCTTAAATACACCTTTAATGAGATAAGTTTTTCCCCCTTTCATCAGTATCCTTAGAAATGAAATTATTGCAGATTTTCTCTATACTTGCAGCTGCCATATGTCCAAAAATCAAATACAATTAATTTAAATTCGATGGTAGTTTTGCTTTGTTAGAGTTTACAAAAGTTACTTTGGCTCATTTCAGATAGTGTTTTAAATTTCTCAAGGCCATTTATTTTCAGATAATTCTGTAATGAAGCAAGTCTATATTATACATGTTTGGGAAGTATCAAAAATAAATACATTTCATTGTTAAATTCATTTATGGAAATTAGAAAGGACTTAGCACACATATAGGTACAGCTTGGTGAATAATTCTACAGAATTCCAATTAAAGATACATTGGTAAATTTAACCCCATGAATTAAGATCCACAGTTAGCTGTAGTAACAAAGAATATATTTTGTGTCAGACTTTGATGGAACTTATTCTAGGGCAGACTTTTCTTAGTTTCCTTTAACCTGTATCCTCTTTTGAAGTCACAGAATAAATTAAACATGTGATCTAGACAAATCAAAACAGGTGCACCTGAAAATCCACATGGCCTTGCTCCGGAGGTGCCCTGCCTCCTAAAGAGGCATCTCAGTGCTTGGTACCTTGAGACTCACTGTGCCCTGAGCTCACACTCATAATAAATAGTGCTTCAGCTTTGGAAATAGGAAGTGAGTAGTGCCCACTGGGCTTTGAGGGAGTGAAGGCACAGCTCAGACCCATCACTAATAAGGAGGTGAGCTACCCTGAAAAAGAAGGTACCAGCAACTGACTGGAAGAGCTTAAGGATGTAGGGAAGGTACAGAGAATAAAGGCCAACTCGCTTACAGAGAATAAGGTTTTGCTGTGGAATAAAAGTTTGTATCATGTTGCTAGAGAATAATGGGGAAAGGTGGAAGTAAAAAAAGAGAAGCAAAGACAGTCCCATGAAGTACATCAGGATGAAATTGAAATTCAGAGCGCTTACAGGAGGTGCGCCATGGCTGAATGATATGGGTGAGGCTTGCATTTACTGAGGCAGTGGGAAAGTAGGGAAATGACAGCAGACTGTAAAAAAGCTTTTGAGATGGGTTGTTATATGAGTGATTGTTTCTAGTCACAGCCCCCACTATTGCATCGGCACACATACATGGGTGTGCCACTCTTAACTGCAGACAAATTTATTTTGTCCCATTTCTTGGTTACACGGTATCTTAGACTATGAGAAAGTTAACAGCTTAAAAAGTGAAATGTGTACACTGGCCTTTAGCAAGAATTCAGTGATTTGCTTTTATTAAATTCCTTCCACCTAATCTCAGCACACAGTTATTAGTTTATGGTAAATATTATGAAGCCCAATTTGGGGTTATTTTACCTCAAGTTCTACATACACCCCCGGAAATGCTATTGTAGTAGCAGGATTCTCTCAGCTAAAGGACTCATCAGTTCAGTAATTGTGTACTATTTACCAGATTGGAAATAGTCTGGGATTTTATACAAGGATTTTGTTACCCAAAGTCTTTCATTTTACTCTTTGCTTCTATTTTTTCTTCCGTAAAATGGAAACAGTTGTCATATGTCCCCAAAGCCCATTGGAGGAACCTAATGACCTCATCTGAGCAGTTTGATGGTTTGAATACTTTTTGAAGTTTATAGAAAACTGGAATTTCCATACTAGAATTATGTTGGCAAAAGAAGTCAATGGCTTACCATGGTAGCACCAGCCTATATATACACACACACACACACACACACACATATATATATATATAAAGTTGTATATTTATAGACATTTATACATCGTCTAATAATTTCATCATGTTCTGGCTAAAATAATTATATATGTACTTTATTATGTTGTTTATATACACTACAGTACTTATGTTGATTTTTTTTCTTTTAGATATTAAGGAACGATTCACAAATTATGTGCTTTTACTGATAGTGTGTCTAAGAAACATGGAACAGTTTTCTTGGAATCCAGGTAACTCACTCTTAACAAAACAGTGTCTTATAATTTTACTTCTAAGCCAAAATCATTCTTTTACATGGAATAAAATGAATATTGCAGAAAACTCCAAAAGACTTTGGCTGTTTTACTGTTTGGGTATTGGTGAAACAATCATCTGTCACTTAATGACCTTCAGTCAACAATAGACCACATATACGATGGTGGTCCCATAAGATTCTAATGGACCTGAAAAATTCCTGTCACCTGGTCTCCTAGTGTCCTTTTCTGTGTTTAGACATGTTTAGATACACTTACCATTGTGTCACAGTTTGCCTGCAGTATTCAGTATGGTAACGTGCTGTACAGGTTTTGTAGCCTAGGAGCAATAGGTTATACCATATAGTCTGGGTGTGTGGTTATACCATCTAGGTTTGTGTAAGTACCCTCTATGATGTTAACACAGTGACAAAATTGGCTAGCAACACATTTCTCAGAATGTATCCCTGTTGCTGAGCGACACATGACTGTACCTGTTTCAGTAGAATGGATTGGGTATGTTTTCTGTGGTGTAGTGGGATGCTGTCATTTTCCATAAACTCCTCAGTGTCTCTGGAGCTGTACACTCAGTAGGTGAGTGCGCCCTGTTATGCCTGGCAGCTCTGAGCCTTTCGGTTTTTAACTGTAGTGTACTTTAGTTACCTAAATCCAGAAAGATTGTTTTCATCTTAGGGGTTAACCAGGAGAACCTTTGCTCTTCCCTAACATTATCTTTTACCCATTGATTAGCATTTTAAATAGGGATAAATTAAATATAAAGTAAGGTGGAAATTTTGCTACTTAGGTGCGTCTCTGAATTCAGGCTGACAGGAAATTGTCAAGACTCCATGAATTTTCATTATCCATTCAGTTAGCAGACATTCACTGAGCATATGCTAGTTTCTAGGCACAAGGACAGGCACTGTGGCAATGTAAAAAATACTACGACATTTGTAGGACTTAACAGGCTAATTAAGGGGAAGTGGGTAATTATAATGCTAAGTGAGCTAAGTGGGAAATGATCAATTTCTCAGGTATCTCAAGTAATTTAGAGTTTTTGTTTGAATGTCTGACGTTTTTGTTGGAATCTCATTCTTAAAGGATGCAACCATGTTTTGGATTTCATTTATTACTCCCAGTATTATATATGTTATAGGCATTTATTAACTTCTTAATTTATTTTAATTCATTGGTAATTTTCAAGTAACTGTGAAAAATCAAAAACATATAAAATGAGAGATACGGTCTTGGAGATACATTTTCAGAAGTTTTTTTCATAGAGAAACCATAAGATTAAATGACATCTCACAGCAGCTCGAGCAGGCTACCTGGCTTGTGGTGGAAAAGCCTCTTCCTCCACACACACAGCTAGATTCTTTGTGTACCCAAATTTGTTTTAGTGAATGGTGGTATATTTCTTTATAACTAAGTCACCTAACAGGGTGTCCATGAAGGGCAGAGGGGGTATGTGTCACTGGTTCCGGTAGAGTACATGTAAGATCAGCAATTCCCAAAGCTGAGTGGTTAAACCAAAAGACAAATAGTCTTTATGCCTCCTAGACAGCTGGATATTTGAAGTCATATTCTCATTTATACTGTGACTTTTAATAAATTATCTTGCCTCCTTTGTTAGTACTATGGCAGATAATATGATAAATGGAGCACTTGCTTTTATTGATGAATTCACCATTTTCACTCTTGTTTTAGGTTTTCACTCTTTTTTTAGGTTTATTAAAATTTCTTAAAAAAAAAAACCAACAAAGTGCCATTTATGGAAGGTTGCTCTAAGTTCTCAGGGTCATGAGGAACATAAAAACAGCACTAGCCATTTTGTATGCCAGGCACATTGCTGTGCACCATTATCTCATTTAGTTCTCATAATAATTAAGTGTAGACACTTACTATCCTTAACCTTGTGGTTGAGGAAGCTGGAATTTAGCTCATTAAGAAACTTGCCCTTTGCTAGTGATGTGGATTAAAAAAAAAACTTGTCCAAGGTCATATAGCAGTTAGTAGCAGAGCTTATCGGCGAAAGAGGTCCCTTGATTTCCAAAACCTGATGTGATGCCAGACTCACAGAAGCTGTCTACACTGTCAGCCGGGATAGCCCAGCTGTGTCATCTCCATCCCACCTTCCGGCTACCTGAGTCTTGAGTTGCTGTGGGTCCTTGTCAGCATTTCTCCCTATCTTTTTCTTGCTGTGTCCCACTCTTACATTCTTTTCCAAGTTCTTAGGAGGTTGTCTGTAGGTGTGTTTCATCAGGTACCTGGTACTGAATTGGCATTAAAAAAATTTTTTTATTGATGCATAATTTGCATAGTTTGGGTGTGCAAGTGATAATTTAATGTATTCATATAATTTGTGAAGATCAAATCAGTGTACTTGGGATATCCATTACCTTAAATATTTGTCTTTTTGTTAGAACCAGTCAAATTCTTCTCTTCTACCTATTTTGAAATACACAGTAGATTATTGTAAACTATGGTTACCCTACTTATCTATCTATCACTAGGTCTTATTTGAATAGACATTTAAATGTCATAATGGTGAGCAAATATATCAGGCTAACATCTGTATGACAGTGAAACAAAGGATTGATTAATATCTTTACATTGTAGTGATCAAAGAAGGAGAAGACTGCTCATCTACAAAGACTACAGCACATCTCTTCTAGCTATTTACTGTCACATTGAGGCAGCTATGGAATTAAAGGATTTTCTAAGGAACCTGCTTAATCTAGTCATCCCATCAGCATGTCAGCACGTAGGCTTCGTGAAGGCAGAGGCTCTCTGCTAAACCACTGGAGCCCACATGTAAAGCAGTTCTTGGCACTTAGAAAGTACTGAATAAATATTTGGGTTTTTGTTGTTGTTGTTTGAGACGGAGTCTTGCTCTTTCGCCCAGGCTGCAGTGCAGTGGCGCGATCTCAGCTCACTGCAACCTCCACCTCCTGGATTCAAGCAATTCTCCTACCTCAGCCTCCCAGGTAGCCGGGAATACAGGTGCACGCCACTATGCCTGGCTAATTTTTGTATTTTTAGTAGAGACAGGGTTTCACCATTTTGGCCAGGCTGGTCTCAAACTCCTGATCTCAGGTGATCCAAAATGCTGGGATTACAGGCGTGAGCCACTGCGCCGGGCCTGAGTAAACGTTTGTTGAATGAAGTATCCTTTAACTTGATACAGTATAGCTCTTTTGATAAAGGTTATAATTGAATGCTAGTTCATCATTTACTGAAAATACTACAGTTTTGTTCTAGAGATTTCATATTTCTCTGGTAGCCTGTGATATGGATTCTGTTCATATTAAGATATTTCGTTGTTTTTCTTTTTTCTATTTACAGATCATCTCTGGGTGTTGTTTCCAGATGTCTGTATGGTAATTGCATCAGAAATTGCCGTGGATATTGTAAAACATGCCTTTATTACTAAATTCAATGACATTACTGCAGATGTATGTATTTTGATATGCACTTCAATGTTTAAAGTTTACTTCTGTTGCTTAATTTTTAAAAGTTGTAGAATAATAGGAGTTTGTTAATACTTTAAGGTCAGAATTGTAATTTTAAGTTTCTAAAAATTATTACACTATTGAAAGTATTCTGTTTTAATATTAGGCAATGATAATTCCATATTCTTGGGGTAGAAGTATAGACCAGCCAGTAGTCGAAGTCACAGTGTCACTAACTCAAAATCATTCTGATCAGTTAACACTGTCATAATCTGTTTAAAGACTTTAAAATCACATTGTTTCTATTTTAAAACTTAGACCATCAAAATTTTTCTCTCTGGCTAGGTTTTTAAAATATTTTATATTTAAAAGTTGATTTTTTTCCACGATTATGAATAGGTTCCTGCTAAGTTTTAGAAGACGAGAGCCTACATTTTTCTGGTGAAAGTGTTTAAACTTTGAGAAATTTGTTTTATGTTCTAACCAGATGTTCTGGATAATTTCTAGAAATAGATATGTGGCTATAGATTTATTGCATATAAAACATAAGAAAGTTTCCTAATGTAGTTCTCATTCCTGTCTCAGTCCCAAAATAAATAATAGTTCCACAGTTTTCTAGATTTTACTGGGTAGTACTTTTAATAACAGTCTCACAGTAATATTTGTTTTGTTTCAAAAGGCAATTATTTAAAATAAAATGCAGTTGCAACAACTGTGATTCAATTATGAGTTTCTGAATGTTTTAATATACTTAAAGTAAATACAGTTTTGTACTTTTTTGTAAAGCATTGATAAAGTAATTTCACCATTTACTTTCTCAGCTTTCTTAATGCAGAATGATTCCCTTTTCATAGGATCATTTATTTAGCATCTGAAGTCAAAATTAATAGGCTTGATTGAGACACTTGTGCACTTTTTAGTGGTAATGATCATTCACAAGTGCCTTCATATTTACTATGTTCCCTAACTTAGTTTTATGTCTTTTTCAGCATTCATTTTTCTCAGAAGGCATTATTATGGTTAGACAAACAGTAATTTTTTTAAACTATTCATTTAATTTAAAATTTCAAAATTATTTTATATACATTACACTACTTAAAATAGTCACTTTTCCCCAAATTCTAAACTCTCAGGATCATAGTCGTTGGATATTTATTCCCCTTTAAAGAAAAACCTTTAGAAGATCTATGAATGTTAACAGTTCGGTGGAATTGAGGTTACATTTTACCTTTACTGTAGGAAAACAAATAAGAAATTATGCCCAGATGTCAGCTTGGTTATTAGCACTTGTTCCTGGTTAATTATTAAATGTTTTTATTAATAAAGTTGCAGTCTTTCCACATTATATATTTTTACTGTATTACTTGATATTTCATTCTTGTTTGTTTTTAGGTCTACAGTGAATATAGAGCCAGTCTTGCTTTTGACCTTGTTAGCAGCCGACAGAAAAATGTGAGCATTTATCAAGGGCGTAGTCTGAAATTAACAAAGGCATAGTCTGAAATTAACTGAATAATGATTAATTTAGCATGAAATATTAACTAAAGGAAAGCTACATAAACTGCCTACTGATCTCTATTCTCAACACTAAATAAACATTTACAAATTAAGAATAATAGTAATACTTAACATTAAGTAGTATATGCTCTTTGCAGCATTTTAAGTTATTCAACTTTGTATTTAAGACTTGTGAACATTTGGATTTCCACATCATTTTATAAGTGCCAGGTTCTGTTCTTGCTCCATAGCCTCACCTGTTTAGAACATTTGCTGGTAATAAGTGAATAGTACTTTTAAAATGCTGTTTAAATCCCATAAATCTGAATCTTTTGCTTCTTTCTCTGTTCAGGCATACACTGATTACAGTGACTCTGTAGCACGGAGGATGGGCTTTATTCCTCTCCCACTAGCTGTTTTAGTAAGTGCATACTTTTTAATGTTTTTTGTAACAAAGTAGCCATCATTATAGAATATTAATAAATGGATTATTAATATGATTGTTTCAAAAGGACTTGATATAAAAATTAAGGGTAAATAACTTGGAAGAAAATTTTGTTTTAAATTATAGCAGTAGCTTATATATCCAAATATCTATTGGTTGAGCCATCCAATAGATGAGTGACGCTTAGCTGTTTTATGTAAATGGCTTTCCTAACAATGAGAATACTCTTTTTTGCTTATTCATTTAGTAAAAAACATTTTTTAATGGAAATATCTGAGCATGGTCATTAACGTGGCCACTGCAACACATATTGGTGGAAGTATAAATTAATCCAGTGTTTCTACAAGGCAATGTGACAGTATCATGCTTTAATTCAGTCATTTCATTTCTAGGAATTATCCTAAGGAAATAGTTATAAAAGACACACAATGATTTATGGGCATGGCTTTGCATTTCAGTGACATTTGTAATAATAAAAAGTTAGAAACAAACGAAATAGGTTAAAAAATTATGGTATGCCCAAATGAAGACATATTCTCTATCAGTGGTAATTAATACTTTTTAAAAATTGTCCAAACTTTTTGCAATGAAAATTCCTGCTTTTATACCCAAGAAGTATGTATTTTTTTTTTACTCGGGAGGCTGAGGCAGGAGAATGGCGTGAACCTGGGAGGTGGAGCTTGCAGTGAGCCGAGATCGTGCCACTGCACTCCAGCCTGGGCGAAAGAGCAAGACTCCATCTCAAAAAAGAAAGAATAAAAAGAAATATGTATTTTTTTCAAAAGCACTACTGAAACTTACTAAATCAACCCTCAACAAGTCATCAACTTTGAATATTTTAATGAATTGCCCACAACAGGCTTGCAAATAGTTTCTAGCCAGGTTAGGCTATAATAATGTTAATTAAGACGATTTGTTTAGCCTGGCTTAGTGGCATGCACCTGTAGTCCTAGCTACTCAGGAGGCTGAGGCAAGAAAAAAAAATTTGCTGGCTGCACTTGTATTTGATTATGTTCTTTCTTGACTACCGATTCTAACATCAAAACAGATGCAACCAGCTGGGCACAGTGGCTCACACCTGTAATCCCAGCACTTTGGGAAGCTAAGGCAGGTGGATCACCTGAGGTCAGGAGTTTGAAACCAGCCTGGCTAACTTGGTGAAACCCCATCTCTACTAAAAATACAAAAATTAGTCAGGCGTGGTGGCAGGCGCCTGTAATTTCAGCTACTTAGGAGGCTGAGGCAGGAGAATCACTTGAACCTGGGAGGGAAGGTTGCAGTAAGCCGAGATCGCGTCACTGCCCTCCAGCCTAGGCAACAAGAGCAACACTCCATCTCAAAAAAAAAAACAACAAAAACAAAACAAAACAAACAAATGCAACTGTCTTTTTTGCGAAAGGATATCTAGACTTCTATAGCTGCAGTCTCATGCAAATCAGCTAAGAAATGTGTAAAGAAAGTGAAGGTCATACCAGCTATGTTTTAGACCAGCTTCCTTGACTTTTTTTTAGATGACAGATGATTAATAGGCTTAATGCTATTTAAATTTCAGTGTGCCTTTACAGACAACCACATCCCTAAACATTTTTAATTATATTAATAGCTTGCTTATTACATCATAATATAGCTTTCTTTTGCTTCGGAAAAGGAACTCCTAGAATTTTGGAAAAATGGAGGCTTCTAAATAATAAAATTGTTTGTTAAAGGCTTAAGAGATTGATAAAATAGAATATTAAATATTTCCGCATTTGTTTACTACAACTAGAAATATGAAACATACAAATATAAGGATAAACCTACAAGGCCTGAATTTTTTTTTTTTTGTAAGGATTGGTCAGATGGTTGGATTTAAATATGATCCTGCTTTGCCAAATAATAATTGACTTATTTGTCTAGTAACTTGTCAGAAAACTCATAGTATGAACTTTTTTTGAAATAGTATTTAAAAATTTTTCTTCAATCCTTGTTTTATTCTTTAAATGAGTTTTTATGGCTGTTATACCAAAATATTTATGAATAATTAATAATTGACAAAACACTTTTGGAACACCTGCAGTGTGCTGAAAGGGGGTCATATAGTTAGGCAGAGATCTAGTGGGCTTCCTTCCATAGCACTTTGCTCACAGAGCTTCGTCGTGTGCCACAGCTTTGGCGGGCATCCAGGAGCCTTGAGAAATACATCGAGGCCTCTGTGACAAGTTAATTCTTTAATTAAGGCACAAGGATGGCAATTTTTTCTTCTAAGCGTTACATTGGGTCGTAAAATGATTTTATATCCGAAAAAAGGAAGAAAAAATGTGTATTAAAGTCTCATGGAAATTAGACTGAGTAAAAGTTAACTGATAATATGCTAGGTGAAAGTATAGTTATTTAAGCCTTAAATGTGATCATTGGTTTGCCTTTCATATTAATGAATAAAATCCTGGAGTCATGTTAACTTCAGTCACAATTGCCTATACAGTAGACATTACCCTGTAGAGACTGTGACACGGTTGAGGGCTTCCATTGTCACTTTTCTCATAGTGAGAGTTTATTGAACATATGACAAGCCATTGCCCCAGCTCTTCCCAATTGTTCTTTTATTAAAAGCATTTTTAAATGTCTTTTTAAATGTGTACCATTATGATGTTTATTTAAGATACCCTAATAGACTTTGGATAACTTGACATTACTAGATAAGACGACTTCTCCCTAATTCTCTATTTCTCTTTTAACATATGGGCATAGCAGCACTTGTAACATGTGGACATTTTACTTTAACTGATTCCACCAGATTTATTCAGCAGACTTCCAAGGATAATGCTTTTATTCCTTTATTTCTGTGAAAGAAGTAAGAAAATGGATAGTTAACTGTATCCAAAAGAGAGAACTGTTTCAATGTTTAATTAATTTTTTAATAGTGTTTAGTTTTTCTAAATACAAAACTTTTAAGGTTCCATTTTTCCTGTGTTCCCTGTGAGTTACTGGGGGTTCATAAAAGAGTCAAAGAAGAAAGGACGGAGGGCAAAAAAAGCAGGAATAAGGAAACACCCACCAAATAATTCTAGCTTTGGTGTGGACACGTGTAGCAAGATGAAATCATTTGTACTTTGCAGAATAATATTTTATAAAAATCAGCTGCTTTGCATCCCTGTGAGGTATAAGTGTGACATTCATGACCTAAGTATAGGGCCGAACTTAGAGAGTCCACAGGAGTCAAACTGTTGCACTAGCCACAGGCATCCCAGATTTGCTTGAACCAATCCAAATGTACCACAGAAGGTTTCACAAGCAGGCAGATTTTGATACAAATCAACAAATCTGCCTTCTTGGATTTTTAGACAAAGGCCATAGATATATGCCTAAAATGTTAAAGTCAGCATGGAGAAATCTTTTTAAGTATTAACTAATAACTCTGTGGTTGTGTGTTCTGTTTGTGTGTTTTTGTTGTTTTGGTTTGTTTCTGGCTAGCTCATCAGAGTTGTAACAAGCTCAATTAAAGTGCAAGGAATCCTGTCTTATGCCTGTGTCATACTCTTCTATTTTGGGTAAGATTATTCTTGAATATGTTTTTGGCTATACAGTAAAGCATAAATGCAAGATGTAATGGAAGTTAGTAGCATCCCAATCATACTACTCCCAGTCTATGCCAGGGGTTTCCATTCAACAGCTATACCTCCAAGTGTATTTATTTGTGACTCAGTTAGATTAACTACGCTGCTATTTGGTAGTAGTATTAATAGTACTTTAGATTTTATTTTAATTTTTAGCAAAATCTTAAAGCCCTTTTTGCTTAAGATTTAGGTTTCACTCACATTTTTTTGATGAATAAAAGACTGCCATTGCAGACATGTTTTCATATTTAAAAACATCTTTGACCCTCCAATATGTTTGCCACATTGAATTGTTCAGCACACTGTAGGCAGGCATCACGTAAACCCAAATGTAATGCACAAGCTTAGGTTTTCTGTCTGTGACCAGTGGAATCCATCTGCAGGTTTGTTGGTCTCATGATCTTACATTTTGGTTGGGGGAGACATACAGTAAATTAACAACTAATTAAGATAGAAATAAATGGTATGAAGAAAATAACAATGTAAAATGATGATTTTGCCATTGTTACTTTTCTCAAGAAGTGAACGATGATAAAGTACCCAGACCTGGCAGTCAATTAACTTACTGAAAAATGAAACGGGAAACCTGTTCCACCCTCGCCTAGGTGGTGTGCATCAGGAGCTTCACTCAGGGAGGGGTGGTCTGAGAGGGTTCGAACTTGAATCCCTCCAGAGGAAAAAGGTTGGAGGGTAAGCATAGCAGTCACAACTTGAGCGGTGGATTGGCTTAGAGTTCCAGTTTCATGGTATTTTTAGTGTGTTTTTCACATTGTTTCCTGCCCAGGGCTTAGCACACTACCTAGCACGTGCTCAGGAAGCTTCTGTTGAAGTAGCATGAGAATAGTCACTTACTGTCTGCACTTTCCACCTCTCCACCAAGTATCCTGAGTCGTGAGCCTGCTTCCCAGCTCCTGCAGTAGCGGGCTCAGGCCCTTGTCCTGCAGAGCTGTGTGTAGGTCATGTGGCTAATTTCAGTGTTTCACAGAGGAGGAGGAGGTTCTGATCACACTGTACAGCATTGCCTGTTGTTTGTTTGAATGAGTATGTAAATGGTTTACTACATTAATGTAACTCTTTTCATTTTTTGACATTAAAAAACATTAAGACCTTCCTTTTCTAATGTAGATTCTCACACCGCCCCTCAATGTTTTTAACATTGTGCTGTGTTTACGAAGTGGTGTTGCTGTAATCTCAATGGGAATAATTGTTAGACAATCTAATTATTCTAGTGTTTTTTACATAATAATCAGGAAATGAAGCATGTATATGCTACATCTGAAAACCTTTGTTTAGTTACACTTGCCTGTGCATAGTTCATCCAGGGGTATGTGCTTTAATCTTGAGTTACTTAGAATTCAGGGCACCTGTGCCCCAGCCTCCCATGTCGCCTCACTTCTCCACCTGGATAGTGCAGCCAGCCAGATCTGCTTACTCACCTTTCTACTTTATTCACCTACTCTAATCCTCATCTCAGGATGATTCCTAAATTATCCTCTTCTCCTTCAGAAGCTTTCTCAAAACTACCTTGTCCATGCCTTCTTTATCAATTAACTACACCAAACCCAGGAATGTGTCTTCAGTTAAAAAAATAAAATCAGAATTCAGTTGGGCTTTTTGACATACAATGCTGAACTTTCCCCCACCACACCCGGTTTCTCCTCTTTCCCTCCAGACTCACTCTTGCCAGCTAAGGTGGGAGGACTTGCCAGCCTCTGCCGTTACTGCTCTCTGCCCAGTGCCCCTCAGGGAATAGCTGCTTAGCAGCAGGGCCTGGGCCTGGGCTGGTCTAGGGCTTGGCCAAAAAGAAGCCAGACAAGTGCCCTGCCTTGATGTCACAGAAATTCCCAACAACAAATAGACAACAACTAGAAAAACAAGTCACTCTATTGACAGTTGGTAGGAATCATTAGGAAGAAAAGCACAGTAGTATGAGGAGATGAATGGGAGAGGCAGATACAGCTGCCTTAGAGGGTGGCCAGGGCAGGCCTCTCTGGTGAGCTGGTGTTTCAGTAAGGAAGGGAGCTGTGCAGCCACCTGGGAAGAGCGTAGGCTCAGCAGAAGGGCATGGGGACACAGGCCTGATGGAGGAACAGCAGGCACCAGGCAGCTGCAGTAGTCCATGAGCAGCCATGGGGGAGGAGGGCCCGGGGACGGGAGACTACGAAAGGAGCTGAGCAGAAGATGGCATGGTGGCTCATGCCTGTAGCCCCAGGACTTTGGCAGGCTGGGTGGGAGGATTGCTTGAGCCCAAGAGTTTGAGACCAGCCTGGGCAACATAGCAAGACCCCATCTCTACAAAAAAGAAAATTAGCTGGGCGTGGTGGCATACGCCTGTGGTCCCAGCTGTGCAGGAGGCTGAGGTGGGAGATTGCTTAAGCCCAGGAGTTCAAGGCTGCAGTGAGCGATGATCATGCCACTGCACCACAGCCTGGGCGACAATGCAAGACTGCTTCTTAAAAAAAAAAAGAAAACCAACTTCTTCACTGGTTATAAAACTGGCATTGAGGTTAATGTGAGACTTTTTTCTTCCCATACTTTTTTCCAGATTTGTATTGAATGCCTTAAAATATTCATATTCTTTGACCCAGAAATTTTATTTCTGTAGTCATAGGTATCTAGGTATCCTAAGGAAATACAGATTTAATGTGTTTTCTTAATCAGAAACTTTTTAGTAGAAGCAAAATATTGAAAATAATCTAAATATCCAGAAATAGGAGTTGTTTGGGGCTTTGTTATTTGATAACCCATATAGTGATGTTATAAGGCCATTTAAAATAATGTCACTGAGGAACATTAACTGATATGGAACAAATTCATGATACAGTGTTATATAAATAACAACAATAATAACAAAATTGCTTGCCATTTCTGTGTGCCAAGCACTGCTCTAAGCACCTTACCTGTTGCTCTCCTTTCCAGATTAGCTGATTAAGTAGCTTGCCCAGGTGCACACAGGTTCTAAGCAGTGGACTCAGGACTCCACACAGACACACTTCACCCCAGAGTCCATGCTCTGCCTCCTGACTCCACTCGCCTACTGCCTTGTAAAATAGACCATTTCTATACAGCAAGAAAGTACAAATAGAGGTGTACTCAGAGAAAGCGACGGAAAGATAACATACTAAATGTCACAGTGATTATCATAAGGGTGTGGAATCATGTAATTTTATTATGTTCTTTTTTGTTCAACTGCATGTGCTAAATGTATTTGTTGTGTAATAAAAGAATAAATGTTATAATATTTAATACCAGGAAAAATTTCTAAATGGTATAATTTCTTACAAGAGAACTAAGGAGGCCAGGCATGGTGGCTCACACCTGTAATCCCAGCACTTTGGGAGGCCGAGGCAGGTGGATCACAAGGTCAGGAGTTTGAGACCATCCTGGCCAACATGGTGAAACCCTGTCTCTACTAAAAATACAAAAATAGCCGGGGGTGGTGGCGGATGCCTGTAATCCCAGCTACTTGGGAGGCTGAGGCCAAGAATTGCATGAACCCAGGAGGCGGAGGTTGCAGTGAGCCAAGATTGTGCCACTGCACTCCAGCCTGGGTGACAGAGTGAGACTCTGTCTCAAAAAAAAAAAAAAAAAAAAAGAGAACTAAGGAATTCCGAAGTTTTTCTTTGTGACAAGGAGGCCTCAGAAAACTCAAGATTTGTGTAAGTTCCTCTAAATCCCTAATCTGTCACCGTCCCATGCCCCCCCACCTTCTCCTTAGCCATGGTAGTAGATGGCATTCACAGGGATTTAGATGAATTCCAACGGATGTGGTTTGTTTTGTTTCTGTTTTTAGGTTGATATCCCTGAAAGTACTTAATAGCATCGTGCTGTTGGGGAAATCGTGCCAGTATGTGAAGGAAGCCAAAATGGAAGAGAAGCTGTCGAATCCTCCCGCAACCTGCACTCCAGGCAAGCCGTCCAGTAAATCACAGAACAAATGTAAACCCTCTCAAGGTAGGTTTGGTCCCTTTCTTCACTTCCCTGGATCATTTTCAAAGAGTTAAATCACAGTTTGATCAATGTTAAGCAACGCTTTAAAGATTGGTTTCCCTTTGCATAGATTTTTGGGTCTTTTAATGGTTGTGTTTTAGATTTCATCCCATATATACCTGGCCCAGTGTTCTGAGTTTTTCCATTTACTCATTCGCTGTTCAACATTGAGCATCTGCGACACATCAGCTCCAGTGGATACAGCAGTGGGGTGGAAAGGCAATTCTCTGCTCCCATGGAGCTTGTTCTAGATTGTCGGGAAGAGGGGTAGAGAGAAATAAATATGCACTATGTCAAGTGACGGGGAACTGCAGAGAAAACAAAAGCAGGACGGGGAAAGGGAAGTACAACAGGGAGTTGGGCCCTCCCCCAAGTGTGAGGAGATGGCACTGCACAGAGTCCTGGAGCCCGAGACAGCACATCCAGCCTTCCAGGAGCAGCTCCCAGGCAGAGGCCCGGCAGGCCCAGCAAAGGCACCAAGGCAGGAAGATGCTTGGCGCATCAAAGGACATTAAAAGCCAGATGGCTGCAGTGGCCCATCCCAGGGAAAAGGACTGGAGAGGGGGTCTTGGGGACCATGGAGAGCTGCAGGCTGTTATGAGAACCTTCCAGGTGGAAGGGGGCTGTTGCGGGGCTTTGAGCGGAGCAGTGGCATGGTGCAGCTGACATTTTAAAAGGATCATTCTCAAGCTTTGTGGAAAATAAACTCCAGAGGGGTGGGCCCAGAGGTAGGGACCAGAGAGGCAGCTATCTGGCCAGGAGCAGGGTAGGTGGTGTGAGCAGGGAGACCTGGCCAGGTTCTGGATAGACCTGGGAGGTTTGCGTGAAGTATTTGCTGGTGAGGAAGTTATGCAGTGTGAGAAGAATAGGTGAGTTCAGGATGATTCCAGGGTTTCTGGGTTGGAAGATTTGGAGGAAGAACTGGGACGTTGACTTAATTTTTGTTGTTAGGTGGCAGTTCCCTGTTCACAGAGGTATTTGTTCATATAACTTTTAGTTTAAATGATGTATTTTTTTTTTTTTTTTTGAGACGGAGTTTTGCTCCGTCGCCCAGGCTGGAGTGCAGTGGCGTGATCTCGGCTCACTGCAAGCTTCGCCTCCCAGGTTCACGGCATTCTCCTGCCTCGGCCTCTCGAGTAGCTGGGACTACAGGCGCCCACCACCACGCCCAGCTAATTTTTTGTATTTTTAGTAGAGACGGGGTTTCACCATGTTAGCCAGGATGGTCTCGATCTCCTGACCTCGTGATCCGCCTGCCTCGGCCTCCCAAAGTGCTGGGATTACAGGCATGAGCCACCATGCCTGGCCTAAATGATGTGTTTTTAAATGTGTGGAATAACTGTGTGCAAGGTCATAGAGGAGATGCTGAAGAGAGAAAAATAAAGGATGTCCTTCAAGGCCTCATGTAACTACAGGGGTCCAAATAGGTGAGCAGAGGGTTTGGAGGGACAGGAGAGGGGGGTTCTTCTAAACTAAAAGCTTGAAGGATGAAACTGGCCCAGGGCAGACTGGTGGAAAGGGCACTCCAGAAGGGCCAGCATGAGTTAGATCATGGAGACCTGGAAAAGCGTCTGGAGAACTAGCAGCTCAATATGGCAAGTGTGGAGTGTGCTTCAGAAAGAGGGAGGAGAGGAGAGTTGGGCTGGACTGGAGTCCTACCTGAAAGTGGGTCTGTGCTCATCATCTGTACTTAACCGGAAGCGAAAATAAAGTAAAATAACAATGTGTATAATCACTGGGAAATTATTTTTTTCATTATAAGAACACTATTAGTAATAAGGATTGCATTTTTTTCAACCAACTAGGTAATTCATAGTGGGGCCTGTACGTGTTCTCTTGTTACGCATATTAGTTAAGAAGTTAGGCTAGGCATAGTGGCACATGCCTTTAATAATCCCAGCACTTTGGGAGGCTAAGGCAGAAGCAGCGCTTGAGCCCAGGAGTTCGAGACCAGCCTGGGCAACCTAGTGAGTCCCATCTCTACAAAAAATATAAAAACAAAAAGTTAGTAAGCGTCACTCTTGCTTTCAAGGAGGATCCAGTCTAATGGGGATAAAAGCTTTAAGCACGTACTGCAGGGCAGGGCCATTGACTCAGGGGTCATGTTATGAGAAGTACATTCAGGATGACGACCTGAGTGTTTGCTCAGAATGTCTTGGAGGTCAGGAGAACACAGACTGGAGAACATGCAGGAGGGTGTTGAAGTCAAGCTAAAGAGAGGGAGGGGGCTGTCTCTCAAAGCTGCATCAGATTCATCACGTTGTAAAAGAGACAAAAGACAGCGGTTCTGGGGGTGAGGGCAGGAGAGAGGGATTACTACAAGAGAGCTGGATGTGTCATTACCTCCATCATGGCAGTAGTGTGACCAGGTGTATGCACATGTCAGAACTCATCAGATTATACATTTTAAATGTGTACAGCTGATGGTGTGTCTTTTTTGCCTCAAAGAAGCTGTTCTTACATGGATTGAATGTATGATTCAGATGAGTCTCTCCAGGCCCCAGCCCAGCTGTCCCCAAAGCCAGGCTCCAGGATCTCTGTGGCCTAAAATGAACATTGGGGGTTTTGTTTATTTGTTTGTTTGTTTTTAACCTCTGGTTTGGACTTCCCAGAGATGATGATGCTAAACCATCTGTAGCTGAAGTGACTACAGATGACAGGTGGAATGTAGTAAAGTCTTCTTGGCCCACTCCCTGATGTTCTGTATTGGAGCAAGTGTTAATGTTTCAGGACTGCCAACAGTCATGTTAGGTCTTGATTATATAGAGAGGAGCCGTAATGTAGGAGTTGTGATCTTTCTGCAGTTGGGTGATGGCATTGTTTGTGTGATACGAGCAATGTAATGTACCCTTCCATAAAGTTGAACAAACAGATGATTAGCCTCTAAGTTTTATTATAAATGATGGCTGCTTATACAACATGCTATTTGGTTATCATTTGCTTTATCGGAAAGCATGGATAATGGGCACTTTTTTCAGCACCACTGTATTGGTAAGTTTGTATTTATTAATAATTGGAGAAAAGTCTTTCTCTAATTTAATGGATCTATTTTATCACAGGCCTTTCCACAGAAGAAAACCTGTCTGCCTCCATCACCAAACAACCTATTCATCAAAAGGAAAATATCATACCATTACTTGTGACAAGCAATTCTGATCAGTTTTTGACAACTCCAGATGGTGACGAGAAGGACATAACGCAGGACAATTCTGAATTAAAACACAGATCCTCAAAGAAAGATTTGTTAGAGATAGACAGGTTCACAATTTGTGGAAACCGAATTGACTGAATCTGTGGCTTCATGCGCTGAAGAAGCTGGGTCCTGGGGCAACAAGTGCTGTGTTGCCAGGACAAATAGATGCTAAACATGGCACTTAAATATTTATTTAAAAACTTAAATTATTATTGGCAAGCAAATCTTAGTATCTTTCTTCCAGTAATATGGCCTGGCTGAGGGTCAGACCACAGGACAGGAGCGACCTCCGGCCTTGACTGTCTGGGAAGCTTGATGGATTATAAAACTTCCTCCTGCCTGGCCAAGCAGCAGCATCATTTCCAGGACCCAACAAAGGCAACATCAAAATCTGTTTTGCTTTGTCAGTCTGGGCTTCCAGAATGTTGAATTTGCCTCAAGGCCTCTTCAGTATAAGGAAATACCTGGAAAACTGTGAAACTTTTACCACGACGTAATCTTTCCAGTCTCATACTATTTTCACAAACAGTTTTCAAACGTTACTTCATCTGCCAAAGCATTAAAAAAATTAAACATAAGTCAAGATAAATGTTCTTACCACCAGAATAACCCTTAAAGATGTATCTTAATTAATCAGAATAAAAGGCTACCTTAAATAAGACATGATGAATAGTAGCATTTTGTAGGGTTAAAAAAAAATGCTAAACTAGTTTATTTATTAAAAAAATAATTAATGAAGGCTATGCATTACTGGGAAAAATCCTTCATAATTTTTCAGTTTACTCTTTAAAGCAAAATGTGAGCTGTATGTCATTTAATTGGTGGATAAAACAAATTTCCTTACAAAAGGGCACTTTTTACACCAAGGAAGCAGAGCAGTGTTAACTTTAAGGTATACTTAACTGATTTTGCTTTAAAACTAATTACTTCATAAATTATTACAGCTAAAAGGATTCGATGTTGAACAGGCTGAAAAATTGTCAATGTACAAAATTCAAAACTGTCAACTTTAACTGTAAAGTAAATGCTCCAAGTGTGTTAGACAGCATCATCTTGCTTGGGCTTACCAAATGCATTAGTCTTTGTGTTTGGGTCGACAGCGAGTGTGCCTGTGCTGGGGCAGGGTGTGTGTTCTGTGGGAGGGTGTCTGTGGGGATGTGACTATCAGGGTGGGCCTGTGCTGGGGATGGGGCAGGCCTGGGTCTGGAGAGGATTTTGTGTGAAAGTAAATGGGGTGTTTGAGGCGTATGGGTGGCTGTTGGTGTGGGGAGGCATCTGTGTATGGCTGTTGGGAACAGCAACCAAAAGGTGCTTTTTGGTTTTATTTGAGATGAAGATTGTGTTTCCGCTTAATTACTAGTTTGTGGTCTATATCATAGAAGTTATTTCCCACCCCATTTTATCTTGACAACCGTGTTTGCATTTCTGTAAAACTTCTACAACTTCTGGTGTCAGAACTGTCCAGAAGATGGTACTGTTAACTGTTATTTCCTTTGATGTTTTGATTTTGAAGTTTAGCTCTCATGCAAATGTTTCAGGCGTACATACATAGGCAGAAAGCAATTTTTAGGTGATTTGTCTGTTTCTTGGATGAAATATAAAGCAAGCTTTAATGTTCTGACTTGTTCATTTGAAATACAAAAAAGTAAGTGAATTTTAATGTTTTGCATTAACTAAAGAAATCTGAAGATTAATGTTGAGGAAATTGTATGGACATGCCTTTGTGAAACCAGGAAGTATTTTAAGTTAAAAATGAAAAAGGTTTTAATTGCTTTGTGTGTGTTTTAATGGAGCCCCATTTTAGAATTATTTTTTCCATCTCCCTTTACCAACAAAAGGAACAATGCCACCGTGAATGGAATAGTTTGGGGAAAGCTTTGCCAAACACAACCCTGATTTCAGAGCAGGAACATGGTTTGGATAGATCTTCAGTTCCGCTTGAATTATTCTGTTACTGCGCTGTCATTTTCAGAAGATTTCCATTCCTTTGCAGATGCTGTTGGGAGTTCGGGATTATGTTCATTTCTTCTGTTTTAATGGCATTCAGTACTAATTTTATAAGTGCATCTTGTGTGAATCTCAATAAATTCAGTTTTGTAATCTTTTTTAAAAAGGTCACTGAATTTATTTTAATATTTACTATTGTATTTGGTAGAGTGAATTTCCCACTGTATAATAAGTATTTATTTGTAATTCACAAGTGATAGAGCTATCTTAATTTGAATTATTGCTTTGGTCTTAATGGTGGCAAAATGTTTA
Source organism: Homo sapiens (assembly GCF_000001405.40). Classification (NCBI taxonomy): domain Eukaryota; kingdom Metazoa; phylum Chordata; class Mammalia; order Primates; family Hominidae; genus Homo; species Homo sapiens. The sequence continues at coordinate 16,161,144 of NC_000004.12, read as the reverse complement.
ATTTTGTCTTTGGAAAAAATAGGCTCGGCCTTGATTATAGACCATTTAATATTTCTCAGCAAATGAAGGTATTTGCATTTTACAAGTGTTTTGAATGTCACACAAAATATTTTTCACATCTGGGAGTCAAGTTCAAGACAGTGCTTTGGTTTTAAAAAAATCTAATGAAGGCACAGGATAGGCCAGACCCTTATTAGGTTTTCCTTTAGAATAAGTGTAAAGACCAAGTGTCACTGATACGCTTGTCCAGATTTTCTTGTGGACTTTGGCCAGTATTTAGAGTTTATATTCATGTTACATAAAGTGAAAGAAACTTGCTATAATTAGGCCATCAAAATATATCCTGCCACTCCTGGTAACTCAGCAGAGGAGGAGATAAATTTACAAAATAATGTAATATCTCTACATTGTTACATGTTTTCAACTATTTTTTATCAACAAAGATTTGTTAATCACTTCCTATGTGTCAGAAACTGTTCTAAGTGGTGGGATCAGCAATGAGCAAGATAAGTCCCTGTTCGTCTGTGGAAGACTGATAGGAACAAGTCGATGAAATAATGTCTGCTGGTCACAGAGTGTCCACTGACCAAATGATCTCTCAGGCTTATTTCAGCTCTAAAATATAGTTCTTTAAAACGTTTGTGTAAGTCTGATTTTTTTCCTATTGGATTAGCTTGAAATAAGATAATTGTATAGCAATTTTACAGTGCTTCTATAAAATAGAAATAAGAAAAGACTTTCTCCCTGAAGACTGCTAGTTGTCCAGCAGAATCCATTCTCCTGTTCCATTGTGTAGAGTTGTAGCTGGGCATGTGCTGCTTGCTGGGGACTGCATTTCTCAGCCCCTCTTGCTGTTACCTGTAGCCAGCTGACTCATTCTCCCAGGGGATGTAAGTTGAAGGGTGTATTCCGCTATTGGGCCAGGACCCTTAAGACCATGGGTGAGTCCCCCTCACCTCCTCTGTCCCCTTCCCACAGGTGGAACCCAGAGAAGGTAGTGACCTTGTCCCAGTAGGTGCCCATCATGGCAGAGCCATGAGAGAGAAGGAACCTGGGTCCCTGAATGCCGCTGTGGAGCAGAGTTGCTGGTCAGCTTGGAAAATTCCGCTTGACTATACATAAGAGAGAAACTTTTGAAATGCCATTGTTTCTAAGCCACTGAACCTGGAGGTTCTGTGTTCTGTTCATGAAGTTTAGCCCACATTAGTACATTAGGAAATCTGAGAGGGACTATTTAGAGATCTTTACATAAAAGGAGCAAGGAGTTAGACCTATCTTGCTAAAACACATTCTTCTGAAAATTCTCTCTGGATACTCATTATTTATTATTTATATGGAAAAAGATAAAGATTACTCCACCCCACTTTTTCAGAGGTCAGACTCTCAGCACCCTTGGCTGTCTTGAACTGAACATTAAACTTGCCCATAAGTGGCAAAGTTCTATTTGTCCATATACTCTATCAAATAGACATTTCTTGCCCTTTATCTCAGAAAAGTGTGTATAGTAAAAGAGTAAAGTGTAAGTAGAGCTTAACAGCAAGGAGAAGTAGAAGCAAGAGGAGTTAATCAAGAGAGCAGTAAAAATATACCTGACGTCAGTGATGCCATGCCTGTGATTGCCAATAAACTGTGTTACAGGTCAATGTGATGTGTGGTATGCAGTAAGTGAGATCTAGGATGATTTAGATTGTGTTCATTACATACTATTAAGGATTGTGTTTGATACAAATTAAGGTTCGTACAATTGAGGGGAAGTTGTTCAGAAAAAAATGGCGTTCTCAGGGACCTTGAGTTATCTGAAAAGTTTGCTTATAGGGAGGAACTATTGCTTAGCAGTGCTGAGCAAACAAGGCATTGCTGTTCTAAATTTTATTAAGAGAGTAAATGTATCAGCAAGTTGGCAAAAGGCACAGTTATGCATAGTGTAGTAAAGTTGTATTTGAGGTTTTTGATATTTAATGACAAGGTAGGTATCAATACAATATGTTTTGCTTATTTATATGTTTTGTTTCTTGGGTTTTCTTGTTTGTTTTTTGTTTTTGGCTTATAAGGAAACCAAGGGAGGTCTTGAAGGCCCCTTTGGCCTCTTTTTAGAGGTATTAGCTCAGGGACTACAGAATGAATGAGCTCTTGCAGTGTGAATAATCTTCGAAGTGGATGGTTAATTTTGAAACTGCAATTATTTTCAATAAGCACATTCTCATTCCATTTTTAATATGTCAACATAAGAATGTAAATACTGGGAAGATTAGAAATCGCCATAATGTCAGGTTTAACCAGATAAGTGAAATGTATAACAAGGAAAAGGCATAAAAAGCTTGTTGGACTTACTTTCACAGATATTAATTGCACTCACTGAGCAGAGCACAGAAATGAAGGAGCTGTGCTTTCTGCCCATGGGGCTTAACTGTAATCTGACAGTGAAAAGTCCAAGATTCTTAGCAAGGCACTAAAGACTGGGGGGCTGACCCGGCAATTACAGCCCTGTGTGATGAGTACCACCATAAACCACGCCTCTGGCTGCAGCAAAACATTCAACCACATTCACTGCTGTAGCCCTTGCACCTCGTTCCTGGCACACACAGGCAGGCAATAAACATTTATTGGATGAAGAAAACATAGGGGCCATTGCAGAAGGTGTGCACTTGGGCCGCCTTGAAACAAGTAGGAATTAGATGGATAAGAAGGGAGAGGAAGGGCAAGGCACGAATGAACAAAAGAGGAAAGAGCACAGCGGAAGCTGCAGCGCAGGTTTCCTTCACTCCCCATTAAGTGCCAGCTGTCTTGCTGGGAAGATGAGGAGGGAAGCTTCCGTCCCATCCCTGGGGAAACGAGATGGAGGATGGAGGCAGGGGCTAGATCTCAAGAGCGCTCTTAATGCCTTGCTAAGAATCTTAGACGGTTAATCCTATAGACAAAGGGTGGAGGAGCTTAAGTGGAATTTTAAGTTGTTGTAATTATCAAATGAGAAATGAAAAAAAAAACTACTTGGTAAACTCTGAAGTGCTATGAACAGATCAATGTTTTAGAAAAGTCAGGGTGGTGTCCTTGTAAAGGATTATTGTGTAATCGCTTTTGTGTTCGTGTGAAAGCAGGGCTAAGCTCATTTTCTACATTCTTCTCATTGAACCTTTATGTCTCTCTAAAGCAGACACTTACCCCATTTTATAAGTAGAAAACTGTGGCTTAGAAAGGTTAAGTAACTTGTTCAGGGTCACACAAGGAGCAAGGAGCACAGCAGAAAGTTAAACCGCCTTCCTGAACTGGAAAACTGGAGCTCTCAAGCTCTCTGCCTTCTGCTATTTACGGAGAAGGGAGAAGCCAGATAAGGAAACCCCTTGAGGGAAGTGCCTGCAGCCACTCACAGCAGAGTGCGAGGACTTCAGGGATGTAGGGTGTACTGAGCTCTGGGATATTTACCCCTCTAAGATACTCTGGAGGGCTAGCCTGCCGTGTGATGTTGCAGTCAAGACCCTTGCTCTGTGCAACACAGCAAACCTCAGTCTCCTCATCTGCAAATCAGGGTTGAGAATATCCACTTCTCAGGGTTGTGAAGAGCAAATCAGATAATGCATCTGAAACTGTTTGTGAAGGCAACACACATGTCTAAGCTATGATGACGCAGCCCACATCAGTGATCCCCACAGTGTGGTCCCTGGGCCAGTGGCATCACATCACCTGGGAACAGACCAGAAATGCAGATCCCTGGGCCCTGCCCAGATGTGCTGAATCAGAAACTTCAGGGGTGGAGCTGGACAATGTTTGTTTGTTTAGACAGAGCCTTTGTTTTTTGAGACGGAGTCTCGCTCTGTCGCCCAGGCTAGAGTGCAGTGGTGCGATCTCAGCTCACTGCAACCTCCGCCTCCCGGGTTCAAGCAATTCTCCTGCCTCAGCCTCCTGAGTAGCTGGGATTACAGGCGTGCGCCACCACGCCAGGCTAATTTTTGTATTTTTAGTAGAGATAGGGTTTCACCATGTTGGCCAGGCTGGTCTCGAACTCCTGACCTCAAGTGATCCACCCACTTCGGCCTCTCAGAGTGGTGGGCTTACAAGTGTGAGCCACTGCGCCCGGCCAGGACAATCTGTTTTAACAGGCCCCTGGGCGAGTCTCCCCACTAAAGTGTGAGAACCGTGGAAAGTCATCATCCTCTAGGATCTAGATTTCAGGGTGATGGGTCCAAAAACTCACCTCTACTTTTTCCAAAGTAAAGATTGGAGAGACTAAAACACGATTTGGGGGCCAGAAGTTCTCTAGCATATGACTACATTCTGTTTAAAATCCATGATTGCTGTCACTCACTCAAGGCCAGGCAGCTAGACAGAGGCAGAGCAGGCTAGGACCAGGGGTTTCTAGATCTTCCTGAAACCCCCGCGCTGCTTCTACCGCATCCTCAGGGCTCCACCCCATCCTCTGGCAATAGTACCTTTCAGACGAGTCCTGCAGAAATCATAGAGCACTCATGATACCAAAGCTTTAATCACCAAGAGTTGGGGAAGGGAGAAAGGATATACAATCCACTAAGTGGCGTGATTCAGCACCAAAGCACCTTGTAGGGGATTCAGTCTGTTTTCACTGAGCATCTCCACCCATCTAGGAGTTGCTGGTGCAGCCAGCAAGGCAGGCACATCCCCTCTCTTTAGAAGCTTATATTCCAGTAGAGAAAACATCATAAAAATGTGAACGGGGCATTTCAGAAGGCGACCTGTGCTACAGAGGTAACAAGGTAAGGTGATAGGGACATGATGCTTTCTTGAAACCACATGGTCAGGGAAAGCCTCTAAAGGTGACATACAAGCAGAGACCTGAACTAAGGGAATGTCATGTGGCAGAGGCCCTCAAGTTCAAAGCTACTGAATTGAGAGGGAACAGAGTGTATCCTAGGAGCAGAAAGAAGTTCATTAGGGCTGGGAAATGAGGACATGGGGGTGGGAATGGGTTGCAGCTTTAATTGGTATGGGAGTGGAAGTCCAGGTCATCCAAGCCCCAGGACCGGAGGAGTTAGGTTACTACTGGTCCAAGGACGAGATAAAGAGTTAGGATATTACTGTCTTCTGCTCTCCGAAAAACGGGTTGCAGGGCAAGTAGCATAAAATCAGAGAGGCTAGCGAAGGGCTGTTTCTGTGATATAAACCAGGCTCAGGCAGGCCTGGACTCATGCCAGGGCAGGGCCAGGAACCCCCAGCCTGGCCTGGCTCTGTCTCCACCTCAGAAGGGCAAAGCAGCAGTAGCCTCTTGCAGGAACCTTAACACTTCCTTTGGCAACACAGACGCAGGACAGAGGATTCTGAACCTAGCTTTACCCATTTGTTTCTTCAATGCTGACACCACCTAGTAGGCAAAGTCAACTTCTATCTAATTGTGTTTCTCATTGGATGATCATGGTGATGAATGGCCTCCAGTTCTGCTACTCTCTGAAATGATGCCCGGGGGAAACAAGAGGGAAGCATCTGTAAGCTCCCCACCGAGCATCTGTAAGCTCCCCACCGAGCAGCAGGAAACAGTTCCACTCTCCCAGTGAGGGAATTGTGCTGAGAACTGGAAATGTTTTTTCCAGTTGACAAGATGAAATTTTTTTGAAGTTCAGATTCTATCCAAAACACAATAGAAAATAAGATGACTTTCCCTTGCAATTATTATGGATATAAATGCACTGTTCATTTCTCTTTCAAAGATGAGTTCGAAGATGACTTAGGTCCTAGGATGATGGGATCTCAGCATTAAAGCAGCTCTGACAAAGCATCTGACCCCTATTCCAGGGCTGCTGTTGTCCTGTACTCCTGAGAAGTTATCAAATAATTTTGTCTTGAAATAAGTGCTGTAGTATTAATAATAATTTTAAAACCAATCCTTTTTTTTTTTTTTTTTTGGAGAAGTCTCACTCTGTCGCCCAGGCTGGAGTACAGTGGCGCAATCTCGGCTCACTGCAACCTCTGCCTCCCGCGTTCAAGCAATTCTCCTTCCTCAGCCTATCAAGTAGCTGGGACTACAGGCACATGCCACCACACCTGGCTAATTTTTGTGTTTTTAGTAGAGACGGGATTTCACCATGTTGGCCAGGCTTGTCTTGAACGCCTGACCTCAAGTGATCCACCTCCTCAGCATCCGAACGTGCTGGGATTACAGGCGTGAGCCACTGCACCCAGCCTAAAACCAATACTTATTAAATATCTACTACAAATCATCATACAAGACCCTTTTAATTCATTACCTTATTTAATTTGCACAATGTCCCTGAAAAGTCCTCATTTTACACATGTGGAAACTGAGGCTCGGGAGGCTCTTTTCTCAACAAAGTCACCCAGCTAGGGAGGAACAGGGCCAGGATTTCAAGCCTGGTCCTTCTGATCCCAGAGTGCCGGCCCGTAACCATCATGCAGCCTATAGGCCTCAGGACAGCCTTCCACAAGAGCTCTTGCAAAATTCTTTTTCTTAAATCATTTTCTAACAAAAGCATGCATACTTAACAGAATTTCCATTCCTCCTGCCCTCCTTTTAGTTCACATTTTCCAGACTTTCATGTGATTCTAATTCTCCATAGATTGGCTTTGCTGAGTGTTATTTTTAGCATTTGGATTATGAATAGATTGTTCTGGTTATCCTGTTTATATTTTATATTGTTGAATCACCTATTTTCTCACTAAGGAATTGTGACAGCGTGAGGTGTATTTATGTGATGCCTGGCACTTTTTTTTCTTTTGTTTTTCAGAGATGTGGTCTCACTGTCACCCAGGCTGGAGTTCTGTGGCTCAACAATAGCTCCACTGCAGCCTTGAACTCCTGGTCTCAAGGGATCCTCCCACCTCAGCCTCCCAAGTATCAGGGACTACAGGCATGTGCCACCATGTACAGATAATTCTTTTCTCTCCTTGACTTCTGATTCCACCCTGCAAGGTGGGCATAGTATGAATGGGGATATCCATGTGCCAACCAGGAAACCAAGGCCCTGGTTTTCCGAGAGTCCAGATGCAGTGCCTGGGCTGGGAAGTGGGACTTCACACCGTAGGCCAGCACAGGGCTTCCAGCACTGCTGTTCTGCCCTGAGGAGGGGACAGTGGGGAGAGTAGCCTGCTTCCTGGCTTAAGCAATGGCGATTAACACACATTTTTAGAGCTTTTATTGTTTCATTCTGTAAGTAATAAGTGGCCACTGTCCTTAGCAAACTAATGCAGGAACAGAAAACCAAATACCACATGTTCTCACTTATAAATGGGAGCTAAATGATGAGAACTCACGAACACAAAGAGGGGAACAACAGACATTGGGACCTACTTAAGGGTGGAGGGTGGGAGGAGGGAGAGGAGCAGAACAAATAACTGCTGGGCACTAGGCTTAATACCTGGGTGATGAAATAATCCGTACAAGAAAAACGCCCGTGACACTAGTTTACCTATATAACAAACCTGCACGTGTACCCCAGCATACCTATAATTTCACCATCTAATTTGGTGCATACTTCTTCAACTCCTTCTGATAATATATAATAGATATAGGTTTCTACATGTAAGTATACCTCAGTGAGACTCTACCATATATGTTGGCTTGTGACATGCTTCATTCCCTTTACATGTAGTGGGCATTTTTCCATGTCAATAATTTAAAATGTTTTCAAAGGCTATGTAGACTTCCCATGTATGGCCAAGTCCTCATTTGTTTAATCGCTTCCTTTGTGCTGGACAAATTCTCTGATTATTTCCTTAGGATGCATTCTGAGAGCGGAATTAGTTGGACAAAGTCTTGATGTCTGTTGCCAAATTGCTTTCCAGAGGCACCAAGTGTAGAAGCGTGCCTGAAGTCTCCACACTTTCACCAGCCCTGGGTTGAATGAGTGGCCTCCTAAGGCTTGCCAAGCTTACAGATGTTTTAAAAAAGGTACCCAGTTTTAAGAATGTAATGAAATATTTAAATATTTAAGAATGTAATGAATATTTAAACATATTATTATTAACATATTAATTATTAACATATTAATATGTTTATATTAAACATATTATTAACATTAGTTAGATATTTTCAGTACATTTTTAGTGACATGTTTGTATCTTTTTCTTTTTGATGTCAATGTTTTTCTTAATGATTTAAAAAAGTTAATGAATTAAAGGTCATCCACTTGTTTAGAGGATCTGAATGCATCCATTAAAAGATGGAAATTCCTTGTCCCACCCAAGGAATCAGGCCAGGTCCTCAGTGAGACTTGGAAATCAGTTTTTACTCTTGAAATATGCTACCTACAAAGAAGGAAGAAAGAAAGGAAATGTTAATGTCTTAATACTTACAAGGCCTTTGGTAAGAAGCCAAAAAGGGGATGCATGAAGCATCTCTTATGTGATGTGTCTATGAGAAAAAACTGCCATGGATAGAAAAATAATGTATATTCAAAGTCTCTGGATTAGGACTCAGAAAAAAACGGATTCTAGTGAAGCTCCACTGTGAAGTATTGGAAGGATCCCCTAACTATTTCAGGCCTTCGTTTTGTCTGCTTGTAAAGTGAGAATTGATGTTTGGATGCATTCACCAATGAATTTACTGAAGGATTTTCCATCCTGTCATTCTATGGTCACGTACATTTTGCTTGCTTTTTCTCTGTCTTCCATTTAATAACCTTTCTGGTCAGTTGAGCCAATGCTGGACTTGGGGCTTCAGAGGCAGCTACTGAAGACTTCTCTGTTTTTAGGAGTCACTCCAGTGAGCTCAAAGGACCAAGAATTTCCTTGGGTAGATGTTTTAGAGAAGATGGAATAAGGTGGAAAGATGGCACAAACCGAAGGAACTGAATTGTGCTCTCCTTGGACAGCAGATTTAGGTGACCCTTGGATGCCTTCTCATCCCTAGTGCTCTGTAAACCATAGTCTAGTCCCCTTTCCTGGGGGTTGCTGAGTGTGTGGGCCTGAGGGAGTTGTCCTGTAGCCCATATTATATTGGGAAATTTCAGAAATCTTTAAAGCGATTTGCTAAGGAGCAACCCAGACATTGGGAAACTCAGTCTCTTTTTCACAAAAGCAACCTCTTTTCTGGAAGACTGCTGGAAAAAGCGGAAAAAGCTTTCCACTTTGGAATCAGAAAGACCTGAGTCCGAATCAAGGCATTGCCTCTATCTTAACAAGTAACTTTGGTGAAACAATCTTACCTCTCAGAGGCAATCCCCTCTGAGTAAAATGGAAATAATAATACAAACCTCCCAGGATGGCTGCATGTTTAAGTGAAATAATGTACGTGAGTATCTCAGCAAGTCACACTTCCTTTCTCCCTCGCTTTCTAATCTAAGAGGTGAATGGTTTCACATTTTGGCCATTTTGTCCAATTCATCCAACAAACAAACGTACCTGCAGTATTCAAAACGTGGTGCTAGGTACTGATGGCGAAACCCAAGGTGAATCAAACATGTCACCATCACTGTACTGCAGAACAGATGCAGTAAGAACCATTGGGCATATGGAGATCATTGCCATGGTGGGTCAGAGGGAGGGGAGGCTGTGCCAAGTTCTATGGAAAAGAAGGCATTTGAACTGGATTTCTATTAGGCAAGACTCAGCTGCAAGTGACAGTAAACCCAACTCCAGCAGCTTTAAGAGCACCAGGTCAGCAGAGCTCTGGGATGTGTGGAAAGAGGTATGGCTGGAAGAGTTGTTTGAGCTCTGCCTGCCACAGAAGACTTTGGCTGCCAGGCTGCAGATGAACCCTCCTGGAAGAGTTAGACTTAGGCAGGGTTCTCAGCTCCTCAGTGCCTTTCTTCCCAGGGTTCACTTCTCTAACACAAGCTACCCCACCCCGGGGATATTCTCCAGGTGTGCTCCAGTTACAACTATTTCTCAGCATTCTTTTTCTCATATGAGATAAACTGTCCTCATGTCTTTTTAAGCTCACAGTTGTCACAAATGCTTCCTCAGATTTTGTTTAAACTCATCTGGATATTTCCCCAAATGACTTTGGACAACTGTGTCATGCAGAATATGAGTCATTTTTCGATGGGGCTCACATCGTTGGAGCCAGGGTGCATAGGGCATCTGATGGATTGAACCCAGCCTGTGGGACTCAGCACTCTGCATCCTCTTGTTTCTCTCCACCATTGTTGCCCCATAGGCTGAGGACACAGCAACTGGGTATGAAATGATCCCTTTTCTCCCCCAAAGGAGGGCTTTGCTCAGTCTCCTTTGTGTTCAGAAAGAAAGCATTTTGTCTTTCCTAGTGGTTCTTTTCCATTCCTTTGGATGAGTGTGCCACCAAACCTTTGATGTGTCACATCCTGATATTAGTGAAAGTCCTGACACTGGCTCCTGACCATTTGCAGCATCAGCTTCCTTTGTCATAAAGGTGACAGTCGGTGATGGTCAGAGGGTGGTGGATAGGGAAGAGGTCCTTTGCCCACAATGCCTTTATGACTGGATTATGCTCGTAAGGGAGGGGATGTCTAACAGCTTATCATGGGTACTGCAAAAGTATAAAGTAGTCTTCAGGGAATGAAGAGGGATCTTATTTAAAGGGATTCTTAACTCATCATCTTCCATTCACTCATTCATTCACTCAACAAACTAAGTGGGAAGAAGAGTCTCAGAGGATCACTTTTACTGCTCTGCATTCCATATAAGAAATAGCCATGGTAGGCTGGACACTGTGGCTCACGCCTGTAATCCTAGCACTTTGGGAGGCTGAGGAAGGCAGATTGCCTGAGCTTAGGAGTTCAAGACCAGCCTGGGCAACATGGCAAAACCCCGTCTCTACTAAAAATACAAAAAAAATTTAGCCGGGCATGGTGGTGCACTCCTGTAATCCCAGCTACTCTGGAGGCTGAGGCACAAGAATCACTTGAACCTGGGAGGTGGAGGTTGCAGTGAGCCAAGATTGTGCCTTGGCACTCCAACCTGGGTGACAGAACAAGACTCTGTCTCCAAAAAAAAAAGAAAGAAAAAAAGAAATAGCCATCTGAAACTCCTTATCATATTTATTAAAATACTGATTGCCACAAATACCACAGAGAGTTTCAGATGGCTGTTTCTTATAAGTAATTTTAAAAATAGATACATACACTTCTATACATTGAGTTTTTGTGGGTAAAGGCTGTGGACAAATAACTAATGAGCCAGGAAACAAAATCTCCATTTTCCGATAAGGTAGGGCTCCCCTGCTCTGAGAGATGAGAGAAATGATCAAGATGTGATGATAATAAATCTTTGCATATTGTAGAGCCTGGAACTTTCTGTACTGTGTTCTCATCAACTATCTTCTCTACTAGATTAAATCGGTTTAATTATCTTCATTTTTCAGAGCAGGAAAGGCCTGCAAAGGCTAGACAGCCTGGCCTAGGTCACAGATCACACACTAGCCATGAAGTCAAGACCCACCCAAATGCAAGTCTCTGACCCACAGCTGTGGATTTGTCCCACCCCACTGCTTGAAGAGAGCACCCTACTGCCACAATAAATTGCATTCCTATGATTTCCTAATTAAAATGGCAGTAATTAGCTCTGTCATTTTAACATAGATCACTGATACCAATGTAGTCTTTTCCTTCACTTGCAAAAGTCCTTTTGCTTCCCACTACTTAATTAGGCCACAGGATAATCCCCCTAGCAAGCTCCTGACCCCATTTGAAAAGCTGAGGTCTTATCTCGTTGCAGAAGCAGCATCCTAACTGGGAATTAGAGTCTTCTATGTGTCCGTGAACTCTGTCTACAAACACAAAGGCAGCCTCCTCACCCCTGGGTTTCGTCCTAGAGTGGTTCATTTTCCCGCGCTACTGTTATGATCAAATGACATCAAGCTTTTACATTTAAATAGCCATTTACAACTCATCAACCCTGCGATTTAGAGAGAAGCTGCAAGCTCAAAGTAATACAGTAAGTGGCAGAGGCAGGATTTAAATCCAGGCAGGCTGGCTTCAGACCCTACTTGAACCCTTGTCTGGTCCGCTCCCTCTGCAGCCTTTCTGCGGTGCTGAGAGCAGTGTTTGATAGCTGGACCAGGTCCAGTCCGTAGAAGGAGCAAGACCAGCAGAGCAGCGAAAGGTGCTAGAACTGTCCTCTTCTATGGGCCCCTCCAGATGACATGCACATCAGCTGATTCCACACAGGGACCAAAGGGTACAGAGGAAAGAGGGATGGGTACTTGCCATATCCTGTCTTAATCCTCACAGCAAGGAGGGTAATATCTCAGGCCTATAGCTGAGGAGCCTGAGATCTAGGCAGGCCAAGTGAACCCCCTAAAATCATGCAGCAGGTGGGGAGATGAGAATTAAACCCAGTCTGTCTGATGCAAAAGACCATTCCGCTATGGCAGACGGAAGGGTGGCAACATCATCCCATTCAGAATCAGAGGAAACAATCCCAGGTGCAACTGGTGCCAGTCATCAAAGAGGATTAAGAAAGAGCCATTGGCAGCTAAATGTTGTAACTGGCAGTATAAACCAGGCTCAGGCAGTGTCAAAGGCTCCTTAGTTAAAACCTCAATAATTCCAGGGCTTTTGTTTCTCAAGGATCAAGATCCAAGACACATTACAGATGGAACATGCTTTCCTTAGGGGAGCCAGACTCAGTTGTTTCCGAGAAAAATCAAGACTCACGTTGACATGTCCTGCTTCCTTCCATATAATGCAGAATTCAGCCAGTTCTCAGACTGACCCACATTCAGAAGACCCTGCGGTCTCCCCTTCATGATACCTGGGCATCCAGTGGTAGCAAGATGACAAAACACACAAAGCAAGATGGTAGAGGGAGGGTGTAGTTCCTAGAGCGACTGGAAGGACAGGATGAGAAGAGTGGCTAGGGAAAGGTGAGTTCCCCACTCTCTTCATTCAGACACAGTCTCTTCTGTGAGGCCACCTCCACCTGTGAGGTCCAAGGAATAAGGAGGACAGGTCATGTCTCCCTTGCTGCCCTTACCCACACCTGCCCTCTTCCCCACTGTAGGAACCTCTGACCCACCCTTCTTCAGTGGAAGAACTGCCAAGACCTACATGAAAAGATGAGATCCATTTGGGGAGATTAGCATTACATGTCTCCCTGCTCAGGAGACAGCCTCTGGGGCTGGAGGCCAGGAGAGCTACCGAAGCTGGCGGGACAGCCCAGGAAGCCAAGTTCCCTAAATATCCCTTTTCCCACTCCACCTTGGAGTAATAAGGCAGACCCCTGAAAGAGCAAGTTCTCAGAGGCCCACTCCTGGAGGACACCTGCACACTTGCTATGTCCCAAGATTCTCCCCATTCAAAGGACAACACCTGGCATGGCTAAGGCCTGAGTCTATTCCAATTGGTGCCTATGCCTTTGGGTTGCAAAATATTTTATATCTCACGCTAGGTTCTGAATAAAATTTTATCAGACAAAAAGTTTTCTACTGCTTTAAAACAATTGAAAACCATTCTCCTGTGCTTTGCCACCCCTCTCTATGTCCAAGGTTTCTAACTGGAGCCCACACTTGATTTTAGTCTAAAATCAATAATCAATAAAAAATAATGGAATGTCAAGTTACAAGAAAAAATCGTGGCTGGGCGCGGTGGCTCACACCTGTAATCCTAGCACTTTGGGAGACTGAGGCAGGTGGATTGCCCGAGCTCAGGAGTTCAGCACCGGCCTGGGCAACATGGTGAAACCCTGTCTCTACTAAAATACAAAAAAATTAGCCGGGTGTGGCGGCATGCACCTGTAGTCCCAGCTACTCGGGAGGCTGAGGCAGGAGAATTGCTTGAACTCAGGAGGCGCAGGTTGCAGTGAGCTGAGATTGCGCCACTGCACTCCAACCTGGGCAACAGAGCGAGACCCCATCCTCACCCCTGCCCCAAAAAATCATAAAGCATGAAACATATTTGGAAATTATATGACAAAGGTGATATTGCCATAAAAAAATCAATAAGAAAAAAGAGAGCTCAATGGAAAAGAAGAAAGGGATATGCAAAACTGATTCCAGAAAAAATTTAATGCATACAGCCAGTAAGCATAAAAATATGCAATCTCTCAAGTAACTTAAAAATTACAAGTTGAAACAAGAACAAGAGACTAGTTTTTGCATATTAAATTAATACAAGATAATGAAGAACTATAAAACCAATGCTGATTGGGATCATGAGCACTTTCTGCATTTTTGGTAGAAAGTATAAATTAATATGACTTTTCTGGGCCCAGAGCTATTTGACAGAAGGTATCAAAAGAATTAAAAGATACATAAACTCAGTATATTTTGGGGTTCAGAATGATTAACAGCTCAAGTTCTAGATTCAGATAAACTAAGTTTGATCACAGTATTTGCTGTTCATAGCTGCTTAACTTTAGGCAAGTCACTGAATCTCCAAGTCTCAGTTATTTTATCTGTAAAATGGGATTAATTTTAGTGCCCGCTTCCTAAGTTTCTCTGAATGCTTTTTTTCTTTTTTTAGATGGAGTCTCACTCTGTCACCCAGTCTGTAGTGCAGTGGCATGATCTCAGCTCACTGCAAACTCCTCCTCCTGGGTTCACGCCATTCTCCTGCCTCAGCCTCCCAAGTAGCTGGGACTACAGGCACCTGCCACCATGAGTTTCTCTGAATATTAATTGCAGCAACATTTGCAAGGCACTTCACTTAGTCACTGACTTTTAGTAAGCGCTCAACAAATATTCACTGTTTTATTGTCATTAAGAATCTATTTTAGGAACATGTGATTTGTTCACAATGTTCTTTATAATAACACAAGTTATGATGATGTCTAAAAAATGTGGTGTTTAAATTAATTATAGTTCATCCACATAATACATTTCCATAGAGATATTTTAAAATATAACATCTTTATTGACATAGAAAAATGCTTCTATCATATCGCTAGTGTGAACCCTAAATATCTGAGACAGGTCCAGTCAATTTAGAAAGTTTATTTTGCCGAGGTTAAGGATGTGTGCCTATGACACAGCCTCAGGAGGGCCTGATGACATGCTCCCAAGGTGGCTGGAGAACAGCTTGGTTTAATACATTTTAGGGAGACATGAGACATCAATCAACATATGTAAGTTGAACATTGGTTCTGTCCAGAAAAGCAGGACAACTTGAAGCAAAAGCGGGACAACTCAAAACAGCAAGGAAGACTTCCAGGTCATAGGTAGATAAGAGACAAATGGTTGCATTCTTTTGAGTTTCTGATAAACCTTTCCAAAGGAAGCAATCAGATATGCATTTATCTCAGTGAACAGAGGGATGATTTTGAATGGAATGGGAGGCAGGTTGGCCCTAAGCAGTTCCCAGTTTGACTTTTCCCTTTAGCTTAGTGATTTTGGGGCCCCAAGATTTATTTTCCTTTCACCCTAGCAAAGGAGAAACAGGCGAAAAACTATAATAGGAAACTATATTTTTAAGTCTTTACAAAGAGCCAAGAACATTGGTTGAACTGTTGAGTGATTATCATATTTGTGTGTGTGGTCAGACTCCCACGTGTTTTTTTTTCATTATGCGATTTTTAAAAACTAGGCTTTTGTGTTTTTTTATTGTTATATCATAGTTGTACATATTTGGTAGGTACATGTTATTGGGGGAACCTGCCCCCCAATATTTCAATGTAGGTTCTTTCTATTTTCCGTAAGTGTCGGCCAGCTGAGCAATAAAGAGAAAGAGTACAAAGAGAGGAATTTTACAGCTGGGCCACTGGGGGTGACATCACATATCAGTAGGACCGTCATGCCCACCTGAGCCTCAAATCAGCAAGTTTTTTATTAAGGGTTCCAAAAGGTGAGGGGGTGTGAGAACAGGGAGTAGATCACATGCTTCAAAGGGCAAAAAGCAGAACTACTAATAAGGGTCCAACAAAGATCACAAGGCAAAGGGCAAAAGTAGAACCACTGATAAGGGTCTATGTTCAGCGGCGCACGTATTGTCTTGATAAACATCTTAAACAACAGAAAACAGGGTTCGAGAGCAGAGAACTGGTCTGACCACGAATTTACCAGGGCAGAGTTTTTTCCCCACCCTAGTAAGCCTGAGGGTACTGCAGGAGACCAGGGCGTATCTCAGTCCTTATCTCAACCGCATAAGACAGACACTCCCAGAGCGGCCGTTTATAGACCTCCCCCCAGGAACACATTCCTTTCCCAGGGTATTAGTATTAGTATTCCTTGCTAGGAAAAGAATTCAGCGATATCTCTCCCACTTGCATGTCTGTTTATAGGCTCTCTGCAAGAAGAAAAATAAGGCTCTTTTTGCCCGCCCCCGCTGGCAGTCAGACCTTATGGTTGTCTTCCCTTGTTCCCTAAAAATCACTGTTATTCTGTTTTTGTTCAAGGTGCACTGATTTCATATTGTTCAAACACACATGTTTTACAATCAATTTGTAGAGTTAACACAATTATCACAGTGGTCCTGAGGTGATGTACGTCCTCAGCTTACGAAGATAACAGGATTAAGAGATTAAAGTAAAGACAGGCATAAGAAATTATAAAAGTATTATTTGGGAACTGATAAATGCCCATGAAATCTTCAAAATTTATGTTCCTCTGCTGCGGCTCCAGCCGGTCCCTCCATTCGGGGTCCCTGACTTCCCGCAACACGTGTGATATTTTGACACATGTGTAAAAGGCTTAATGATCAAATCAGAGCAATTGGTATATCCATCACCTCAAACATTTATCTTTTATTTGTATTGGGAACATTACAATTCTTCCAGCTGTATTGAAATGTACAATAAATTATCGTTAGCTATAATTTCCCTACTATACTATAAAATCATAGGATTTATTCCTTCTACCTAACTGTATTTTTGCATGCATTTATTTTTTTAAACCAGTTTTAGGTTCACATAAAAATTGAGTGTAATGTACTGAGTTCCCATATGTTCTCCACCCACCACACTCACAGCCACCCCCACTATCAACGTCCCCCACCAGGGTGGTGCATTTGTTAGAACTGATGACAATTCTACATTGACGCATCATTATCATCCAAAGTTCATAGTTTTCGTTAGGGTTCACTCTTGGTGCTGTACATTCTTTGAGCTTTGACAAATGAGTAATGACATGGATCCACCATCATAGTATCATATGGAATAGTTTCACTGCACTAAATATCCTCTGTGCTCTGCCTCTTCATCCTTCCTTCCCCACAATCCCTAGCAACAACTGAACTTTTTACTGTCTCTATAATTTTACCTTTTTCAGAATGTCATATACAGCATTTGGAATTATACAGTGTGTAGCTTTTCACACTGGATCCTTTCACATAGAAATACGCATTTAAGCTTCCTTCACATCTTTTCATGGCTTGGCAGCTCATTTAAGCATTGAATAATATTTCGTATTCTGGATGTCCCACAGTGTATTTACTCATTCATCTGTTGAAGGACATCTTGGTGCTTTTAAATCTTGGCGATTATGAATAAAGCTGCTAAAAATGTCCACATGCAAGTTTTTATAATTTTTATAGCATCTTTATTGACATGTAATTCATATATCATAAAATTCACCCATTTAAAGTGTACAAGTCAATAATTTCTAGTATATTCACAGAGTTGTACAACCATCACCATGATCAATGTTAGAACACTTTTGTAACCCTCCAAAGAAACCCTATACTCACTAGTAGCCACCCACCCACCCCAGCCTTAGGAAATCACTAACCTACTGTCTATCTATAGATTTATGAACTCTGGACATTTCATGAAAGTGGAATCATACAACAGGTGGTCTTTTGTGACTGGCTGCTTTTACTTAGCATAACATTTTTAAGGTTTATCCATGTCACAGCACATATCAGCACTTCATTCCTTTGTATTGCTGAATAACATTTATTGTATAGATACACCATATTTTCTTTACCTACACATTAATTAGTAGACATTTAGATTGCTTCCACCTTTAGATGCTGTTGTGAACATTCATGTACACACTGTTCTGTAGACCTATAATTTCATTTCTCTTGGGCATATCCCCAGGAGTGGAATTGCTGAGTCACATGGTAACTCTGTCTAACTTTCTAAGGACCTGCCAATCTGTTTTGTAAAGTAGCTGTACCAGAAGCCAGCAGACTATGAGGGTTCCAATATCTCCCACCCTTACCAACCCTGCTATTATCTGTCTTTTTTATGACAGCCATCCTAGTGGGTGTGGTGGCTTGTTTTCATACAAGGTCCATTTCTCTGTTTTACAATGATGTGTATTACTTTAGTAATCGTGAGGGGTGTGTTATTAAAACAAACCATAAAAGTCACAAAGTCCTCTGCTGGGATTTCCATTAGCAAAAGTGCACAGAAATGCAGTTCCAGTTTGGGAAGTTGGGTGGGCATCTGTGGGAGAACAGGGACATGGGGGGAAGTCTTTGCAGCCTGCCTCTATTGCTGTTCTCTGAGGCTCTGACCTCACTCCACCGTTTCCCCAACCACACCTGGCTGCCCTCTATGGGCATGGCGATGGCAGCCTCCTCCACAGCTCATTCTTCATGTGCAGTTCTTTCTCCAGGCTGTGTAGTGTGGTTGGAAGCCTCCTGGCCTGCAGAGTTAGGTAGACCTGGGTGTGAACCCTGCTGTGGGACCTCTGCTAGTGCATAACCTCTTGAGCTTTGCCATCCTCTATAAAACTGAGACACATCTCAGCCTCATGGCGTTGCCGATGGCTAAATGCAAAACAGCTGTCCAGGGTGCTCACAAGAGTTGTGTCCTCTGCCCCCCTTTTCTGCACTTCTGCTCTGTGCATGTGGGGATTGGCCCTCTCTGCCTGCATTTCAGGTTTACTTTCTGGTTTGGGTCTCACTTCACTCTGCTCCTTGGCTAGTGGGCAACAGAAAGCACTACACGATTAGAAGACCTCTAAGGGTATTACAGGAAGATGCTGGAAAGAGCACTGAGCTTTGTTAGGTCCTCTTATAGGCAATGTCAGCCCCCAGCAAGGACCAAACCTTTATCAAAAGGTAAGGTTCAGAACTACGCACCTCAAATATGCTCCAGGTCACCAGTTTAACTTAGTGCATCCAGTATTGCTGGAGTGTACGTGTGATTAGTACTGTGCTCCCGGAGAGTCTCAAACTCCAGATGTCTCAGAGATAGTCAAATGACAGGGGACTTTTTTTTCTTTTTAAGTGCAAACCTAATAATGTGATCATTGTCTGTGTAGCCCAAGTTACAGAACTGAAAGCAATGCTAAGAATTGTAGCAGTCGCTATTAATTGAGGATTTAATGCCTTTAACTCTACTAGTGGTTTACAGACACTATCTTAATCCTCTGGCACTCATGAGCTTCCTTGTAGCCCCATTTCCTTGCCTTCTCAAATGTTGCAGAAGCAATTCCTTGCCCAGTTTGTGTTTTTATTCTGTATTTTTGATGCTTTGACATCTTGGGGCTTTGCTGACCCTGGAGGGACCACCCCTTACTGGACTAGCGAATTCCTAGGAATAGCAAATGTCTGGTGTGTGAGCCAATGTGCCTTTCATATGCAAACCAACCAATCCAGAGCCATACCCCAACCACCTCCTATATCTGTTCTCATACTCCAGGCCACTATCTGCCTGCTCTAATCACCCCAGGGCTGGACAACCGGGGTCAGCCCTAGGGAAAGACAATTAGGGACACACAACCAGGGGCAGCCCCTGTGCCCAAGAGCCTGCTAAGATTATTCAAATTAGACAATCCTAAAGCTGCTGACACTACCTCACCTGTTCCTCCCTGTGGAAACCTCAGTAAAGGACTAACATGGGTGCTTCTCCATGTGGCCCTGCACGCCCTGCTTCTAGGGACCTGTGAGTAGCAAACTTCTTCATGACAGTCACTTTCATGTCTCACCATAACAGCTTAAAACAAATTTGGGATGCCTTTTAAACACTCCTAGAGACCCAGTCTAGAGCCACCCAACTTCCTGACAGCTTTCAGATGATTTCTGGAAGCACCTAATTAACTGTATTAATTCTCTGTATACCTAAAACCCACTAGGGGACTTTCTGTTTCCTGCCATTAACTCTGATGATAGAGTAACTTACTCTGGACTGTGGAGCTGACCATGGACAAAGACACACACTGTTCACCTTGAGCAACCAAGCCCTCTACCAGGAAGCTCTACTCTATTTACACTGGTATTTGGATCCTAATCTACAGTCCCAAAGGCTTGCCTCTCTGAAAGCATTTCCCCAACCACAGAATGTTGCTCTGTCCATTATATGGCCTTTGTTGGCCAGCTTCCAGGTAAAGCTGTTGCCTGAGTAAGTGTTTTGAAATTCCTTGAGGTCTGGATCATTTCCCTGTAGTGACCTGGGCTCCAGGTTTGGTTTCAGTCCCTGGGGGACAAGAATCCAAGACTTCAGTGAAGCTGAACTGAGCCTTCTTTCCATTTATGGAGAAGCCCAGGAGATGCCAGGGAATCTGAGAAAACTTTCTTCTGCCTCCAACATTTTCAGAATAGTGCTTTGGCTCTCCTTGAGGCTTAGAGGAAAGTTTTGGGCCAGAGCCCATCAGATATTCCTACCTATATGTTTCCTGTGGACTCTTTGGGGAAACTTCTCACAGTCTAGGTAGATCCTATAGCATGTTCTAGTAGTAAAAAGATTGAAGTCCAATTTAAGCCACTCAGATCTTCTGTTTCGCTTTTTTTTTTTTTTTTTTCCATCTCACGTCCCATTCAAAGCAGTTGCCTTTTCCCCAGCTTAGGCAAGGACAGCCCCAGGAATAGGACCCGGTGTGTCCCTCATATGCCCTGTTGCACCTGGAGCTGGGGGAAGGGGTGGGTGGCGGAGGGGAGATGTGAACTCAAGGCTGCCTCACCTGACTCTTGGAGTATCTGGCCATGGGTCTTCTATGTGGCAGATGCCCAAAGGTTGGCCCTTATATTAGTTTGCTAGGGTTGCCATAGCAGCATATCTCAAACTGGGTGTCCTACATCAACAGAAATTTATTCTCTCACAGTTCTGAAAGCTAGAAGTCCAAAATCAAGGTGTTGGCAGGACCAGCCTCCCTCTGAAACCCCTGGGGCAGGGTCATATTTTGCCTTTTCCAGCTTCTGGCAGCCCCCGAAGCACTATCCTTAGATAGTGATACCATGACTCCAATCTTTGCATCTATTCAAATGGTGCTCTCTTCTCTGTGTCTGTTTCCAAATTTCCCTTTTCTGATAAGTACAACAGTCATATTGGATTAAGGGCCCCCCCTGGTCCACTACAACCTCATTCTAACTGATTACATCAGCCCCAACCCCATTCCCAAATAAGGTCACCTTCACAGGTTCTAGGGGTGAGGAATTCATTCAACACATCTTTTTGAGGGACACAGTTCAACCCATAACAGCCCTCTTTCTTTTCTCTCTTCCAAGAGGTACCTTTTGTGGGTTCTTCAGAGATATCCACTAGCCTCACTTCCACCCCTGCCCCCACCTGGGGCCTGCTGGCATGATAGATGCACCCTCTGTTCTGACCTCTCCCAGCTCCTTCTCATCTCTTCATCTCCCGCCCCAGGGGCCCGCCCTGGAGTTCTGCCAGGCAGCCTGCTTGGGCAGGGTTGTTTCCAGGGTGGCTCTAGTCCGGCCCCTTCCTTGGTGTTCCCTCTGCCCAGCCAGTCTCTGGGGGTGCAGGCTGCTCCCCAGGCTGCCTGACCATCCTCCTCATGCATCCTGGACATCTTCAGGAAAAAAGCTGACTCTAGTGTGTGACCTCCAAAGTTCAGGAGGCCAAGGTGTCACCCAGCATTGTCACTGCACTCTGCTCTGGCCTTGTAGTGGCCCTGGGTGCACAGTTTAGCAGCTTAGGAGACATTCAGCACGTAGTCAGAAACCAGACTGGCCCATGGACACCCCTTCCCCTCCCCAGAGATTCTCCTGCCCCTTCCCCTCATTTAGGATGAGGAGCCCTGGCTTTTCTCTTTCCTCTCAGAAAAGAAGGAGAAACAAGTTAGGCACAATGGTGTGGGTCTGTAGCCCCAGCTCCTCAAGAGGCTGAGCTGCGAGGATCCCTCGGGCCCAGGAGCTCAAGGCTGCAGTGAGCTATGATTGTGCCACTGCATTCCAGCCTGGGTGACACAGCGAGACTCTGCCTCTAAAAATAATAAAAAGGAGGACAAACACTGTCACAAGCTCCACATCTGTGCATTTGCTTTAAGGGATAGCTTTCTCTGATCAATCTTCTCTGAATTTCTTATCTCTTGTGTAGGTTGGAAGTGAGCGGTGAGCAAGGGTCACAGGTTTTTGCAGATTTGGGCATTTCTGTGGTCATGTGTCTAACGCCTCCTTTTAAAATGTGTGAGAACCCATTGACTTCACTTCTGGGGACTCAGGAAATCTCAATGGAGAAGTTCCATTCAGCATCCTGGTTGGTGGATGAGGTGCCTCGTTCATAGAAAACCCTTGGTAAATGGCAGTCTTGAAAGTCCAGGTTCCAATGACTGCAGTTCCAAAGTGCTGCCATTTCCTTTCATGCATGCTACTAGCAGATATTAGGATTTTTCACCTTTAAGATGATGCAAAAGCCATATGCATTTAGTAGAAACAGTACTTCAAGTACCCATACAACCATTCTGTTTTCACTTTCAGTTATAGCATTCAATACATTACATAAGATATTTAGCACTTGATTACCAAATAGGCTTAGATGATTTGCCCCCCGTGGGCTAATGTAAGTGTTCTGAGCGTGGGTAGGCGAGGCTAAGCTATGGTATCTGGTGGGTTATGTGTAGTAAATGCATTTTCAGCTTACAGCCACAAGGACTGCAGGAAATGTCGTGCCCCTCCAATGCAAGCGCAACGAAAGACAAGCTACCAAGTTTCTGCTCTTTCCTCGGTACTATACTGTTGTCTCCCAGGTCCCTGAACTTGGATAGGTGGAAACTGGCGCATGTGCAAGTGAGCTGAGCCATCCGAAACCCCTTCCAAGAGAGCTTTTGTGACCATTTCATCTAAAAGAGAACCCACTCCATGCCCAGTCTTGCTTTGCCCTTTGTAACTGTTCTTCTGAGTAGTTATCATTACCTGAAACTACATTAAATTATACAGATGCCCACAGTTACATCTCCATAAACCCATCATAAGTTAAAAATATTGTAAACTGAAAATGCATTTAATACACCTAACCCACCAAATATCATAGCTTAGCCTAGCCTATGTTAAATATGCTCAGAACACTTACACTAGCCTACAGTTAGGCAAATCATCTAACACAAAGCTTATTTAGTAATCCAGTGCTAAATATCTTATGTAATGTATTGAGTGCTGTACTGAAAGTGAATACAGAATGGTTGTATGCGTACTTGAAG
Organism: Homo sapiens; assembly: GCF_000001405.40. Taxonomy (NCBI): domain Eukaryota; kingdom Metazoa; phylum Chordata; class Mammalia; order Primates; family Hominidae; genus Homo; species Homo sapiens. Next base: position 16,137,986 of record NC_000004.12, on the reverse strand, counting down.
TACTGTTTCTACTAAATGCATATTGCTTTTGGATCCTCTTATGGGTAAAAAATTCTAAATTGAACCATCATAAGTTGGTGACCATCTGTAGATTGTCTTTTCTTCATTGGATTATAAACTTCAGAGAACCAGGCCCTGTCTGCTGTGTTTTCTGTAGCACCCAGGGTTTAAAACAGCCTAACACAGGGTGGGGGCAGTGGGTTGGATGGTGCCCCTTCACCAAAATATACATCCATTAAAATCTGTGCATCTGACTTTATTTGGGGAAAGGGTCTTTGAAGATATAATGAAGTTAAGGATCTTGAGTTGAGATTATTCTGGATTAAGCTGGGTCCTAAATCTAATGACAAGTGTCCTCCTGAGAGAAGAGAATGTGGGGAGACACAGAGGAGAAGACTGTGTGAGGTCAGAGGCAGTTTGGAGTTACACAGCCACAAACCAAGGATGCCTGGAGCTGCCTGAAGCCACCAGAAGCCAGAAGAGGCAAGAAGAGATTCCCACTAGATCCTCTCAATACAGGGGCCACAGTCCTGTCCCTGTCAACACACTGATTTCAGTTGGTAAATGTTTGCTGAGTGAGTGAATGAGGTATTTCTGCATCATCCCTTGCAGCCGTATTCAACCCCTTTCTTTGGGATCCTGGAGAGCTCATCGCATCAGGAGGTCACCTCTAAAGTGGAGAGCTCTCAAGTTGGTGTCAGGACCATTGAGTTTAAGTCTGAGCTCTGCTATTAAATGTCAGTTCCTGCTCCTGGCCTCAGTCTCCCAGTTGGAAGAGATGTCTCCATGATCTATGATCTGCAGGAACACTATGGAGACCAAGAAGGTTCTCAAAGCACCTCTCTCTAGGCAGCCCTGTGTGCCCCAGGTCTGAGGCCTCAGCTGGCAGAAGGCCTCCGGGGTCCCTCCAGAGCAGGGCACGGGCTGTGTGCCCAGCAGTGGCAGCTGCTGTGTGTCTATGTCTGCCCAACCCTCAGTGTCTTGTAGTTACCTTAGTGACCATCTCTTTCCCAGGGCTCCTGGCAGCAGATGGGAGCAGCTGGCGGTAGGGCTGGGGTAAGTTGTTCCCTGGCTAGGAGACAAGCCTTGCCCACCACAAAGGACTTTTACTTCTGGGTCACGGTGGGGGATAATCGCTTAGGGATGTCACCTATTGGTTATAAAGGCTTGTTTTCCATTCCATGGATGTAGGGATGCCCTTTGGTTTTGCCATGTTTCCTGGAAAGTCTGGCCACCTTCCTAACATAGAGAAATGTCTTAACATTGGACGTTTGAAAAAATCTACAGAAAGCCCTATTTATCTACAAAACTCCTTAGAATACTGTTGGAGGGCAAACCCTGGGTTAATTTCATCAGGCTTATGAGGAATTTAAAAAATTCAGATCCCCAAATATTTGAGATGAAGTTCAGCCAACCTCAGTCTTCTGACCTTTCCAGTGACTCCGATTCCTCCTGGGCAGCTGCTAGCCTGTTACAGCAATTACATCCCTGACAGCTGGGTGGAATCAAAAGGACATTGGGGTAGGTTTCAGAACATGTGAGCCCTACATCAACTTATGTGACTTCAGGAAAGTTCCTAGATCTCTCTGGGCCTCTGTTGGCTCATTGGAAAAATAGAGATCACAGTATCTGCTGTGTCCACCTCAGGAGGTATTGAGAGTATCCAGGTACTCTTTGGAAGGGCTTCCTAAGAAAGGGTTTGGAGAACCCAGGGCTTGGATGAGAAAGCAGGTGAAGAGGGCTTGGTGTGCAGTGAAGGATTTATCTTGCCCAAAGAAAGGTGTGGCTTCTATCCCTACTTCTGAGGGGTAAGCCCTAAGCCCTTGAAATGTTTTGCCGAGTTGGAGTGTCTTTGTTTATTCGGGGGTCTTGGACTATGTCATATAGGCTATGCTAGAATTGTGATTTATGGTGGGGCCCTGGGACCACAGTTCAACCTCTGGAGAGACTGGATACTAATCTCAGCCATGTGGGTTGTCAGCTGTGTCTACATGGCTGACCTCCAGCAAAAACTCTGGACACCAAGGCTCTGGTGAGCTTCACTGGTTGGCAATACTTGTGTTGCTACACATCAGCATTGCCAACATTGTGTTACCACACATCATTGTTGAAAGAGGTAATCACTGTCCACATATGCCACTGGGAGAGCACAATTGGAGGCTTATCCCTGGACCCTGCCTTGCGTGCCTCTTCTTGTTGCTGATTTTAGTCTGTGTCCTTTCACTGTAATAATCAAAACTGTAAGCATGACAGCTTTGCTGAGTTCTGTGATCCTTCTAGTGAATTACTAAGCTCAAGGGTGGTCTTAGGGACCCTTTCCCCAACATAAACTTGTATGTGGAGAATGGGCAACAGTCAAGAAAGGCTCAGCAGCAGAGAATGCCCAAGCAGGTCCCAGGGAAATATGGGATGGGACACTACCCCTGGGTTCCACTGGACACTCACTGCTGTTCCTGCCCTACCCTCACCTCTGCCATGGCCTCTCCATTCTGCCACCGCCACAGGAAATTGTCTCTAATAATCCTGCATCTTTGCACTTCTCCCTCAAGACTCAAAATCCTGGGAAGAAGCACCTAATTAGCTAAACCTGGTTGCTCGGGGTTGGGAGAGGATTTGCCTAGTAGAGGGAATCATGCTTCTCACCTGGATGAACACAATGGGAAATCCCTCTATCCCCCAAGTAAGAAGGGTGTTCCATGCTGAGAAGTCAAGAAAGATATTTATCGCAAATGAATCATATGGATTTTTCCATCTCCAGAACTCATCTCTGAAATTAAAGAGTAGAGGAAAACTGCTTGGAAGCAAGTGGGTTTCATGGGTGTGTGGAATCTATGCAGTTGCATGGGGCCCCAGACTCAGAATGACTCTGCCCTTATTTTAATGTTCTGTTACTGTCTTGAAATACTTAATTTTTCAGTAAGAGTCCCACATTTTGATTTGTATTGGGCCCTGCAAATTATGGAGCTTGTCCTGCTGGGAAAGCACCAAGCATCATGCAAATGCAAGGGCTGGCTATAACCTTCAAAATTACTTTCACAGCTGACTCTTTTTTTTTTAATTACTCATTTTGACTTAGACTTAAAGACACTACCATCTGTCCCACTGGTTATACCTCAAAAAAAAAAAACACCCTCTTTGGGCGCCAGTGGCTTTCTAAACACTAGACCCACTGGCCTGCTCTGCCGTTGTCTGCTCCATTTGACTTCGAGCTCTCGGTGCTTCCGCTCCATTTCTCTCTCCCTTTCCCTCCAGCCATGCTCCTCCCTGGATCTTGGCCATTCTACACTGCCCTACTTTGCCCCTATTTCTCCAGCTGCTGTTTCTTTGTCTTCTTCACTGGTTCCATTTGCTATACTTCCCCTCTGCCCTTCAAACCTGGATGTACCCCCAGGGAGAGTTTTCTTCTGTGTCTTTTCTCCTCTCTAGACATGCTGGATTTCTCTTGTGCCTTCAAGCAGTACTTTTCAGCTGAGGCTTCTAAGGTGGCTGTTCTGACCAGCTGTGGCTGCACCACGTGGATATCGCAGCAAGTCCACACCTACTATCATCAGCAGGGCCACATCTATCTACCCCATGGACCTCCTGATTCTACCTATGTGACCATCAGTCTTCCATCTTAATTGGTCTTAACTTCTTTTCTGCCTCCATATTGCTGTCATGTGGTGCCTTCTAGCTGTGTCTCACATGGTGGAAGGGGTGAGCAAGTTCCCTGGGGTCTCTCTTATCAAGGCATTAATCCTGTTTATGGTAGCTCTGCCCCCCACGACCTAATCAGGGCACTAATCCCATTCATGATGGCTCCTAACCCCCAGGGTAATGGTATTAGGAGGTGGAGCCTTTAGGAGGTCCATTACCTTTGGAGCTAGAATTTCAACATGTAGTTTGGAGGGGACACTAACATTCAGACAGTAGCATGACCCCCAGTGCAGATATTGTGAAGCCCCAACAGCCTTCTTGGATGTGGTAGTGACCTTGAGGGTACAACAGAATGAGGAAGCAAAAAAATAGAAACCAAATCCACAATGGCTATGGAGTCATCATTCTGCCCTGAGCAGTCCGCCTCCAGACTCCATTTACATAAGATAAAGATAAACATCGATTTTGTTTAAGCCACTGTTTAGTGTTTGCTTAGAGGCAAGAAAGCTAATTATAAGCCCTGAATGATACAGATGTGAAATGAGTCCCAAACATTGCAGACAAACTTCAACTGTGATTCTCTTGTCTTTCTACGAACTGAGAGATGAATGAATTTACACAGCTACCAAGAGTGCTGTGGGCACCCTGCAAGAGAATTCAAAAGAGAAGTGGGATTTTGACAAAACAAGTCAGATTCAAGATTGGGGACCACACAGGAGCACTGGGGATCTGCAAATGCTCTGTGAGGTTGTGTTTATAAATCCACTGTGACCCAACTAACATGCACTTTGGGATGCAAAGGGCCTAGTATATAAACAGAAGAACTACTTGCAAGCCACAGGCATTATTCTCAATGTGATTATAAATACAGCCTGGTGAGGCTTGGAGACATTGAGATTATGAGGAGTGTGTGTGTGTCCATGCATGTATATTCTAGAGGTGCCCGGTAAATATGCATTTGACCAGATTCCAAATTGGCAAATGGTAAAATCTGTCTCTGGTCAAAGCCAAGGCAAAAAGTGAATATTATAATCATAGATTGATGTTATGCAATGAAAAAATAAATCTGATATTTTATCCCAAATATATTAATTTAAAATTTGTTATTGTTAAAACAACTTAGTATTCAATGTTACATCTTGAAATTATAGTGTAGGAATCATGTGTCTTCATCATCAGGGGCTGTGTGGCTCCTAAATCACTAATTTGCATGTTTGTTAATACCAAATAGATACCCACTTCCCGCTATTGATAGAGGAAGATCCGTTTGGCCAGCTCTCCTAGGAATGGTAAGGTGTGGTTGATGGTAATGTTGTCAATGAATTATCAGGCTTTCCTCAAACGCCTTTCGTTTTTAGTAAGCAACTAAGGTCATGACTTACTGCCTCCTCACCTCCTTGACAGGAAAATTTGGTTCATGACGCTGATGCAATTTCATGGAAGCAATTTCATAAACTAATGTTTTGAGCACTTGAAGAAGATACTTCCACACAACTTTGATAACTTAGATAAAATAAACTAATTCATTGAAAGAGACTATAAGAACTAACATGGGAGAAATAGATAATCTCAATAGACCTATAGTTATTGAAAAATCAAATGGATAATTAAAATTTAAAAAAAGTAAAGCACTAGAATTTCAGTGGTGAATTCTGCAAAACATTTGAAGAAAAAAATACCAATTCTCCACAACGTCTTCCAGAAAACAGAAGCAGAGGAAATGCTTCTCTAACTCATTTTAAGAGGGCTATATTATCCTACTATCAAAACCAGATAAAAACAGTACAAGAAATAACAACTACAGACCAAATATTTCTCCATGAATATAGATGCAAAAACCCTTAACAAAATATTGGCAAAATCAAAACCATATATACATAAATATATATGTGGTTACAGAAATGCAAGGCTAGTTCAACATTTAAAAATCAGTGGATGTAATTTTTAGCAGATGGAATAAGAAAACCCATATAGTCACATCATGATGGAAATTCTCAAATATTTAGGATTAGAAAAGAACTTCCTTAACACAGTAAAGGTAATATTTTCTTTAAAAATCCTACAGCTAACAGCATACTATGGTAAAAGACTGAATGGTTTCTCTTTAAGATGGAAAATAAGACAAAGACAACTTCTCTTCACTCCTATGTCATACTGGAAGACCTAGCAATGGGACAAGAAAAGGAAAGAAAAGGCATACAGATTGGAAAGGAAGAAAGAAAATACTTCCTGAATATTTTATAAAGTGCCAGGCACAATGGCTCATGCCTGTAATCCCAACACTTTGGGAGGCCGAGGCGGGCAGATCACGTGAGGTCAGGAGTTTGAGACCAGCCTGGCCAACATGGTGAAACCCCATCTCTAATAAAAATACAAAAATTAGCCAGGTGTAGTGGCAGGCACCTATAATCCCAGCTACTCGGGAAGCTGAGGCACAAGAATCCCTTGAACCTGGGAGTCAGAGGTTGCAGTGAGCCGAGATCGCGCTATTGCACTCCAGCCTTGGGCGACAAAGCGAGACTCTGTCACAAAAAAAAGAAAAAGAAAAAAAAAAAATGTGCTCTTAAGATTGTTGCCCTTTCTTGCAGTTTTAAATTTCCTATACTTTTGCATGGACTTGACACTTTATACGATGCTTTGAGACAAATGTGTCCTTAAATTTTGGATCTAGAAATGTGGTAATAAAGCTAGGTAATTGGTTTTCAAGACAGTAAGATCCCACCAAAATTTCTAGTGCATCTCAGTTTTCATTGCATGCACACAGATTTCAGCCTTTCCCTGGAGTAGAAGTATAAGAGGAATGTTTATAATAGCTCAAAGGTGCCAGATATGACATTGAGGTGGGCATTTGGCTATTGAGCCTTCCAAAGGCCAAGGTTAAATGGAACTGTATATCTGGAAAAACACTGAGACCAAAGTCAAACTTCTATGAACCCCTAGTATACGCCTGGCTATTCCCAAGTTCTCTAACCTATGAGAAACCCTTCCTTTAAACAACCAGTGGGCCAGACATGGTGGTTCATGCCTATAACCCCAGCACTTTGGGAGGCCAAGGTGGACGGATCATTTGAGGTCAGGAGTTCGAGACCAGCCTGACCAATATGGTGAAACCCCATCGCTACTAAAAATACAAAAAAATTTAGCTGGGCATGGTAGCGCATGCCTGTAGTCCTAGCTACTTGAGAAGCTGAGGCAGGAGAATTGCTTGAACCTGGGAGGCGGTTCAAGCTGAGTACTCCACTCAGCAGAGGTTGCAGTAAGCCACTGTACTCCAGCCTGGGCGACAGAGCAAGACTCTGTCTCAAAAACAAAACAAAACAAAACAAAACAAAACAAAACAAAACGGAACAAAACAAAACAAAAAAACAACTAGTGTAGGCCCAAGCCCCAGATCATTTATTTGATTAGCAGAAAATACAGAGTTTTAACAGAGTCTCTCCGAGGGGTCCCAGAGGGACACCAACATGTTCCAAAATATGTCTTTCATGTGTATTGTCACCTCAATAACAACCTCCCTTCAGGCCTTGCTCACTCTCTGCAGATGTTCTCTCACTACTTCACAGCAGAAGCTTTCCCATGCCTGGATCCTGCCTCCCTAATCCCCAGACCTCAGTGGACTCAAGACTGGAAGAGTTAATAAAATATCCCTGTAGGCAATATCCTCAGAAGGTAATTAAAAATAGAAAAAGAAAACAAACCACTTAAACAGGACACAAAGTATCATGGCTCCCAGATCCAGAGGCTGAGTCCCGCCTTGAGGGACCAATCCCTCTCAGATGGGCTCTCCTTAGCCCCACATCTACCTCTGACCTACTTGGTCTCCAAACAAGATGACAGTCTTTTGCCATTTCTCCTTGCCAGATTCAGATATTTTTAGTCCTGGACCCCAAAGAGACAGATCAAACCTGATCCTCAAAGCAATGCAACTCTCTATCAATGAACACATCCACCTGTATCATTTTGCAGCCTATGGTTAGCAAAACTTCATTCAGAATTTCTTCAGTTCAGAAGAGGTCTTGGTCTTTGTGTTAGATTATAGGAGTCTTTTTACGGTGTCTTCACATAATCAATGTGTCATCCGGGCATGGTGGCTCATGCTTGTAATCCCAGTACTTTGGGAGGCTGAGACAAGAGGATCCCTTGAGCCCAGAAGTTTGAGATCAGCCTGGGCAAGATGGTAAGATCCTGTTTCTACAAAAAAGTTAAAAACATTAGCTGGGCTTGACAACATGCTGACAGTAGCTGTGGTCCCAGCTATTCAGGAGGCTGAGATGGAAGGATCAGTTGAGCCTGGGAGATTGAGGCTGCAGTGAGCTGTGATCATGCCATTGCACTCCAGCCTGGGAGACAGAGTGAGACCCTGTCTCAAAAACAGCAACAACAACAACAAAAATCAATGTATCGTCTTTGCCCAAAGATAAAGTCTGCCTTATCTGCCTGTATGTAAAAATACTAATGTGTTTCCAATTCTCTGTATTGAGGTTTCGAAAACATTAGGTTCAATATGAGAACATCTTATTACAAATATATATCATGGCAGACACAGCTAGTGGCCTTCTCAGCATCTTTTCTCCTTTTCTTTCCTTCTCAATATCTGTTTAAGGTATTTGCAGTGAAACTCTTTAACTGATGTGTGTGTGTGTGTGTGTGTGTGTGTGAATGTAGCAAAACTGTGATCACATACATTTCTATTTTAGGAGAATGTGATGAAGTGGTTCTTTCAGCTATAAGGCTGCCTCTCCTAGGACACCAGGCACACAGAAAGGCCAGCTGTTCAGATAAGACCTCCTAATCAAAACAGACTCAGCCTTATCAGTGACATTCCCTGAGCCAGGCCCACAGCAGGGCAACAAATATTTGTTCAGTAAATGAATACATGAAAGAAATGTTTCCTGTTGTCAGTGTCCCTGTAATCTGGTGGAGGAGGTAATAATGTACATTTACAAGCTGTAGGATCAAATAAGTGCTACAGCCACGGGGATCCCATTTTCTGGCTCAGACCCTGCAATAAGAATTCTGATAAAGTATTTTTCTTCTGATTTTAAAATATATTTACATGAAAATATCCCAACTTACGCACATCCAACTGCTTTCTATAACCTCCCCCTCTTCCACCTTAATGTAAGCCACGTAATCTCATGCCTGTCTATCAAGGGCCTTTCCAAATCATTCACACTGTGTCCAATCCATTCTTACCCTCTGTAAATGGTTCAAGGGGTTTTGTATGTGGACACTGGGCAGGTGAAAATACTCTCCTCTGGAGTCTGAATCCTATAGGACGAGATAGCAGCCTTGGGTTGCTAATGGTCAGGTTCTCTACTTCTTGAAGAAAGCTGGTCGGTAGTAGAGAAGAATAAAATTAACAAAGCCCTAGAAAAATAACTTGAGTCACTGGATGCAGCTGTGCCAGAGGCTTGCCCCTATTCTTTCTGGATACCTAAGTCAGCTTCTCTTTTGTGTTTAAATTTCTTTGGAGTTAGTTATCTGTCACTTGCAAGAAGAAGTATTCTGACAAATGCAATTCTCTAAGTCTTAGTTTGCTCTTCTGCAAAATAGGCTACCTCCTAGTTCTGTTGTGAGGATCAAGTGAACTAATATTTGTATCAGAGCTTTGTAAATATAAAGTAAAAATATTCTTTGTCACATACCCACCAAAAGCACTGATTGGATAGGATGCATTTGGATGCAAGTAATAAAGCATGCAACTAAAATTAGTTTGAGCCACAGCTACTCAAAGTTTGAGGCCTGGACCAGCACCAGCGTCGTGGGTCACGAATAACAGATGTTTCAAGGTGTTTCAGGTGAGTTTTTTTGTTGGCTCAGAAAGGTCTAGGAAGGGGATTGGGTGGGCAGGGGTTCACTCCTCTCAGAGGCCGCAGGAAACATCACATGTTTCACAGGTCTACCTGGTGTGGGAGCTCCAAATCTTCTCCATTGTCAAGGCCATACCCATAACACCAACAGGGTTTCCTTATCGATTTGGCACAGAATAGTAATTCTACATATGCCAGTTATCTCATCACCTAGTGGATACCTGACATCTCAAGGGATAGCTTCCGAAGTATCTGTAATTCCTAAATTCATGAATACCACTACAGCATGTACATTTCCTCTAAAATGCACCAAGTATATTTCACATCAGTGACAACAAGCATGCTAAGGAATAAGCACCTAAGTCGAGATGTGGGCGCTGGGCAGGCAGCTCAGCACATTCACTTGTCAATGACTCTGTACAATAGCCCCATGGAGTTATTGTGGAACAATCGCTGACATAAAATGTTTTGAGATAACACTTTAGCTGTCTCACAAAAATTGTGCATGCTGGAAGAAGTGTGGGCTTTTTATCCAGCAGCCAGAAGGCAAGTGACTGGTCCTCTCAGGTTGTAGGTTCTGTTTTATACATGAGTGAAACTCAGGATTCCACCCACCCTACACATGCACCTTTCCAGAAAGTTTCTTGTTTTGTGTTTTGAGATACATCTGGAGGCAGGTCCTGGTGCTTACAAGTAAATAAGCATGCAATGCATGTTTGACAAGCATCATAAGTATATACATTGAAATCAGATGGAATAATAGTAAACAGGGTAAAGTATATATCGGAAAAGAGATGTACATTTTGAAAACAGAGATAAACAATAAACAAGGGAAAAGTTTAGGCAAGCATCTGAAAAGGAAAGGAGTCAGTATTTGTGTACTGTTAAACTTTTAGGTTATATGACATAAAACTATTTTGATTGGGAGGCTGATTTCACCCATCATTGTTTGTCATTCAAATTCTTAGCTCAGGAAAATGGCAGGTTAATACATGGCTTGTTAAATTATAGATACCAGGGATCTACCTTATATCTAGTTTGAGGGGAGGAAGAGGCAGAAGAGGGGACCCAGGTGAGCACATCGAGTGTGCATCAAAGTCACCCCTTGACCCGTCTACAGTTAAGAAGCTCTCACACTGGGAAGCTGAGCCCTGTTGTCAGTCTCCCCATGGTTTCTGCTGTTATCTGCCGTTCCTCCTTCATATTCTTCTTTTTAGTTGAGAAGGTTTTTGCTTTGGAACTAAACATCCTGTCTCATCCTCACAGTCTGTATATATCTTCTTCTTCCTACCACAGATTATTAATCCTACAGACCATCCCATGACTGGTAGATCTTAGCAGCCTTTGTCAGGACTGTGGGCTTTGGAGTCGGCCTGCCTGATCTTGACCCCTGGCCCGCTACTAACCAACCAGGTGTGACTTTGGGCAGTGCATTTAAGCTCTGTGAACCCCAGTGGGTCTCTGTGAGATGGGGATCATGACAGCATATACCTCATGAGTGTGGGGGAGGATGAAATGCTATTTTGCTTATAAAGGGCTCAGCTTATTGAGCAGAATGGTACTCAGTAAATGTTTACCTTGGACAAAGGTGAAGATGATGATGCTAGAGAATGCAGAACAAACAGTACTAAGGTCTATCCTGACACCTGTTTCCACTACCTCTCAAAACCATGATCTCAGGCAGATGCAATGGCAACTTAACAGTTTCAGCTGATGGGGGTAACAGGGCGTGCAGCCCACCAGCAATGCCAGCTGAGTCCCAGAAGATCATAGATGACAACAGGAAGCTGGTCTCATACAGGATTTACCTGTGGACCTGCTGGGAGCTCAGAAAGCAGATGGCCTGCCCAATATCATGCCAAGTGGATGCTGTGAAATTTCACTGAGGAGAGGGAATTTTGCCTCCAGACTCAACTCCCACTTGACAAGTTACAGGCCAAGCTGGCGGTGCCACCAGGGTGGGCTTAGTCAGTGAACGTTCTCATGTCCCTGGGGATGCCGGGACCCAGGCAGCTATATGGGCCTCTAGTCCTGGGGTTCCCAGGGACTGGGAAGCAGCTGCCTACCAGGAAGTGCCCTCATCTCCAAAAGCTCTTTAGAAAGATGAAGAACTGCAAGAACCAGCCTGCTCTGGAGGGATTTGAGCAATAGCATGGACCCTGGGTCCCTGGGGCTCTCCAAGTTGAATTATTTATGATGCTATGTTGGTCTCCGTGTTTTTAATTAGCATCCTGGGAAAATGCTGCAGTCTCGTGGCCCTCCTGTGGAATCTCGGGGAATGCCCTACAGGCTGATCACATTGTTTTGGTTACAGGACCAAATACCAACCACCCTGAGCTCTTGGCATCTCTGGATGAGAAGCCAGACCTGAGATAGACAGTGTCTTCCTTGCTCAACAAGGCCTCGAGGCTTTTTTCCTGTATTTCTGAGGGCCTAACCCTTCTCCCAGGGCAGAGTTGAGAGGCTTATATGAGAGGTTTCTGGAAGGGCAGGCTCAGTATCTGACACTGACAGTGTCTCTTGGCCTGGGATCGCCTGAGGGCCCTGTGAAGCTTCAGAGCAGTGCCTGAAACACTCTGAGGACAGAAACTCAGGGACCAACACACCTGTTTCCACAGAGCTGGCCCCTGCCTCTGCTTCCTGGAAGCACTGCAAGAGTGCCTGCAGTTATAGCCGGGAGATGACCACAGTGAGAAGCCAGAGAAGAGGTAAACAGCAACCTTGGGCAAGCAGGAAGGCAGAAGCAGATGCTTGGAACCACCCAGAGGTGAGAGGCCCTGGCCGGGTGACTCTTAGTCACAGACAAGGGGCATTGTCACACAGGAAAAGGCAGTGGGGCGGGATGGAGGAACATACAAAGCCTGCCATGTCAATCAGCTCTGCCCTGAAACAGCTGAGTGACTTGGGACACTCTCAACCTCTCAGTGCCTCAATTTCCCTCTCTGGTAAATGGGCCAACAATAATGACCTAGCACATAGAGGTACTCAGAAAAGAATTTTTGCTTTCTTTTGTCATTTGGCAAGTTACTTCACACCTTCCTGACTCCTCAATTTCTTCCTCTGGAGATATAACAAGCCTCGTGTCATTGAGTTGCACAGAAAAACATGATAACTGATGTGTGCTGCACTGCTCTGTGGCTCACACCATTTTCACCCATTCTATCCTCCCAATAAACCCATGAAGTGGGTACAATTCACATCGTCATTTTACAGGTGAGGGAATGAGATACAGAGAGTTTAAGAAACCAGTCCAGGGCACACAGCAGCCTATTTGCCCATCCACCTTTGCGCAAGGGGGAAAATGGAAGGTGTGTCTCTGAGGTATTAGCATAGTTAATATGCTCTATCTATCTTTCTATAAATAAGGTAATAACAGAGTGAAATTTGTCATTTTAAGTTTCATCTTTGGACTTTTCTCCATTTCCAGGTTTTCTACCACAGAATGTGTAACTTTGATTTTCACACACAAAATGGTCTCAACAGTGGTTGAAATATACAAAAACAGAAACCCCAATCCAGCCCTTAGCCTGATGCTCTGCATGCTGTTAAGAAGGGGGTGTTGAATGATTCCATTTATTTGAAATACCCAGGAGAGGTAAATCCATAGAGGCAGAAGGCGGACTGGTGATTGTCAAGGGATTGGCGGGGGAATGGGAAGCAACTGCTTGAGGGGAACAGGTTTCCTTTTGGGAGGATGAAAAGTTTGCAACTAGATACTGGTGGTGGTTGCACGACACTGTGAAAATGCCAAATGCCGCTGAATTGTTCACTTCTAAATGGTTAATTTTTTGTTATGTGAATTTCACCTCAATGTAAAAAAAATAAAAATAAAAAGAGAGGGGGGTGGGGTCATGCAGGTAGCTAATTCCTATTCAGTGACTTGATGCACTGGAAGTAACTTTCCTTTTCATCCTCCTCCAGGGAGAAGGTTCATTTGAGAACTTCCCCTGCTGAAGCTTTCCCTGACCCTCTGGGAGGGGCCGGACCCTCCGTCTGTGGTCCCACAACCCCTGAGGAGGAGGAGGCACTCATCAGGTCCCTTGGCGCCTTGCAGCCCTTTTCTTGGGCCTGCCTTTTACCTCCATCCTCCACTCCACTGATGGCTCAGAGCCCAGAATCCTGTCTTCATCCTGGCAACAGTCCCTTCAGGGCCCAGCAGGATGGGGGAATGAATAAATGTGCCTGTTTCTGAACATAATCATTAAATTCTTTACCTGTAATGTGGACATTAAAGGTGAATCATTTCCCCCCTTAAACCCCCTCCATCTTTCAAACCTGCTACCCCCGACCCTCACTGAGCAAAAAATTGGAAAGCTGCTCTCACGGCATTATTGAAATTGAAATAGGGAATAGAACCTGGATGTCCGGAGCAATCTTCTGACCTGGAATTTTCTCCTCGCTTTGCTGCCTCTTGGGAAAAGCCTGTTCCGCACAAGCTGGCAAGGTACTGTGGTCGCATCAGACCTGCCTTGTAGCCTCAGGGCATGTGGGTCTTGGGGCATCTGACATAGGAGCACCCTGATTCCGTTTCAACACTTTTGAGAAACCAAATTGGTAAGGCAGCCTTAAGGACACTCAGAGGAGACACCTCCAGATGGTGTAGAAAGGCTGGTTCATGATTACATCCTTCCACGCCTTCCTCAGTGCAAACAGCAAGTGCTCAGTAATGGTTACTAGATGAATTCTATGGAGAGACAACAGAAGGTTGTGTTTGCCTCTCAGCTCTGCCAGTAACTAGCTGGGGGACTTTGGGTGAGTTTTTCTGCTTCCTTGAGCTTGGGTTTCCTTGTCTGTGAAAGGGGGAAATAAAAGCCCAGCCTCTGGCTCCCAGAGGTGTGAGAGGCTGAGGTGGGTGAAGGGCTCCTCGGGTTGAAAGAGCTGGTGCCTCACAACCAAGGCTTTCCTCAGCTTTGCAGTGTAAACAAGGAAACACACTGCTGGGCCTTTCATCCTCTTGGCTGCCAGGAATGGGATCCTGGCACCCCCTCAGAGAGGCAGGTGCTCTGTCCCATGTAAGCACCAGGGAGATAATTGGCAGCATTGTTACCTAACCACAGAAGAGTGGAGAATAATCCTAATTACAGAGCCTTCTCTGTTTACAGCGCGAGAGTGCAGCCTGTGCCAGGTGTGGGAAAACCCCAGGGACCCCAAACCTCTCACTGCCTCGAGAGGAGCAGCTCAGTGCAGTGGAAAATTTCATGGAAGCCAAAATCCCTGCCTCTTACTGGATATGAGGGCCTTTGAGGGGAACATCCAACCTCTCTGAGCCTCAGTGTCCTCATCCGCAAAACAGATAATAACTCCTCTCTCACAGAGTGTGGATTCGTTTTTGAGGGCTGCTGTAACAAAGTACCACAGACCAAGTAGCTTAAACAAGGTATGTATTGTCCCAGAAGTCTGAGATCAAGATGTTGCAGGGTTGGTTCTGAGAGAGAAGGCAGTTAGAGGCTGGTTAGCCAGATAGAGAGGGCAGGTCTCAGGAGTGGAAAAATACCCGTGGGACAGCGCCTGCGCTACCCCTGTTGCTGGTGGAAAGAAATGTGGTTAAGAATTTCCTCTAATGCCAGGATGTTGCTCAGAAGGGACTGTGCCAACCTAGGTGCAGGCGCAATGAATTAACCTAAAAGTCCTTAACTTAACCCAGCTCATTATAATGTCATTGACATGCCATTAGCATTGTGTTTTAGCCCTCCCCCTCCCTTCTCCCCGATGTATGTTTCACTTAGGCACTCATGAGTGATAACCAAGATGAAGTCACTATGGCCAACCCCTCATAGAATGTATGGTGGGATAACCTGCAATAGGGTAGGGAGCCACCCAGCAAAAATCCTTCATGAGTTGCTTCTACCACCCAGGAAAGATGAGGACAATAAAAATGTTCTCATCTTGGCCTGCACAGATGCAACATCCCCAAGGGGGAACTTTACCCCTCCCACGTGGGCAGAACCCACAGAAGACTTCCTTGTCTTTGCCACATAAAGACCCGGAACTCATCCCCATTTTTGTTAACTCTCCTTGGATTGTCTCTCATTGCTGAGATATTTTCTGTTGCTTAATAAAACTCTGTTCCGCTCTACTCACTCTCTGGTGGCCACGTGCCTTACTCTTCTTGGTTGCATGTCAAGAACTTGGACCTAGCTGAACTAAGGAGTGATTAGATTGCAACAGTTCCTTCTGAGGGCTCTGAGGGAGGATGTGTCCCAGGCCTCTCTCCTTGGCTTGTAGGTGGCCTTCTCCCTGTGTCTCTTCACATTGTCTTCCTTCTTTGCATGTCTGTCTCTGTGTCCAAATTTTCCCTTTTTAAAAAGGCACTAGCCATAATGGATTAGGGTTCACCATAATGAGTTCATTTTAACTAAACAAATTACCTCTATAAACACCCTGTCTCCAAATAAGGTCACATTCTCTGGTACTGGGGATTGGGACTTCAATGTATGAGTGTTTTGGGGCACACCAGTTAGCCCGTAACAGGGTAGCTGCAATGATGACAGGAAATCAGGGATGGGTAAGCATTCATAAATGTCACTCTCCTAGAGGAAAGGGAGGCTTCCTTTCGGGGACATTTTTTGTCCTCATCTTGCCTGGGTTATAGAAGCAACTCACATAGGATTTTTGCTGGGTGACTCCCTACCCTACTGCAGATGATTCCACTGTACACTCTGGGAGGGACATGTGCTGTAAACTCAGCATAAAATGTCATAGTGGTCCCAACTCAGCATAAAATGTCATAGGGCACCCCGGCTGGGTGAATTCTTCCAGACCCTGTTTTCTCTTCCTCATGCTTCAGACCTCTTCATTTCACAAGCAGTCTGTTGAAGTAACCAAACTCCCAGGCCCAGAGTCAGCCAATCTGCATTTCAACCCCCCACCTCCATTCCTCAGCAATGGCCCTTCATCTTGGAAATCAGAATTAATCACAGCCTCTATGCCTGAATTAAAGTTTGCTCTTGTATCTTCTTTACCAAGTTTACATATACTCAATATTGGTGTATACAACTATGTAATGCAGTATGACCTCTCTCTGTCTCTGTTCTCCTGGCAACTCATTCAGGCTCCATTCCCTTCATATCCCACTTGAATTTGCACTACTCTGCACCACTGACTTTAGAATCTGTCTTGTAAATAGGGTCAGAGTTCCTCAGCCAGATCCCGATGGGTAAAAGGAACCATGTCCCCACCCTGAGTTGAGCAGGTCTTCAAGAAACCCTCTTGTGAGTCCACTCTGCCCCAAAGCTGCCTCCCAAAGATGCAGCATCTGTCCTGGCAGAGTGTGGGCAGGAAGGCTGCCTTGCCAGGCTCCTGACTCCCAGTGCTGCGTGGTGCTGATGAGCTGAGCTGATCTTTGAGGGGCCAGACCAGGTGAAAGTTCCCACCCTAAGCAGCTCAGGGCAGGGACAGACCAAATCCAAGTGCACCAAATGGGGCCATGAGAAACCCTCCTGTGGGGATATCTGTGATCTCAGGAATGACCCTGAGAGGACACTGCTCTGATGCTCTGATGAGACTGAGGGGGATTCCAAGCTTCCAGGGTGCTGGGCAGTGTCTCCCCAGAGAGTGGCTGTTCCCAGTGTCAATCAGGCAGGAAGGGTAGAATGCTGGGACAGGAAGTAGCTTGGAGGTGGGCCTTAGGCTGGTAGAAGTTGCTGCTTTCTTCTCTGTGGGCTCCTTTCTCGTGGATCTGGACCCCAGGAGTTCCCAGGCATAGAGAGGAGGGGTGCCAGGTGATGGGGGTGATGGAGGCGGTGGCCACGGCCCTGGAGAAGGCTGAGCCAGGCAGGGGACAGCTATGGGCAGCCTTGAGGTTCTGAGAGCAGCCGTGGGCAGCAGTGGGCAGTTGTCAGTTACTCTGTTTATGTTTAGGTCTTCTGTAAAATCTTGCTAAACAATCGGGTTTGATCTCATTTGGGTTGGGGCAAATTGAGGGAAGAGTCTGTGTTCAGGTATAGATCAGAGTTTAAAGAACAGGCAAGCCTCACCATGCCAGGGATACGATGACACTAGTGAGGTCCCCGAGGGAAAGGCCCTCCCATGGTGGAGAATCTCCCTGGCTGCTGCCAACCTTGGAGAATCGAGGGGAGCATTTGATCAGGATGCCAGTGAGGGAGGCAGAGCCACCCCAGTGACTGAAGCCCTTCTCAGTGGGTTTTCTGCCCAAAGACTGGTCAAGGATTGTGTGCCGAGGGTCAGGGGTGTTTGTAAGGACAGAGGGAGCCAGCAGGGAGCCAAGAGAATCTGTCCCAGAAAGCCTAGGTTTAAACTCCAGACTCCAAGAGTCAGAGCAGGAGCAGAGAGTGGGTTACAGAACTTGGGGTTGGGAAACCTTATCAGTGTTCTTCCATATCTCTTTGGTCTCATTTCCTAGCCCTGCGTTGGACCCATCCAGGCATCTTTGCTGTTGCCTGAGCACATGAAGCCGGCCCCTTTTTCCCAGCCTTTGCACTGTACTTTGCCTGGAACGTGCTTCCCTTGGGTATTCACTTTACTCAAGTCCTCTCAAATATCTGAGAGAGAGGTCTCTGACCACCCCATGGAAAAGAACAACTCTTACCTATCCCTTACACATTCTCTTACTACACAACACTAATTTCCTACAATTATATTCTACAGTATGTTTATTTGTTTCTCTCTTTATTGTCTGTTTGCCACAGTGGAGTGTAAGCACCATGACAACAGGAACTGTGTCTTGACCACTGTTGACTTCCAAGCACCTCAAATAGGACCTGTCACATAGAAGTTTCAATCAATATTTGTTGAGTGAATGAAGACAACAGGTGTCAACTTAGCTTCTACTACAGTTCTAAGACTTTTGCGTCAAGAAGTGGGGACACTCCAGATGCAATGGTGAAAAGCCACGATTATTTCCACCTGGCCCTTTCTCCTATCTGTCCCGCTATCTTTCTGTTACTTGCTCATTTCTCCCAAGATCTGTCCCTTCAGAGGATTCTTTGACTCCACTCCATACATTTATTCTTCCTTGCTGTGCTCTTGCTGTTGCATCTTACTGTTCCCTCTTCATTCTCAGCTTTCCAAAATCTTACTCCTCTTTAAGGCCAGAACTTATTCATCCTTCAAGGGCTAACTGAAGGCTCTGTAACCTTGTTTGTAAAATCATACCAGGTGAAACTAATATTCCTTTTCCTTGGATCCCAGAACCTTTTCTTGATAGTTTGATTAAGGCATTTTTACAATCTGATGTAATTAAGACATAAAAAAGGACAAAGGCTCTATCCTCCCTGGAAGATAGGGAGGTTTTTTGGTTTGTTTGTTTGTTTTTGCTTTTGTTTTCTTTTTTTGAGACAGGGTCTCACTCTGTCACTCTGTCACCCAGGCTGGAGTAAAGTGGGGCATGATCACAGCTCACTGCAGTCTCAAATTATGAGCTCCAGCATCATCCCTACTCAGCCTCCTGAGTAGCTGGGACTACAGGCACAAGCCTGTCTAAGTTTTTTCTTATTTTTTTAACAGAGACAAGGTCTCCATATGTTGCCCAGGCTTGTCTTGAACTCCTGGCCTCAAACGAGCCTCCCGCCTCAGCCTCCCTGGGATTACAGGTGCAAGCCACAGCACCTGGCTAGGATTCTTACAGGCATGAATGAAGTGCTGGTATCTCTAGTAATTTGCACATAACAAATGCCCAATTAATGTTTGCTTAATTGAATAAAATTGACATTATTCTCTGAGAATTAGGTGGGGAAAATGAAATGAATTTGAATGTGTGCTGTATGCTATACACTGTGGTAATAATGCGATAATATACTTTATTTCCAAAAACCCTCCCAGCAATCTTACTGAAGTGTATTACCATCCCTGTTTTGCAGAGGATGGTCAGAGAAGTTATGTGAGCTGCCCAGGGTTACACGGCTACTGACAGGCAGAACCAGGGTTTGAAGTCAGATTTATATATTTAAAGACAAAATGGCTTATACTCATTAAAATTATTTTTATCCCTACAGATTCAAGATGGGATTCTAGTAGACAGCATAGCTACACATCAGGCATAGATTTGGAAGCCTGGTTTTAACATGCCAAAGGGTAAATAAAAGCCATGTGTCCTTTCTCCATGAGGATGAGAATACTTTTATATAGTCTTTTTGTGTGGAGAGAGTCTAAACTACACAGAGAACTACCCCAGGTGAATCAAAACAATTGACTACGGTGAGGTCACATAAATTAGTGATACCTAGTTAACTTTTTGTCTTGAGGCCAGAGCTAGTGTTGGCTCACTTGGGACTTGAGAAGGCAAGAGAGGTATTTATAGCAACAGTGACAGCTGACTGCAAGTATTCCTATGACGATTAAATTTATTCTAGGAAATCTTATAAATAGTGAGTTTAATAGCTGTCACTTTGAGTTCATCAGCTGAAGCAACAGTTTAGAATTCATATTTGAAAACCTCCATTGAAGCTAAAATGTAGAAAAATAGAGGGCTACCCTGGTGTGGTATCTCAGGGCAAATGTAGCTCACTGAATTTAGCTTGGTCCCTAAAGAAGTAAAACTTTACAATAGTTAAGTGAACCAAAATCTTTGCCATATCAAAACTAATCGTAAAAAGGCATCTTTCCAATGGATGCAGCTTGCCGTTTAATAGAATATATCAGAGCATGAAAATTGTCCTTTAAAGCATGTCCACTAACTCCTTCTTCAACTAAATGCCTCCAGAGAGAAAATGAATGCATTCTAAAACTTTCATGCTTTTTTTCCCCAGAAAAGCTGATTCCCAAAATATCTAACCTATAAACTTTGAACAATAGCAACCCTTTTAAAAACCCTAAAAAACTATATAAAGAAGGGCTGGATGGAGCTACATTTATATATTTACAGTTATTTGTTTTTCTTAAAGTTTTCCTCTTGATGATAATTAAATTTAAATGTTTTTTTCATAGAAAATCTGGAAAATACACAAAAATTAAATAGAGAAGAAAAAAGAAAAAGATTTTTGCCCCACTGCTCATAGAGGCAATCATGGTTAACGTGTTGATGTATTTTCTTTTCCCTAAGCTTGGTTTTCATAGTCCTTGGCTTTGCTGTTATTTATTTGCTCATCATTTGTTCTCAACAGTGCCAACGACCTCACAGACACAGGTTGTGGATAGCAGCAGACATGGAGGTGGAGGCTGGGCGGCCAGTGATGCTGTGAGTCAGGTGAGTCATTTCTCATCTCTAGGCCAGACGTTTTCACAGGTTGGTTCTCAGAATCTGAGAAAAGCAGCAGACCCTCTTTCCACAAATATCCACAATAGACCCACGCTTTGCATACAAGTTCAGGGCCCACATCCAAATCCCTTAGCGATCCAGGAGCCTCTCAGGTTAAACATCTTGAACTAGGTATCAGACTCCTTGACAGTTTGCAATGCTGCCTTCTCAAAGAAGCTTGCAAATGTCTCCATTTATTATTTGAGTCAATGTGAGTTGTACGTAAAGAAAGAATGAGGAGAAAGCCCTCTCAGATGGTCATCTGGGCCTTTCTACTACAAACAGCCTTGCTAACTCTGGGAATCTCAAGCCATGCTATAGGAAGTGGGGAGGAAAGTAGGCTTCTGTGCATGATCCCAAGTCCACACTGCCAGAGACATCCAGATGAGCACAGTCTATTTGTGCTGGGGTCAGTGGAGAAGAACCTGTTAGTCAAGGCTCAAGGAAGGCTTTGTTTTTTCTGTCCCTGCACAATGGTCCTGATTCATTACGTGCTCTGGCATGCAGTTGGTGTCACATGGGTGTGATGACCACCTCTAGGTTCTGATCACACAGGGTCCAGAGGAACCAGAGCAATGACTGGATCTGAGAGGCACCAGCTTCCCAACCATCCCAACGCACTGTACAGTAACTGCACACCCCCAGCCCTGCCACTCCCCCGTCCCCCCAACATCTCCTTCCCTAGGGACACAGCTAAGCTAACACAAGATAAATGCAAACAACAAGCTCAGTCAAGGACAGAGCCAGGTGCTGGCAGGCAGGGCAGAGGGTTTAGTGCAGTCAGCTGGGGACCCAGGGGTGACTGATGTCCTGCAAATAACTTCTAATTGTAAGTCTGGAAGGGAGGATGCAATAGAAAGAAATGAGGAAGCTTCTACTCACTGACCACGTACTGCAACTAGTGCTATGTGTATAGTAATTCTATTGTTCAAGCTTTTCAATAAACATTCAAGGTAGGTATTGTTCAGCCATTGACCCAACAATATTATTGGCTGGTGGCTCTGTGCCAGACCATGGGGAGAGCAGAAGCAAACTGACCCAAGTTCCTGCTGCCATGGAGCTTACCTTCTAATGGGCAAGCATTCAGGAAAGAATTGGGCAAATGCGTGTAAGTGATGACAGGTGTGAGTGCACCAAAGGAAAGCTGAGCTGCTCGGTCAGCGAGTGGCAGGCAGTCGAGAAAGGCCTGGGGAGTGAGGGAGCTGTGGAGGTGTCTGGGGCTTACCCCTCTGCCCCCAGGCATGGGGAGCAGTCAGTGCAAAGGTCTCGAGAGGCAGGCTGCCTGATGTTGAGGGAGGCCAGCGCGACTGGTGTCCAGTTAGAAAGGGGAAGGTGTGGGTGTTGGGGCTTAGGACAGATAGTTACAAGCCACACTGGGCACTTTGCACATTGTGCTGAGTAAGGAATGAGATAGTGTGTTAATCTGTATTGTGTTGCTCTAAAGAAATACCTGAGACTGGGTAATTTATAAAGGTTTATTTGGTTCATAGTTCTGCAGGCTGTACGGGAAGCACGGCACCAGTATCTGCTTCTGGTGAGGACTCAGGAGCTTAAAATCATGGTGGAAGCAGGGAGAGCAAGCATGTCACAAGGTGAGAGAGGAAGCAAGAGAGAAGTGGAGAGGTCCCAGACTCTTTCTAACAACCAGATCTCACATGAATTCCTTACTGCTGGGAGGGCAGCAAACTATGCATGAATGATCCATCCCATGACCCAAACACCTCCCAGTAGGCCCCACCTTCAACATTGGGAATCACATTTCAACATGAGATTTGGAGGGGACAAACATCCAAACTATATCAGATGGGAACCGTCAGGGCAGTTGAGCAAAGACGTGACAGGATTTGGCTTCCATTATGAAAGCATTGCTAGGGACACTGGGTGGAGAATTAGACCACAGAGGGGTCAGAAAGCAGGAGGAAAATCAGGAACTCCCCACCCCCCGCCATATTCAGATGATGATTCTCAGCTCACAAATGTGCCTCCAAAATCTGATGGCACCATGACCCTCTCCTGGATCCTCGGGTGACTTCGCTCTGCCTTTAAATGGAACATATACACGGGCAGCCACGAGATCCTGCACGTTCTGCACCAGCCTCCCTCTGCATTGCCTTGCTACCATGGATTTGCCTTCTGTTCTCTCTCTCTCTTACTTGGTGATTCCACCCGAGACCGTGTTTCTGGTACTTACCTGGCCCGTGTGCATTTCCCTGATGCCTGCGATGTTCTCCTCCACTTCTTTATCTGGCTAAGACCTGGTCACCTTAACCATCTTCAACCTTCTGTTTCTCAGGGAAGCCACTCCTGCCTCTCGCAGACCAGCCTGGGTAGGGCTTCGTACAGCCTAGGGTTCCCCCCCTACTTTGGTCATACTGCTCACTTTTGGGAGTACCTGCTCTTTTTGGTCTCTTTCTTTGGGCTCCAGTCACCAAGGCCAGGTCAACTTCTCTCTTGTTCACCCGTCAGCACTTAAGCCAAGTGCACAATCCCAAAAACCTGATGGCACCACGACCGTCCGGAATATCTGGACCCTTGACAAGGAATACTTTGTGAGGTGAACAGAATACTTGCCAACATCACACAGCTACTAAGCGGGCAGATCAAGGATCAAACTCCTGCTTCCAACTTCTTCCTGGCCCCTGGACCTTAACTCAAGGCTCAGTTTAGCCTCAGCTGGTGACAGCTGGTGAGTAAGACATTCAGTTTTTCTGGGTCTCGGTTTTCCCAACTATTAAATGACAGGGTTGGATGCTGAGTTCATTTCCAGGGCTCCAGGATCTGCAAAGGCTCCCCCAGTCCATCTGACCACAAGAATTACCCAGGCCTGGGGACACTTGTAAGAATACTCACCTGAACCTGCAGAATCACAGCTCCAGAAGATGAACCTGGGATTCTCATTCTGTTTATTTGTTTGTTTATTCAAGGGTCCCAGGTGAATCTTATCACCAAATAAGTTTTGGAAATACATTTCTAAGGGACTCCTTCCCAAAGGAGCTTCCCAGAACAGAAAGGTCAAAGAGGAGGCAAAAACATGATTGTAGTGGCTATTTCAGCACAGCAACAGTTCCTTCTCAAATGTCTCCTCTCTATTATAAAAAGAAACTTTGCATCTGAGCCTGATATTTATTTATGCGAATTATTTTGTGGGATGAATGGAAGTCTCCAGAACTTTCACGGAAAGTTCCGCTTCCTGGACAACTGTAAATAGCTCTGCCCTGACAAACTTTGACCAAGTGCAAATTAAGGAACACTCAAAAGGAGCACAAGCAGAGATGAGGACACTCTCAGAACTCCTGAAAGGAGAGGCAGAAGCTCAGAGAGGTTAATCAGCTTATCTGAAGTCACACATCTGGTAGGTGGTAGAGGTGGAACCAGACCCAGCCCTCTGCATCCCTGGCTGGTATTTTTCCTTCTGAAACACAAGAGTGCATCAGGGCAATGTTGCTTCTGCACAGAAAACTGTGGTGCCTACACTGGAGCAAAAGGTGCTCCAAGAACACCACATGAGTGATGACCCGCCCCAAGAGTAGTGCGTGGCAGGGAGTTGGCACCCTCAGATAGGGGTAACTGATCGACTAACCCCACCTTCTTATCACTATGATCTAGGAATAGGGCACTTTTCAGACTTTTTCATTCTCTGCCTTGTTGGGGTAAATTTATGGAATACATTAGACAATTTCCCACCAGTCAAGTGAAAATATGTTTGATGACTTAAAAAATAATCAATGGGCTGGGTGCAGTGGCTCATGCCTGTACTCCCAGCACTTTGGCAGGCCAAGGTGGGAAGATCACTTGAGGTCAGGAGTTCAAGACCAGCTTGGGCAACATAATAAACCCCCCCATCTTTACAAAATTTTAAAAAATTTGCTGGATGTGGTGGTGCATTCCTGTAGTCCCAGTTACTTGAGAGGCTGAGGAGGGAAGACCACTTGAGCCCAAGGGCTTGAGGCTGCAGTGAGCTATGATTATACCACTGCACACTGGCCTAGGTGACAGTGCAGGACCCTGTTTCTTAAAATAATAATAATAATAATCAGTGCTTGATCAATAATGATCCAGTGCTAGACCAAGGGAGACAGACTTATTCTCATTCTGCCATTTCCTTACCTCTAGAACCTCACCTTTCTCATCTGGCAAATGGGACGATGCCTCCATCATTGTGTGGTTCATGAGGGTTAGATGAAATACTACACAGTATATGACACAGAGTCAGTCAGTATTTCTTAAATGAAAGAACGGGCAAATGAATGAGAGGGAGGAAATCATTTGTTCTGCCCTGGATGTGAAATCTGTCCTGTTTCCTCCCAGCCTCACTGTCTCTATCAGCTGTGCAGTAACTGGAACTGGACCATTCTGAATGAAGAATCTGTGGTTGAGGGGAGAGTGTGAGTCTACACACACTATGTGATAAAGGTAGACATGAACATCAAATGTAGAAACCCCCATAGAATCCATTGTCTTCCACTCAATGGAAGTGAGCTCAGGCTCAGTTGAACCCAGAGGAGGAGGGAGAGCATGCTGGGCAGGTTTAAATCCTATACCTGTTCCTTTCCTCCCTCCCTCCCTCCCTCCCCTCCCTTCTTCCCTCCCTCCCCTCCCTTCTTCCCTCCCTCCCCTCCCTTCTTCCCTCCCTCCCCTCCCCTCCCTCCTCCCCTCCCTCCTCCCCTCTCCTCCACCCTCCCCTCCACCCTCCCCTCCCCTCCCTCCCTCCCTCCCTCCCTCCCTTCCTTCCTTCCTTCCTTCTTCCCCATTTTCCTGCTTGAAAGATGGGGAGGGAAGAAAGAGGAAATGTGCATACTCTGGGAAGAGGGTCAGTTTTGAGTCAGAGACCTGGGATTTAATCACTTGTTCCCCACTGACTGACACGGTGACAGTAGAAAAGACACCAGCCATCATGGGGCAGACACTCAATAAATACTTGTTGGAAATAATACATGTTAGTTGCTGGGCAAAGCTCTGTGTGTATTAACTCATTTGATCCTCACAGTGTTATGCTGTATTAGGTGCTAGCCATAATATACAGATGATGGCACGGAAATACAGAGAAGTCAGATAACTCATCAAGGGGACATAGACCGTAAATCACAGCCAATATACCTCCAGAACACACGCTTTTAACTCCTCTGATATAAAACACTCCATGCACACAACTTCCTGGAATCTCCTTTTTCTCATGTGCAGGTGGCTGGTAGGATGGGGCGATGCTTGAGCCTAAGTCATTTCCAGTGCTAGGATTGGGGCTAAGGAGAGAGAAAAGTTCCCCCAAATCTCTGAATACCTCAAAGGCTCATGTCTGACATAGGAAAACGAGGAATACCTCAAAGGCTCATGTCTGACACAGGAAAATGAGGAAGAGGCAGAGATTGCATACCCAGGGTGGACAGTGGGGAAAGCAGATGGGAGCAGAGACTCCAGAGAGTGACATGGAGGTGCAGCTTCTAAGAGGCCCCCAATCTACTGAGCACCAGCTCTGTCCTTTCCATAAAATCCTTACAATGACCATGTAAAATAGGTGCTGTTATTCCCACTTTGTCAATGATGAAATTGGAATTCTGAATGATGAAAAAACATGTCCAAGATCGCACAAGATACTGCGGACATAGGCTTCAACTTACGTCTGTTTGGCCCCAAAGTCCATGTTCTTCCTCCTATGCATACTCCACATTTTTGTCTAGAGCTGACCCTGAGTATAACATACTTGTCATGTCACGAAAACATCTAGGACATGCTGTTGCAGAGCAATGCCTTCTACAGTGCACAGTTACAGTCGTGTGCCACATAACAATATTTTAGTCAACAATGGACCACATATACACACCTTGGTCATCCCATAAGATTATAATACCATATTTTTACCGTACCTTTTCTATGTTTAGATACACAAATACTTACCCATGTGTTACAGTGGCCTACAGTATTCAGTACGGTGACATGCGGTCCAAGTTCGTAGTCTAGGAACAATAGCCTGTACCATATACATAGGTGTGTAGTAAGCTAGACCATCTACGTTTGAGTAAGTGCACTCTGTGATGTTTGCACAACAAAATAGCCTTCAATGCATTTCTCAGAACATATCCCCATCATTTAGCAACACATGACTGTACTTAAAATGTCTTTGAAACACCACCATCAAAGTCATTGCCAACATGGGCTGCTCTGAGTGGCATCTAGAAAGCTGGAGCAGAATGGAAGCTGACTCAAGAAGGAAGGTGGCTGGGAAGCTTAATATAAGCTCCTATAAACCTCTTAATGCTTTCAAGACATTAACACTGAGTGACACCCTGGGGTTTCCTGGCTTTAATTTAAGACTCAGGATGGATTGGCTAACGAAGCTGCTGAGCAGCATGACAGTGTCTATTAGCAAGGAATTTAATGGTCCTTTCATAAATTAAAATATTAAGCTCCCTACAAATCACAAACTTACTCCAATATAGTGCTGACCCTGGGGAAAAAAAATGAATCACAGACCACTGGACCATGAGAAGAATCTCAGAGATTCTGCCCTTGGATGAGGAAGCTGAGGCCTGGAAGTATTAGGTAGTTCCCCAAGTCTGTGTATCTCTGGTCAAGGGCCGAGTCAGGCCTAGAATCTCCAGCCCCTGACCCCAGTTAGCACCCAGCATTGGCCCATGGGTCAGGAACAAAAGAGATTTCCACTTCGATTAAAATCTGGACATGGGCAGATAGTTCTGAGCACTTTTTGAAATGATTTGTTTGGTTTATTTGTTTCCAGATTTTTTTATCCATCTCCCAAACTAGACAGTAAACTTTTCCCTCCACTATCTTGGTCTTGCTGTGTCCTGAACACTTGGCTTGATGCCTACACACATAGAAGGTGTTCAATAATATTTGTAGAAGAAAGGGAAGGAGGAAAGAGGGGCAGAAATATCTGTTAGCACCTACAATATACTTCACACTACAGTCACATTTCATTTTCTTTGTGTGTTAATGTATGTCTCACTTTTATTTCCCTCCTTTCCTTTCCCTTCCTTTCTTCCTTCCTCCCTCCCTCCCTCCCTCCTTCCTCCTTCCTCCTCCTTCCTCCTCCTTCCTCCTTCCTCCTCCTTCCTCCTTCCCCCTCCTTCCTCCTTCCCCCTCCTTCCTCCTTCCCCCTCCTTCCTCCTTCCTCCTCCTTCCTCCTTCCTCCTCCTTCCTCCTTCCTCCTTCTTCCTCCTTCCTCCTTCCTCCTCCTTCCTTCCTTCCTTCCTTGACAGAGTCTGGCTCTGTCACCCAGGCTGGAGTGCAGTGGTACAATCATGGCTCACTGCAGCCTTGACCTCCTGGGCTCAGGTGATCCTCTCACATCAGGCTTTTGAGTAACTGGGACTTGAGGAGTGCATCACTATGCCCAGCTAATTTTTGTATTTTTGGTAGAGTCAGGGTTTTGGCATGTTGCCCAGGCTGGTTTTGAACTCCTGAACTCAAGCAACCCGCCTTCTTCAGCCTCCCAAAGTGCTAGGATTACAGGCGTGAGCCATCAAGCCCAGCCTATACCTCACTTCTTTCTAAAATACAGCTATAGTCCCCATTTCCGATGAGGAAACTTAGGTGCAGAGAGGTAAAGTGATGGGTTTAAAGTGACTACTCAACTAACATGTAGCAGAGCCAGATTTGAATCCAGGTTTAGATGCTTATCCCATATTCTTTTCACTACACAACCTGCTTACTGAGAATAGGCACTCACCCATTCAATGCATATTTATTGTGCTCCAACTCTGTGCCAGGCACACTTCTAGGCTCCTGGGATATTTTAGTGAACAAAACAGATCAAGACGCCTGCCCTTGCAGAATTTACATTTCATGGGAATCTAAAATTTCAGTGATGTGGATCAGAGGAAAGGGGAACGGCCCAAAATGAAACACCCAAGAGATGGACCTTTCGGGGCCATCACGTTGGGCTGAGCTTCCTACCATGTCTGTCTCAGGCTTCATGGAAGCTTCCCTCTGGCAGACAACATTTAGGGCATTGGGGAAACACACAGTCTTCACCCGCGCTGGGCCTGGCTCTTGGAAACCTAGTGGGGAGAGCAACTTAAAGCTGACATGTCTCTGGAAGAAGTGGACATTTGGATATATTCAGATTGTCCCATTGTTTTTCTGAAAATCTTGCCCACCCCAGTGAGCCTCCAGCTATGCAAATGAACACTAGAGGTCTTCTGAGGTGGAAGCATTTGAGACCATGGCTCCAAGAAGCAAACATGCTCTGAACACTGTTGGGAAAGTCTAGCTCTCAGTTGGATGGAGACGAAAACTCGGGCATGGGTCCTGGAAGACAATGGGGGAGACGGGGCAGAGGCTTTGCCCCGCCACTCCCATGGGAGATGCGAATATTAGCATCCTTCTCATCTGAGGGGTAAGATCTTGAAGCTAATGAAACACTTCCTGGGACTCTTAGGAATTTCTAGGAACGTGCATAGCCATTTTGAAGTCCGAATTATAGCCCCGCTTGGGGGAGAAGGCCATTCTCCCAAGATCTATGCAGCAGTCCCTGGAGCTCCAAGTTTTGAGGGCTCTGGAAGAATCTGGAGATAGCGGTGGCAGGGAAGTTGGTGTCTCAGGATGGGCTCGGTCAGCAGGGGCAGTGGAAGGGCCTCATCAGGTGGCTTTGTTGGCCATGACCATCAGAGCTAGAGCCTAAGAACATGTCAGGCCCTGAGTGGTGGGGGACCCCCAGAAATGCTGCATAGGTGCTGTAAGAGGCACTTGATTTCCTGCTGAGGCAAGAGGAGGGCAGGGCATGGAGTCTTTCTAGCTGGGATGTAAGTGTAAAGGAGACCTTATTTTGTAGACCCAGGGTGTTGAGGCCAGTGGACAGTTGCTACATATAATAGTTGCACTTTGCTTGCCAGCAACTAGGGGGAAAGAAGCAGCACAAGAAGAGGTTAAACCTAATGGATTATTCCAAAATGCCAAGCCCATGAACCAGCCCTGAGTACCCACCTGGGTGACTCCTGTCAGGCTCCTCTCTCCCCACACCTTTCTCCTCCCCAACCCTCCTTCTGGGGTAATCTTCTTACAGCTAATGTCAATCATTTCTTCCTCTACAATCCTCAATGTCTCCCCATTGCCTTCAGATGGTCCCAATTCCTCAGCATGGCATGTGAGCGCCTCCACATCCCAAGCCCCTCCAACTTACTGCTCTAGATTCCTCTATCATTATTCATTTTTTACCAACATTATGTCCCAGCCCACACGATCCAGCCCCACCATACCACTGACTGAATCTGGACACGCCTGTGTGTGCTAACTCCTCTGCCCAGGGCACCTCTCCTCTTAGCCTTGTTCTTCATCGGACACACTTTTCATTCTAATGAGTTAGCTGGAGCATCATAGCCCTGGGAAACATTTTCTGGAAGGTTTCATACGGGGTTGAACTGAGACTTCCTGCCTTATGGGCATGCTTATCTTGTACTCTCCCTTTATTGGTGCATGTAGAATTCAAAGTGGCATTGATTTGTTCCCCCCCACTAGACAAATGACATTCTTGAAGGCCTGACTTGGTGTTAATTACCTCTGCATCCTTACAGCCTAGTACAGTTGGATGCAAAGCAATGCTCTGAAGAGTTTGTTTAGTGAAGGAAGGAAAGCGTGTGGATGAGCTATGGTCTTGATCAGTATTGCATAGTCACTCAAGGGCCAGCACAAAATTTAAGGGCGTTCCCAAATAGCTCATTAATTATAGTAAATAATACTTAATGCAATATTTTAAAAATCCATATTTATGCCTCAAGCTCCATGATACACATGCCTCGAATTTAACATACAGACAGGATCTGAACCTGTACTTGCATGGCAAATCACTTGCCTCCCCTTAATCCCAGTGAGTGAGCAATGAGCTGCGACTTTGAGGGACTTTACACAGTACATGGAATATGATGAGTCCACACAGTACACGAGTGGCTGAGTTAGCACTGCCACCATGAGACTGTAGAGGAGGGGATGGATTACAAAAGGAAGATGAGGGCAATGTTGAAGGTGGTGTGTTAATCAATCAGGGATCACCAGCAGCCAACTCTGGCTAATCATACTCAGAAGAGGAATATATCCAAAGGGTATTGGATGGCTCCTGGCCCTGTCAGGAGGCTGCAGTTCGGAATCAGCACTCCAGGTCAGGTACAGCCTGATCAGGACACCACTGCTGGCACCTGGCACCACCCACACCACCACCCCTGCCGCTACTCTGATGTCTGATTGGCCTCATGTCCTGCATCACACACTCCAGGGACAAAGTCCCGGGCAGAAGTGGCCAACGAGCCAGGCCTTGAAAGGGTCATGCTTGGGTGTGTGACAGGTGCATGGAACGACGATTGTTAGGTTTTTGTGGTGAAAAGTGAGTAGCTGTGTCCCACTGCTACTCTACACAAATGGGGGGTCCCCAGCAAGAAAAGGGGTTGCATGGTTGGATCCACATGACGAATACCATAGATGAGGCTGAATTTTCCTCTTGGGAGACTGAAGTTATTAATTAAAATAGAGAACTCTGGAGAAGGAACAAACTTGTATTTTTTTTAAATGGCAGAAGGAAAATACTAAATTGGTTTCACTTTTAGGAATGTATTTGGCCCCATCTAGGATGCATTTGGACTGTGTTTTATTGTGAGGACAAGCTGTGGGGAGACTGAGGCCCTTTTGTACTTCCCTGCACAATTTTACCAAAGAGCTGCCTCTCTCAGGGGTGGGATTGGGGTGGAGTCAGAGCTGCGCTATGATCCGTGCCTCTAGCATCTTTATGATATTACATTATCTGGTTTATCTAACCAGTCATAGACCTGTAGGATGGCAGGGAGCAAGGATCCTTCTAAGGAAGGATCCTTGTGCTGCCCTAAATACAATCAGAGGTTGAATGGTCAGGAGGAGAGCACCAACTCTTACTGGAACCCTCTGCTGTGCAGGTGCCATGCATGCCTTGTCTCATGTAAGACTCATGACACCCACCCAGCAGTGCTACCATTATTAGTTCTACTTTACAGTTGAGGAAATGGAGGCTCGTAGAAGGTTAAGTATAAGAAGTTCAAGATGACATATGGAGTTAGATGTGTCAGAATCAGATTTGAACCCAAGTTGGTCTACCCCAGAGACCCTGTTGCTGCCTGGCCAATAAAAGCCATCCTTTATTCATTAAGCCTTTGAGTATTTGACATTTTCCTTCCATAAGACTTCATGTGATGAAAATGGCTGAGCATATCAATGACAGCACTCTGCTTGCTTGCTGACTCTGGTCTTTACTCTGGATTCACCCAGCCCTTGGGTTTGCACCCTGCTTCCAGCACACCCTCCCTGCAGCTTGTTAAGGGGTGATATGGTTTGGCTGTGTCCCCACCCAAATCTCATCTTGAATTGTAGATCCCATAATTCCCTCTTGTCATAAGAGGGATCCGAAGGGAGATAATTGAATCATGGGGATGGGTTTTTCCTGTGCTGTTCTCATGATAGTGAATGAGTCTCATGAGATCTGATGGTTTTATGCAGGCCAGTTCTGAACACGCTTTCTTGCCTGCTGCCATGTAAGACATACCTTTGCCTCCCTAGCCATGTGGAATTGTGAGTCCACTAAACCTCTTTTTCTTTATAAATCGCGCAGTCTTAGGTATTTCTTCATAGCAGTATGAAAATGGACTAATACAAGGGGCTCTGGTGCCACCTCCATTTTCCAGCATTCCAGCCATTAACTTTTTTCTTCCCTTTTCTTTTTACCTTTTTATGATGGGAACTTTCAAACCTGCACCAAACAGACCCCTGATACCTATTACCCAGCTTTAATAATTTTACTGACTTAAATTTGACTTCAGTGTACCCTTACAATGTTCATTAGCATTCCTTCCATCTCTAGGTCTCCTTACCGGGGAATTTTTCCTTAGAATTCAATGTTAATTTTACTTACTTTGTTTTCTTTTTTTTAACCCATCTTCAAATTAGGTATCTCTGAAAGCAACAAATCCTTTTTTTAGGTCTGTGCATTTTAGTACTTCTTGACAGTATTAAATGGCTCCTGAAACATGCAGAATGACATGCATATAAATGTTAACCTTCTGCAAATTTGTAACTCAGTTAATCTCTAAAATCCTCTAACCTCAGCTCAGTTTTCCAAGGCCTTGTTTCCTTAGGCTTATGATCATTACTTTGTCACATTCAGATAGATCCAGGTTTCTTTTGTTGTTGTTCCTTTTGCATTTTGCTAACCACTATCATTATTTGCCATTTAATAGAGTTTAATTGAGTACCTACAGTGTGTAAGCAGCCAGGTCCAAACAAAAAGTTTCTGGGGCTGGGGTTGAAGTCACCTCTATGTCCGTAAGTGTCAAGGAGAGAGCCTGGCTGTCACAGACCAAATGCTCACTGAAAGCTCCTGGAGAAAATGTCTTTACTTCCAGCCCTAGGTCTGCACATCGCCACCTGTATTTTCACGGTAAGGCCTTCCATCTTGGAAGCAGGAGGTGGGATTTGAAAACACATTAGCCATTGATTGGCTTTGACTTTGAGCAAGCAGGTCTTTTCTGCCAGTTATCCACACTCAGTTACTTCATCTGGCCTCTTGGGAGCTCTTTGAACAGGCCAGGCCTGCTCCTGCCTTAGGGCCTGGCTTTGGTTGTCCTCTGTCCTCACCACCTGGCTCACTCCTCACCCCGTGCAGGACTCAACCCAAAATCCTTTCTCAGTGAGCCCTGCTGTAATGCTTCCAAAGCTCTCTCCTTCATTCTTTTCTTCTCTATTTTTAGAGCACTTATCAACTTCTAGCGACTGTGTGTAAATGTTGAGGTCAGGGATTATTGTTTTTTTCATGGATAGATCCCAAATGCTAGCACCAAGCCTGGCATGGGCACACTGTAGATGCTCAATAACTGTTGGATGAATAAAAGAATGAATGATTTTGTGTCCACAGAGGTAATCACTGAGCAAGAATTTCTGAAGCACTTTAAGACTTGTCTCCTTGATAGCTGGTTTAGCATAGTTGTTAAAGGTTTGGCCTCCAGGACTGGTCAGATCCAAGTCAGAATTGCACTTCTACCACTTGTCAGCTGGATGACCTTAGACAGGTCAATTTCTCCGAGCATCAATTACTCCATCTATAATAATGACACTGTTACTGGTTGAATTATGTATCCCTAAAAGATATTAGAGTCCCAATGCCAGTACCTGTGAATGTGACTTTATTTGGAAATAGGGTCATTGCAGATGAGCAAGTTAAGATGAGGTCATGAGGGTGGACCCTAATCTATTCTGACTGGTGTGCTTTTATAAAGAGGGAAACATGGATACAGAGACAGACGTGTACACAAGGAAGACGATGGCCAGACATAGGGAGAATTCCATCTAAAAACCAAGGCATATCTGGGGCTACGAAAAGCTAGGAGAGAATCCTGGAGCAGATTCTCCCTCACCACTTTGAGGAGGAGCCAGCACTGCTAACACTTTGATTTTGGCCTCCAGACTGTGAGACAATACATTTCTGTTGTTTAAACCCCCCCAGTCTGTGGTACTTTGTTATGGCAGCCCCAGGAAACGAATACAGACATCATTTTATATAGTTTCATAACATCTATGGATATGCCCGCGTATGTAACACTCACCGCATCTGAAAGTGTTTGTTAATGCCTACTTTTCTTTCTAAACTGTGAGTTCTGTGAGGGCAGGGACTGTTTACTGGTGTATTCCCACCACCTCGCACCATCCTGGTGCATAACAGTTACTCAGTGTGCTTCTATTTGGTTTGCTGGATAATACCTACTTCCTAGGATTATCTTAAACATTAAATGAAATATGTGTGTAAGGTGATTAGAGCAATGGTTTCCCGGACAAAGGGTAACTGCTCTACTGCTCCTCTTACTATAGAAATAACAGTGTAGAGCCTGGCTCTGCAAACTTCAATTTCTTTCTCTGGAAAATGGGGATAAAAACAGCACCCTATGAGGGTTTAATTAAATAACAGAATGTATGGAAACTACTTCACTCCATGCCTGAGAAATGGTAGATAGTCGACAAATGACAGCAACAAGGACAAAAAACTGCCCCGTGGATATATTTCATTTATCTTTTAGACAACTTTTGCTGTTGCTACATTTATTTGTCTGCTTAAAGAGCTTATAATTTCACTTTATTGCCTCTGCTTTCCTCTGGGATTTATTGAAGGCTATCATCTGCTAAGCAATTTCTCATTCAGTCCATAGGATATTTTATTAATAGTCCTTCTATTCTTCTTTCTAAGTGCTTCTATGCTCAATCAAACTTATGAGTAAAATTTGGAGTTTTGGCAAGTGCTGGGCTACATTCGTAACAAGCATCCAGCCCCGTGTGCTGCAAACGTCCAAGTGAGGAATACAAGGAGGCGAGTACAATCCCTGAAACAGTTCACTTTGTAATTGTTCTGGGGCAAACTGTCACTGGGGGTGATACGGCATAAATGTGAGAACTCCCCAGCGTCGTCCTTATGAACTTCTTACTCTTGCTGTCTTGGCTGTCAGGGTGTACAACTAAGAGGTCTGTATGATTAGAAGCTTAATTACCCACCATAGTGAAGTCCAAGTTTCCCACAAAAGCCTTTTCTTTCTCTCTGTACAGTACAAACCTTCTTGGGCAGTACAAACCTTCTCTTCTGTGTTGTAGTAGGAAGGGTCCCGATGAGGATTCTGAGAGCTTTGAGCACTGGTCTGCCCCTTCCGTGACTCTGGGCAAATCACGTATTCTCTGTACCTCAACTCTTCCATCCGCCCGATGAGCTAACAATATCTACCCAGTTGGCTTGTTTTGAAGATTACAGGAGAAAACAAGTATCTATCAACTGCAAAAATCCTGTAACCAGAAGAAACTCACCTGCCCACAGGGCCAGGTAGGTACCATAACTGGGTCAAGTAGGGTGGATGCACAGGGAAGTCTGCTTCAGCTCATGACCACAGTCCTTAGCATTTGCCAGAACAGCCGCCAGGGACCCCTTGCTTAATATATCTGATAATATTCTGCCTGAACTCGATCATTTCACCTGTGACTTTAAAAAAAATGAAACCCTAGGTTTTGAACATATTTGGTTGTCACAGTCGGGAGTGAGAGATGTTGCCACTCATGGGGTTGAATCTAGGGATGCTATTAAACCCAGGTTGGAAAGCATTAGGCAGTCTCACTATTTTATTCACTCTCCAAGCACAGCTTCTGCAAATATACTCCATCCAGCCAAACCTGCCTTAATGCTCCCTGGTCTTGATCTTCATGGGCAGGGGAGTTCTATTTAAATTCTGAGGATGGATATTTTGTCAACATTTGAACTTACTTCCCACTTTCCTTGATCTTCAAGAACTTCGTCCCTGTTAATGAAAAAGCAACAAATCATTCTGTGTTCTCAGCGGTCAAAAGGAATTTATTAGAATCTAGCTCTTTTAATATTTCCCTTTGTCTCTAGCAGTTCCTTGGAGCCTTGAGTCAAAGCTTGCTCTAAATGGTATTGCTGTTGGGAGATCAGAAGAACACTCGATAGGAATCTTTGGTGTGAAGCTGGCAGCACCTGTGTCCCAGCTAAAGGGCTATTATAATCCCAGATCAATAAGAGTCTCTTGAAAGGTTTAGAGGTAGCCGTGCATTTCACCTTTCCAGTGTTTGTTCAAATTTTAACTACAAATTAATTGCAAAATGTTTACAATTTGCTATTTGCATCCCTAGAGATCATAAGCCCCATTAAGGCTTCTAAATTATTATTTTCAAGGAATTACAAACAAGACTTTCATGCAAATATACACTGAACACAAGTCAAAGATTTTACTCAACTCATTAATGAATGAAGGAACCAGTAAGATGTTATGACCAGACTGGTTCAAAGGGAAATTTGAAGAACAAACATTTATACAAGCAGTTGGGGATTCTGAAATGAATATTTAAATTTTTTAATTTTTAATTTTTGTGGGTACATAGTAGGTGTCTATATTGATGGGGTACATGAGATACTTTGATACAGGCATGCAATGTGTAATAATCACGTCGAGTAAATAGGCTATCCATCCCCTCAAGCATTTATCCTTTTGCGTTACAAACAATCCAATTATACTCTTAGTTATTTTAAAATGTACAATTAAATTACTTTCGACAATAGTCACCCTGTTGTGCTAGCAAATACTAGATTTATTCATTGTTTCTAATTTTTGTACCCATTAACCATCCCTACTTACCACCCTTTCCCTGCTCCACTACCCTGTTCAGCCTCTGGTAACTATCATTCTGATCTCCATCTCCATGAGTTCAATTGTTTTCATTTTTAGCACTCACAAATAAGTGAGAACATGTGAAGTTTGCCTTTCTGTGCCTGGCTTATTTCATTTAACATAATGACCTCCAGTTCCATTCATGTTACTACAAATGACAGGATCTCATTTATTTTATAGCTAAATAGTACTCCATTATATACATGAACCACATTTTCTTTATCCATTCATCTCTTGATGGATACTTAATGTTGCTTCCAAATCTTGGGTATTGTGAACAGTGCTGCAGCAAATGTGAGAGTGCAGAAATCTCTTTGATAGACCGATTTCCTTTCTTTTGGGTATATATCCAGCAGTGGGATTGCCGGATCATGCGGTAGCTTTATTTTTAGTGTTTTGAGGAACCTCCAAACTGTTTTCCATAGTGGTTGTACTGATTTACATTCCCACCAACAGTGTATGAGGGTTCCCTTTTCACCACATCTTCACCATCAATGTTTCTTGCTTGTCTTTCAGATAAAAGCCATTTTAACTTGAATGAGATGATACTTCATTGTTATTTTGATTCACATTTCTCTGATGATCAGCAATGCTGAGCACTTTTTCATATCCCTGTTTGCCATTTGTATGTCTTCTTTTGAAAAATGTCTATTCAGATCTTTGTATTATTATTATTATTATTATTATTATTATTATTATTATTATTCAGAAATAAAGACAGGGTTTCACTATGTTGCTGAGGCTGGTCTCAAACTCCTGAGCTCAAGTGATCCACCTGCCTCGACCTACCAAAGTGCTGGAATTACAGGCATGAGCCACCACACCCACACTATTCAGATCTTTTGCCCATTTTTAATTGGACAATTAGATATTTTTACTATAAAGTGGTTCTGGTTATTAATTCTTTGTCAGATGGGTACTTTGCAAATATTTTCTGCCATTCTGTGGGTTGTCTTTTCACTTTGTAGATTGCTTCCGTTGCTATGCAGAAGCTTTTTAACTTGATGTGATCCCATTTGTCCATTTTTGCTTTGGTTGTCTATGTTTGTGGGGTATTCCTCAAGAAATCTTTACGGCTGGGCGCGGTGGCTCACGCCTGTAATCCCAGCACTTTGGGAGACCAAGGCGGGCGGATCACGAGTTCAGGAGATCGAGACCATCCTGGTTAACACGGTGAAACCTCGTCTCTACTAAAAATACAAAACATTAGCCGGGCGTCGTGGCGGGCGCCTGTAGTCCCAGCTACTCCGGAGGCTGAGGCAGAATGGCGTGAACCCGGGAGCCGGAGCTTGCAGTGAGCCGAGATCGCGCTACTGCACTCCAACCTGGGTGACAGAGCAAGACACTGTCTCAGAAAAAAAAAAAAAAGAAGAAATCTTTGCCTAATCCCATATCCTGGAGAGTTTCTCCAATGTTTTCTTATAGTAGTTTAATAGCTTGAGGTCTTAGATTTAAGTATTTAATTTATTTTTATTTGATTTTTGTGTATGGCCAGAGATATGGGTTTGGTTTCATTCTTCTGCATATGGATATCTAGTTTTTTCAGCACCATTTATTGAAGAGACTGTCTTTTCTGCAGTGTCT
This sequence comes from Homo sapiens, assembly GCF_000001405.40. Taxonomy (NCBI): domain Eukaryota; kingdom Metazoa; phylum Chordata; class Mammalia; order Primates; family Hominidae; genus Homo; species Homo sapiens. The sequence goes on along the minus strand of NC_000004.12, from coordinate 16,099,578 downwards.
GTTCTTGGAATCTTTGTTAAAAACAAGTTCACTTTAGGTATATGGGCTTGTTTCTAGGTTCTCTATTCTGTTTCAGTGGTCTGTGTGTCCATTTTTATGCCATTACCATGCTATTTTGGTTACTATATCTCTGTAGTATAATTTGAAATCAGGTAATGTAATGCCTCCAGTTTTGTTCTTTTTGCTCAGGCTAGTTTTGGCTATTCTGAGTCTTTTGTGGTTCCATATAAATTTTAGGATTTTTTTTCTATTTCTTTGAAGAATGTAATTCATATTTTAATAGAGATTGCATTGGATCTGTAGATTGCTTTGGGTAGCATGAACATTTTAACAATATTGATTCTTTCAATCCATGAACATGGATTATCTTCCATTTTTTGTGTGCTATTTTCCACTTCTTACATCAGTGTTTTATAGTTTTCACTGTAGAGAGCCTTTACTTCTTTTGTTAATTCCTAGGAATTTAATTTTTGTTTCTGGCTGTTGTAAATAGAATCATTTTTTAAATTTCTTTTTCAGATTGTTCAGTATTAGTATATAGAAATGTGACTAATTTTTGTATGTTGATTTTGTTTTGCAACTTTACTGAATTTGTTTATCTGTTCTAATAGTTTTTTAGTGGAGTCTTTAGGTTTTTCCAAAGATCCTATCATCTGAAAATCAGATAACTTGACTTCTTCCTTTCCAGTTTGGATGCCCTTTATTTCTTTCTCTTGTCTGATTAATCTAGCTAGGACTTCCAGTACTACGTTGAATAACAGTGGTGAAAATATACATCCTTCTTTTGTTCCAGATCTTAGAGGAAAGGCTTTCAGTTTATCCCCATTCAGTCTGATACTAGTTGTGGGTCTGTTGTATATGGCTTTTATTATGTTAAGGTATGTTTCTTCTATTTCCAGTTTTTTAAAGGTTTTTTTTTTTAAATCACAAAACAGTGTTGAATTTTATCAAATGATTTTCATCAGCAATTGAAATGATCATGTGGTTTTTGTCTTTCATTCTGTTGATATGATGATGTATCACATTGAATGATTCGTGTATGTTGAATTATTCTTGCAACCCTGGGATAAATCACACTTGGTCATGATAAACGATCTTTTTAATGTATTGTTGAATTTGGTTTGTTAGTATTTTGTTGAGAATTTTTGCATCAATATTTGCCAATAATATTGGCCTGTAGTTTTCTTTTTTTGATGTGTCTTTGTCTGGTTTTGGTATCAGAATAATACTGGCCTCATAGAATGAGTTTGAAAGTATTCCCTCCTCATCTACTTTTCAGAATAGCCTGAGTGGGATTAGTATTAGTTCTTTAAATGTTTGGCAGTGAGGCCATTGGGTTCTGGGCTTTTCTTTACTGGGAGAGTTTTTATTACAGCTTCTGTCTTGTTACTTGTTATTGGTCTTTTCAGGCTTTGGATTTCTTCCTGGCTTAATGTTGATAAGTTTTATGTGTCTAGGAATTTGTTCATTTCCTCTAGGTTTTCCAATTTATTGGCATATAGTTGCTTATAGCAGCAACTAATGATCTTTAGAATTTCTGCAGTATCAGTTGTAATGTCTCCTTTTTCGTCTCTGATTTTATGTATTTCAGTCTTCTCTTTTTTTTCTTAGTCTGGCTAAAGATTTGTTCATTTTGATTATCTTTTCAAAAAACCAACTTTTTATTTTTGTTGATCTTTTGTATTGTTTTCTTCATTTCAATTATATTTATTTCTGCTGTAATCTTTATTACTGATTTTCTTCTGCTAATGTTGGGTTTGGTTTGCTCTTGCTTTTCTAGTTAAGAGGCATTGTTAGGTTATTTGAAGTTTTTCTTCTTTTTTTGATATAGACACTTATGGCAATAAATTTCCCTCTTAGTACTGCTTTCACTGTATCCCATAGGTTTTGGTATGTTGTGTTTCCATTGTCATTTGTTTCAAAAAAATTTTCAACTTCCTTCTTAATTTCTTCATGGACCCACTGGTCATTCCAGAGCACATTGTTTAATTTCCATGTGTTTGTATAGTTTCCAAAAGTCTTTTTGTTATTGATTTCTAGTTTTATTCCACCGTGGTCAGAGATGATGCTTGATATTATTTGAAGGGTTTTTTTTTTTTTAGTGTTTTAAGATTTGTTTTGTAACCTAACATATGATTTATCCTTGAGAATGATCCATATGCTGAGGAGAAAATGTATATTCTTCAGCCATTGCATGAAATGTTCTGTAAATATCTATGAAGTTCATTTGTTCTCTAGTGCAGATTAAGTACGATGGTTTTTTTGTCGATTTTCCGTCTGGCAGATCTGTCCAATGCTGAAAGTGGGATGCTGTAGTCTCCAGCTATTATAGTATTGAGGTCTATCTCTCTCTTTGGCTCTAATAATATTCACTTTATATATCTCAGTGCTCCAGTGTTGGGTACATACAGATATATTTATAATTGTCTTATCCTTTGCTGAATTGATTCCTTTATCATTATATAGTGACCTTCTTTGTCTCTTCTTATAGTATTTGTCTTGAAACCTATATTGTCTGCTATGAGTATAGCTATTCTTGCTCTTTTTTGGTTTGCATTGGCATGGAATACATTTTTTTATCCCTTTATTTTCAGTCTGAGTATCTTTGTAAGTCAAGTGTGTTTCTCATAGGTAACAGACTCTTGGATCTTTTTAAAAAATCCATTTAGCCATTCTATGACTTTTTATTGGATATTTTACTCAATTTACATTCAACATTATTATTGATAAGTAAGGACTTACTCCTGCAATTTTCTTATTTGCTGCCTGTTGTTTTGTTTTGTTTTTTTGTTTTTTTGGTCGTTCTTCCTTCTTTCCTTCCTTTCTGTCTTCCTTTTAGTGAAGACAGTTTTCTCTAGCGATTTAATTCCTTTCTTTTTATTTTTTGTGTATCTGTTGTATGTTTTTTGATTTGAAGTTACCACGAGGCTTGCAAATACTGTCTTATTACCCATTATTTTAAACTAGTGACAATTTATCACTGATTGTATAAACAAACAAACAGGCAGAAAGAAAATTAATAAAAACTCTACACCTTAACTTCATCCCCCTGCTTTATAAGTTTTTGTTTCTCTTTATATCTCATTGTCTGTCTATGTCTTGAAAAGTTGTGGTAGTTATTATTTTTTATTTATTCATCATTTAGTCTTTCTACTTAAGAGTAGTTAATATACCACAGTTACAGTGTTATAATATTCCGTGTTATTTGTGCACTTACTATTACCAGTGAGTTTGGTATCTTCAGATGATTTTTCTTATTGCTCATTAATGTCCTTTTCTTTCAGATTGAAGTCTTTAGCATTTATTGTAGGACAGATCTGATGTTGATGAAATTCCTCAGCACTTGTTTGTCTGGGAAAGTCTTTATTACTCCTTCATGCTGTAAGAATATTTTTGCTGTGTATACTATTCTGGAGTATAAGTTTTTGACTTTCACCACTTTAAATATGTCATGCCACTCTCTCCTGGCCTGTCCGGTTTCCACTGAAAAGCTTGCTGCCAGATGTATTGGAACTTCATTGTCTGTTATTTGTTTCTTTTCTCTTACTGCTTTTAGGATTCTTTGTCCTTGGCCTTTGGGAGTTTGATTATGCCTTGAGGGACTCTTCTCAGGGTGAAATCTGCTTGGTGTTCTCTAACATTCTTACACTTTGATACTGATACCTTTTTATAGGTTTGGATAGTTCTCTGATATTATCCCTCTGAATAATCTTTCTACCCCTATCTCTTTCTCTACCTCCTCTTTAAGGCCAATAACTCTTAGGTTGTCTTTTTTAGGTAATTTTCTAGATCTTGTAGGCATACTTCATTTAAAGCCACCATTGCAAAATTATAACTGAGACAGTGAAAGAGATCTGACCTAACTAACTCCATCTTGCTTTTAACCTCCAAGTTGTCTTTGTTCATTCCTGGGCATAGGCCGAACTAACTTTGGGAGAAACTTAGTTTATATTTTGAAACAGAGACAATAACAACCCTTTCCCAAAACCAAACGCTTCTTGCCTGGGGACTATACTGACCTTGTAGGACAACAAATTAGCCAAAAGATTAGCAATTATGGTTTAGCAGTCATGTATCTGGAGGCTAAAAGATTCTGAGCCTCCTGCCTGACCAACATGGTGAAAGCCCGTCTCTAATAAAAATACAAAAATTAGCCCAGCATGGTGGCACATGCCTGTAATCCCAGCTACTCAGGAGGCTGAGGCAGGAGAATTGCTTGAATCCAGGAGGCGGGGGTTGCAGTGAGCTGAGATCACACCACTGCACTCCATCCTGGGCGACAGAGCGAGACTCTGTCTCAAAAAAAAAAAAAAAGATTCTGACTCTCCTCAGATTGCTCCTGGGGATCATATTACTGTTGTAAAACTTAAGATCAGTGCTTGAGATATTTTGCGGACCCTGCACTTGATGGATCAGCTGATACCACCCAGCCAGATCAATATAAGTGCTCATCTGATCTTGTGGTCCCCACCCAGGAACTGACTCAATGCAAGAGGACAGCTTTGACTCTCTATGATTTCATATCTGACCCAATCAATCAGCACTCTCAACTCACTGGCCCCTACTCATGAAATTATCCTTAAAAATTTGGATCCTCAAGTGCTTGGAGAGACTAATTTGAGTAGTAATAAAACTCCAGACTCTAGCACAGCCAGCTCTGTGTGAATTACTCTTTATTGCAATTCCCCTGTCTTGATAAATCAGTTCTATCTAGGTAGCGGGCAAGGTGAACCCCTTGGGTGGTTACAAATTTGGGCAGTTACACATTGTTTTTTATTCTTTATTCTTTTGTCTCCTCTGTGTGTTTTCAAATAGCCTGTCTTCAAGTTCACAATTTCTTTCTTCTCCTTGATCAATTCTGCTGTGGAAAGACTCTGATGCATTCTTCAGTATGATAATTGCATTTTTAAACTGAAAATTTCTTCTTGATTCTTTTAAATTATTTCAATGTCTTTCTTACATTTATCTGATAGAATTCTGAACTCCTTCTCCGTGTTATCTTAATTTTCTTTGAGTTTCCTCAAGACAGTTATTTTGAATTCTCTGTCTGAAAGGTCACATATCTCTGTATCTCCAGGGTTGTTCCCTGGGGACTTATTTAGTTTGTTTAATGAGGTCATGTTTTCCTAGATGGTCTGGATGCTTGTGGATGTTCACTGGTGTCTGAGAATCAAAGAGTTAGGTTTTTATTGTAGTCCTCATATTCTGGGCTTGTTTGTGCCCATCCTTCTTGGGAATGCTTTCCAGTTATTCAAAGTGACTTGGGTCTCATGCCCAGTAATGTTATGATTCTTGCAGACTTGTAGAGGTACCACCTTGGTAGTCTTGTATAAGATCTGGAAGAATTCTCTGGATTACCATGCAGGGACTCTTGTTCTCTTTCCTTACTTTTTCCCAAGCTTATGGAGTCTCTCTCTCTCTCTCTCTCTCTCTCTCTCTCTCTCTCTCTCTCTCTCTCTCTCTCTCTCTCCCCTTACCTGCCTGGATATTGGGGATGGTGTGACACAAGCACTCCTGTGGCCACCACCACTGAGACTGGACTGGGTCTTCTCCACTGCCTAATGTAACCACTACCTGGCTACCATCTATGTTTAATCAAGGCCGTAGGGCTCTACAATCAGGAGCTGGTGAAGTTAGCCTTGCTTGTGTCCTTTACTTCAGGGCAACGAGCTCCCTCAGGCCCTGGGTGGGTCCACAGATACTGTCTTGCAGCCAGGGATTGGATCAAAAACCTTAGTAATCCATCTGGTGCTCTATTCTAATGTAGCTAAACTGCTACTCAAACCATGAGACAAAGTCCTTCTCCCTCTTCCTTCCTGCTCTCAGAGGCAGATCAACCTCTCCTTGTGGCCACCACCACCACTGACCCACAAGGAGCTCTGCCAGGCCACCAATGATGTTCACTTAAGGCCCAGGGCTTTTCATTCAGCTTGTGGTGAATACTGCCCATTAGGGCAGTGGGCTTTCATCTGGCCCATGGCAGGTCTATAAATGCTGTCCAAGTGCCTGGGCCTAGACTCAGGTACCCAAAGACTGTTTGGTGCTCTCCTCCACTGTGACCTACCTGATACCTGAAGCCAGGACGTCTCAGAGTCTCACACAAGAAGCAAGTTTTCTACCTGTATATCGCTGTTGGTTATTAAGGGCCCATGAGTTCTTTAATCAACAGGTGATGAATCCTGCCAGGACTGGATTCTTCCCCTCAAGGCAGCATGTTCCCTCCTGGCTCAGGGTGTTTCTAGAAATGTCCTGTGGGAGCTAGAGCCTGATATGGGGGCCTCACAACTCTGCCCACTGCCCTGTCCTACTGTGGCTGAGTTGGTATCCAAGATCCAAGACAAAATCCTCTTTACTCTTCACTCTCCTGTCTTCAAACAGAAGGAGAGTCACTTTTGTTGCTGTGAGCTACGCTGCCTGGGATTGAGAGAGGGGTGGAGCAAGCACTCCCCCTGCCACCCTACCTGGTGTCTCACTAGATCATGCTCTACCCTAGTCCACTGTCTCTAAGTCCAGCACAGCATCAGGACTTGCCTAAAAATTGCAGTCCTTGTGCCCTAGACTGCCTTTCAAGTTCACGTGGAACCCCAGAGCACTTTAGCCTGCAGTAGCAATGCTCTCCTAGAAACTCAATTTCCAACTGCTGGGATGGGCACTTCCCCTCTGACTAGGTCTGATCCAAATGCTCCCTCTGTGGGTAGGCGCAGGCTGAGTTCAGCATGGTTTTCCTCTCCGCTCTTGCTCTTTGCAGCACTGAGATCAATGCAAAGCCCCCAGCCACTGTGCTCTCTCTCCCCCATGTGCAGATTCTCTCTCCATGCTACATGGCTGCTTCTGAGGGATGTTGGGGGGTGGCATAAGTGATTCAAGATGTCTTTACTACCCTCTTCAGTGCCTCTTTCAGTGATAGGTAGTTAAAACCAGGCACTGTGATTGCTTACCTGATTTTTGGTTCTCATGAAGGTGCTTTTCTATATGCAGATAGTTGTTAAAATGTGGTGTTCCCGTGGTGATCAGTGGAGGTCTCTATGTGATCATCTTGCTCTGCCCCCTGAAATGAATATTTTCTAATAGATGTAAAACTTTTCAGTATCCTATAGGGCAATAAAATTCTATGTTTGGGATCTTTTCTACAGGGTAGAGATGAATTGATACCTCCTGGAGAACATTCATTAGCATTGCTATCGGTCTTCTAAAATTTAACTTCTACTCTTGCAGAATTGTAATATAGCCTAGCCAATTGAAATATAGCCTAGCCAATCGAAATACAATCAAGGCACTCACCTTTCGAGACTCCAGTGATTCCTAGAGGGTAATTATAGAGAGTAATTCCCTTAGATGGTCCCGCTTACAGGCTTACAGCATATTTCTAGCTCCTTAGATCTTTCTAGCCTGGAACCTTCCAAATCCTCAAGATGTAATATGTAAATATTTGTGAAATGAAGATTTAGCTTGTGGATTCAATAGCCCTGTATTATTAATTTAGGAAACTGGAAAAATTTTTAAAAAGAGGATGTGGTGGGAGTGACAGAGAGTTTGACAAAGAAATAGAGCAGAAATAATAGCTACCGTTTATTGCCTACTGTGTGCCAGGTATTACACATATATAACCTCATTTAATCTTTGCAAGACCTCTATTTTATAGGTGAGGAGACTGAAATTCAGAGAGCTGAAGTATTTAAGGTGAACTTATTTAAGGCTATACAGTGACATGCCTATAGATTTGGTGGCTGGTTTAGTGCTCTCCTCTGTAAGACGATAATCTCTGGGAGGGCAGGGGGCTTTGTTTTCTTCTCTGCCATATCTCTTTGCTCAGTCTGTCCTGCAGAAATGACACAATCAACATCTGTTGAATGCATGAGTAAGTGAATGAATGAGAGAATGAATGGAATAGCAGAGCTAGGACCCATTCCCAGGTCTGTTTGACCTTCACATCCCATGGTTTTCCCACTATATAAAAATTGCTATTCTTTTTCACTTCTGTATATAAGTGGCTGGCTGGCACTATAATTTAACACTTTGATTGCTCTGGCAAAAAGGAAGAGTGCTTGAATTAGCATGAGGTTTTCTGGGTTTAAAATAATTATCTGATTGTAGCTCAGGTAGCAGATAAAATATGAAGCAGAAGAGAATTTTGCAGAGACTGCTTTTAAGAAAAATGTTTCACATGGGGTAAATATGCAAGGGGTCAGTATGAAAAAAAGACAGCATTTGATAAAAAGTTTATTTTCACATGTATGTTCTGGGCCAGAGGTCATTTCAGTAACTAGAGTCCCTAACTCCGACCTATAATAGGTGCAGAGTGAATATTACTGATGGAATGACTGACTAACAGATGCTTAATACGTACTTTCAGATGATGATGGGAATAAGGGCAAATTAATAAGTCTTTAGAGAAAGCTAGTCATAGTAATTATTCCCAGAAAGGTAAAACATTGCTTATCATTGACATATGTTTTGCTGTTCTATAAATTGTAAGTTGTTGGGTGAAACTTTTATGGATTATGATAAAAATTGACAACTATAGAATCAGAAATTATGGAATTCTCCTGGCTGCCCGCTTCAGCAATCCCTCCACAGCACTTCGGTGGATGGAATCTCCCCTTCCTGGAGCAAGTGAGAGAAAGTACCCGGATGCTTTTTGTGCTGCTCTCCTTTTTTCCACATGGTTACTAAAGGTAAGTTACAAAGCCCCATTGGAGTTGGCGCATATTAAAAATGATGTCAGAGGGAAACGCACAGATGAAAGCTGGCTCTAGAGATGAGAACTTTATTTGAAATGATCATTGAAAACCAGATTTTGACTCGTGAAAGATAAAACTACTCTTCACAGCCCCCATCAACGTGTGACTGAATTTTCCAACTGCTCCCCAGCTTTCACATTCCGAATCCAAGCTCTGAGGCTCCATCTTGCCCTTTCCTCCCCTTTGTTCAAGCTGGATTGAAGTTTTCTTCCTCTGCCTTTGAGTTAGTGTGGAATGGGTTTGATGACAAGTTACGAATCATACCTGAAGGTGCTTGAAGTACAAGAAGAATGTTTTCCTGGCTTTTGGTTATTAAACACCAGCAATGCTATTTTGGTATCCAAGTGCAGAGCAAGGAAGGAAAAAAAAAAACCAAAAAGACCAGAGGAACAGGAACTCATGAAGTTAAATATTTACAGGACAACTGTGGCTTGCATGAAGCTATTCAATCCCCCTCTCTCTCTTTCTCCTTCCTCTTCTCCTTTCTTCTCCCTCTCTCCTTGACTATCTGGTACACAAATTTCAGTCTTAAGAGAACAGAGCAGCATGTGATGAGATGACACAGCTCTCTTTCTTTCAGGGTCATATCCTGCCATGTGTGTTGGTTATACAAACACATAATTTTTTTTTTAAAGCATGGTTATTCATGGTAGAAATTATTAGGTTAATTGGAATAATTTGAGCACAAACCTATTTTGTTTTAGTCTTAGTGACTCAGAGAAAAATAACTAAAACCTTTCCTCAGCCGCTAGCCCATGTGGTCACTGAGCACAGCTATTGTGCTGATGAGGAGTGTAAGGCTCAGGAAGGTTGCTGACTTACCAGGGCCCATGTTGGCAGCTGATGGAGCCTGAATGAATCTCCTGGCTCTCAGTCCAGTTCTCTTTCTAGAACATCATGCTATTTCATGATTAGATTTCATCTGGGCAGGAAAAATGAGCAGTAATTTCAGAAAGGGACATCTAAGCTTTTGCATCTAATGACTCTGAGTGTGTGTGTCGGAATAAACATCTCACCCTCTAGCCTTGCATGTAACAAATGACATAGGCATTCAGTTGAGCTAAATTGCTGGATTGTAGAATGAGAGTTCCAAGTGGAATTGAATGGAACAAATCCTTAGGTCTTGTCACTGCCTGCAAAAGGCTGCCCAGACTAGGTCATAATATTGTGTTCTATGTTTATTATTAATTCACTCACTTATTGAACAACCACAATGGTCCAGGTGGAGATGTTGGTATATGGTATGGAAATGGGTGAAAACAGTTGAAGCATTTGGTGCCCTACCGTAAGGCAGATAGCCACCCATTTCAATCCAATGTGGCAGTGGCCTGAAAAGGTTTTATGTTATCTTCTGGTGCATTGGTGATCATGGGCCAGATCTGAGTTCAAATTTAGTGCTTGACTTACTACCTTGGTGACCTCAGGTTACTGAACCTATTTTAGCCTTATCTTTATGATAGAGATAATATGATCTCAAACTGCTGTTGTTGCTAAGGTTACATAAAATAATTCATTTAAAGCACTGGGCCCAGCGCCTCATTCATAGTAAATGCTCGTTAAGTGTGGGTGTTACTCTCACTACTTCTGTTTTTTTTTTAATTTAAAATTTTTGTGAATACAGAGTAGGTGCATATATTTATGGGTTATGTGAGATATTTTGGTACAGGCATGCAATGTGTAATAAGGCATAAGGGTAAATGGGGTATCTGTCCCCAAAATCATTCTTGTTATTGATTTCTAGTTTTATTCCACTGTAGTCAGGGAAGATGCTTGATGCTATTTCAGGTTTTTAAAAAATGTCTTAAGACTTGATTTGACCTAACATATGGTTTATCCTTGAGAATGATCCATGTGTTGCAGAAAAGAATGTCTATTCTGCAGGCATCGGATGAAATGTTCTGTAAATATCTATGAGGCTCATTCTACAGTGCAGATTAAGTCTGATGTTTCTTTGTTGATTTTCTGTCTAGAATATCTGTCCAAAGCTGAAAGTGGGATGTTGAAGTCTCCAGCTGTTATTGTATTGAGGTCTAGCAGTCTCTTTAGCTCTAATAATATTTGCCTTATATGTCTAGATGCTCAAGGGTTTGGTGCATATACATTTACAATTGTTAGATCCTCTTACTGAATTGAGCCTTTTCTCATTATATGATGACCTTTGTCTCTTCTGATAGTTTTTGTTTTGAAGTCTGTTTTGTCTGATATAAATATAGCTACTCCGGCTCTTTTTTTGGTTTCCATTGGCTTGGAATATCTTTTTATGTTCCTTATTTTCAGTCTATTTGTGTCATTATAGGTCACATATGTTTATTGTAGGCAATAGACCAATGGGTCTTATTTTTTAATCCATTCGCCCACTCTATGTCTTTTGATTGCAGAGTTTAGTCCATTTAATTCAATATTATTATTGATAAGTAAGGACTTACTCCTGCTCTTTATTTGCTTTTTGGTTGTTTTGGGGTCTTCTCTTCCTTCTTTCATTTCTCCCTGTCTGCCTTTTAGCAAAGGTAATTTTCTCTGGTGGTATGATTTAATAGCTTGCTTTTTATTTTTGTGTATTCATTGTGTTTCTTTGACTTGAAGTTCTCGTGAGCCTTGCAAATACTATCTTCTTATAACCCACTATTTTATGTTAGTAATTACTTAACACTGATTACATAAACAAAGAAAACTAATAAGAGCTCTACACCTTAACTTCCTCCCCTTGCTTCTAAACTCTTTGTTGTTTCTCCTTATATTTTATTGTGCTGTCTATGTCTTGACAAGTTGTCGTAGTTATTATTTTTGATTGGTTCATCATTTAGTCTTTCTACTTAAGATAAGAGTAGTTTACACACCACAGTTACAGTGTTATAACATTCGGTGTTTTTCTGTGTACTTACGATTACCAGGGAGTTTTATATCTTCAGATGATTTCTTATTGCTTGTTAACATCCTTTTCTTTCAGATTGAATAACTCCTTGTAGCATTTCTTGTAGGACAGGTCTGGTGTTGATGAAATCCCTCTGCTTTTGTTTGTCTGAGAAAGTCTTTATTTCTCCTTCATGTTTGAAGAATATTTTTGCTGTATATATTATTCTAGGGTAAAAGTTTTTTCCCTCCAGCAGCTTAAGTATGTCACGCCACTCTCTCCTGGGCTGTCAGGTTTCCACTGAATAGTCTGCTGCCAGATGTATTGCAGCTCCATTGTTTGTTAATTCTTTCTTTTCTTTTGCTGCTTTTAGGATCCTTTATCCTAGACCTCTGGGAATTTGATTATTGCATGCCTTGGAGTAGTCATCTTTGGGTTTATCTGCTAGGTGTTCTATACAATTCTTGTATTTGGATATTGATACTTTTCTATAGGTTTGAGTGGTTCTCTGATATTATCCCTTTGAATAATCTTTCTACCCCATCTCTTTCTCGACCTTGTCTTTAAGGCCAGTAACTCTTAGATTTGCTTTTTTAGGTAATTTTCTAGATCTTGTAGGCATGCTTCATTATTTTTTATTCTTTTTTCTTTGTCTTCTCTGACTGTATTTTCTAATAGCCTGTCTTTAAAAGTGCACTATTTCTTCTCCTTAATCAATTCTGCTATTGAAAGACTCTGATGCATTCTTCAGTATGTCAGTTGCATTTTTAAACTTGAGAATTTCTGCTTGATTCTTTAAAATTATTTCAATATCTCTATTAAATTTATCTGATAGAATTCTGAATTCTTTTTCTGTGTTATCTTAATTTTCTCTGAGTTTCTTCAAGATATTGATTTTGAATTCTCTGTCTGAAACATCACATATCTCTATTTCTCCAGGGTTGTTCCCTGGGGACTTATTTAGTTTGTTTGGTGAGGTCATGTTTTCCTGGGTGGTCTGGAAGCTTTTGGATATTCATTGGTGTCTGGGCATTGAAGACCACCCCAAGAGCCTGCTTAGTACTCTACCTCCCTGTGGCTGAGCTGGTACCTAAGGGGAAGGAAAACATCCTCTTTACTTTTCCTTCTGCTTTTGTCAAGCAGAAGGAGTCTCTCACATTAGCCACCACAGTTGGGAATATACTGGGTCTCACCTGAAACCAGCAGATCTCAGAGTCACACCCAAGAACCACAGTGTACTACCTGAGTATTGCTTCTGGCTATTGAGAACCCAAGGGCTCTTTAGCCAACAGGTGATGGGTCCTGCCCAGACTGTTTCTTTCCCTTCAAGGCAGCAGTTTCCCTTCTGGCCCAGGATGTGTCTAGAAATGTTATCCACAAGTTAGGACCTGGGATGGGGGTCTGATGACTCAGACTGATGCCCTGTCCTACTGTGGCTAAACTGATATTCAAGATAACAAAGTCCTCTTTACTCTTCCCCCTCTTCTCTTCAAGCAGAAGGAATGGGTCTCTTCGTGCTGTTTTTAATCACTCCAGCCACTAGCATTGGGACTGATGCAGACACTAAGGATCCAAATGATTATTTTTGTTTTGTTTTTTTAACTGCATTGGGATTAGGCAACAGAAGGGTCTAATGTGGCTGAGAGTTTTTGAGAGAGGAGCATTTTTAGGAGGGTAGCTGCATTCCAAGTAGAGAGCTCTGCTGGGGTAAAAGAGGCATGAGTGCTAGAAAAGGGCATGCAGTGATGAAGAGCCACTAACAGCACTACCTGGGGTTGGGGTAGGGGTGTCACAAGCACTCCCTTAGCTCCCCTGTCTGGTGTCTCAGTAAGTCGCATGCCCTCCAAGTCTACTGGCTCTGAGCTCAGCATTTGGGCTTGCTTAGGAGTTGCTGTCCTTGTGGCCTAGGCTGCCTTTAAGGTTATTTGGGGCCCCAGAGCACTTTACTGAAACTCAAGTTTTCACCACTGGTATGGGCTATTTCCTCTGAGGGAAATTGGCTGAGTTCAGCCTAGTTTTGCTTTCTGCTATGACAGAGCAGTACTGAGTTCAATTCAAAGTCTCCCAATCACTGCACTCTCCCTTTCCCAAGCCACAAGGCTGCTGCTGCTGGGGGATGGAGGACTGGCGGCATTGGCAAATCAAAACTGTCTTTCCTGGCTTCTTCAGTGCCTCTTTCAGTAATATGAAATTAAAACCAGGTATTGTGGTTACTCACCTGATTTTTGGTTCTTATAAAGGTGCTTTTTGTGTGTGTAGATAGCAGTTAAATTGTGTTCCTAGCCGGGGTGGGGGGTGGGTGGTCAAACCTTCTATTTGACCATCTTGCTTCACCCCTTTCTACTGATACTATTGTTGTTGATATTATTAGGAATGAAAATGAGCCCTGTGAGTTATAATTGTCTTCATTTTGCAGACCAGGAAACTGAGGCTCAGAGAAATATTAAGCAGCCAAAGTCACAGCGATTAAAAGAGGCGGGACCAAACTTTGACGGAGATCAGGACCCACTCCTTTGAGAAATCACCTCTTTTGCTAGCTCCAGCCTAAAAGTGCTATCTAGGAGAAGGTTTATGGGACCCCAGCAGATGTTCAACCAGAAACTTCTGACCTGCAGGGGCTGCAGAGGGGAAATCTGCCCTGATTAGAAGAGATTTGTTTTCCACCCATATTAGTTTGATCTCACATTGCTATAAAGAACTACCTGAGACTGGGTTTCAGAGGCTGTACCGTAGGCATGGCCAGAGAGGCTTCAGGAAACTTACAATTATGGTGGAAGAAGGGAAAGCAAGCACATCTTCACATGGCAGAAGGAGAGACAGAGCGAGCAAAGGGGAAGTGCCACACACTTTTAAATCATCAGATATCCTGAGAACTCACTCACTATCATGAGAACAGCAAGGGAGAAATCCGCCCTCATAATCCAATCACCTCCCACTAGGTCCCTCTCCCAGTGAATTATAATTCAATATGAGATTTGGATGGGGACACAGAGCCAAACCATCTAACCTTGCCATGTCCTACTGTACTTTTTGGAAGTTTTCTGAACTAACATTTCTTGTCTAGAAATATACACACTCAAGATCAATCTAACTATTAAAAACAAAAAATGCTTATTTTCCAGTACCTGTTTTATGTTAGATTCTGGGGTAAAAAGAAAAAGGTACTGACTTAATGTTCCTGTCTATCATTCATTTGTAGCTTGTGCATCCATCCTTTCATCTGTCTATCCATATCACAAACATGTATTAAACACCTGCTGTATGCTAGACACCATCCTGAAGGTGCATTTCTTCCCTAAGTCTTTTTTTTGCCTGCCGGAGAGTACAGTATTCTCAATTCAAGATAAGAAGTGGTGAATAAGAGTGAAGTGCAAATTGGTGAGGACACTTAGACACCGAGTGATTACTTCTGACAGGTTTCCACCACTCAGCTAAGTAGCAAGGTGAAGACTCCGAGGTTGAGTTGTAACTCACAGAGCGGGAAGACCAATAGGCAGTGAGAAAAGAAGTTGCAGTGGCTTCACGTTATAGCAGATGCCTGTGTGTACACATGGGAGCGAATATGGCTTTATGCTGTTTTTCAACCGCTTCAGCCACTAGCATTGGTACTGCTGCACACTAAGGATCCAAATGATTGTTTTTTTGTTTTTTGTTTTGTTTTGTTTTGTTTTGTTTTGTTTTAAATTGCATTGGGATTAGGCAACAGAAGGGTCTAATGCGGCCGGGATGAGACAGGAGAGTTTTTAGGAGGGTAGCTGCATTCTAAGTAAGGGACTCTGCGGGGGGAAAAGAGGCGCAAGCGTTGCAAGAAGGGAGTGCAGGGGGTTGAGCAGGCACCTCTACAGGAAATGGATGCTGTCCAGGTGCTGGTGGGCGCCCCAGGGCTACGTGGCGAAGCAGCTCAGCCGGTCCAATCAGAGTGCGTCCAGGGCTCGGGTTTCGCGATCTTTAAGTGACTGAGGCAGATCCCCACGCGGCACCTGGCCATGCTCTCAGCTCTCCCGCCGCGGTGAGTATGTTTAAGGAATCCTTTCCATTACGGCGGCCCCATACCTAGGTCCCCGTCCGGGACAGAGGAAGCCGCAACGGGTCCCCCCGGGCACCCGGGCCTTTCTCCTGCCTCCCGCCACGTCCGAGGGTCCGGCCGCAGCGCCGCCTGAGCCCCTCCGCGGCCGGCAGTGGGAGGCGGGCTCTCCGAAAGCCGTCGCGGTGGTCCCAGAAGCCGGGTCATAAATAATTCACGAGCCAGGGTCTGGCGAGCTAAGGGAAGGGCGGCGGCAGCGGTGACTAGGGCGGGAGCAGGAGCGGGAGCCGGGTGCACGGTGAGTAGCTGGGTCCTCATCCCGGAGCGAGAGAGGCATCTGCTGACCAGGCGCGGGGCTGAGCGCACTCCTTCCACTGTACTGGGGGTGTACAGTGAGGAGTGGACGGGTTCGCTCTGCGCCCCCCTTACCCTAGCCATCTGCGCCGCCTCCCTGGCCCCTCAGCAGGTGGTGCGGGCCCGGACAGCGGCTGGGGGCCAGAGGAACTGCGGGGAGAGCGTGGTGGTGCCGGTGCCCGTCCAACCCAAACTTTTTAGTCTGAGTGGTGGCCCGCGACGCCCCGCTTGGGTCTTCTTTCCATCCACTGGGGATGGGGGCGGGGGTGGGGGTAGCCGGCGGCCGTGGTTCCGGAGCGGGAGTCGGAGGTGAGTGTGCGAACTGGACCGGGGCCCCAGAGACTTCGGACTCGCTCTCGGGGAGAACGGTGACCGAGGTGAGACTCGCCAGGGTCTTGGGAACGAGTCTGCGGTAAAGGAAACTCTAGGGATGGCCCCGGGGACGTGAGGCGCTGAGCTTCCCTGGCTGAGTGCGGAAATGGGCCAACACTGTGCAGCCGACCACAGCGGGAGTAGGGATATGGGGGTACAAAGCGAGGCCATCTCCCCGCGTCCGTGGGAGAAAGCATGCACCCCTGGCTTGAAGCACCTTCCCAGCCTCTCGCTCCACGGCCCTTCTGCTTGCATGCGCGGGGACCCGCGGCTATCGCTAGATGGAGAACTGGGGTGCTCAAGGCGCACCCTGCCAGAACACGCCGACCGGACAACAAAGAGGAGCGTGGACAGACCAGGAGCTTCACGGCTGTAGAAAGTCAGAGGCTCGGGATCAGTTTCCCCGAAAGCCCGTGTCTGGAGGGGCAGGGAGTCGGATCGGAGGGAGGAACTAGCTCCAGAACCCCTTCTCTCTGGCAAGATCGCCCCCGATCGGTGCCCAACAGGGGCCGCGGCGGGGAACTGGCGCCGACGCGCTCAGAGCAGCCAAGTTACTCCGGCAACCCCCTCCCCTGCGCGGCTGCGAATTCCTGGAGTCTCTTGGCTTCCCGCGCCCGCCCCGCCGCTCATTCTTTTGTGTCCCGCAGCTCGCGAGAGGCTTCCGCCCAGAAGGGAGCTAGGCCTGGAGGGGGCTTGGCCTGGAGGTGGTTTGGAGGTAAAGGGCGGGGAAGCCGGCGCCCCAGGCTTCATTCTGCAACAGGTTGCTCCTGGAGCCCGCTAAGGCGACTGACCTTTCTGGAGAAAGGTTTGCTGGAGTTCCTGAGGGCGGCAGCTGTTCTTTGTTAAGAAAGCAAGTGCACGATCGTAGTTCTTGAGTGCCCCCCGAGACTCATGCGACACGAACAACCGCTGCGATATGTTGGGTTGAATCATAAGAAATTGTCGGTTTTTTGGATGGAAGATGTGAATATCGTCAACCTCATATGATTCAACTTGTGTGATGTTACTCATTTTTCTTTTCTCACCGTCCTTTCTGTCCCGGTTATCCTAGGAGCCCCGGTGGAGTTGAGCTCAGAGTATTGATGCTAGCAGAAGCAGACAGACCCCAGATAGCCTTCCAGCTGCGTGCCAGGTGCTTTACCTATTAGATCGCTAGCCTGCGAACCCTATGCGAAATCCTCCTTTGACAGAGGAGCAGAAGAAGGGTTGGAGAATTCAAACAACTGTCATCTTGGCAGAGTTAGTAAGGGGGACCAGAGCCCCCTTACTGTTGCTGTTGTCTGTCTATTCAGCAGTGCCCTTTAGTTTATTCTTGTTTTTTTTTTCATGTGTTCCATAATTTTTTTCTAAACTTCCTTCTGATTTCTAAACTTTTCTAAACTTCTTTCTGATTTCTAAACTTCCTTCTGATTTTTATACGAGACAGTTTCTTTGTGTTTTAGTACAATGAGGTGAACAAATGCATCAGAGGACAAGCTGAAAACTTTAAACCAAGTTGGTACTGTTTAAAATATAAAGGAAATAGGTTTTTCAGGGAGCAAAGAGCTATTTCTGAGATTTGTTAAGGGTCAAGATACTTTGTTAAAACAGTGGAAGCTGAGTCGGGGGTAATTTTTATCAGATAAAGGACTTCTTGGATTCTGTAAGTTGCCTGTTCACTCTGATGGTAGTTTCTTTTGCTCTGCAGAAGCTCTTTAGTTTAATTAGATCCCATTTGTCAATTTTGGCTTTTGTTGCCATTGCTTTTGGTGTTTTAGACATGAAGTCCTTGCCCATGCCTATGTCCTGAATGGTATTGCCTAGGTTTTCTTCTAGGGTTTTTATGGTTTTAGGTCTAACATTTAAGTTTTTAATCCATCTTGAATTAATTTTTGTATAAGGTGTAAGGAAGGGATCCAGTTTCAGCTTTCTACATATGGCTAGCCAGGTTTCCCAGCACCGTTTGTTGGGAATTGAACAATGAAAACACTTGGACACAGGAAGGGGAACATCACACACCGGGGCCTGTTGTCAGGTGGCGGGAGTGGGGAGGGATAGCATTAGGACATATACCTAATGTAAATGACGAGTTAATAGGTGCAGCACACCGACATGGCACATGTATACACATGTAACAAACATGCACATTGTGCACATGTACCCTAGAACTTAAAGTATAATAAAAAAATATATATACATATACATATATATATGTATATGTATATATATAAAAGGACTTCTTGAAAGGATGGTCCCTGGGTGGCTTAGGTAAGTGGCAGCAAGGCTGGCTAGCCAGGCTTAGGAATCTAGGACATGCCACAGGACCCCTGATGGGTGGGTGGCTGCGGCTGCCAGAACAGGACCCTGGATGTGGCTACTGGCATTGCTGCCATCATTGCTGGAATGAATTAGATACTGTCCTGCTTCAGAGTGCGCAGGCCCAGGCCCAGAAGAAAGCTTCTGATTGGCCCAGCATGGCTCAGCTCCACCAGGACACAGTTTGGGCGCCTCAGCTGACCTCACAATGCAAGGCAGGGCTGCCTCCCACCCAGCTCACAAACGTGGTCTCAGATGTTGGGTATCCCCCATGCCCCCGCCAAAAGCACTCCAGATGACAAAAATCCACTACAAAGCTCTTCTTTAAAAAGAAAGATTCTGAGAAGTTCCATCAAAAGAAGAAAAGAAGAAATGAAGGTGATTGATCACCATATTTGCTTTTTCATTTTTAATTTTTTTTTTTGAGATGGAGTCTCTGTCACCCAGGCTGGAGTGCAGTGGCATGATCTCAGGTCACTGCAACCTCCGCCTCCCGGGTTCAAGTGATTCTCCTGCCTCAGCCTCCCGAGTAGCTGGGACTACAGGTGTGCACCACCACACCTGGCTAATTTTTTTTGTATTTTTAGTAGAGACAGGGTTTCACCATGTTAGCCAGGATGGTCTCGATCTCCTGACCTCGTGATCCGCCCGCCTCGGCCTCCCAAAATGCTGGGATTACAGGCTTGAGCCACCACGCCCGGGCCATATTTGCTTTTAAACCAGTATTGAAATGCAGTTCTCTGGACTCCAGGCTCAAAATCATGTAAGGTCGCCCAGGCTGGAGTGCAGTGGTATGATTATGGCTCACTACAGGCTCAGCTTCCTGGACTCAAGTAATCCTCCTGCTTCAGACTTCCGAGTAGCTGGGACTACAGTTGTGCACCACTACGTTTGCTAATTTAAATTTTTTTTTTTTTTTTTTTTTTTTTTGTAGAGACAGGGCCTCTCTATGTTGCCCAGGCTGGTAGCAATTCTTCATTGAGTACCAACTGTGTTCCAGGCTCTGGGGATACAGAAATAAGCCAGGGACCTGCACAGCAGCTGGGGTAGATCAATTCAAAGCAATATGAAAAGGGCATTTGGGGAGCTTTCACCTTACATGTGTTATTTTCCAATGTGTTTGGGAAGCCTGAAGTGTCCTTGGAAAGTGACATGAATTGACTAGGCGGGTACTCCAGGATCAGAGTACTCCAGGAACAGAACTGTTCTCAAACTTTGTTTGAAGGATCAGTCCCCAGGAAAGCTTGTTAAAAATGCAGATTAATGGGTTTCATCCCAGAAATTAGGTCCATTAATAGTCTGCATTTCAACTAAACACCCCATTTTATCCCGAGACAGATGCTACTCTCAGTGGCTCTCGGACCTAGTGGGGTTTAGCTGGTAAATACTCAGAGCTTCTGTTTTTGGCACAACCTATTAAACCCGAGATAAAAAACTCTTCCTCTTTGACTTGACTTTAATCAGTTTCTAGTATTTCATAGTTAGTGAGATATTAATACTTTCTTAAAATGTACTTTAAAACTTCAGAGGGACCTACATTTTGGAGCAAGATGTAAAGAAATCTGGAAGTGCAACTGCAGTTGCTGTCTATCTCAAGTCATTGTCTCCCATCTTTGCTGCGGTGAGCAGTTATGTTTCACTTCACTGGGAATTTCCCTTCCCCTGCTTTGTCACTGAGGGAGTTGGAGAGCCTGTTTGTTCATAGTTCTTCCCTTGGCAGTTTCTCTCTGTCCTGGGCTGAGGTTTGGTGGAATTACCAGAAAGTGGGCCTTCTCAGCATCTGAGCCTTTAATCCTTCCAGCTGCTGTGCTGGAGGCTTAGCTCTCTGCCTGTCCTTTAGCAAAAAAAAAAACCAAGATAAAGTGTACATGTGGTGTGTTGTGCTTGCAGTAGATGTTTGAAGGGAGCCCTTTGGAAACACCAGGGTCAAGGTGTCTATTGTGGATGTGACGGTGGGCGTAACCTGAAGCGTGGGCCTGAGGTTAGTACTGGCAGCCACTTGGGATCTGAGCAGCCCATGATTTGACAAAGGAAGAATTTGGGGCCCTTGTATTGGTAGCTTTGTGCAGGAGTAATTGGAGTGGGACAGGACTTAGAAGATGAGGCAATGGAGGGATTAGATATGAATTAACATCTTTGTTCAAATAGCTCAAGAAATCCCATCTGTTGTCCAAAGCTTTCTTTGACTTGGAATATTGGTAGTGGGTCCTCTGGCTTCTTGCAAAGTATGTCACCTTCTTCATCATCCCCCTTCCCTTTCTTACAGTATGTGTTTCAGGAGCACCCTGTACTTATCTTGAAAGTTAGTAAGTATGTATCTAGCTCACAAAGTGACAGCAGCTTGCTCTTGCTCCAGGACACTTAATACAGAGAGGAAGAGTGGTACACTTGGGATCCTTCCAGGTTCTGTGCTGATTTGCCTAGTCTCATGAAACCGCACAAGGAAATAACATATTTTGGCTTCTACGCCAGCACTTGCCCTGTAGCTCTGGAGCAGGCTGTGTTTGGTTTCCACCCACCTACCTGGATTAGGCTGAAGGCCCTGCTCTAAAGCTTTGCAGCCTCCTGTCTGGGGCACTTCTTGCTGCAGGCAGGTTACATGCATTGGTGACTCTGCTGCTATTTCTTTCCCTGCCAGGGATGGTGCCATGAGTGAAACAAGCTGCTCAGCAGGCACTTACTAAACACCGACTACGTGCCATGCCCAGTGTTAAGGTCTGGGGATTGAAAGAAGAGTAGGACAGAGTCCATCTTGGAGGCACTTTCTGTCCCATTCCCTTCCCAGATGCTGGAGCCACAGCTGCTTTTAGGATTCTTGTGTCTTTCTCCGTCTCCCAAGGGGTAGGTAAGAGTCTCCCTCTGCCCTGGCTTTCATCTCTGAGACCCCTAGTTGTAGAGGTGGTGACTTAGGGTGAAGATTTCCATCAGGATTACTTGGTAAGCTTATTAGAAAGACAGGTTCCAGTGTTGCACATGTGTCCAGCCTCAAACGGTGTGGTCCCTAGACTTGAGGCCATGCCCTTCTACTTTGGATTCGGGGTGAGGTGGAGAGGGGGATGTTTGAAATGAGATTAGTGAGTAAATAAGTAGAATATAAGGCAGAGTAAGATATATCTCCAGCGGCAAAGAGAACAACACACACTTGGAGAAGAAATAAGCATATAAGCATGTACTGGATTGCTGGGGCCCCAGTGGCTCGTACTAGAGCCTGAGAGGGAGGGCACTGAAGGGACAGTGTCTTGATGTCATAGTTAGATCTTGGACTTTGAAGGCAAACTAGTGGGTTTGACTCTTGGCCGCATGGTTAATTGAAGGGGTGGGTTGCCCCTCCACACCTGTGGGTGTTTCTCGTTAGGTGGAACGAGAGACTTGGAAAAGAAAAAGACACAGAGACAAAGTATAGAGAAAGAAATAAGGGGGCCCAGGGGACCAGCGTTCAGCGTACGGAGGATCCATCCTGGCCTCTGAGTTCCCTTAGTATTTATTGATCATTCTTGGGTGTTTCTCAGAGAGGGGGATGTGGCAGGGTCACAGGATAATAGTGGAGAGAAGGTCAGCAGATAAACACGTGAACAAAGGTTTCTGCATCATAGACAAGGTAAAGAATTAAGTGCTGTGCTTTAGATATGCATACCCATAAACATCTCAATGCCTTACAGAGCAGCATTGTTGCCCGCATGTCCCACCTCCAGCCCTAAGGCGGTTTTCCCCTATCTCAGTAGATGGAACATACAATCGGGTTTTATACCGAGACATTCCATTGCCCAGGGACGGGCAGGAGACAGATGCCTTCCTCTTGTCTCAACTGCAAGAGGCATGCCTTCCTCTTATACTAATGCTCCTCAGCACAGACCCTTTACGGGTGTCGGGCTGGGGGACAGTCAGGTCTTTCCCTTCCCACGAGGCCATATTTCAGACTATCACATGGGGAGAAACCTTGGACAATACCTGGCTTTCCTAGGCAGAGGTCCCTGCGGTCTTCCGGCCTTCCGCAATGTTTGTGTCCCTGGGTAGTTGAGATTAGGGAGTGGTGATGACTCTTAACGAGCATGCTGCCTTCAAGCATCTGTTTAACAAAGCACATCTTGCACAGCCCTTAATCCATTTAACCGTGAGTGGACACAGCACATGTTTCAGAGAGCACGGGGTTGGGGGTAAGGTTATAGATTAACAGCATCTCAAGCTGAAGAATTTCTCTTAGTACAGAACAAAATGGAGTCTCCTATGTCTACTTCTTTCTACACAGACACAGTAACAATCTGATCTCTCTTTCTTTTCCCCACATTAGGGAGGGCACTGAAGGGACAGTGTCTTGATGTCATAGTTAGATCTTGGACTTTGAAGGCAAACTAGTGGGTTTGACTCTTGGCCACATGGTTAATCACCTGTGACCTTGGGCAAGTCACCAGAATCCTCTCTGTGTCAGTTTCCTCATCTGCAAAATGGAATAATGCCTTAAACAAGGAGGACCTTGTTTCTATCTATGAAGCATGGAGAACAGTGCCTGGAAGATAGTAAGTGCTCAATAAATGTTAGTTTCCAAGATCTCAAGCTTTCTCTACAATATTTAGTATTTCCCGAACCCATAAAGGGTCTGTGTTCTGAGTCTGGCCCTCCTGAGAAGGGACCTTCTGTGAGTCATGGCTTTGATGCCAGCACCTGCCCTGTGGCTCTGGAGCAGGTTGTGTGCTTGGTTTCCACCCACCCATCCGGATTAGGCTGGAGGCCTTGCTCTAAAGCTTTGCAGCGTCCTCTCCGGGCAGCTCCAGGTGCAGGCAGTTTACACGCATTGATGACTCTGCTGCTGTTTCTCTCCCTGCCAGGGATGGTGCCTTGAGTGAATGACCCCCTTGGAGAACATTCTTCCGCATCCCTCGCCTCAAGCCAGCCTCAGACAGAAAACTGAAGATTCAGCAGATCCAGTGCTTCCTGCTCCTCTTCTGCCCAGGAACACGCTTGCCTTCCCCAAGGCTTCCAGAAGCTCTGAGGCAGGAGGCACCAAGTTCTACCTCATGTTTGGAGGATCTTGCTAGCTATGGCCCTCGTACTCGGCTCCCTGTTGCTGCTGGGGCTGTGCGGGAACTCCTTTTCAGGAGGGCAGCCTTCATCCACAGATGCTCCTAAGGCTTGGAATTATGAATTGCCTGCAACAAATTATGAGACCCAAGACTCCCATAAAGCTGGACCCATTGGCATTCTCTTTGAACTAGTGCATATCTTTCTCTATGTGGTACAGCCGCGTGATTTCCCAGAAGGTAAGTGCTGATGGCAGGGAAAGATAGGATTTATCTCCAAACGCACCCACAATATTGTTTTTTAATGTCAATGCAATCAATATATAATATATTCAGTATTTTAGCGATTGCTTTGCACAGAAGCAGAAAGCATTTAGACAGAAGTTAAGAAGACTTGTACCAGGTTACATAGGTTGCGAGGAATGTTATTATAAGAAATGGAAGCAAACGATGTTGCTATGTTGGTTTTCCACTTCTTTACCTTTTGTTTTGCTTGGTTTTGCTTTGTTTGGGTTAGAGCAATGAATTATTCTAAGGCACTTACCAAAGGTAAAAGTTAGAGTAAAGTTAGGGTAAAAATGCAAATTGTGTGTCATCAAAGGAGAAACGAATAACTAGCAACTGATGGCCACCTCATCGCTTAAAAATTTAACTCTCTTCTGCCCACCACAATATGCAAATTTTGACATTGCTTAGGGTAAGGACAAACATGTTTACTTGATCAGCTGTTTTCTTCATTTCTAAGAGCTTGGGTGTGAGGAAGAGGATTGGCACTTTCCAGAACTGTCATGCCATAGTGCTGTTATTCATCACACACAGTGCTGTTTGTCATTTTCGCCTTCTTAATGTTTGTTGTTTTCCATACTCTTCTGAATTCAGGGTATGTGTTCATAGAAAAGGGATTATGAAAGTAAAAATAGCCTGTGGGAAATATCTGCTACTAGGGTTTGGCACCTAAATTTTTGATTGGCTTAACAGTAAGTCCATCCTAAGCCTGTTCTTTTAGTTACAAAGATTTGATTACAATCATTGATTATAGAATTCGCTGTAATCTTTCTTATCATTTTCCTTAGCTGTTCAGCTACTGTTTGTAAGAGTCCTACTGGTGTGTGTACATGCCTGTGTGTGAGAGAGAGGGAGGAAGAGAGACAGGATGTATTTAGTGAATATCATCACATGTTTATATTATGGGGAGTTTATATATTTTCATTAAAATACATTTGTATTGGTTTTTTAACACTTATTTGTCTTAGGGCAATTAAAACAGCTTGAAGTATAGTTGTCAATTTTTGCTAATTTAAATTTCAGTTCACCAAAACAAATCTCTTTGAATGGTTATTGGCATTGAAGAGAATCCTGAACGAATGCTACTTACTGTTTATGTTGCTGTTAAAAATACTAACTTTGGAAATTCCAAAGACAGAAGTAGAAAATTAGAGTTTATTTCTTAACATTGGATGCAAATTCACTCTTCTGAATAGACATCTCTTGGCTTATTTGGAGACTTAATATGTGTTACTGAATAAAATAACCTACTAACATTTTTATTTAAAAAAACTCTTTAATTTTTGTCGGTACCTAGTAGGTGTATATATTCACGGGGTACAAGAGATATTTTGATACAGACATGCAATGTGTAATAATCACATCATATAAAATGGTGTATCTATCTCCTCAAACATTTATTCTTTGTGTTACAAACAATCCAATTACTCTTTTAGTTATTTCAAAATGTACAATTACATTATTATTGACTATAGTCATCCTGTTGTGCTATCAGATACTAGGTCTTATTCATCCTTTTAAACTAGTTTCCTACTAATGTTTTTAGTCTTTGCTTCTTGGTTTTGTTTTAATATAAAAGGCATAGAATTCAGTTGTCGAATATGAATTTACAATCATTTCCTCAAAAAGACTGGAAAGCTTCCCGTGTCTCATTCTAAGGCATATCATGTAATTAGTTAATCCCATAATCTCTTTCCATATGTTGCTCTATTTTGGTCCCTTTAGATTTGATTGGAAGGTTTCCTCATACTTTTTTTTTTAATAAGGAAAAGCAATGTATTTTAAGGTCTTCATTCTGGTGATCAAGTTCGAAGATGTCTTTTAGCTTACACAACTTCCAATGCATTACAAGGTTTTGAACTGCAACAACATTGTTAGACCGAAGGAGGGAACTGAAGAATTGTAATCCTAATGTAATCTGAGGGTATTAGCCTAGTTTGTCTCTTGACCTTCATCAATACTTATTACCTTGGAGAAGGAAATTCTCAACTTTCAACAGTAGACCAGGGCAGACCAGCATTACCTCTTTGGGAGGAAAAATTATTAGGTTGCTTAAGTAATATAATATTGAGTTTAACAGATGAATCTTGGGGTGTTGGTTTTCTTCCATCATCCTATTTGTATTCTTTCACCTAGTTACTACATTTCCTAGTGGTCTTAAAGTGCCCACTGGGTGCTTTGCAATGTAGAGGACACATATAAGATAATCATGATTTTTCCATTTGGGGCCAATGCATTTCACAAGTACCAAGTCATAAATAGATGCCCTCATAATTGAAGATGCAAAAAACAAAACAGAAAGAGTGAGAGCATGTGCATGATTGAGTCCTATATATTGTTTATTAGTTTAATACCTTAGTACATTAACCAAACACAAGACTTCAGGACAGGTCGTCTGTGGAGTAATATCTTCATAGAAGCTATTCTCCCATAGATATATCCTTTCATTTGAAAGCGTGCAACTGGCCAGTGGGCTCTTCGTGCCTGCTGGCCAGATACAGCCGATATATCAATTTAGAGGAATTGCAGTGGAGAAAGAGTTTAATTCAAGCAGAGCCAGCTGAATGGGAGGCTGGAGTTTTATTACTCAAAGCAGTCTCCCCCAAAATTCAGGGATTGGGGTTTTTAAGTATAATTTGGTGGGTAGGGGATTAGAAAGTGGGGAGTGCTGATTGGTCGGGTAGAAGATGAAATCATAGGGAATAGAAGCTGTCCTCTTGCACTGTCAGTTCCTGGGTGGGGGTCACAAGACCAGGTGAGCCAGTTTATCTATCTGGGTGGCATCAGCTGATGCCTCAAAACACAGGGTCTGCAAAGTACTCTGCAAAGTATCTGCAAAGTATCTCAAGCACTGATTTTAGGCTTTACAACAGTGATGTTGTCCCTAGGAGCAACTGGGAGGTTTAGAACTTTGTGACCTCTAGCTGTATAACTCCTAAACCATAATTTCTAATCTTGTGGCTAATTTTTTAGTCCTGCAAGAGCAGGGTAGTCACCCATCAAGAAGCGGTTTGTCTTGGGAAAGGTCTGTTACTGTCTTTGTTTCAAAGTTAAACTATAAACTAAGTTCCTCCCAAAGTTAGCTGGGCCTATGGCCAGGAATGAATAAGGATAGGTTGGAGGTTAGAAGCAAGATGGAGTTGGTTAGGTCAGATCTCTTTCACTGTAATAATTTTCTCAGTTATAATTTTTGCAAAGGTGATTTCAAGAGTAGTGGTGCTTTGAATGCAAAGTTCCAGTACAGGTCAAGGAATAGAAGAGATAGGGACAGCCCTGGAGCCTGTGCTTCCTCTTTTCTTACCATCTGACTGGAAAGTTTTTCACTTTTATATTCTGTGTCCAATCAATTGGTTTGCCAAATTTTGCATTTGAAACTCTAAGAGAAACCCTTCTTGTATCCCCAGGAAGTAAGGCTTTTTCTCAAGTTCCAGCTTAATAAACATAAAATGGAAAGGTCTTATTCAGCTGGGACTTGAGACAAAGCCTTACTTCCTGGGCAGAAGAGATTAGTTTAAATTAGACAAGGAACACAGGTAACCACCCCTGTGTTGACATGGCAGAATGTATTCTAGAACCTGCTGTGGGTATTTCATAAATGCTTGCCTTGGCCTGAAGCTGCAAAAGGATTACTCTACACAGGGGGCTTAGGCTCATTAAGAAGAGAGCTGTGCCTTACCTTTGAGAAGAGTCTCTTGTTCATTCATTCAAACCTGAAAGGATATTGGTGGCAGGGTGATCAGAGGAAGTTAGGGACAGGGTGTTCCAGGTAGAGAGTAGGGCATGTCTAGGGCATGTAGGAGACTGTGGTTCCAATATGAGTGTCCTACTCCATTCAGTTTCTTGGAATAATACCATAGACTAGGTAACTTAAACAACAGGCATTTATTTCTCAGAGTGCTGGAGGCTGGGATGTCTAAGATAAAGGTGCTGGCAGATTTGCTGTCTAGGGAAGGCTCACTTTCTGGCTTGTGAACAGCCACCTTCTCGCTGTGTGCTCACATGCTCTTTCCTGGGTGCAGGCTCCTGGAGAGAGGGTGAAAAGATATCTTCTCTTTCTCTAATCCCATCAGGCACTAATTCCATCATGAAGGTCTCACCCTTATGACCTAATTTAAACCTAATTACCT
Source organism: Homo sapiens (assembly GCF_000001405.40). Lineage (NCBI taxonomy): Eukaryota > Metazoa > Chordata > Mammalia > Primates > Hominidae > Homo > Homo sapiens. The sequence continues at coordinate 16,071,514 of NC_000004.12, read as the reverse complement.
CTCCCAGAATCCCCACCTCCAAACACCATCATGTCAGGGGTTAACGCTTCAACACAGAAATGTCAGGGGACACAGATATTCAGGACGTGACAGAGGGTGAAATAGGTATTCATGGAATAAATTGACCAAAGTTAGGGAGAACCAGAGCTGGAGGACCTTGATCTCCAGGGAGTTTTAGAGAGAGAAGGAAGGTGAGGAAGCCTTCCAGCAGAGGTTTCATTTGTTGGACAAGCATTTATTGAAAGTCCCTGCGTTCTGCGGTACACCTTGCTGGATGCTGTCAGCCAGGGTGTACGTGGAATTCAGTTTGGGGAAGAGAACCCATCAACAGCTGATAGGTTAGAGCACAGGGAGGTGGAGGCTTTTGTAGTGGTCTGGAGGGAGGTAATAATGAATTCAAAATGAAACAAAAGGGAATAGGGGAAATGGATGCAGTGTCCATTCCATGTCCCAGGAACTTGGTTTAAATCCTAGCTCTTGCCTGTTAACTGCTGAATGATCTTGGCTAAGTTGTCTAACTTTCAGACCCTTTTTTCTCTTAGACATAAAGTGGATTACAGTTACAATCAATTTGATGCCACGATTGATGTAGGGAGGAGACTTAGGAATCAGAAGGTGTCTCCAGGAGGGATCATTGAACTGTCCTTGCTGCTGTTCCCTTAGGAACATTCTACATGGCATTGCCTCGTAAGAAACAGTCCCTTCACTTTTGAGGTTAAGTGGGCCGTGTTCCCTTGGCAAGCCTGACAGTAGCGGAACAGGGTCTAGAAGCCAAGGTTTGGATGTGATGCTAGTTTACTGATTGGTCTTTGCTTCTCTGCAAAAATATCTACATCTGACAGGCTCTTGTTTTCTTGGTTTCTTTGTTCTTTTCTGCAGTTCTCAGTATCTGCTGTAAGACTTACTTTGCTAAGTGTTTGCTCATTTGATTCTTTTGTTAAACAAAATTATGGGAGGTCTTTGTTCTAGACTGGCCCCAACAGACCAGTCCAAATCAAAATGGACTCAATCATGCTAACTGCGATGTAATCAAACTGAAACTTTAAGGAAGCAGAGAGATCCCAAAACAGACCAAATTTTTTTTAAACTCTTGAAAACAGGAGATTGCATCATAATAACAAAGTCCCCTCTGCTCTAAACTCCACTAAAAAACAAGTAACCTGAAATAATCAGTCAGGTTCTTTTTTTCTATTTCTGTGTCCTTGTTTCCACCTACAAAACTGTTCTGCTGTTTTCCAGTGGGATTTGAGATGAAATAAGTCCGTTAACGATGGAGACAGAGTGACTTCAATGCCTAAAGTTTTGGTCAGCCTCTCAAAATTGCCAAATTTACCAACCTCTCAATCTTGAGAGGTTGATCTAAAGGGGGGAAATTGTTAAAAAATTAAATGTAGCCTAAAGCTGCCTCCTTACATATTTTAAGTTTGGCCTAAATGTTTCTCCATACATAGTAAACTGTGACCTAAACACATTTGTGAACAGACTTGCGACCTACTCTTATAACAAGTAGCTGAGTCTTACCCAATCGCATTAGCTGAGTTTCAGCCAATCGCAGGTGGCCACTAGTTCAAATCCTGTTCAAATAAAGCAAACACCCAGCTGTATCCCATCTAGCTGTTCCTGTACCTCAGTTGTGTTTTCTGCATATCACTTTCCTTTATCTGTCCATAAATGTTATATGACCCAGAGTCGTTCTGAATGTATTCTGATTCCAAGGGCTGCCTGATTCATGAATCATTCTTTGCTCAGTTGAACGCTATTAAATCTAATTTGTCTAAAGTTTTTCCCTGAATACTTCCAATAACTTTGGAAGGTAGATGATGGTGGTAAGTGGTGATATTATTTCTTACATTCTCCTCAACAGATTGGAAAACTAAGTCAGAAAGAGGTTACATGTTCAAGGCACACACTAGCTTGTGGCATATTGAGAAACTCCCATCTCTAGGACTAGTTTTATCTCCTATAAAACACAGCTGCCTTGTGTGTATTTTTCTTTTATTTTACTATGATGCTTTTAAAATGACCATGGGTTAGTATGGAAAATAGTAATTTTTGCACGTTAAAAGTATGCATTGTAAAAGATTGTCTGATGTGGATGATGAGTAGTGCCACTTCCAATTTTATGTGGCCGTGATGAACTTGGCATAAGTTCTGACCAGATCTGAGCTATTCTAATGGAACAAACAAGGAAATACGTCTCCTCTGTTGTTAGTTTCCTATAAATTCTCTAAAATTATTCTCTGCCCTGTTTTGTTTTGGTTTTTGTTTTTTGTTTTTTTCGAGGCAGAGTCTTGCTTTGTTGCCCATACTGGAGTGCAGTGGCACGATCTCGGCTCACTGCAACCTCTGCCTCCCGGGTTCAAGTGATTCTCCTGCCTCAGCCTCCCGCGTAGCTGGGATAACAGTCATGCGCCACCATACTTAGCTAATTTTTGTATTTTTAGTAGAGATGGAGTTTTGCCATGTTGGCTAGGCTGGTCTTGAACTCCTAACCTCAGGTGATCCGCATGCCTTGGCCTCCCAAAGTGCTAGGATTACAGGCATGAGCCACCATGCCCAGCATTGGTATGTTTTTAAATTTAGATTTTAGGATGGTTGGCCTATTTGTAAAAATATTTTAGGTGATTCTGATTTGCTCGTGGGATTTGGTGTGTGTGGGAGTGGAGTTGGGTGAGTTGGTAGAAGTGAGGAAGGTGGGGAGTTAAGCCTTGTTTCCATGGAATTTGAGAGGCCATCAGGATGTTATAGTGAGTATAAGAGCTCCCTCCATTACAGGTAACAGAATCCTATTAGCTGTAAGGACAAAATTATAACAAATTTAGTTGAAAGATCTCAATTGGCTATATTTGCAATTCTAGAATTGAGCGACACTTTATTCCACAAAATTGAATAAATGTCGCAGTGAGTCCAGCAGAGCCTAGCTTAATATTCAGAAAAAGGGCTGAAGAAAGCAGAAACAAAGAACACAAAGTTGAATTGGTCACTTCAAAGTTACTTTCCTTGTAAGACAGGGACATGGAGACAGAGCAATAGAGAAATAACTGGTTACATCAAGTGACTTCAGGTTAAGGATTGAAATGGAGGGAGCTTCATTATCATGCCAATAGCAACTGGCCTGTTTGGGAAATAGGCTGCTATCTGTCTCTCCTGATTTCTTGGAAAGCCAGATAACAACTCAGTTTCCATTTGGTAACGTGGAACTTTAGCATGGGTGACTCCATTTTGATTTTTATTCTGCTCTGTTGGGGCCTAGTACAGGAGCCTAGTCCTAAACAGTGGCCTCCTATCATTTTTATTTAAGATAGCCAAGGTAACCAAAAACAGGGAGTTTCTCATCAGGACTCCGGGTTCTCTCAGGGCACTCAGTGACATATGAGCCACCAGGGACCAGCCCTCACCTGGATTCTCTCTGCCTCCTATCTTGGCTTCTCTGTACATCTACTCTGCCTCCTCCCCTACCCTCTCCCTCTGGCTTCCTGCACCCCTGCAGTCCTCATGGTGGAGAACCAGCTTGTCAGCATCATAGGTTTCAGGCCAGCTTCTTGGAGAGTGGCTGGGAGTTCTTTCTTTTTCTATCCCAATTCTCAATTCCCAGGGAGGGCTTCTGGCTCACCCGAACCAATCATAAACCGTGGAGCCATTGAGTCACGTGGCCGGGGTCGTCTGTGTGAGCCTGGCTGCTGTGGGCCCTCACTGTCACCATGGCCTCAGAGGCAGAGAGAAGCGGTACCCAGGAAAGGGGCGGCTGAGTGAATAGCCAAATCGACGTGTCTATGCCCATGTCCACGTAGGATCAGGCTCCAACATCTGCGTGTCCTTACTTAATTCAGACAAAGCCAGCATTGTCGCCTTTAGAACATGTGACTCATGCTGGCAATGGGCCTAGCCACAAATTAGGTCACACACAGAGGAAAGAACTGATATCTATTGATCCTTCCTCCTCCATGTCAGTCACTCTGCTGGGCAACTTACAGCTGCCATCCTAACAGTCAGAATGGCAAGCACCACTCACTGTGTGCCCGCTTTCAGGGATTTAGGCGAGTCAACAGCACCAGGAGCTAACTGCTGTTATCTCATTTTACAGAAGAGGAAGTCGAGGCTCAGAGATCAAATAACTTGCCCCAGGTGCTAGAGCTGGTCAGTGGCAGAGGCAGGGTTTGAATCCAGGCAGGCTTCAGAGGCAAGTCATAATTGCCACTTTTCTTTCGCTGATGAGGAAAGTGAGACTCAGAGGCTAAGGAGTGTCTAGGGTCACACACCCTGATGGCTAAGAGGCCCAGCCAAGGTTAGACCTGGGACCCTGTGCCCTCCAAACGTAGGCTCTTCCCTCCGTGCTGCACCCTATTCCCTCCATGGAGGAGGAGATCTGTTGTATAGATTTCATTTGACGTCCCCAGTGACCTGTGAGTGGGTGGGTTTGAGTGGCAGGTGACGTGTCTGCAGATTATAATAGATACTTCTAATCTTCCTTGTGTGTCTTCACTTTCATAGGGCAGTCTTCTGTAACCAAACTGAAAAACTCATCCTGTAGACTTTTAGCCTATTATCTAGCCTACAAAGTCCCTCTGAAATAGGGTCCTATCTTGCCCTACATAAATAATCGAGGCGGGCTATGCACAGCTGGGAAATATCTGGCAAAAGACACCAGAAGCAAAGCTTCCTGCTCTGCTGATCTTCAGCGATGACATCCTTTCAGGAGGCCTTCAATACATGCAGGAAAGGGGAGATTAAGTGTGAATGTAAATACAGAGAGGCCGCCCAGCAGCTGCTGCATGAAGCCACCATGGTATTAAATAGCATTTGTCCACTGGGCTTGAGCAGAAATGAAGTCTTGAGATTTACCCCTAGAGAAGTGGCGGGAAAGTGTGGTCTGCAGGGTGGTGCCAGGTCAGAGCCTAGAGCAGGATGACTTTTCCAGGAGAGATGACACAGGTGGCCTGTGCCTGGGATCAAGATTCAGAAAGGAGCCCCAAACTCAGTGGCCCTGGAGTCACTGCCTAGATTTGAATCCCAACTCTGACGTCCACTAGCTCTGCATTGCACAAGTTACTTAATAATCTCTATTCGTTAGTTTTCCCTCTCTAAAGTGGAAATGATAATAATAGTACCTGCTTTTCAGGTCATCTTAATATTTGTTTAGGTAAATTATATTTATAAAGCATTTAGAATAGCGCTTGGTAGATACTAAGTGTTTGTCAAAATATGAATGTATAAAATCCATATTTATTAAAAGCTTTGAAATTAATCTCAGGTCTTGGTGATGACATGGACAAAGAAAGAAGTATTTATTTGACCTTCGCTTTATTGGTTTCCTAGGGCAACCATAACACATTATCACAAACCAGGTAGCTTAAAATGGCAGAAGTGTATTCTTCTGTGGTTCTGTAGGCAGGAAGTCTAAAATCTAGGTGTGGGCAGGGCCACGCTCCATCTGAAGGCTCTGGAGGACAATCTTCCTTGCCTCTTCTAGCTTCTGATGGCTCCAGATGTTCCTTGGCCTGGCCAGGATCACTCTCATCTCTGCCTGTCTTCACAGGACCATCTCTGAGTCTCTTCCTTTCTAAGGACACCTGGCACTGGATTTAGGGCCTACCCCAAGTCCAGGATGATCTCATCTCAAGATACTTAATTATGTCTGCAAAGAACTTTTTTCCAGGTAAAGTCATGTTCACAGGTCTTGGGGTTAGGACTTGGATCTGTCATTTTGGGGAACACCATTCAGCCTGCTACTCCTGCTATATTCTTATTTAGTTTTTCAAGTAACTTTGTGCTGCTCAGAGATATTAAGCAATGCACCCAAGGTCATATTTCTTGAGAAAGACAGAATCAGATTGAAACCTGACTGTCTGATTCCAAGTGCTTATTTCACTTCTGCAGATGTGTAGCAAGCATCTACTGGGCACCAAGCCTGACGCTGTTTGGCAGATGGTGTTGACTGGGTTCCCTTGCTCTCAAAAAGCTGACATTCAGCTGAGGAGACCTCCACCTCCACAATCAGCTGTAGCACAGGGCAGGCTAGTCCGTGCTTACTATGAGGTATGAATAGTGTTCACAGCTGTGTAGAGGAGGGATTGGTCATGGTGGGGGCAATCAGAGAAGGCTTCCTGGAGGAAGTAGCATTCAAACTAAGCTATGAGTGTGTGGAAGAGTTCAAGACACAGAGAACATTCCAGGTGGAGGGAACTGAGGCCTGAATGATGCAAGTTGAGACAGGCTCATAGGACATGGCCTGGGGAGCAGTGAGGCTGGTTCCCTGCATGTCTGGAAGGTTGTGAGGACATGGTCTGAGGAGTAGCTTGGAGGCATATGGCATGCAGGCTCTGGAATGTCATGCCGTCAGGGTGCTGCAGACAGTGGAGATTGAGCATCACTCAGAAGAAAACCTCTAACCCTGCCAAAGCAACATGAAGGAGGCCATGGGGAGCATGGATTGGCCACTGAGTTTGTTTCTGGAAATTCTTGTGTGTATTTGGACACTAGTGGCTTAGCTCAGTCCTATGCAAAGTGTGGCCTTTGGTGCCAACAGCATCAGCATCACCAGGGAGCTTTTTATAAATGCAGATTCTTGGGACCCATCCCACACTTAACTCAATCAGAATTTTCTTTTCTTTTCTTTTTTTTGAGATGGTGTTTCTCTCTTGTCACCCAGGCTGGAGTGCAATGGTGTAGTCTCGGCTCACTGCAACCTCTGCCTCCCAGGTTCAAGTGATTCTCTTGCCTCTGCTTCCAGAGTAGCAGGGATTACAGGCGCCCGCCACCATGCCTGGATAATTTTTGTATTTTTAGTAGAGACAGGGTTTCACCATGTTGGCTAGGCTGGTCTCGAACTCGTGACCTCAGGTGATCAGCCCACCTCGGCCTCCCGAAGTGCTAATTTTCTGTTTCTTTTTATTTAAAAAATATTTAAAATATTAATGTTAAAGTATAATATGCATACAGAAAAATTACGTGTAAGCTTACAGCTTGATGACTTTTCACAAATCGCATCCGTGTAACTAGTACTCAGATCGTGAAAAAGAACCATCCCACGGAGGAACTGCCTCTTGTTACCTGGTCACTGTCTCCTGCCTCCTCCCAAGGGTAACGCCCGCCTGACTTTCCGTAGTATAGATTAATTATTCCTGGTGGGATCACACGATATATACTCTTTGGTTTCTGGCTTCTTTTGCTCAACATTTTGTGAAATTTATCCATATTGTTATGTGTAGTTGTAAATCTTCATTCTCATTGTTGTATACTATTCTATTATGTGTGAATATACCATTGTGTGTTGATCCCCCTACTGCATTGGCATTTGAGAGGTTTTTGGTTGGGGCCATTATGCTTAGTCCTGCTATGAAGATTTTTCCTATGTGTTTTAGTGACTATATGTACACATTTCTGCCGGGCATATATCTAGGAATGAATTGCTGCACGATGGGGTATGCATTTTTTTCATCTCTAGTAATACTGCCAAAAAGTTTTCCCAAGTGCGTATGCCAAGCAAATTTTTTAAAAACATTATTATGGAGAATTTCAAATATGTATAAAAGTAGGAGGAGAGTCTAATGAGTCCCTGTTTATCCATCACTCAGCTCCAACAACTTTCAACTCATTACCAGTCTTACTCTGGTTCTACCTCTATTCACTCCTCCTACCCCCTTCTTTTACTTTGAAGCAAATCCCAGTTGTTCTGTCATTTCATCTGTAAGTATTTCAGAATGTGTCTCCAAAAATAAGAACAATGCTATTATATGCTGTGGAAGTTAACAGTATATCCTCATTATAATCAGACATTCAGGAAATGTGCAGTTTTATTGATTTTCTCATAGCTGCATTTTTAAAAGTTTTTTTTGTTTGAATCAGGATACACATAACGTCCATACATTGTAATTGGTTGATATATCTCCTTACATCTATTTATTATTATTATTTTGTTTGAGATGGAGTCTCACTCTGTCACCCAGGCTGGGGTACACTGGCGAGATCTGGACTCAGTGCAACCTCTGCCTCCCAGGTTCAAGTGATTCTCCTGCTTCGGCCTCCCGAGTAGCTGGGACTACAGGCATGTGCCACCATGCTTGGCTAATTTTTGTATTTTTGGTAGAAGCGGGGTTTTACCATGTTGGCCAGGCTGGTCTCGAACTCCTGACCTCAAGTGATCCCCTGCCTCGGCCTCCCAGAGTGGGGGATTACAGTCGTGAGCCACTGCGCCCAGCCTCCTTACATCTATTTTTGATTTATAAGGTGCACCTTTATGTCTTTTTCCCTCTTGCAATTTATTTGTTGAAGAACCACGTTGCTTTTCCTACACTATTTCCCTTAGGCTGCATTTTGCTGGTTGCACCTTTATGGTGTTCTTTATCATGTTCCTCTGTCTACTGCATTTCCTGTAAACTAGTACTTATAGAGATCAGATTCAGGTTCATTTTGGGGGAAAAACACCTTTATAGATAGTGTCCTACATTTACATCAGGAGATGGATAGTTTCTGGTTGTATCTTTTGTGACGTTGGCAGTGATGATGATCACTGTCTAGATTTATTCATTCATAATGGGCCCAATTCTTTCAAAATCATTCACAAACATGCTCTCAAATATATTGCAACTTTTAGGGGAAAAGGGGGGATACTTTGCATATTTTGTAACTTAAACTTTTTACTTAACATTATATCACGGGCATCTTTCCATGTCTGTTCCTAATAGGGTGTTGCCTAAATTAAGAAAGTTTTTTAAGTAAAGAACTTAAAACATTCACCAATCTTTTGATGTAGAGCCAAGGCTTAAAATTTGTTTTTGTTAGGCGTTAATTGTTAGAAGTTTCAAACTTAGTGTTTCTAATATAAATCATACTCAAAATGCATCCTTTATAATTTGTGGTTTCTTTGTTTTGGTTTCTTTGAAGTATAGCAAAAACTAAAACACTTAAGAGTTCAGAGTTCTAGATTTTTAGTTTGTTGTTTGTCTCCCCAGACTTTTAAAATTTACTCACATGTAATTTCATTCAAATGACTGGCCTTTAATAAGTCTTTATAGGACATTTGACTTAGGTTTTTAATGCTCCTTCTCTTTATGTTCATGGGTCTTTAGTTGGTGTAGTATTTATTTATTATTCATTAACAATTGTGCTTAATATACAGAAAGGGGCCTGGGAGCAAACCCAATGTTATGGGTTGAATTGTGTCACCCGAAAATTATGTGGAATTTCTAACCCGAAGTACCTCAGGATGTGACTTTATTTAGAAACAAGGTTGTCGCAGATGAAATTAGTTACTTTTAGGTCATACAGGGGTAGGCTGGGTCCTTAATCCAATATGACTGGTGTCTTCTTAAAAGGGAAATTTGTGGCCGGGTGCGGTGGCTCACGCCTGTAATCCCAGCACTTTGGGGTGCCGAGGCGGGTGGTCACGAAGTCAGGAGATCGAGACCAGCCTGGCCAACACGGTGAAACCCCGTCTCTACTAAAAATACAAAAAAATTAGCCGGGCGTGGTGGCAGGCGCCCGTAGTCCCAGCTACTCCGGGGGCTGAGGCAGGAGAATGGTGTGAACCCGGGAGGCGGAGCTTGCAGTGAGTCAAGATCGCGCCACTGCACTCCAGCCTGGGCGACAGAGCGAGACTCCGTCTCAAAAAAAAAAAAAAAAAAAAAGGAAATTTGTAAACACACACACACAGGGAGAATGCCAAGGGATGATCACACTGCTACAACTCAAGGAACCACCAGAAGCTAGGAGAGATCTCTAACAGATCCTTCTTTAGAGGCTTCAGAAGGACCATGGCCCTGTTGACACCTGGATCTTGGATTGCTAGCCTTCAGAACTGTGAGACAATACATTGCCAGTCCGTTGTGGTACTTTGTTACAACAGCACCAGAAAACTAATTCACCCCATAAGTGGATAAATGAGCTGTATTCGCAGAGGGCCGAGAGCATCCGACAGAGTGGTCACCTCATGGGGAGGGACAGAGCACAGCCATGTGTTCTGAGGGACGGAACTGATGTCCATGTCATCTGGTCAGCCGAGAAAGTGGGCTTTAGCTCCTGGGATCTCTATCCTACATATTCTATTGTGTATACATACATTTGAATCACATTATCTATTTAATTATGAAGATTCAACTCCATGTGCTGAAAAGGAAAAAGTGAAATAGCTTAAATAGTACACATGATTCTTCCTACTGTTCTACAGCTAGATCACATAGTATTCTAGAAGAAGCCCTTACTCTCAGGGTTGACATTCCGTTGTTGTTGTTTCTCTGTAGTCAGCTGATAATGCATCTCTCCTTTCTTAAAATCCTAATGATTCATTTAAATCTCTGGATGAGTTCCAGTGGGGGGCTCCATTTTTCCTGTAGAATTCAAAGTGCCTGGATTTTGTGATGGCTATTTCTATTTCAGGGACTTAACAATTTATTTCCAAGATAACTGCTTGTTACTTCCATGGGAAAATTCAAGTTTATAATACTTAAGCCAACAGGAGTCCCCAGCTTAACAGTAACTACTTAACAGTAATTAAATATCTGCAAAGAGCTCAGGGGCAAGGGACAACTGTGACATGAGGAACACTTTGTGTGATGCAGACCAAAGGTGACAAGGGCTCCTGGGTATACCCGAAATGAGAAGACATAGTGTTAAATTAAATCCGAATCATCGAATGGGCTCAATTATATATGTTGCTTTCGTGTTCAATATTTGCTAAAATAATTTCAAACTAAGTTTATTCTAAATTTTAAAACAATGTATATATATGTTGGGAAAAACGCAAATATCACTTAAAGGATGAAAAAGGAAAAGTAAAATAACCCTACTTCACTCTCCAGAGGTAATTAATGATCACCAAGTTTTGTATGCCACCATTCATTCATTCGTTTGGTAGATGTTTATTGAGTGTCAGGCTCTGTTTTAGGCTCTGGGAAATAAACATCCACAAAATGTTTTAGACACACATGCACACACACACACATATTTTTTTTTCAAAAGGAATTATTTGAGAGCCCAGGAGTTTGAGACCAGCTGGGCAACATGGCGAAACCCCATCTCTACAAAAAAATGCAAAAATTAGCCGGGCGTGGTAGCACGTGCCTGTAGTCCCAGCTACTTGGGAGGCTGAAGTGGGAGGATTGCTTGAGCCTGGGAGGTAGGTGGAGGTTGCGGTGAGCCGAGATTGCACCACTGCACTCTGGCCTGGGCAACAGAGTAAGACCCTGTCCCAAAGGAAAAAAAAAAAAGGAATTATTTGACATGCTCTTCTGCTCCTTGCTTTTAAAACTTAATATATCTGGTAGATAATTCTAGTCATGCGTTTCTCTTTAATTTGGAAAAAAAATGCAGGGATAACCTATTTATATGACTGAAAATTCAGAAGTACAAAGGAATATGCAGTGTGAAGCTTCAGTCCCATTCCTGATTCTCAGCCCCCCGCCTCCCTTTATAGGCAACCATTGTTATCAGCGTTTGTGTGTGTCTGTGTCTCTTCAGACCTATTTTATGCATGTAGAAGCCAACATGTGTATATGGTCTTGTCTCCATCAGTGAAAAAATACTGTATATATTACTTGGCACCTTGCTTTCTTTTTAAACATACAGCTTGATTATTATTTTATATTAGCACCTAGAGAGCCCTCTCATCCTTATTTTTTTAGATCTACCCCTAACAGTCTTACTACCATTTTTTTTAATTGCTGTGAGGTAGTTTATTATTTATCAATTAATTTCAACCATTTTGCTGTTATATACATTGTTATAAATTATTTTAGTTATTTCACAAATATGCAAGTATATATATGGGGTAAACTCCTAGAAATAGAATTGCCAGGTCAGTTTATAATTTCATGAATTTGCACTAAGTGACTTTTCACTGAGGCTGGACTGCAGTGACACAATCGTAGCTCACTGCAGCCTCCACCTCCTGGGCTTAGGCGATCCTCCCACCTTAGCCTCTCCAGTAGCTGGAACACAGGCATGCACCACCCCACCCGACTAATTTTTTTTATTTTTTAGAGAGACAGGATCTCCCCATGTTGCCCAGGCTGGTCTCGAACTCCTGGGCTCAAGCCATCCTCCTGCCTTGGCCTCCCAAAGTGCTGGGATTATAGATGTGAGCTTCTGAGCCTGGCCAGTTTGCACTTTTGATAGATATCACCTAATGGCACTCCATAAATGTTGAACCAGTTTACCTATACATCAGAAAAATGCAGAAACAGCTCACTGAATTTTGTCTACTGTCTTGTGGGGTGGACATTTCTATTTTATGTACATGGAAATGGAGGCTCGGAGAGGGTAACTCACTTAGCCAAGGGTCACATAGCTTGTGAGTGGGCAGAGCAGGAATTTGAACTCATATCTGACTGATTTCAGAATCTTGTTTTTTTCATTATCCTCTTAGACTAGGCTATTACATAATACATTTAGGAGGGTTGAACAATGCATTCCATGAAAATGCTTTGTAAGTTCCAGTACTTCCTAGATGTCTAGAAAGGAAAAACAAGTGGAGTGATTCTGAACATTTGATATAAAGGTTCTGTCCAGGTATTACTCAGTGGAGTTTAGCCCATTCCCAAGGTACCTTTTTGGACACTGTACTGCTTGTTTTCCAGGTGTGTCTTCCCTGCTGCAACATGACTAGGCTCCAGAGTTAAGAGCTGGGCTTTATGCCTCCTAATGTGCCTTTTAACTGAAAAATTATCTTTGTTTTGTTTAGTTTATTTTTAGTAATTCTTCTATTTTTGGAAGCTTATTTACTTTTTTTTAGCCTTTTGAGGTAAATTATTTTATTTTTATGCTTATTTCCTAATAAATGCATTTAAGTCTGTAAAATTACTCCTGAGGACAGTTTTGGCTTCCTCCTCTAAGTTTTTAAATGCGGTGTTCTCATTTTTTTTTTTTTTTCCCGGAGATGGAGTCTTATTCTGTCGCCCAGGCTAGAGTGCAGTGGCGTGATCTTGGCTCGCTGCAACCTCTGCCTCCTGGGTTCAGGCAATTCTCCTGCCTCAGCCTCCTCAGTAGCTGGGATTACAGGCATGCATCACCACGCCTGGCTAATTTTTGTATTTCTGTAGAGATGGGGTTTTACCATGTTGTCCAGGCTGGTCTTGAACTCCTGACCTCAGGTGATCCACCTGCGTTGGCATCATTTTTCATTTCTGATAGTTTATCATTTGAGTTTTGATTCCCCTCTTTACTCATTTGGCTAATAATATTGAATGAATTTTATCTTTTTGAAAAGCAGTGATTTTTTAAAAAGTATGAGTTGTTATAGTTAGTTCAGTAAAAAATGTTAAAGCCTTCAGTGGTTGTGTTCTGAAGTCCACTGGGCTTTGTCCTGAGCTGTGAGCCGGATGCCTAGAGCGATTCATAAGGCCCCTTCACTCTCTCCTCACTGTTTTCTGGAACTGCACAGTGAAACCTGTTCCTTCCATTACAGTTGTTGAGGCATTTGTTGATTATGTCCCAGTTTCCTCTTTGTGAGAGCCCTTGGAAAAAAACCTTCTTTCTAGTCTTTTTTTCCTGAACAATTGGCCTGGACAGTTTCAGGTGGCTGCTACTGGGAAGTTTTGAAACAGTGAATCACCCTTCGCCACAGGTATAGGACTCTGCTGTACCTTTTGCTTCGTATGTTCCTTGTTCAGCAAACAGGTAAGGAATGAATGCTGTGGGGGATGGAACCATCAGTCAGAGAGCATCTGACTCTATGGAGCTCCTGTTTCCTCTTAGGTCCCCGGGCTTGCTTTTCTTTCTTTTTCTTTCTTCTTATTTATGTTATCGTAATTCTATATGTATCTCTGTAAACCTAGGTAGATATAAATAGAAATAAAAATCCTAATCTTTCTTGAGTGGGATTAAAATAAGAAGAGTCGATAATTTAAAACTAGAGAAGGGAAATAGAGAAGATCTGTTTTCCCCATCAGCCTGGATGAAAGAAGTTTCTTTAGCCTTGCAAGGAGAGTGGTGATTAGTTTACAGAAAATGGCTGGAGAGACAAAGATTCTGTTGAAGAAGCCTGTGGAGAAGAAGCTTCTTAGCTCACCCTGGGAGCCAGAAGGTGGTGATGTGACTGTTCACATTTGGTTTTTCCTTAGCGTTGATTACTTCATGTAGGAGTCTCTAAGTTCCCGAATTATGATTTGAAATGTTTCAATCTGATGCTGTCACTGATGAAATTAGGACATGTTTACTAATTGAGATGAAGGCTCTCTTCGAACCTGACTGCATCCTGGGAAAGAGGAGGTTGTATACGTTTTTATATCCTCTTGGAAACTGGCTGACCCAGAAGCTCAGCCTAATGAGATTTGGACAGCAGGCTTCCAGAAGGGTGATTGATTGTGACATGCTGAGTTTTATGTGCCAGATCTGTGTACAAATGACTGACTACCCGGATGCCTGCCTGGCAAGGAATTGTGTTTCTTTAAAGAGCCATTCCAAATATAACTTGTGCATAGAAATAAAACTGAGAAGAAATGAGTATCTCCTTCTGAAATTCAAGTAAATAGCTCCCTGACTTCAGAAATGACAGCTTCCTAAGCGTTGTATTGCAAAAACAGGAGCAGGCCAGTCTTCCTGAAGACTAATTTGCTCGCATGGAAATCGCATGCTCTCGTGTGAGAGTGTATTTCAAATCTGTCCCCTTCTGACCACCAGGACTGCCCTCTCCCAGCTGAGGCTGCCAGTCCCCTGGACCATGGCCAGGGCCTCCTAATGGGCAGAGAGAATGGGCAGCAGCTTGCAGTAGTAGCCCCAAACCCCTGTAATAGCTAGGCCAGCCGACTCCCTGGAACATGCCAAACGCTCCTAAGCCTCAGACCCTTTGCTTCTCTGCCTATTCCCTTTGCCTGGACGACTCTTCTGCATGGCTCGTTTCTTTTTTTTCTTCTTTCGATTTTTTTTTTTTCATGGCTTGTTTCTTTCCAGCCTTTGCTCAAATGTCATCTCAGAGGGACAGATCGTCTTCCACCCCAACACCCCTCACCTTGCTTCATTTTTCTTTATAGCATTTATTCTGGTATTACAATAAATATTTGTTTATCTCACTTGATAGACTCTAAACATCTTGAAGAGGGGAACACTATTGATTTTGTTCACTCCTCCATACAATAGCCCCAGAATCTGGAGTGGTGCCCACAACGCAGCAAGTACCCCATAATTGTTGCGTGCAAGAGCGGATACACTCTTGTGTACCCTCTCAGGGCCCCCTCCTCTTCCCTTTGTGAGCACCCACAGTCCTGCGTTATAAAGATCCTCTTGCCCTCCTCTGCCACCATGGTTGTTGTTTGGTGGAATCCTAAATCTGGTTGCAGCGTTTTCTGGTTACTCCACTTCCTCAGGCCTACACCCAAGCGGCCGACTGCTCCTAGAAACAATTGCGACTGTGCCAGCTGGACTCTCTTAAATGAATATCCACAGCCCCCACGAGGATGCTCGTACTCCTGACAGCTCTGACCTGTTTCTCAGTCAATCCTCTTTCCTAACCCCCTGCTTGCACACGTCCTCTTCTCTTCTCAAATCTCTACCCTGAACTCTCCTCTGCCAGCTAGAGACCTTACTCTTCATGGAGAATATGGACAGAGTCACTTGCAGACTCACTCACCCCTCCCTGTTTTGACTTCCAGATTTCTACTAGGGTTAGATATGCAGGAAATGTTTTTGTTTGTGTTTAGGATTCTTTTCCCAGAACATTCTTAGCCAAAAGATACGATTAATTTCCAAGTTTTTGAAAGAATTATCAATCCACCAGAAGGTCTGTGATGTTTATGCCACCACTAGTAATGTGTTGGGTATTTAGAAAATGGAATTGTAAAGGCTATGACATTGCATTTTTAAAAATATATATTTCTCATTACCGTCAAGGTTGACCGTTTTCACATCTGTTTCCTTTCTAAGGGGTTTGTCTGTGAAATGCCTCTGCCTAGCTATGTAGCAGAGTCTTAGTCTTTTTATTATTGATTCCGTGACAGCCTCTCTTCAGACGAAAACCCTTTCCCTAGGCTGTTTACCGTGAATTGGTATTAGGCTATTTGGTTCTAGGGAATTTGTGAGTTTGGGGAGATCTTCCGATCAGAAATAATTATTCAATTCCCTACTTCCATTTTGTAGATGAGAACACAAAGGCCCAGATAGGAGAAGCCTGCTCATTTAAGACCCTGCAGCCAAATGAGAGCTGGTAGGATAACGAAGCCAGAAAGAGGACAAGGGGAATTTTTGCCTGGGAGGTTATCTCAGCACACAAGTGATCCTCCTGCCTCAGCCTCCTGAGTAGCTGGAACTGTAGACGTAAGCCACCATGACCAGCCTAATTTATCAAGAATGGTACTGTGATTATGAATCCACATTTTGTTTCTCCAAGGAAAATAGTCTTGCCTAGGAGAATGCTAGGTTCTTAGATCTCATTTAGATGTCTCATTTGGGGCATGCAAGTTTTACTAAGCAATTGCTACAGGTGGACAGCACTGGGTTAGGAGTTACAGGATTTGTGTGGCAGAGAGAACATCTTCTGCTTTAAGGAATGAACAGTCTCTCTAGCAGAGTAGACAAATGTATTTACGTAGAATAAATAGTCCAGGGAACATGTAAGCCAGTGGATCATTAAATGTCACAAGTGAGTTATGAGTTGCAGGGATTTAGTGATGAGGGAAATCAGCTGAGGACCTCACATTTAACTTTGAGGATAGGGATGATTTTTTTCCCCCCCGGAACTCGAGTACTGACCATTATAGGGAGGGTTTTGATAGGTGGGGAAATAGCATCAGCAGACCTCAGAGGGGGCATGAACAAAGGCATGCTTTGGGAGGTCGGGGATCTGGCTGGATTGAAGGGGTCTCATTTGAAGGGAGACATAATTATAGCAACTCTATTAATTGCTCAATATGTATTGGGCATCTTGCTAAGATTTTCACACATTATTTTTTAATGATGAGTATTATTACCTTCATTTTACAGATGAGAAAATTGAGGCCCAGGGAATTTAAATAATTTGCTAAAGTTACACAGCATTAAGTTTCTGACCTGGAATTTGAACTCAGGATCACTTGATTTATGGTGACCATATATTTGTCATTTAAACCGGCACCTTTTGAGAATAAAAGAGAGCGCTGGTAATGATTATGCTAGAACAGCAGATGTAAACCAGGGCTGTCTGGACAAATCAAGATATGTGTTTGGTCACTCTGACTCCAAAGCCTGATTTCACTTTGATTTGAATTGGAAGGGTAGGGTTACATTGTGGGTAGCTTTAAAGACAATTGATGGAGGCCGCGTAAAAGGGGTTAGATAGACTGATTAACTTGATAGCGCTGTATAGAATGGAATGGAGTAGAAGAGAGATGAGAGGCCAAAAGAATAATTAGTGAGTGACTTCATTAAAAGTAGGGTAGATGTGATGGAGATCTGAACTGGATGATGGAATGCAAGGGAGGTAAGACGTCTTATAAATTAGTTTGTTTTGTTTTGTTCGAGACAGAGTCTTGCACTGTCACCCAGGCTGGAGTGCAGTGGCACAATCCTGGCTCACTGCAACCTCCACCTCCCAGGTTCAAGCGATTCTCCTGCCTTGGCCTCCCAAGTAACTGGGATGACAAGTGCTCACCACCACACCTGGCTAACTTTGTATTTTTAGTAGAGTAGGGGTTTCATCATGTTGGCCACACTGGTCTTGATCTCCTGACCTCAAGTGATCTACCAGCATTGGCCTCCCAGAGTGCTGGGATTATAGGCGTGAGCCACTGTGCCCGGCCTTATAAATTGTCTATAATGAAAAATTCCACACCTACTCAAAACCAGAAAGAATACAGTGAATCCCCATATGCCAGTGGCCCAGATAAAAAATTATTTGGTTTTATCATATTTGCTTTATTTATCTTTTCTTTCCATTTTTCTTTGCTGAAGCATTTAAAGCAAACCCAAACATAACGTCATTTTCCCTCCCACCACAGCGTGCATTTCTAGAGAATATTGACTATCCATAGTGTCATTACCAAATTACCAAAGTTAATAAGAATTCTAATTATTTTACTCTTAAGTATCATCATTAAGTTTAGTGCCCATATTTTCTCAGTTATCTTTTTTACTGTTTCTTTCCTTCCCTTGAATCGGAATCACAACAAGGGAGAAAGAAACTCTTAAACATTGTGGTTTTTCTCCAAAACTGAGTCAAAAAGTTTTGAGCTTGATAAACGAGGAAAATTAGTTAGCTGGTTAACTGGCAAGTGGAGTTTGGAAAAGGGAAAGTGATTGTAGAGAAAAACAGAAAGAGGTCCAACAACTTTTTTCATTTCAGACTTTTATTTTGAATAACCTCAAACCTGAAAAACATTGCAAAAGTAGTACAGATGAACACCTGCTTATTCTCTACCTGGATTCAACAGTTGTTAATATTTTGCCACACAGTGAAATACTTCAGCATGCACCTCAGGTCATTTTCTTACATAACCACATGCAAATATGACATGCAGGACATTTCGCATTGTTATGACACTTTTGTCTCCCAAACAGTTGATATTTACATTTCTCAAATATTTACATTAATTTTTTTATAGCTTTTATTCAAATTAAATATTTCGTCTGTGGCACTACATAAATGACATGCCCTTTCACTGTTATCACAGTAGGAGGCTCATGATGTCAATTTGTCTCATTACTGGTGAAATTAACAATGTGGGTAAGGTAGTGTCTTCCAGATTTTTCCATATACTATCCTGTTCCCCAACAATCATTTGCCTAGGGCTTTTAGCATTCATAGGTTATTCTTGCCTTAATAAATCACTTACCGCCAGGCCCTGTGGCTCACACCTGTAATCCCAGCACTTTGGGAAGCTGAAGTAGGCGGATCACTTGAGCCCAAGAGTTTGACACCAACCTAGGCAACACGGCAAAGCCTCGTTTCTAGAAAAAATACAAACATTAGCCAGGCATGTTGGTGTTGTGCACCTGTAGTCCCAGCTACTCAGGAGACTGAGGTGGGAGGATCACCTGAGCCCAGGGAGGTTAAGGCTGCAGTGAGCCGAGATCACACCACTGCACTCCAGCCTGAGTGACCAAGTAAGACTCTGTCTCAAGAAATAAAAAATAAAGCATTTACTATAGTGCTGTAAAGTGGTGGTGTTCTGTCACTTCTTTTCCATTTATTAGGGGGCATTCTGCTGTGTCGGGAGCATTCTGATACCATGTTGTAGAAATGGGGAAATCTGCTTATTTCAGTATCTCCCAAGGACCTGATGGTGATTTTGTGAGTGGCCAGAACAGAGCTCAGGGCTGTGGATTCTGTGGGAGTGCAGTGAGTAAGGCTGGAGACGTGGAGATGTAGAAGCAGTCGGAAAGGCTGGGTACTTCTTCAGTTGCCAAGGAGGCTTGATTTAGCCTGGCATTCTCAGTGGAGGTTCACGAGCGTTCAGGCTCAGCTCTCACAAAGCATTCCTTTTCATCTCCACACTGGCTGTGGGTTTCCAATCCCATAGCTCATAAACAGGCGTAGATATAGATCCAACAGAGAAGCTGGTTTGTTTTGTGTTTAGATTGAAAGAAGGTAGCCTTTGGGCATTTCATTCCCTCCCTTTTCATTTGGGGTTTTGTTTTCGGACATTATATAGAACTTTATGTAGGAGAGATTCAAAGCAAATTAGAAGATGTCATGTTTGTATTGGATTCTAGGAAGTTTCTTGGAGGGCTACCGAGTTCTTACAAATCCCAGTCTCATTTGGAGTTTCTGACTCTGCTCTCAGCTGCGATGAATAATTGGAAGACTCTGTTAAAATGCCGGGCTCATTAAACCAGGGTCAGAAACCTGGTTCCAGTTTGCTCGGCTGGGAGAAAAACCATTCCGTGTCCAAAGACAGTCTGGGTCTTGACCACCTGACCAGGCAGCCTTAGTGGCTCTGCTGTTGGGCACAAAGGGGAAGACACTTTACAGTCTGAACTCACAAAGCACATCCTGATGAGGCCTTACGTGTTGCACTCAACCTGTGGCCAAAACCCCACACTCAGCATCTTGTAGCGTAAAATCAACTCATTCCGTGCTCAGAGAGGGCTTGGCACACAATAGGTGCCTTCTTCACCTCACAGGACGATGGATATTTAGAGTGGTTAGAGAGTTCACAGCTGATCATTTGTTAATGTTTCCCAGCACTCAAAAGGTTGTTAGTGATAATAATGGCATAACATTTATAGAAGAGGAAACGAAGGCACAGAGTGGCTAAGCCACCTGCCCAAGGCCACACAGCCATTAAATAGCAGGGCTGGAGTTCTCTGCTCCTAACTGCTATGGTAATTGCCTGTCTTTCCTCATCTCCCATCCTGGCATTTTTATTTAAGCAGTGCCAGTTACTTGCATTTCCTTCAGCCTGTCATGTTGTCTCATGTCTGAATAACTTTGAACATGCTGTTCCCTGTCCCTGGAGTTTTTTCCCTTCACTTAGTAGTTGGATATTTCTACTCTTCTTTTAAGACGCAGCTCACATATTATCTGCTCTAGTAAGTCTTTACTCCTCATAACTCTCCCAACCTAGCCAGCTGATGCTGAGCCTTATATGCCTGCATCTCCCCACACAGCACACCTACTTTATTTTGTTTACTATCTGTCTTCCCAGTAGGCAGTGAGCCTATTAACAGCATGGATTGCATCTTGTCATCCTTGTATCCTTAGAATGCAGTACAGACTCTGAAATGTATTTGTGCCTATTAAGCATTTTTGGGAATATAGTCTGACCATGCCATTAAATATATGAAGGGATTTCAAAACGTTCATGGAAAATGTGTATATGGAAAAAACTATGCATGGATTTCAAAATTTTTTTGCATCAGAATAAACTTATATTAACTTCTTCTAAGATATCTGAATAGGTACTAGTTTGGTTCACTAAGAAGGATAAGACATCAGTTTTAAAATAGCCTGGATTAGGCTGGGCATGGTGGCTCACACCTATAATCTCAGCACTTTTCGGGAGGCCGAGGTGGGGAAATCACTTGAGCCCAGGAGTTCGAGACCACCCCGGGCAACATGACGAAATCTCATCTCTTCAGAAAATACAAAAATTAGCTGGATGTGGTGGCACATGACGGTAGTCCCAGCTACTCAGGAGGCTGAGGCGGGAGAGTCACCTGAGTCCAGGAGATCATGTATGCAGTGAGCCATGATCGTGCCACTGCACTCTAGCACGGGCAACAGACTGAGACCCTGTCTCAAAGAAAACAAAAACCAAACAAACACCCTGTATCAGTGCAACATGAATTCTAAAACTGAAGCAAGAACAAACATCAGTTTTTGTGTGTGTGTGTGTGTGGTTTTTTTTTTTTTGAGACAGTCTTGCTCTGTCACCCAGGCTGGAGTTCAGTGGCATGATCTCGGCTCACTGCAACCTCTGACTCCCGGGTTCAAGGGATTCTCCTGCCTCAGCCTCCCGAGTAGCTGGGATTATAGGTGCCCACCACCGCGCCCGGCTAATTTTTGTATTTTTAGTAGAGACGGGGTTTAACCATGTTGGCCAGGCTGGTCTCGAACTCCTGACCTCGTGATCTGCCCACCTTGGCCTCTCAAAGTGCTGGGATTACAAGTGTGAGCCACCGCGCCCTGCCCAAACATCAAATTTATGGTGAAGCTTGGGTGGAAGAATAGTGAAATAATGGATGCTTTACACATATTGTGTGGGGACAATGCCTCAAAGAAATCACAGTTTGCAAATGGGTAACTCATTTTAAGAAGGAATGAGACAATGCTGAAGCTGAAGCCTGCAGTGGCAGACCATCCACATCAATTTACAAGAAAAAATTCATCATCTTGTTCATGTCCTATTGAATATAATAATAAACTATATATACATATCTTATATATATATATAAATTTAAGGAGATCAGAGTCCTCTTATTCAGTACAATTATGACTGGTAGTTGGTAAGTTTCTTATGACAAACACTACATGCTGAAATACTGTAAAAATTGTTCTAGGTCACATATCCTACATAAGAATATGGTGAGATCTGATTTACAGGAACCAGCATTTTTAACTTTGTTTTGTCAAGAAGTGCGTATTTCTTATTTGTGGGTGGGGGGAGAGGGAGATAGAGTACCAGATTAATAAAATTATTTTATTTTAAACATTTAATTAAAACAAATTTACGTGAGCTCAAACTATATATAAGGAAAATCATTTCCCCTTCACAACTGCTTCTAATCATACTGCCTGTCCTGGGGAAGCCATTGTTGACAGCTGAGCCTTTTTCCATGTAGAACAGAACAGGGTTTGGCTGATTCACATTCTCACAGCAGCGTTTGTGATCTCACATGGACCTCCACACAGATTCA
This sequence comes from Homo sapiens, assembly GCF_000001405.40. Taxonomy (NCBI): domain Eukaryota; kingdom Metazoa; phylum Chordata; class Mammalia; order Primates; family Hominidae; genus Homo; species Homo sapiens. Next base: position 16,049,254 of record NC_000004.12, on the reverse strand, counting down.
AATAACATTCCTTTCAAAGGTCCTCCCAGTAATCTTTCCCCCAGGAACAGCAGGGACAAAGGCTGTAAATGGAATTATGCTTTCCAGGAATGTCTTAGGGAAAGAAATGCCGTCGGAATCCACAAATATTTTGGCAGTGGTCCTTAACCCCCACTCTCTGGATTCTCCAGGGGCGGCAGCACAGGAACCCGGCCCATGGCCCATCGCACTGTCGGGGAGCCCCAGCCCAGCCGCCCCATCATCAGGGTGGCTGCACTGCAATGGTCAGGATATCAGGCTCCAGGAGATCCCTGGAGCGTCCCTTCACCCTGTGCAACCTGAGTACTCGCTTCCTCTAAAGGAACTGGAAATGATAATCTTCCCAGTTACGGGCTGGGCTGTACCACATGCTACATCCAGGTAAAGTAAAATCACAGTCCACACGTGGCTGTGAGCACATGGCTGCCAGGAAGCTACACAGGCCAGACTGGTCCAGATGTTTTCACAGGAATAGCTTCCCGGGCAGCATGTTTTCTGAGCTCCTTACTTGCAGAGTGAGTTCGTGCCACCATTAATTCTAGTAAAAGCCAACGTGTGTCAGTCCTGCAGGGAGAAGCCACTCCAGTCAGCTAAAGGAGAGGAACTGATATAGGAAAAAAGTACCCTAAAGGTGTTCAACTTGCATTTTAAATAAAAAAAAAGGGAGACCTCCCTCTCCAGGGTACTTTGTTATATTTGTGGAGGCACCGGGGATACATTCGACACGTCTGATAAATATGGCTTGGCTTCTAAAAGTCTGAAGCTTCAATCCTTTTATCAAAAACCAAACTGAACAGTTTAGTCATGTGGATGTGAGGATTTGAAGGGTTTAACGAAAGTGCTCTGAGAAACTGAAAAGTACAGCCCTGTTGTAGCAGAAAATGGTTTTTCAATGCATATCACTCAGGTACTAAACTCAGACAGGTGCAACTCAGCCACAGCATAAGGAAATAGGCTCAGTCAGGAAATTTGGTGAACTCCAGGACCCGAGGCCATCGTACTGTTTGGGTCCCCCCAGAATCACTTATTTGGTCTCAGTTTCACCCATACCAGCCATGGGAAAATGTGAGCCCAGGAGTGGACAGATTGTGTTCACTTCATTATAAATAATGAACACATTTAACCAAATGGGAGTGCTGGAAGGTGGAGGTGATAAGTATATTTTTCAGAGAAGCCACACTTAACCCTTCAAGTGACAAACTTCTTTGGCTCTAGTATTTTCCATGGAAGTCTTTTCAAAAGGCATTTATTTGAACTCAGGCCTTTGAATTGAGTGCACACCAAATATAAATCAACTTTTTAAGGGGGATGGTTAAGGATCCGCATTCAAGATCCTTGTCCTCAGAGACTATGTGTGGCCTCTTGCCCTTGTGCTCACTGGGCCCCGATTGCTGCCCTTTGCTTGGTAGGGGGCTCAGGTTGTCAGCAGTTGTCATTAATGATAGTTCCTCTACCTGCTCTGAAACACAGCTGCTCAGAGGTGTTCTGCTCCAGCACCCATGAGGTATAACCATCCAGCAGGAGCAATAGCTGGCTGGGGTGGAGTTAGGCCAGGCTATAGTAGATGATGACGTAAACAAACCTTAATCTAGTGTTGCTGCTAAAAGTATTTTATAGATGTTGTTAACATCTACAACTAGTTTAACGAAACTAATTGTAACAAAACTAATTGTGATGAAACTAATTGCAACCTTTAAATGAAAGGCAGTACCGGCCAGACACTGTAAGTACCTGCCCGGCATGGTGGCTCATACCTGTAATTCCAGCACTTTGGGAGGCTGAGGCAGGCAGATCACTTGAAGTCAGGAGTTCTAGACTAGCCTGGCTAACATGGTGAAATCCCATCCCTACTGAAAATACAAAAATCAGCCAGGTGTGGTGGCATGCACCTGTAATCCCAGTTACTTGGGAGGCTGAGGCAGGAGAATCCCTTGAATCCAGGAGGCAGAGGTTACAGTGAGCTGAGATTGCCCCACTGTACTCCAGCCTGGGCGACAGAGACTCTCTCTCTCTCAAAAAAAAAGAAAGGCAGTACCCTTGATAAAGTGGGTGGGCCTCATCCAATCAGTTGAAAGGCCTCAAGAGGAAAAACTGAGGTTTCCTGAGGAGGAAGAAATCCTGCCTCAAGACTGTAGCGTCCACTCCTACCTGAGTTTATAGCCTGCCAGCCTGTTCTACAGATCTCAGACTTGCGAGGTCCCACAATTCCTTAGAATAAGTCTCTGAATATCTATATTACTGTCTCCTATTGGCTCTGTCTCTCTAGGGAACCATGACAGACACAGGCAGTTATTCCCAGTGTTTGGGAATGAGGGTGGGAAGGAGTGCGTGGTTGGATGAGGGCCTAGCCCTCTGCCTATTCTAGTCACCGAAGAATCAAATGAGCAAAGTCACCTGTGTCTTGAGACAGAGTCTGTGATGACTGAGTGCTGTCTCTGAAGTACCCACTCTGTGTAGACAGTGTGATTCCGTGAGTCGATGGGGTCATTCTTGTCTCCCTCGAGCTTGTGATTTGGAGCTGAAGTGACTGGCTTTGCACCAGATGAGAGGCAAATGCATGTGTATTTGTATGTCTTAAATAAGTTAAAATAAAATATCTAAGGGTTGTTTTCCTTCTTTTTCTTTTCCGATCAACCTAACAGAAGTGATTATATCTCCTACGCTGATTCAATGTAGATTTAAACATTTTCAGGCAATGAATTGGCTCCTTAAACATTGTTTTCCTTGATGAAAGGTAAATTGAGTTAAGCTATGCAAATAACTAGACATTTCTGAATTTGTTTAAAGTCATGAGGTATTTTCCTATCTAAAGAAGACAAATTTTCATTTTGGAAAGTGGAATCAGGAAGTTCTAAAGCATAAAAACAAAACCCAGCGGGCCTAGCCCAATGAGGGAAGACAAGACTCAGAGGGAGAGTTACCTCTGTTTGTAATTTAAGATCCCTTCCATATGGGAACCCTGGAGAAAGTGCTGGTGGCCACATATAAACCATGTAAATGTTTATATTTTCACCAACTGGCTCTGCCTCTTGAGTTAAATCTGCATTCTCCTCCAGAAAGGGCAGGCTGGACCCAGAAGCTGGTGCTCCCAGCTCATTTTACCAGCCATTTGTACTCATAACTCTTGGAGATTCTACTGAGATCTTAAGCCAACTTAGCCTTGACCCCTATCTGATGCACTATTCCCAGGATAACACTGTTACCTGAGAACATTTTCCTTAAGTATTTTGGCAGTAGAGACTTGTTTGAATTGGTGGTTTAAACTGGTTATGAACATGTGTTTTGTAGATCAGGACAATTCAGTTGGTAGGCTTATTGGATGTGTCTCAGGCCTGGGATGACTCTCCAAGCTTTGTAGACCATGAATGAGAAGCAGGCGGGAAGAGTGATTCATCTGAGCAATGCTCCACTGTATTTGGTCATGATTTTTATGAGTGCAAGTACCTTTTCATGCATTCTCTTTTATGAATACAGGAATTCATATATTTCAGTGAAGATGTCTTAAAAATCTCAGTGTATGTGGGTGCTGGTCTATAAGCTTCAGTGAGTCTCTGCATGTGTCATGTGTATGTTTACTTTCTGCTGAAAAAAAAGTTTTGTTTTGTTTTTTCTCATTCTTTGTTTAGTCAAAGCTGACAGGATAGGCTACTGGTAGAGGAGGCACGTAGCTAGAAAATGTTGGGGGTCTTAATTCGGTAAGGTGTGTTGTATTAGGGTAAGCAACACCCTTTGCTAAGAGAAACAAGCCCAAATCTCAGTACAAAATGTTTGTGGTTCACTGCTCAGTCCAACATAGAGGCTGCCGTGAGTTGGGTGGTGTGGTCTGGGGACTGCGGCTCGCTCTACCTAATGGTTCTGCCAGCCACTTGGGCTTCGGAATTCTCCACTGGATCCTCTGTATTTGGCTGAGAGAAGAATAAAGAGGGCAAACATGCAGGGTCTTTTGGGAGGTTTCAGAGGCCAGGCCTGGAAGTGGTGTGCGTGTATGTCCATCTGTGTTCCGCTGGCCAGAACTCAAGTCCCCTGGTCCCTCTTAGCTGCAAAAGAGCTGGGGAATAGAGTCGGGCTGTGGGTCAAGGAGGAAGAGGCAACACACAGATGGCACGGGACACTTTCATTCTGTGCCACTTGCTGAGGGCCGGCAGGGAAGAGTGGAGTGTTGAAGGCCGTGGGATCCCAGAGTAGAGGTGGGAGAGGCTAACATGTCTCTTAGCATCTGTAGTGCTCCGTATATTATATACCAGGCACTGTGCTGGACACTTTTCTTGGGGCAAGATGCCTCTCAATCTTCCATAGCCTGTGTAATGCCAGCACAGCCAGAGACTTACCACTTTTTGAACCATGTAGATTTGTGTTTTTTCTGGGCTTGTCAGTTCTACTTGGTTTGCCTACTTCCCCCTGTCCCCTCAGGAATTTTGTCTAGATAGGGGCAAGTTGTGAAATTTATTTGGAAGTGCCTGCAGAAAGTCTTATATGCCTGGAAAGAAACAATTATAGTTGCATTTTAATTAGTATTTAATTTACAAAAATGATGCATGTACAAACCTAGTTTCTGCAAGTCTCTAAATTGAATATTATTTTATTCTGTGTCTTTTTGGAAAATATGAATAATCTCTTTCACTTGAACAGTGTTGTTTTAATGTATGGGTTAACATATTAAATCCTTAGCACAGAGCCACGTGCAAGACCCCCTGAACTATGTGTGTTTAAGATGGGGCCACCAAAGGCAAAAGAGGGACCCTGTGGTCTCTCCGCAGAGAGGCACTTAACACTATTTATGCTCTTAATTAATCACATTTCTAAGTAAACACAAGTGCCCAAGCAAGCTGACTTACAGACACTATCAGCAAAATCTTTCCAAGAGCACTTAAGCTTGGCACAAATCTGATAAATCTACTGCAAACAACAGGGGATTTTAAGTTCTCTATTCATTTTACAAGAGAACATTATAGGGATAGAATTTCACTAGGCCCAGCTTAGGCCAGAATCTACATATGTATTCAGAGAAGCCAGTTTGGGAACAGAAATATCTTAGTCAAAGATGAGTTTTGACTCACATAAAGAAGACGGATCTGTTATAATATATGGGTCCTGCACAAGGCACATTTCTTATTTTAGCTTACTTCCGTGGCTCAGACATCACAAAACTCATAAATCGCACACATACGCACGCAGCCTGTTGGAGAAGCTCCTGCTGCATGTCCTGTTGAAGTGTAGTGAGAAACTGCAAGAGAATCCCACGAAGCTAAGACATCCTGCCAGCGCTGTCCCCTGACCTGGGGGGTGTGTGAGAGGGAGACAGACAGAGAGGCCCTGAGTTCCAGAACTCATTTCTGCAGACTTGGCTGCTGGCCACAGAAGGTCCATACTGAAGTTCACAGGGCTGCTCACTCCCAGGCCACACACCCTGGAGAGGCTGGCAGTCAGAGCTATGGACAGAGCAATGGATGGAGAGGCGCAGAACCACATCCCAGACAGCGTCATGGGGCAACCTGTGTGCTCTCAAGAGCAGGCTCCCCTTGTTTTCTGTATTTCGGGCTACAGTACACATCCCTGCCACCTTCTCAGCATGTGCAGTCCAGAAAAATATCCATTCAAAGTGGGGCTCCCGTGATGCTGCCAGGGCTGGTTCTCATGTGGGGCTTCAATTCTCAGTCTCTTGCCTTGCGCTTGGAGGACTGTGGCAGTGACTCCAGACCAACGTCCTTTCCAGCAGGGGCCTGGTGAAGGGTGGTGTTAGTGAGCATTTCTCCCCGGAAAAAGCCAAGGCTTAGCTGGGTGTGATGTGCATGCCTGTGGTCCCAGCTACTCTGGAGGCTGAGGCCAGGAGTTTGAGGCTGCAGTGAGCTATGATGGCACCACTGCACTCCAGCCTGGGTGACAGAATGAGATCCCATCTCTATGAAACAAACAAAACAAACAAAAAGCAGGAAAAGCCAAGACTTGAGTCTGTTGAGTCTGTCTCTCACTGGCTGAAGCTGGATTATCTGTTGACTCCTAAACCAAGTTATAGGGGTTGGGTGGATATGTTACTTGGCTCAGACCAGAAGGTCTCACTCACACACTGTGGGTCTCAGATCCGCTTTAACTCTTAAAAATTATTCAGGGCCCCAGAGAGATTTTGTTTATCAATATTTATCATATTTGAAGATAAAATGGAGAACACCTTAACATATATTTGTCAATTCATTTAAAAAGAACGATAATAAACCCTTTCCATAAATAACTTAATTTTGTTAAAAATAACTATAGTTTCCAAAAGCAAAAATCATGAGAAGAGTGGCATTGGTTTTTGCATTTTTGCAAATCTCTTGAACATCTGGCTTAGTGCAAGTCAGCTGGATTTTCATATCTGTATCTGGGTTGCTCCCGTTGAGGTACTGGGTGTTAGCTCCGTTGATGTATAGGGTGAACGTCTGCTCTCACTGAGATAGGTAGTTGTAAAAGAGAGCAGTACTTTAGTAGTCTTTTCAGATAATTGTGGATATTTTTCTTTAATACCACACTAAAACTGTGCAAGTGCTAGTTTTTAAAGGTTATTTGCAATGTGGAATCTGGAACCATGTGAATTAATTTTTTATAGTTTGATCTATTAACAGCCACTGGTCTGTCTTCCACTGTATTTATTTATTAAAAAAATTTAAATTTGTATAAATTTATGGGGTACAAGTGTAATTTTGTGATGTGGATACAGCACATAGTCGTGAAGTCAGGGCTTCTAGAGTATCCATCACCTGAATAATGTACACCGTACCCATTAAGTAATTTTTAATCATTTACCCTCCTCCCACCTCCTTGTCTTCCACTTTGAATGGATCTTTTTCCACGCAGGCTTTTGTGACATGATGCATGAATCTTTTGGAAAATATTCGTTCACTGAGTTTTGCACATCTCCCAAATGTGGACATATTTCATTTTATAGTATCAAAAATTCTTTAATATCCTTACTGATCACGTTAGAAAGGCATAAGTACTGGAATGCTGTCAAGCTCATGGTGGTGGATACGCACTTTGCAAAATTCTGATTTTTGCTTGAAAGCTCTAGTTTTATCATTGGCAACAAATCCTGTCAGTGGCTTCTTAAACTTGCAAGCTCCACTTCTTTCATTTCAGAGAAAATGCTGGCCAGGCACGGTGGCTCACGCCTGTAACCCCAGTGCTTTGGGAGGCCAAGGTGAGAGGATCGTTTGAAGCCGGGGGTTTAAGACTAGCCTGGGCAACATTGTGAGACACCATCTCTACAAAAAAGCAAATTAAAAAGTTATCTGTGCATGGTGGCGTGCACTTGTAGTCCTAGCTATGCAGGAGGCTGAGGGGAGAGGGGAGGATAACTTGAGTCCAGGAATTTGAGCCTTCAGTGAACCACGATTAAGGGCTGAGATTGGGTATATCTAAGTCTGAATAGTCACAATTTGTCTCTCAGCCTTTCATATATATATATATATATATATTTATTTATTTATTTATTTATTTATTTATTTATTTATTTGAGGCAGGGTCTCGATCTGTCACCCGAGCTGGAGTGCAGTGGCATAACTGTGGCTTAGTTGAACTCCTGGGCTCAAATGATCCTCCTACTTCAGCCTCCCACTACAGGTGCATGCCCCCACACTTGACTAATGTGGGGTCTCACTATGTTACCCAGTTGCCCAGGCTGGTCTCAAACTCCTGGGCTCAGCAATCCTCTGTCCTTGGCCTCCCACAGTGCTAGGATGACAGGTGTGAGCCACTGTGCCTGGCCATCAACTTTTCTTCCAAGTAAAGATGGTGTTCCATGAAAACTGTGGCTAGTTGAGCTCACAACTTAAAACACTTGCACAAATGCTTTTTGCACATTATACTTTGATGTATATGAAAGAGCTTTATGTGTAGTTACCATTTTTTTTTACACAGGATAATAAAAAGAGCTGTACTCATAGGTTGAAATTTAATAAAAATAATTTTTAATGCTTTATCAAGAGCCTTCTTAAGTGTAACTGACTATTGAACATGAGTGCCTGATGGCAAAGAATATAATGAGTATCAGCTGCCATCTTGATTTGTGCCAAATCACTTGCATTCTTATCTACCACCGCCTTTGCACCCTAGTGCAAATGTCAACACAACAAAAAAAGCAATTAACATCTTGTGTTTTGACCTCATGGACACCCTGAACATGTCTTGGGGATTCCCACAGCCCATGCTTGGAGACCCGCTGGTTCAGACCCGTGAGGATCTACCTTTGAGGTGCTGGGCTCACGGCTTCCCCAGTCCACGTGGCCTGAGAGGATGGAAGAAGCAGTTCCCCAGAAGAAATCCAAAGTTTTTCATTTTGTTTTTGTTTGTTTGCTTTTGTTTTGTAAGGGAAAAAAAAAAGTGAATGGATATTGAATGGCCAAAATAACAGTCTTCCACACTGCACTTACCATGGATACTGTTCTGTGATCTGCATGCTCTAAATTCCTTCATATAATGATAGCAGGTATATACCATGTGCCCACTGTGTGCCAGGCCCGGTGCTGTTTTATTTATAAATGTTTTCTCACTTCACCCTAAGTGGTCCTTTGAGAGTAGGGACGTCTTATTTTGCACATGAGCATGTTCGTAGCAGTTATTCACCTAAGATTAGACACACAGTTAAGTGGCGGAGCTTGGATTCCCTTCTAACTCGTTGCTAGATCAAGATCCCAAATTGCAACATATTATGCTGTGCAGCTAAGTATATTTTAATAAACAGATGATTTCTCAGTTTTTAAATCAACAGTAGACTCTTTCATTCAGTGAAATTTTAAACAATGAAATGTTAAAGCCTGATCTGTAAAACAGACCAAAGTAATGCTGACTGGTTGAAGGGGGAAGTAGCCTGTGTTGTCGGAAGGGGATTAGACAGCCTCAGTGTCCCTCTGGTCCTTGGGCAGCCCCCGAGGTACTGTGAAGAAACTATTGGGGTTCCCTGGGTACATATCAGTTTGAAAATCTCTGTTCCTGCAGCATAATCTTTAAACATCAGCCCATATCTCTGAGTTGTAGAGGAGAAAAGTTGTTTTGCAGAAAGCCTTGTGGGAAAGTGGCTTGCTTTGTTTTCCTATATGTTAATCTGAACTTTTTTGCATCAAAAAAGGAGTTGATGTAGTGTTTCGTTTGCCCCCCCATTAGTACATTTCAGGCGTGATGGATATAGTGATAGCACTGCAGAAGCTCCTTCCTGGGGTGAGAGAGAGTGTACAGGTGGCGGGAAGGCACCCGCACAGGAGAAGGAAGTCCTGAGCCTTGGTCTGGCCTCCTCACGAATCACTATGTCACCCTCTCTGTCCATGTCTCAGTTGTCTCATATCATTCTTAGATGGCTGCTCAGGGTTAAGAGGTGGCTCTTAGTCTTTTTTGGTCCCAGGCCTATGTGAGAATTTGCAAATACTCTAAATGAGTATTTATGGAAAAGTTCCAGTTTGCATTGCATAGGTTTTTATGCACTGCTTGGAGACAGGAAGAGAAGGATTTCCCATGTTAAGAACTCGAGTTGGGTTAATTTTTTTTTTTTTTTTGACAGTCTGGAGTGCAGTGGCGCGATTTCGGCTCACTGCAACCTCCACCTCCCGGGTTCAAGTGATCCTCCCATCTCAGCCTCCCAAGTAGCTGGGATTACAGGCATGCGCCACCACGCCTGGCTAATTTTTGTATTTTTAGTAGAGACGGAGTTTCACCATGTTGAGCAGGCTGGTCTTGAACTCCTGGCCTCGGGTGATCCACCTGCCTCTGTGTCCCAAAGTGCTGGGATTACGGGTGTGAGCCACGGCATCCTGCCGGGTTGAGTTAATTTTAAGATTCCTTTCATCCATTCCTTTGTAAAATATTAATATCAGGCAAATGTGGAATTATTGAACAATAAATTTCATTTGTGTTTCCAGACAATTAAGAATTAGCAATTTCAGCAAAATTTTTATAAATGATTATTAATAAGCTGTATGCGGTTTGCTGGTAAATATTAAGGTGTATTATGATAAATTACTAACTTAAAAATGACAACTCTCTAATTCTGTCACTGACAAAATAGTAAATCAGAAGTATTTGTCTTCTATTCTTGGCTTCTGGCTAGAGGTCATTAATTATTTACCTACATTAAGAAATAAGAATAAAATTATAAGAATAATAGAAATATAGGTATAATAATTTTTAAGCATATAAAGATCTTTTTCTAAATATGCATTTTATAATTTTACTGAAAAAATAATATTGCTATTTTGTGGCTTTTTTTCCAGATACTTTGAGAAAATTCTTACAGAAGGCATATGAATCCAAAATTGATTATGACAAGGTAATTTTTCATTGGTGTATTTATTATTAAAAATACGAAGTATGAGAAAAATTTTGGCTGACTTGAAAGTAAATCTTTAAATAACCAGTTATTCAATCTGCAATTTTAGTAATCTTTTTTGACTAAGAACTTTCATGGAATATTGAACCACCTTACAAATCCCATTTGAACCATAGCAGAAAGTTCAAAAGCGGCATTTGAAGAAAACCTTTCAAGTTGTATGTTACTTAAAAATTAAAAACTAAGGCCGGGTGTGGTGGCTCACGCCTGTAATCCCAGCACTTTGGTAGGCTGAGGCGGGCAGATCACCAGGTCAGGAGTCTGAGACCAGCCTGGCCAATATGGTGAAACTCCATCCCTACTAAAAATACAAAAATTAGCCGGGCGTGGTGGCACTCGCCTGTAGTCCCAAGTATTCGGGAGGCTGAGGCAGGAGAATCGCTTGAACCCAGGAGGCAGAGGTTGCAGTGAGCCGAGATGGTGCCATTGTACTCCAGCCTGGGTGACAGAGTGAGACTCCATCTCAAAATAAATAAACAAATAAATAAATAAAAACTAAAATTTCTTCAAAAAGAAATATTACGCTACTTTTCTTTTAGCTGAGGGATGAGAACTCCCTCATTAAGTAGAATTGTTTGAAAATTCCTAGAGATGGTGACTGTGTACTCTGTTATAAAACATCGTTTGTTAAAAAGTAGCTTTGCATTTGTATAAGGTTTATGAAGCTCCTGCTGTGTGAGGACATGGCTAGAAATGAAGGAAGGTGGAGATAAGGATGATAGCCTTTGGTCTCAAGAGGCTAGAAGACAGATAGCAGGGACCTTATCTAGTTAATGTAACAAGGATCATACAAGGGCAGAGCCGGTGGGATGGGTGGGCGCTCTTCTCACATTCCAGGCTTCAGAACATGTGAGCAAAGAGGTCAAGGTATGAAAGAAGCAGGCCCCTGGCCAGAGGGAGAGAAAAAAAGGTAAGTTGGGGCCTGATCCTGGGAGGGCCTTGAACGCCTCTCTTGAGTGAATCCATAGTATTTTCAGAAAGTATCAAGGCTCCTTGCATTTTTCTGCTTATTACCCAAGTTGCTGCCAATGCACTCCTCTGCGACTGCCTACCTAAACAGGAGAATGGTCTTTCGATTTTGGTGTGTTATGACTGTAGGTTGCCCATGAAGCAAACAGACAAAAGTGTGTAGCACTGAATGTAAGGTAATAAAAATTAGTTAAATGTGTTGGCCAGGTTCTCAGTCCTTCTCGGTAAGTAAAGCACTTTGTTCCTTCCTTTCCTGGTTTGAAGGCGGTTATCGGGCTACCAGTAAGCAGATGTATAGGTGGACGTTTTTTACTGGCCTGCACAACAAATCTGAATGCTAGTGTTTCCGGCATGGGAGAAGGCAGTTCCCTTTTGCCCAGTGAATCGTTACCTCAGATACGGTAGTTACAAATGGCCTCATCATATTCTTAACTTGCAAGAAAATTATACTCAAGAGAAAAGTAAATGCAGAAGAGGAAAGCCTTATCTAGAGGCTGTTTACATTCAGCAAGGGAAGACTGTGTGGAAGATGAACTGAGCTGTTCCCAGGGCTCACAGCCTTCCCCAGCACCGTGGAAAGCATTTTCATTCCTCAGTGCCACAGGCTTCATTTATATCTCCCAATGTGATTGTCACGTCGGCCTGTATCTCTGGGGGGAAGAAAATGACAGTTGCTTTTATATTTATATTCAAAATTAGCATAACATGCTTAGCCAGCCCGAATGCCAACCAAGGAATGAGAGTAGGGGCAGTGCTTCAGTGGGATCCGGGACTTGGAGAACGAGGTCCTGAGACCCTTAGGTGGCCTTGAGGAACCTGTGAGTCTGAGCTGGAGCTGGGCTGCCACCGTCCCTGGCAGGGTCTTTGTGCTTGACTTGGTATTAGATTTGGCACTCCCATAACCTTGGTTTATACCCCTGGCTCCTGCTCTCTTTCCTTGCCTTTGCAAATGAATAAAAACTCTGGGTGGGGGTGCAGTGGAGAGAAGATGCAGAACTGAGCCCACATGAATGAGCTGATTCCTACTCTAGATGTGGAACTGGACCATGCTTTCTACCATTATCCAAAGAAAGAGGTTAATTAAACAAAGGCACCAAAGGATCCAGGCCACATCTAGAGGAGGGCTTTCTGACTAGATTTAGTCTGATAAAGGCTGAGTGTGTTGGGTTGGTTCCCCCTGAAGCAGACCCTACACCAATGACTCCAGGGCAAGTCGTTTATTTGGGAGGCTCAGGGAACACAGATTCCTGGTCTTACCCATATCTTCTGACTCATGTGCTGTAGCAGAGGAGCCCAGGAGTCAATGTTTTTCTTTAACACACACTGTGAGGTGCTTCTTTGTGTCTGGTGAGCTTGGGAGCTTGTGCCCTGGTTGGTAACAAGCCTGCGTGCCCCTTCCCCAAGAAAGGGAGACCGGGATCATTTAAAATGCCCTGTGTGACCCCAGAGGCAGGTATATCTGAACTGCCCCCCAGTCCCAGTATTTTGGATGCCTCATTTAAAAGTGATTCCCATCACAAATGGTGTTCCCTCAGAGCTGTGAAGATCTGCCAGCTGAGGCAATAGTTTCTACACTTTTAGATTTCCTGGACCAGAATATTTCAAAAAAGTGATCTAGAAAATGACATAGAGCCACCTAATTTTATTTTGCCACGAAAGGACATTTAAAATCAAACATTGAGATGTTTGGAATAAAAATGGTGGGAATCCGTTGATCGCTTTAAGCATGGGAATAACACCATCAGATTTTTATTTTAGAAAAGGGCACTTGGGAAGATGCTGCCGTTGGTTCTGGAGTTCTCAGATCTGATTCTCTATTTTATGAAGATCACATGGTTAGTGTGTTAAGCATTTGTAACTTCCCCTCTAATTCTCCTTTGCGTAACCGATTAGCATACGGATTAAGAACCTTTTGGGAAATCCAAATGTAAATGCAAATGTAAATTTCAGAACTCAGAGCAACTTAAAACACTGTTTCTTGAATTCACACTCAAGTTTTATATTCCTTTCTCATGTTTATCCTTCTATCACCCAATTTCCTCCTTGTGGGATATGAATGTTCTTGGTTATGGTTGATCACTCATAACTTTTTCTGTCTGTTTTCTTGATGCATGCTGCCTCTGCCAAAATTCCTCACCTGCGTTGACTTCTACAGCCAGAAACTGTAATCTTAGGTCTAAAGGTAAAGTCCTTGTCTGCTATTTCAAGTTGCTCTTGGAAAGCCTTTCTGTTCTTCACTGTCATCCTCACTGTGAAGATTTTTAAATGATCCGTTTCATTTCTGTTTTTACCATCACTTTTAACCTTCTCTTTGAAGAAAGATATCTCTGTAATATTTACATGTTGATCTTCAACACAATCAACAAAGCACTGGAAGATCTTGGTGTATCAAAAAACAGTTTAAGTAGTGACAGGCCTTCGTCTAGTCGGCCTAGAAGTGAACTCTTGAAATGCCGTATCTTGTTCCTGATACTGCCTGATATTTAGTCAGTAACATTAGAAAGGCTGTGTTATCAAATGTACAATTTGTATTTAAAGCTAAAATTAGTGCATTTAAAACATTTCAATATATCTTCTCTCCTGGGTTTTGGTTCAGTGTCTCCTGGAATTCAGATAGAATTTACATTTCTTTAAAATAGTAAACAATTTAGAATATTTGCTGAGAAATGATGGAAAAATACGTAAGTAAGAGTTTGGAATGTCTGGGCTGGTTTCTTAACTGACAAGTGGTATTGGTCCTCGAGGAAGGGTTAAGTCCCCTAATAATGCCTCTTCGTGGACATGGGATGGGGGTTAGCTTAAGCGTGAGCACATACTTGATGAACCCAGCAAGATTCAGCCACTCTTTTTTTTAAGCAATTTAATCTTAATATGGAAGTAGATAATATTCAAGTGCCAGATGCACCAGATTTACTAGTCTTGAGCATTTGCTCATAGAGTTAACTACCATTTATTGAATATCTACTGTGTGCTGGGCACTTGGCTAGTTGTTTTCACATTCAGTCATTTAGTTATTTGTCCCTCACAATATGTTTATGAAGTTAATGCTAATGTGACACCATCCACTTTAGGGACCTGGAAGCCCCCTGCTGGGATGTAAAGCAGGTCTCTCCTCCAAGACATCACATTTGCTCCCAGGAACAAGACTCGTGTTTTATTTTCCTTTGCTCAGCTTGGCTTCAGAATTCGCAGCTGTCTAGATTGTCCATTTAGTTGCAAACTGCCAACTTGCAATTTTCTGCCATTCTTTAGAAATATAAGCAGCTACATGCATGAATTGGAATGACATCAAGTTTCATCATCTAGTTGCATTAATTTTCGTTTATCCCGGAATAAAGTCAGCAGTGATTATGAAAATATGTTTAGGTCACATGATTGTATCTAGAAATTGTGCTGTTCCTAGGAACTCAGGAACCGTCTGAGACACGGACTGCCAAGGTCGGTCCTTCACTGTGGATCTGGCTCCTGGGCATGGCATGAGAGGCACCTTTAGTAAGTGTCTACTCAGTGCTTGGTCCTTTGTCACATTATTTCTAATCATGCGTTATCTCTAATTTTCACAATGACTTGACAAGGTACGTATTATTATTTCCAGTGTATCAGAGGAGGAACCTTGTGACTGGCCTGTGTTTAACGTGCCTGACTTAGAGTCTGAGCCTTTTTTCTAAATTAAGATACATTCCAGATTCTTGAGTAATTGTTTGCCAGCCAATCCAAAGTGCTTTGAATCTTTAACTTCTATTTTTGCAGTGTGCAAAGCGCCTTATATGTAGATTGTTATGCAAGTACTCCTGCCAAGATTTATTGATCCATTTAAAAACAAACAAAATACCTTTGGGGTTAAAATTAAACCATTTGCAGCTCAAACTAGCATTTAGACATCTTCCTAGGGGTTGAAAGACATCTTCCAGTAACCACTTGGCCATGTATTTAATTACTCAATTCTCTGCTTCCTCTGTTTCAAAAAGGAGTTTCAAAATGGAAAAAAATACATACATATATATATATATATATGTACACATTCAGATTCAACTAATGATGGCAGATAGGTTAAAAAAATGAAACATGGCCAGGTGCGGTGGCTTACACCTGTAATCCCAGCACTTTGGGAGGCTGAGGCAGGTAGATTGCTTGAGGCCAGGAGTTCAAGACCAGCCTGGACAACATGGTGAAACCCTGTCTCTACTAAAAATACAGTACTCGGGAGGCTGAGGCCCAAGAATCGCTTGAACCCAGGAGGCAGAGGTTGCAGTGAGCCGAAATCGCGCCACTGCGCTCCAGCCTGGGCAACAGAGCGAGACCCTGTCTCAAAAAAAAAAAAAAAAAAAAAGAACTTTGTACACCATGGAATGTTCTACTTATTATTTTGTGCTACAATATGTGCTGTTTCTTTTGTTTGAATTGCAGATTGTCTACTATGAAGCAGGGATTATTCTATGCTGTGTCCTGGGGCTGCTGTTTATTATTCTGATGCCTCTGGTGGGGTATTTCTTTTGTATGTGTCGTTGCTGTAACAAATGTGGTGGAGAAATGCACCAGCGACAGAAGGAAAATGGGCCCTTCCTGAGGAAATGCTTTGCAATCTCCCTGTTGGTGATTTGTATAATAATAAGGCAAGTACAATATTGGACAACAACTGATTGTGTTTTAGGCTGATGAAGAGTGTCTCACATTTTTATGGTTAAACCATGAGTTTAAAACTAAACAAAATAGCAACAATGAAAAAAAAACCCACCAAACAGAAAAGAGAGAGCACAAGCGCTTGTCTAGAGTGATTCGAAAGGATCTCATTATCATCAGACATTAGCGTTGTAATGAAGCTGCCCCAGCTGAGCTGATGAGCCAGCCCTTTGGTATTTTTTTCCTCTTGAAGGTATCCTGAGAAATCTTGGACTGCAGAAAGGACTTACCTCCCAGCACAGCAGACTCCTCTTAATTAGCTATTTGCAGGCAGGCAGCATGCAGAAAAGAGAGATGGATCTGCAAGTTGATTTGCTAGTTGAGTCCAAAGGAATCTTGATGGACTGATGCAGTCCCTGAATTTGGAAATTTGAAAATATTGTAGAATGCAATTGACTTTCTAATAATAAACTCATTTTTCTTTTATGTGCTGTTAATCCGCTACCCTCCCTTAAGTCTGGAACACACTTCACGATTTAGGGTATTTCTGCTGCAGTGTCTGCTGCTTTCAAAAGTTTTCCAGTTGACTGGCAGATCAGAAATACATTGCTTTTAAGATGACGTTTTTTCGAGTCCAAATTAGATTGCTCATCTGAAGATGAGTGCGCCACAGCAGTGTTCCCTTGTTATGTTGCTTGGTTATTGTTCCACATTTCCTCATTCATTCCGCCACTGTTTCATGCAGCAGCAGAAATCAATGTGCCTATGACATGAAGGCACAGCAAGGGTTGGCCAACAGCATTCTCTTTGTTGTTTCTCCAAACACCACACGTGCTCAGTAGCCGTAAGATTTTTTTCAAGTTTTACTAAGGAAGTGATATTCAGGAATTTTAACAGAAAACAGTAAGTCCTGTGAGTTGGAGTTCTAGCTGCAAACCCAAGAAGGAAAGCCTTTAAGTGTGGCCACCAGCAGGGGTCTGATAAGATGTGTATGGCTTAGGGTGACCACTCATTGGAATGCAGTGTACCCATTGAAGAGGACTGGGCAGCTCTGGATTTGTTGATACCAGTCACCATGACAGATGAAGTGAAAAAGCAGGTTGCAGACCATGTGTAGAACATGGTAACTATGTTAAAAAAAAAAAAGATCAGGAAGGAGACACAAGCACTGGGTCATATTTTTATAGAGCAGATGGGATGTGAAAGGGTTGACAAGAAACTGGCAACAGTGGTTGCCTCTGGAAAGGAAATTGAGGGTTGTGGAGGGGAAGGAAGGAAACTCATTTCTTGCTGTAGCTGGGCTTTTTGTCTCTTTTGATTATGTACCAGGCTCGGGTATTACCTATTGAATTAACTTAACTGAAACTTGAACAGTGACAAAAAAAATCTTCACAACAGACAAAGGCCAATGCATTACCACTTACTCCAGGGCAGTGACTATTTAAGCAAAGACATACTTTTGCTCATAATAGTGGAATAATCGACCTTAACTATATATGTGTGTAAACAAGATCCAAGTGAATGTGTTAGCTGACTTCATGCATTGTTGGTTAGCCTGAGAGTTACTTGTTTTGTCTCCATGACATTGGGGTGTGGGCATCTCTGCCTGTCAATCTCTCTCTCCCTCTCTCTCTCTCTTTTCTTCCCTTTTCTGTCTCTCCTTGCCTCTCTGTATTTTTCTGTCACTGTCTGTCTCTTTCTCTGTGTCTCCAAAAATCATTTGATCCTTGCTATTTTTTTCACATTTGATTTTGAGAGGCAGTTTGGGATCAGGTCAGTAGTGGTCATTCCAAATGTCCCTGTCTCTCTCTGCTTTGTATTTGATATACTCTAAGGAATGCACAGACTCCTAGTTATAGGGGTAGTTACCTCTTTTTCAGCTACCAGAAGAATCTCGGTTACAGCCCTGAAACCTGTCAAACCCACCAGGGATCCCTGGTGTGTTTCCTGTAAGCCTGAAACTTACACGCCACATTTGTCTAGACACTTGCACAGCCATGTTTACCCGCTCCATACACCCTGGACCTCAAAGATGAGACTCGGATGTGAAAGCATCATCTGAAAATATTGCCCTTAGGGCTTCTAGTTAGAATGATTACTTATTTAACAAGTTAATAATTTTCACTTGATGTCAATACATATAGTATAATTTCAGGAAAATTCTTTATTGAATGTAGTTATTTATTTACCTGAATAAGTGTTTACATGTGTAATAATCGGTTTCCAATATATTGGGTTTCTTTGTTTTTTTGAGACAGAATCTCGCTGTGTCACCCAGGTTGGAGTGCAGTGGCGCTATCACAGCTCACTCCAACCTCCGCCTCCCGGGTTCAAGTCATTCTTGTGCCTCAGCCTTCCTAGTAGCTGGGATTACAAGCATGCGCCACCAGGCCCGGCAGATTTTTGTATTTTTAGTAGAGACGGGGTTTCACCATGTTGGCCAGGCTGGTCTCAAACTCCTGGCCTCAAATGATCTGCCCTCCTCGACCTCCCAAAGTGCTAGGATTACAGGTGTGAGCCACCGTGCCTAGCCACTACAATGGGTTTCTTTTTCAAAATTGAACTTTTATTTGCATTACATATAGTTATGTGTTATGCATGTTATAGTTCACTCTCAGCTGATTGAGTTATTTACATTATGTTGAAAATGCCAAAATATATCAACAATAAAGCTACAAAGTAAAAAATAAACTTGGCTTCCATTTATATATAAAATGAAAGCTACCGTTTTGTTAATTCTTGAGAACTCAGACCTATCAAATCAATATATGTTTTTTCTAAGTATATTTTAATTTAGAAAATTCTTTTTAAAAATGCATGCTGTGATTCTATACCCTCCTACACATTCAGTTAAAACAATTTTTTTCCCCACCCAAGTAAAACATTAATGTGAAAATTGTAATTTTAGATTTCAATATAATTAAACCAAAATTGATCAACTGAGATTGTGACAAAACTAAAACTAATTTGATTTCATATAGCACATTGAATTTATGTATAAATTATAAATAGGCTTAAATAAGAGTAGTGTGTGAATTTTTTTTTCTCACTTTAAATTCTGATGAGAATTTAAGCTTCTTTGCCTTGAACTTTTTGATTTACGGTAGCTATTTTAATGGCTTCCTTTTGAAACCCCCACTGGTTTGCAAATACCTTAAACATCATGAGTTGCATAATACCTACATATTGTTTGCAAGTAATCCAAGCTAGGCAGGAGGATTAAAGACCTGGGGAAAGTTAAGATTTCTCTATTATGAGTAGTTAGACAGGAGAAGAAAGAATGTCAACAAAATCAGAAGATTAGATAAAAATAAGAAGGACAAGAATGTCAACAAAATTGGAAGGCAGAAAGGGAAAGAAAGGAAGTGGAGGGAAAGATAGGAGAGTGGACTCTCTCTTGTTTAATGCAGGGCCTCTAGCTGACATTGACTTCAGCGGAGATGGGACACTATTGAGAAATAATCTTTGCATGTGATTTTTAAAAAATTCTTTCAGAAACCCAGAGCAGTCCACCTGCCTTTTATTGGACTCAATTTCATTTTGTGGCTCAAAATATTACAATTAAATGCAGTTGGTTTTCAAGTTAGTTTTGAGCATCCTTTTTTATTTTAAAAAATGTAAATCTTTTCTTTAGGGGGTGAAGGGAAGACATAGGTGTTAAGGAGAAAGATGCCCTAGCAGATGTGCAATCTACGTGGGCATGTTCTTTCTCTGAGGGTTCCCAGAGGCAGCTGTGGAATGTGAGAATTCCGTAGACACTGACATATGTTTATGCAGTCTGTTTGACCATCAGCACAAGATCGAATTTCCACCCCTCACTGTAGACTGTTAAGCAGATGTGTCTTACTCCAGAAAAAGCCAACTTTCTTCTCCTTTCTTTCTTTTTGCTTGTCACCGCTGCATTTCTCATAAAGGTTATGGAAGGAAAAAAAAAAACCATGACTTGACTTCCTTTGTATGTTTCTAAGTTTCTGAGTATGATAAGCCAGTCTTGCTAATAATTCCCATGGTGAATTGAATTCCAGTCATTTTCAGGAAGCTGGCTATTTTCAAAGTTCATTTTATACTAGGACGTGATTGCCAATTCCTGAATGGGAGGCTACAAGGTTGTGGAAAAAAGATTGAGCTAGATGTAGCAGTCCTGAAAATCATGAAACTTTCTTCATGTGAATGAGGTCTGGTTACTTACAGTTTAAATGTAATTTTTCTGTTTTTTAATAAGAGAGCTGTTATAGACTGAAAGCATTTGTTTGGCTTTCTTTGGCTAATTTTATTAAATCAGTAGAAATTGGTAAGAGCAATACAGTTACAAGTTTTAAAGTAAAGGTTTAAAAGTAAGGTTTAGCCTTACTCTGTAAAAAGCTTGTAAGTGTATATGTGAGAAAATTGTTTTTTCCATAATAAAATATGGAAGATGTAAGGCCATAAAAATAAAAATTCCTATCTTCTGCTAAAAATTCTAAGAGATTTTGTTGTACTGCTTAAAAGCATATGTTTTAGATTGTTTAAAGGCATTTATGTCAAATGCCAGAGAACTGATATTCACTGAAATATGATTTCCTTTTTGTGTTAGGTAAATGTCTCTTGGTATCATTGTATTCTAATAATTGACTGGAGGTTGTTCAAATAAAAATATTTATTCACATACCTTTTTTTTGCTAAAAAATACACTGAACAACAGGGAGTGTCTAAATCAATACCTCAAAGCATAATTTCTTTGTTCTTTATTTGTGTTTGAATAGAAGGTTTAAATTTGAGATTGCACATGGAGACCATCAGTTGGTCTGCATAGTATTTAAATTTTTTTTGTTAGTTGCTAATATTTAAAAATTGGGATATTTCACATAAGAATCCAGATTCCCAGATTTTTGTGGATAATGGGAAGATACGGTAATATTTATCTGCCATCATGGTGGTGCTTTTGAGACCTGCAGATTTAGCTGCTCCTCCAGCCCATTTTTGATCTCCCAGCTCCCATGACCCCCTGCTACCCAATTTTTCTTTAATGCTTTCTGCCTGCTTACACAGGCATTAGAATTTAAATACAAAATTTACTTTGTGCATTAGTTTGAAAATCAGCTTTGAAAATCACTAACTTCTACTCTATAATTATACTTAGTAGAGATTTTTTTTCTTTTTCTCTTTAATAATGGGGTCTTGCTATATTGCCCATGCTGGACTTGGAACTCCTGGGCTCAAGTGATTATCCCATGTCGGTGTCCCAAGTAGCTAGGATTACAGGCGTGTGCCACCACACCCAGCTTAGTACAGTTTTTTTAAAAAATTATCAATGCTTTAATTTTAATTAGATCTATTATCGATTAGTAGAAATGTAGGTCTAAAATATGTAGCATTGAAATCGAGTGTTGTAGTGAAATGTATTGCAATTCATTTCACTGACTGATGATCTTGTGAGTAAGGACATTTATTCAATAAAGGCACAAAGACAGTTTCTGACTCACACTTAGACATACGGCCAGTCTTCTAAATAGCCCAAATGAAACCAAAGCTTGACCCCTAAACTCACCTTCCTGGAGCACCCGGTGTAGACAAGACTGCATTATACAAAGTTAACAAAGAAGTAGTTTCCACCTCTTTTTAGGAAAATTAAACATAGATAAGAATAAAGACACATTAGAGTCTGAAGTGAGACATATCCCATCAGAATTAAAGGGAGCCTCTGGGAGTTCAAGGCAAGGAGGTTCTTCTCCCTCTTGGGGATGGGTGGAGGGGTCAGTGAGGGTCAAGTGAAAGTGGACTTGGACTGGTGCTTTTCTCCCAAGTTCACTTTGACTTCTTGTATCTGGAATCTGACGAGTGAATAAAATAATCTGGGCATGCTGGGAAGAGAGAGCAAGAGTCCCCATTGTGAACATCAGGTATGTTCAGGTGGTGAGCCTGACTTGTCATGGTCTAGCATGTTTTGAATTTGGCATGGCAGCAAGCTCCAGGTGCATTGCTGACTCAACTTTTGTGTGTGTGTGTGTGTGTGTGTGTGTTTCTTCTTCACAAAACTCCAAAATCATTATTTTGAGTCATTTGACCTCTTTGGCATGAGTGCCTGATTTCATAACTCTTATTGCTGTAGTGCATTGACTCCCAAAATACCAATGCAAATTTAGGACAAATTATAAGGCGGTCATTCCAAATGGGACAGAATATTGTTAATATTTATTTTATAAGATTACCATCAGAATTAACCCAAACTTAAAAATCTTAGAGAACGTGTACATCCAGTACTACTCTCCTTTACAGCTTGAGAAGCACTTATCTAATCTAAGTTAGACTGGATCTAATTTATCTAATTACACCTAAAGATCTAAACTGATCTTTTCAGTTTGGAGGTACCAACTGGAGTCCACAGAAAGAAAGTGATTTTCTTTGGCTTGTACAGTACGGTGGTGGCAGGACAGGACCCAGAACCCAAATCTTGTGCCCCTAGTCTAGTATTCAGTACACTGCAACTTGTTGACCATAGGAAATATCCCTCAACGTTATATTACATAAACTTTTTTGGAGCATTTTGGGAAACCTAATAGACCTATGTTATACTGCAAAGGAAAAGTATGTTTTGAAACCAGTAATGAACCAATGCTCCTTGGAATGTATTTATACTATAAGTGGGGTGAATAACTGTCCCCATTTACCCAGGATGGAGAAATGGGACATGGGATTTTAGGTACAAAAAATGGGATGTTTAGTCATCCTACCCGTAATTATATGCACGATAAAGCCTCAAGACATTGCTTTTGCTGAAGAGGCAATGTATTGATTTTCTGCATCTGATATGTTTTTAAAGTTTGCCTATTATTTGCAAAACTTTAGTTCTAAAACCATATCTACATCTTCCACTGGATGATTACAAACTAACAAGTTTTTTACTTGCTTCTGCAGGTAAAAATAGTTCGGCTATGTTTATGTAGTTCCTTACTGCCATCTAGTGGCCAAATTCAACAGAACCTTGGCAATTAGCACCTTCTAATGGAACGTTTTTTGCCACAAAAACAGGCCAATTGGTCAAATTATTTTAAGTCAAAGGATTATTAGTAACTAGTCAACAGTAAGAGCCCTTAAAAATTATTACATTAGACATTTTAGATGGCTTGAAAAAAGACGTTTTGGTTTTTTCACATAGAGAAGGCTTTCCTGTAAGATGCCTTTCATATGGCGTTTTTGCAGCTTTTTTTGAAGTATATTTCACATGGAGGAAAGTGTCCTTTTCACAAGTACATATGCGTAAGTGTCCATGAAGTGAATCCACCCACGAACAGAGTACTCTGCCATTCTACCCCTGCTCTGGGCATAACCACTGACTTCCAGCACCACCGTTTCACTTGTTTTTGCACTTTCTGTAGATGAAATAAAACATAGGTGCTCTGTTGTATGTGGCTTCTCACATACCATTTTAATGCTAAAGTAACTCATGTTACTTTCCAACCTGGACAATACAGGCACTAACAGACAATTAGAGAAACCAAAAGCCTTAGAAGCCCAAGTACTCTTAACCATTTTGATGTTTTTTTCTATAGCCTTCTTTGGGGGGTCAGGGAGCAGAAGTGTGTGTGTGTGTGTGTGTGCGTGTGTGTGTGTTCACACACATGCATATGTTCACACAGGAGGGTGTGTACACACATTCACATGAGGACAGGAATGGGACTGGATCATGCATGCTGCCTTATAACCTTTTTGCACCTATTTCCTCCACAATTTGTTGTGAACATTGTTCCATTGACGAGAGTCATTTTGAACAGAATGGAAATTTGCCTCCTCTGAGAGGACTGAGTCCTGTTTTGTAGCCCCTACGTGGGTGGTGGTTTGACTGTGGGATGGCGGTGGGAAGGATGTGGGAGGAGAGGGCAGCGGGAGAGGAAAGGCCAGTCCTTCTGCGGGCTCCTCCCTGACTCCTGCTCTGCTGCCTGGACCTGGACAAAGAACCATGGACCACACAGTAAATGCTCTTTCTTCTCTCTGCCTTTTCCTGCAGCATTGGCATCTTCTATGGTTTTGTGGCAAATCACCAGGTAAGAACCCGGATCAAAAGGAGTCGGAAACTGGCAGATAGCAATTTCAAGGACTTGCGAACTCTCTTGAATGAAACTCCAGAGGTAAAAACCATCATCTCTATGTACCGCGATGCTTTATATTTTTGGTTTTTTGGAGTTCCTGTGTATATTTGGAATCTCAATCAAACCTTCTAGAAACACAGTGAATCAGCGTAGACTGGTGTTATCTGTTAATGTCCTGGATGAATAAATAAAGCCCTGGAAAGTGATTTTCAAGAGTACAAAAGCCGAATTTCAGAATTGGTGTTTTTATTTTATTGAGATATAACTTAACATTACAGTACATATTATAGAAGGACTTAACACTTTTAAGGTTCTTATGATTTTTTAAAAAAATGAAAGTTTTTGGGCCTTATTATCCTTTCTTTTTGGCAGTATAGTTAACTTTCCATCACTTGTACAAAGTTACTCTTGTAATGAAACCATCCAGCTTTATAAACATCCATTTGCTAATGTCTGCATAGATATATCGAATTCCTTGGGAAGGACACACAAGCAGTCTCTATCACACACACACACATACACACACACACGTACACATACTCACGGACACACAAATTGTCTTTAGAGAAGGGCAATGGGATGGTTGAAGGTTGGGGATGGGAGAGGAAGTACCCTTTCTTCTGTATTCCAGAAGTATGTTGATGAATTACCTATTCAGAACATCGTTTTAAAAAGTGTCTGGGCAGGAAGCAGCCTAAATGTGTGATGCTCATGGGTTCCAACTTGTCAGAAAGCAGAAAGGTTTCTAGGAACTTGCTGGTTACCTGAAAATGTCCTGATTCAGGAAAACTTTTGTATATTAAATCTCTTTTTGCCCTCTTATTGCCTTTGGACCTTAGAAGGGGAGGTTTCACAGAATGTTCTTTTTTCAGCAAATCAAATATATATTGGCCCAGTACAACACTACCAAGGACAAGGCGTTCACAGATCTGAACAGTGAGTAAAATTTAAAGTTGCTTCACATTTTTTTTCTTTGTTTTGACTCATCTCCCATAAAACATGGACTAAGAAATGACGTACGTGAAAGTTGGGGGAAGACAGAAAGATGATTCCCTAGCCTTATTGCCAATGTGTCATTTGTTACTCAGCGATTAGAATCTAGCCCTCATCGAAGGCATCTGTTTCACAGGCAGCAGGACCTTTTGTTTTTTCATTTTACACTTACTGGAAAGCTTTAGCATTCTTGCAGTCACAAGCTCTCATTCTCCATTTCCTTCGTGAGGGAAAGATTGTTTTCCTGCCAGGTGCCCTGCACAGACGCAGCCAGCTCCTCAGAGAAACCGGTGGCTTCAGAAATGGCTGGATGGAGAGGGCTCAACCCTGCATGCCACGGTTTAGCTTAGTGCTTCTCAACTGGGGGTTGATGTTTGGCACATTTGGTGACATCTGGAGACATTTTGGGTTGTCACAATGAGGTGAAGGTGGGGTGGGGACAGTGCTACCAACATCTAGCGTGTCAAAGCCAGGGATGTCTCTAAGCATCCCGTAATGCTCACAACAGCCCCCACCAGAGTGCAGTCCAGGTGCGAACTCTGGTCTAGCCGAAGAGGTTAGATACACAGAGAGTTACACACAGGTCAAGATGATAACACCATGCTCCTGGTGAGTCTGTAGTGATTAATTTTTCACTGGGGAACAGTTGGTGCGGAGACCCTGAAGAGAAATCTCCATACACGAGTTTAACCCCTAGACAGGGTCCAGGATGCAAATGGGTTTTGCAGCAGGAGGGGCTTGAGGCAGTGTGGAGAGAATGAGGGAGGGGTGGAGAGATGAGCAGAGGCCACCCTCACCATCTTTGTGCTTATTTGCATGTAGGTATCAATTCAGTGCTAGGAGGCGGAATTCTTGACCGACTGAGACCCAACATCATCCCTGTTCTTGATGAGATTAAGTCCATGGCAACAGGTAAGCAGTGGGCAAAAATGACCAAAGAAAGTTCCATCCAGGAGTCCCTGGGCTTGGCAGGCTTGCTCACTCTTTTCTTGTTCCCTGAGAGCTGGCTTGGGGAGAGCCACCGTCCGTGGCCATGCAGACAGTTCAGGTCAAGACACTGTGTTGCAATAGCTTGGTGGTGCTCTTTATTAAAGCTTGTGCCAAAGCTGTTGCCATTTCAGATGATAGGGCGGAATTTGTTAGGGGCCCACCACCTGTTTTTTAAACACAGTTTTATCGGAACACAGCCATACGCATTTGTTTAGATATCATCTGTGGCCGTTTTCGTGCTATGATGGCAGAGTTGAGTCGTTGGAAGAGACATAGTGTAACCCACAAAACCTAAAATATTTACCGTCTATCTGGCCTTTTATAGAAAAATTTGTTGACCCTGATACAGAAGACGAGGAACCTATAGACATTTAGGTCAATCAGAGGGAAATTGATTCCTTTTTCCTTCCTGAAAGAGAAACTTAGAAGCAAGAAATATACATATATATCTTAAGCCTCCATGGTCAATGGTATAAGTGACAGATATACTGATTTTAATAAACTGCATGCTCCACTGTAATGAAAAAAGACCTCCTAGGCCCTTCCTAATGTTGAGAAAAATGTCCTTGCTAGGTACTTGATAGAGAGGACAATTACATCTATGTAAAACACTCATTTTGCCAATATGAATTTTACTTTCATGAGCTAGCATCCCTGAGAACATAGTCCATAAAGAAGAGAATTGCGTGGAAATTGGAAAATTATTCCAGTTCCTTTTGGCATGCCTTATAGTTCAACAACTGAGACAAATGTGCAGAAACTGGAGGACGTGCAGAACAGGCCAGGAGTTGTTAAGATGAGTCCTAACTAATTGAAAGGCCTTTCCTTCCCTTTCTCCTTGACCCTGCAAAGGGTCCAGCCAACAACAACATTCTCGACATCGACAATAACATCACGAACAACATCCTCTGTTGTTGATGGCTTAGATTTCTCTAGACATCTGTTCTCTTCATTACCAACCATTTTCTTTCCAGGCAAGGAAACGGAGGCCCAGAGAAGGGATATGACCTCAGAGACCATTGCCTCCTGCCTTCCTGTCCTGGCTTTTTCCACGTGGCTTCTCCATTCCTTCTTTCTTTCCTTCCTCCCTCCCTCCCTCCCTTTCTTTCTTTCCCTCCTTCCCTTCTTCCCTCCTTCCCTCCTTCCTTCCTTTCTCCTTCCCTCTCTCCCCTACTCCTTTCTTCCTTGCACACCTGGCCCCTGTCCATCATTCCAGTCTCATTTCCTGTCTGGGACACTCATCTCTGATGTCCCTTCCTCTTCTTGTAAGAACATCAGTTCTGTTGGATTAGGGACCCACCCTTATGACCTTATTTAACGTTAGTTACCTCCCTAAACTTCACATCAGTGGTTAGGGCTTCAACATACGAATCTGGGGGAGACATACTTCAGTCCATAGCAATTGGGTAGCTGGGGGAAGTGGTGGAGTTGGGATTCAGACCCCGTTCTAGCAAGAGCCCGTGTTACCTGGACCACCCTAGATGGGACTTAGTACCTTGAAGAGTGTTAAGATGGCGGGTGTTGTGGTGACATCCACAAGGAGGCAACACATGCACCTCTGGAGGGAGAATTGGAAATCTGGGATTCCAGTGCTCACATGGCCCCAGATGATGCCAGGCAACACTGCAGCCTGGATCCCTCGTGCGTCAGTGCGTTTGCAATATTGAACAAGATCTTTTTGTTTTCCAAAAGCTTCAAAGTATTTTATGTCTATAACATATTAACTGGGTTGTAACTCTGGGAGTCATTCCAGGCCCACCAAGCTCACATATATTATGTGACTGCAATGTTGAAGAGATCACATATATTATGTTCGCAATATTGAAGAGATCCAAGGTCTCTTCCAGCCCCAAATTAAGTAACAGTGAAGGCTGGGCAAAAGTATATGAATGATGGACTGTGGTTGATGCATACCTTTACTTTTTGCCCAATGTTCTTGCAATTTTTAGTAACTGAATTTTAGTACTTTTTAGGTAAAAGATAACTCAAAGATTCTCTTTTTCTCTTCAGTGCCTCGTGTGTTATTATTAAAGTTCTTTTTTTTTGTTTTTTTAATTCAGCTGGAATAAGTTAAAATTTAGCCTCTGGTGTTGCCAGAACTTCTTAAAACATGCTTAATAAACTACTCCAGCATTTTTTTTTTTTTTTTGGCTAAAAATGATTTGCAGCCCTGTGTGTTTAGTGGGTTTTGGAGAGAGCAGAAACATGCAATTATTTTGGTGTGCAAATCATATTTGGACTGCAGATCAGGACCTATAAAGGAAATATACTATGGGCTGGCAAAATGGTAATTAAGTAAAATTAAGAACCTTAGATATCTTTTCCACTTACTTCAGATACATAACATATATGATCCTGGTGGGCCTGGACTGACTTCCAGAGTTACAACCCAGTTAATAGTTTATAGACATAAAATACTTTGAAGCTTTTGGAAAACATGTATTTATTACTTCTGAGTCCTCCGTGTGACATGACAGAATATTATCCATGGGCTAGAATGGCTATGAACAGTGCTTAATACACATTTCCTGGGCCATGCATTTATTTTATCACCTGTCATTCTCTGTTGTTGTTGGTGGTGGTGGTGGTGGTTCTTGCCTTAAGATAACTTATCCTGAAGTCAAAGTGAAAAGGGCCGTGAGGAGTAAACCACAGAACATTAAAACATGAAGTGTGTTTTAGCCTGCTCTTTTGTGTTCTTCTGTGTATTTCTGAGTATTTCTGTGTATTTCTGGTGTATTTCTGTGTATTTCTGGTTGCAGCTGAGTTCTTTTCTGTTTTGCTGTGGTTAATATTTATTGAGCTTCTGCTATGATCCAGATACCAGACTTCATGCTTCACCGACAATACTGGATGATAGGTGGGAGAGATGAAAAACTGATACCCAGGGTGCTCTTCGATAGTCCTAAATATTATTACAACCTTAAATATTGTTAAGCTATGATTAGACTGAAATTCAAGAGAAAATACTGTTTGAAGCAGAGTTTAAGGTTTTCTATTCAGGTAAAGTGATAGAAATTTGAGACCAAGGAGGATACAGTTCAATTCTGGAAGCCTCCCCAGGTCTCTGGGTACATCCTCAAAGCTAGGTTGCAGTATCTAACCAGACCTAGTGAGCATGGGGGAGACCATCTCCTAAGAGCTCAGCCCCACAAGCTATTAGGGCACAACCTGGAATCAGACTCTTCTAGTAACCAGGAGGTGACCCAACACACTCCCTAATTTATAGATGAGACCAAGGTCCTGAGAAGTGAGAGTTTGCCAGATGTGCTGTAGCAGGGTAGAAGCAGAACTGGGATGCAACCTCGGGCTACTTTTGGCTAGACTCAACACGGAAACATTTTTAAAATGTGTGTGTGTGTGTGTGTGTGTGTGTATTTTTAACACTCAAGTATTTTCTGTTATGTGGCTGCCAGGAAAGGGTGGGGAAGCCAGTTTTTAAGGGCATTCATTCTTTTCCTTGAAACACCCAATTGCAGCTTGATCCTCCACCATCTGTTCTGTGAACCACAGAGCGAAGACCTGACCAAGAAGATTTATTTGCTTAGAAGAAGAGCAAAGCCCTCTAATTTAAATTTCACATCTTTTACTGCTGTGGCTTTAAGCCACTGTAGAAAAAAAGTTGTAATTCCCTACCTCCCTAGTCATGTATAGGTAGCTCCATCATCCAGATAGATCAGGATAGCAAACAATTTTTCTGGGTTTCCTGGTACTAGATGCCCCTCCAAATACACGATGGGGGTTACATCCCAATAAACCCATGGTGAACTGAAAACATTGTTTAAGTGGAAAATGCTTTTAATACACTGTAGAATATGCGTTGTTTGCCCTCTTGATTGCATGGCTGACTGAGAGCTGTGGCTCGCTGCCACTGCAAGAGAGTACCCTACCACATATCACTAGCCTGGGAAAGTTCAAAATTCAAAATTCAAAATTTGAAGTACGATTTTAACTGAATGCATATGGCTTTCCACTAACATAAAGTTGAGAAATCATAAATTGAACTGTTGTTAGTTGGGTACTCTCTGTATGAGAATGTGTCCTAGGGGGTAGGGTTTGCAAAATTAAACAGACCACTGCCTTTGAGGCATTTTCATCTGGCCGATCTAACCCCCATGTTGCATGATGAATGTGGTGGTGTTTCAGTACTTGAAGATGAGGAAATTGGCTCAGAGTGGTTCAGGAGCCTATTTTTAGTCACACAGCAAATAGCAAAGCTGAGATCCATGCCTAGACCTGCCTGAATCTAAAACCGTGCTCTTAACTACTGTGCTAGTTTTGATTCCAACTCTTAGAATAAATAGAGCTAAAATATATCTGGGCGTAATCCATTTTGATGTGCATTTACACTGCTGGGATTGACTTGTTTGGACTGAGCTCTTCGAGGCTGGGTGGTGACAACTTTGCTGGCCACTGCTGGCCAGTTAATGCTGCATTGAGGTGTCCCCATCATGCTCCTGGGTTGGTGCTTGCCCCCTGCTTCTTGTTGGAAAGAGACCCCAAGTGGAAGAGTGGAGCTAGTTGGAGCAGCTGTTAGAGCAGCCTAGCGATGCTCCTGTATTCCCCTCTCAGACTGCCCCTTGCAGTGTGTCCCTCTCACTGCCATCTAAAGTCATTTACCAGTCCATCCCAAGTCCCTTTAGACACACTTTTGTAGATGAGGAGGGACTTGGCATGTGTGTTCTGAAGCGGGCTGTGTTTCCATAGCGATCAAGGAGACCAAAGAGGCGTTGGAGAACATGAACAGCACCTTGAAGAGCTTGCACCAACAAAGTACACAGCTTAGCAGCAGTCTG
This sequence comes from Homo sapiens, assembly GCF_000001405.40. Taxonomy (NCBI): domain Eukaryota; kingdom Metazoa; phylum Chordata; class Mammalia; order Primates; family Hominidae; genus Homo; species Homo sapiens. The sequence goes on along the minus strand of NC_000004.12, from coordinate 16,018,451 downwards.
ACCAGCGTGAAAACTAGCCTGCGGTCATCTCTCAATGACCCTCTGTGCTTGGTGCATCCATCAAGTGAAACCTGCAACAGCATCAGATTGTCTCTAAGCCAGCTGAATAGCAACCCTGAACTGAGGCAGGTGAGCAGGCATGAGCTTGCCATGGTCAAGGGCTGCATGCTGGGGATTGCCGGGCAGGGCTAAGCGTGGGTGACCTATCCAGTGCATGGTGGCCTGACTTGGAGAACAGTTAGCCCCTGGCCTCTATCAGCCTTCTTGAGTCATTTGATCACCATATTGGAATGACCACAGCAGGAGCAAAGGAGTAAAAGGGAACCGCTTCATGAGAGTTCTCTGCCATTGAATGAAACATATCAGAATTAATTCAACTTTACAAAGAAAAAAGGAAACAGAATATATTCATGTAGACCTTTAAGAATTAAAAAATTTTTAAATATGTGCCTAGTCTATTAGCCATGTATGCTGAAATAGAAGAAAATTCGATTTTCCCAAAGAAAAGATTTTTTAAAAAGAATTTGGAACAACTTGGATTACATGAAGTTCTGAGATATAGGTAAAATGACCATGTCTATTAATGATGTCTAACTGATTTAGTTAGATACACACCTCACTTTTTTTTTTGAGATGGAGTCTCACTCTGTTTCCCAGGCTGGAGTGCAGTGGCACGATCTCAGCTGACTGCAACCTCCAACCTCTTGTGTTCAAGTGATTCTCTTGCCTCAGCCTCCTGAGTAGCTGAGATTACAGGCACCCGCCACCATGCCTGGCTAATTTTCGTATTTTTAGTAGAGACAGGGTTACGCCATGTTGGCCAGGCTGGTCTCAAACTCCTGACCTCAAGTGATCTGCCTGCCTTAGCCTCCCAAAGTTCTGGGATTACAGGCATGAGCCACCACGCCCGGACACCTCACATTTTATATAAAATAACATTTTAGTATAGATACATTTTTCTTACTTTTACATTTCATTCCATTGTTTTTCAGACATTTCACCTGCGACATCTGTGTCTGGATATCACTATAATCATTTTTGATTGAACAGTTTTTTAGAGCTTAGTTGCAACTGAGTTGTTTGAGATAGATCCTTTTGGGGTGCACTTTTTATTTTTAATATGTATCAAACATGTGGAAAACTTGCAAGATGAACGCATGGATCCCTGTTCACACCCTTTGGCCACATTCTTCAAGGGTCACGATTTTGCACCATTTGCTTTATCATATTTTATCAGTTTATCTGTCTGTTCATATCATTTAATATATACATGCATAAAATAATATGCATTTTGTTCTTTTCTCAAAAGGTAAGTTGGGGATAAGTTGTAGACATCATCATGCCTTTTTACCCCTAAATATTTTATTGTCCTTCCTAACTTTACATAATCATTATATAATGATCAAAATTAGGATAACATTGACCCGACACTACCATTTAATCCACAGTGTGCATTCAAATGTTGATCTTTCCAGAAATGCCTTTTATAACTATCTTCTCTTTTTCCAGTCTCAGGTCCAGGCCAGGATCACACATTGTCATTTATTGTCATGTCTCTTTCATTCCTGTTAATCTGGAACAGTTTCTAAGTATGCCTTTTCTTTTGTGACACAGACATTTTTGAACAGGCCATTTACTTTGTAGAATGGTCTTCAGTTTAGGGTTGTTTGATGTTTTCTTGGGATTAAAGTTACTCATATTTGCCAGGGAACTATCACAGTAGTGATATTATGTTCTTGGACATCATGTGGGAGGCATATGATGTTCGTCCCAGTATTGGTAGGAGCTAGAGAACTTCAAATCCATATATAATACTGTAAGTGGAAAAACGATTCCAGATTACTCACTAATATAACCACTGACTACATTGCTTTTAAAAGTGACTTTAAAAAGGTTGTTTACAATTTTATTGGACCATCTTTAGTATTTGAAGTTGTGAAGTCATATATATTACATTTGTGTTACATTTCTTTGCCTCTTTTTTTTAGCTGGTTACAGCAAGAGACCTCCAGACATCAAAAAATTAGTGCTTGTCAAGGAGGGTCTGAGCTGTGTTTTTCCGAAATAAAACTCTATTGTTCAAAAGAAACTGCGATTGTACCCTGTAGTATAGATGCTTTGGGACTTGGAATATACAATGACTTCTTTCTTCATGAGGAATTGTTTTGAAGGTAACAACCTTGTCTTATATTTTGTTTTATAAATTTTCAGCTTCCACCCGTGGATGCAGAACTTGACAACGTTAATAACGTTCTTAGGACAGATTTGGATGGCCTGGTCCAACAGGTATGCTTTTGGAAAAAATACAATCACTGATTTTATATCATTTTAAAGGGTGGACTAGTACATAAGAAAATAGGAAATAGCAAAAAAGCAGTGAAATTCTAGAGAAAGGTTGCCAAGAAGGGTGATAGCTATTACCTTCCAGGCAATTGTGTTCATCCTTCCAGTTCCCAGAATTTTTGTTAAGCATCTATGATGTGTGAAGTGGCATGCTAAGACCATGAGAGATCAAGAAGAACATGACCTCTGCTTTCCTAGGCCTCAGAATTTAGTGGGTGTGATGTTGAACCCCACACTGATTCTGATACAAAATGCTGTCCCCCTCTGCCAGTGAGTCAGCTATACTGGTTTTCTTTTTGCTCTTACCCACCTTCACGCATTTGCACATGCTCTTCCCTCTGCTTGGCACTCTCTTCTTTTCCCCTCTCCAAGTAGCTAGCTACTTAGTTGTTTTTTTGTTTTGTTTTGTTTTGTTTTTTGAGGTGGAATCCCCCTCTGTCACCCAGGATGGAGTACAGTGGTACGATCTCGGCTCACTGCAACCTCTGCCTCCCGAGTTCAAGCGATTCTCCTGCCTCAGCCTGTTGAGTAGCTGGGATCACAGCTGTGCGCCAACATGCCTGGCTGAGTTTTGTATTTTTAGTGGAGATGAGGTTTCACCATGTTGGCCAGGCTGGCCTCGAACTCCTGACCTCAAGTGATCTGCCCCCCTTGGCCTTCCAAAGTGCTGGGATTACAGGCATGAGCCACCACACCCAGCCGCTACTTAGTTTTTTAAGCTTCATATATCACCTTCTTCTTCTTTTTTTTTTTTTTTTTTTTTGAGATGGAGTCTTGCGCTGTTGCCCAGGCTGGAGTGCAGTGGCATGATCTTAGGTCACTGCAACCTCTGCCTCCCAGGTTCAAGCGATTCTCATGCCTCAGCCTCCTGAGTAGCTGGGATAACAGGCACACGCCACCACACCCTGCTAATTTTTGTATTTTTAGTAGAGATGGGGTTTTGCCATGTTGGCCAGGCTGGTCTCGAATTCCTGACCTCAGGTGACCCACCCGCCTCGGCCTCCCAAAGTGCTGGGATTACAGGCATGAGCCGTCACGCCCGGTCCATATATCACCTTCTTAACAGACCTTTCCTGGGCTTCTTGACTAGGTCAAACCCTTTTTAATACATTCCTGCAGCATTGCAAATATTCTCTGTTAATTTCCTCATAACTGTAATTATTTCTTTAATGTCTCCCTTCCCACCACTGAACTGTAAACCCCCAAAAACGCAGGGACAGCATTGGTCTGGAATTCCCTGATTTCCCCAGTAGCTTACCAAATCTTGCTCTTTATTCAACTAATAGATACTGAGTATGCAATAAATATTTCTTTTTAGATTATGGTTCAGTAGAGTGCCTGGGCCTATGGGAAAATGAGAGAATAGTTTTATTCTTAACTCTGTCTTTTAGGATGGATGTAAAAAGTCTCAAATCTCTATTAACCCATTTATGCCTAGTGTTCTATTATTGGAACGCTAAGCTTGTGGGAGTTATTTATATCCTACTGCCAAATGTCATCATCAGGTTCTGATTTTTCACAAAAAATATTTGCAACCTTCAGCATAAATGGATTAAACACTTGTCTACATGTGTTTACCAGACACTTACTTACCGACAAAGTAAGTGGTCCCTTAAACAAGTTATTCCAAATTTCTTGGTCTTTGCACTCTGGTGTTACTTCATTTGTTAAAGAAGGCATTGAACCGGGAGATCTGTAAGACACCTTCCAGCTGTGAAACCCCCCATGACATCTGCAAGTCCAGACACAGATGAATGTCAAGGAGTCAGGCATATAGAAAACCAACACAAGCACCGGTGTGCTGAGTAGCTTAGTCTCCTTGGAGGAAACGGAAGTCATGGATGTTCATTTTGTGACATCTGATGTAGCTAGGCTAAGGTGGAAACTGGCTGGCACCATAAGTCTTATGAAGGCTGAAAGTGCTGTACTTTTCCCTGGCAGACGGCTAAGTACACCAGCAGACAGTGAAGAAACACCCACTAAACCTCTTCCAGAGGAAAGGCTGCACGTTTAGTTGAATTATTTGGAAATAATGATATTTCCCTCTCATGGGGGGTTTAGCCCCAAAGCCCTATCGCTCGGCACGGTTGTTTTTTGTTTTTGTTTTATCCTCACCACAGTTGTATCCTCTGTAAGCCATGCTTTAGGACATTTTTTTTTTTCGTTTAGACTATATTTCTAATTTTATTTTTAATTAGAAAGTAAGATTCTGTTTTTAGAAATTCACTTTCTGTCTGCCCATGGGATAGTGTACCGATCAGTGTCTCTTAACCTCAGCACTGGTGACACTGTGCATGGCTGTTAGCGGCGGGGGCTCTCCTGTGCATGGTTGGGTATTTATTAGCATCCCTGGCATCTCCCCACACAATCCCAGCAGCACCCCACAACTGTGATAACCAAAATGTCTCCAGACTTTGCCAAACATACCCTAGTTGAGAACAAAATTTCTCCCAGTTGAGAACCACTGGTATAGATGTATGTACCCATAATAGTACCTAGGCTCTGTGTAAATATGTTGATTTTAAAATTATGGGGACCCCCTATATGAAAAACTTCTAACACGACCTTTGATTGATATAATTTAAAGACAATGCTCTCTAAAGGGGATTTTTTTAGACTCTTGATGACCATATAATGATCATTTCACCCTTAAGATGAATGTTATATTTTTATTTTGCCTCTCTACTCGTACTGAGTTGCAAAATGAGTGACTAGTCAACTAGTCTTTGACTTAACTGTGTACATCCTTTTATTTTGAAATATTTTTCAGGGCTATCAATCCCTTAATGATATACCTGACAGAGTACAACGCCAAACCACGACTGTCGTAGCAGGTGAGATTCACAGTTTGAGGTGATTTTGTGATTGGTAGGTCAGTACAGAGAAATGTGTTGCCAAGTATTGCATTGTTCTTTTCCTCTTAAAAAAACAGTTTCTCATTAAAGCTGTCAAAACTAAACAAATATCAGAGCTTTACAATTGTGTCATTCGGACAGTTAAAAACAAGAACAAACCTGTTATTGAACACTGATAAACATCATCCAGCCCAGCCAGCAGCTGCCACATGGTTGACAGCCACAGTGTGATCCAGGTCCCCAGAGTGTGCGCCTTCAGATCTTACAGCAGCCACAGTTTGGAAACTCATTCTGATTTTCACTGAAGAGAAAAACTGTAGATTATTATATTTTCTAAACAAACTTAAGATCAAAGTTTGTTGTTTTTTTTTTTTTTTTTTTTTGAGACAGAGTCTCGCTCTGTCGCTCAGGCTGGAATGCAGTGGCACAATCTCGGCTCACTGCAAGCTCCGCCTCCCGGGTTCACGCCATTCTCCTGCCTCAGCCTCCTGAGTAGCTGGGACTACAGGTGCCCGCCACCACACCCGGCTAATTTTTTTGTATTTTTAGTAGAGATGGGGTTTCACTGTGTTAGCCAGGATGGTCTCGATCTCCTGACCTCATGATCTACCTGCCTCGGCCTCCCAAAGTGCTGGGATTATAGGCGTGAGCCACCGTGCCTGGCCAAAATCAAACTTTTTAAAGGAATACTGTGTAAAAGAATTTATTTTGTCTATTAGGAAGATTTTAGTCTGTCCACTGATGCTGAGGCAGTAGTATTTTAGGCTCCTTAGGTTGCTTACAATTTTGGAGAGACAGAATCAATGTAGAGAGGATTCTACCCAAATTACTGAATCATGCTGTATTTGGGTTATGGGATTTGGGGTGAACGTACAGAGGGAGAGAATGCAGTGGAAGCAGTTCTTTGTGCAAGGTTAGAGACAAACCTGGATTATTTGCTTGGAGAAGAAATCTCTGGGCTGGGCGCAGTGGCTCACGCCTGCAATCCCAGCACTTTGGGAGGCCAAGGCGGGTAGGTCACCTGAGGTCAGGAGTTCGAGATCAGCCTGGCCAACATGGTGAGACCCCATCTCTACTAAAAATACAAAAATTAGCCAGGCATGGTTGTGCATCCCTGTAACCCCAGCTACTCGGGAGGCTGAGGCAGGAGAATCACTTGAACCCAGGAGGAGGAGGTTGCAGTGAGCCGAGATCGTGCCACTGCACTCCAGCCTGGGCGACTCTCTCTCAAAAAAAAACAAAAACAAACAAACAAAAAAGAACAGAAAAGAAAAGAAATCTCTGAAGCTATGTAAAGCTATCTTCTATTTCTTTTAAAAATCATTTTAGTGCTGCTTTTAACTGTTGAGTAAGTGGTTTTAAAATATTATGTTAGAGATACTTGATTATTTTTCCCTAATAGTGTTCTTTTGACCCATGAAGAGTTTGAGTAGAAAAGTGTTTTATCTTGCTACATGACACTTTAGATGTTTTGTGGGTTTCCTTTTGCATAATATAAGATTCTACTTGAAAATATTAAGATATTAAGGACAGGGTTCAGACTTTGATGTGCTAACCTCTGAAGGCTGATGCATGCTGTATGTCTGACAGCCACCTGCTCACTAATCTCTGTGTTTAATTTTTTGGTTTCCCCTCTCTGGACCTCTCCTGCCCATACATGCAGCCCTTCCTTGTAAGTCTGACACAGCAAATTGTGCTGCGTGCATTGAGTGCGGCCCATGGTGCATGGTGCCATTGCCTGAGCACAAGCCAGTGTCTTCCTAGAGCCGGGCCAGTGCCGCTCTGTCAGCCTGGATAGCAGGTGTTCAGTTTCATGTCCTTTGCTCTCGTGTTTAGGTTGTCTCATCCCAACCTGAACAAATTATTTAGTGCCAACTCTGTGCCAGGCTCTGCCAGGCACTGGGCTGTGAGATGCATAAGCCATGAGTTCTGCTTGTCCTTTAGCCAGCCATGTGTACACAGACTTGTTGTCACACTCTGGCACCATGACCAGGTTTGTGTCAGGGAAACAAGGTGAGGAGAGGCTAGTGGGAGGCTGCCTGGAAAAGGGGACATCGAGAGAGGTTTGAAGAGGGTATATGCCAAGAGAGGACACCAGCCACATAGAGAGTTGTCAGAGCAGCAAAGTCACGGAGCCATGTCGTGCGTGAGGGCAAGCCAGGCTGAGAAGCAGGCAGGGGCCCTAGGAGCTGCTCCTAGAACATGGGAAGGCTGCATTCCCCATCTCTGAAAATCTCAGAAGTAACCAAGAGACCCACTGAGTCATTTTTGGCCAAGGATCCTCAGGTGTTTTCACACACGAGCCATTTGGAGAAGGCAATGAGCCCCCAAGGAGTAACAGTCCTTTCTTAACGAGTCACACCCAAACACCTGACACTCTGTTGCTCGCTTCTGTGTCTTTGATTTCTAGATGTCATAGCTATGTGAAAAACAAACTTTAAAAAAGTTTCCAGGGCCGGGTGTGGTGGCTCACTGCTATAATCCCAGCACTTTGGGAGGCTGAGGCAGGAGGATATCTTGAGCCCAGGAGCAACATGGTGAGATTCCATCTTCCCATCTCTACAAAAAGTAAAATCATAAAAAATTAGCTGAACATGGTGGTACACACCTGTAGTCCCAGCTACTTGGGAGGCTGAGGTGGGAGGATCCTTGAGCCCAGGAGGTTGAGCCTGCAGTGAGCCATGATCGTGCCACTGCACTCCAGCCTGGGCAATACAGAGAGATCCTGTCTCAAAAAGAAAACAAAAAGTTTCTTGCCATTTTTATGTGATTACGTTTTGGACCAAGCTACCATTCTGTTCTCTACCTGAAGTTCACCGGGAGCCTCAGGATAATATTTTGAGAACTGCTAATCTTGTCTCTCTGCTGCTGCAAAGAGATTTACCTCTCTTGCAGGATCAGTGGACTTTTAACTGATTAGTGTGTTCTTAGTATGTCCGTGTCAAGAATCACTTGGATACAGCCACCTTCAGAACTCATGTGAGCGTTGGTTCAGGTGAAATCCTGCACCCAAGGTTAGTTGATTTTAGGACCTGTTGTGATGGACACTCTCCAGAAAACTGGTTTTCTTTGAACTTAACTCCTGTCTGAGAAATTACGACTGAGCAAAAGAAACTGGCCACTGAGACTACTATTGGTTTTTGCATAGAAAAGACACAGATGTACTTCCTAAGATGTCTCAATTTGTATCAGTCAGGTAAAATTTTAACAAAAATATCACCCAGAGTCACTTGTGTTTTTCTGTTTGTTTGTTTGTTTTTTAAATGGGCCTTGAGAATTACTCTGTTCCTGAAGACTTTTTTTTTTTTTTTTTTTTTTTGAGAGCGAGTCTTGCTATGTCACCCAGGCTGGAGTACAATGAATGGCACAATCTTGGCTCACTGAAACCTCTGCCTCCCAGGTTCAAGTGATTCTTCTGCCTCAGCCTCCCGAGTTACAGGCATGCGCCACCACAGCTGGGTAATTTTTGTATTTTTAGTAGAGATGGGGTTTTGCCATGTTGGTCAGGCTGGTCTCGAACTTCTGACCTCAGGTGATCCTCCCACCTCAGACTCCCAAAGTGCTGGGATTACAGGTGTGAGCCACTGTGCCCGGCCCTGAATACCATTTCTTAGAGGGAGAAATTATTATTATTATTTATTTTCCCAAAAGCATGTAAGGGGGACGTTAGAGTCAGATACACCCGAATTTCAATCCCGTTACCAGAGCTTTCTTTAAAAGACCCATGGGCAATTAATTGAATCTCTGTGAGCCTCCGGGTCGCTGTTAGCAAAATGGGGAATGAGAATATCTACCTCAGTGAAATAAATGAGTTACTATTTATAAAAGTGCCTGGCACGTAGTCTGCACACCATGCATTTTAATCACTTGATCTACTTTAAGTAAAGTAAGTGGAAGAAGGAAACTGGCTTGACTTCAGTACCATCTCATTAAAGTCAGTGCTCACAGCTTGCTGTTTTGTTAAGTAATTGCTTTTCGATGGTCTTGGCTATATTCATGCTTGTTGAAGAATCTTACCATATTTTAAACACATACATGACATGAGAAAAACTAAAGGTGGTTCAGGCTTTTCTGTTTGGTTCCAAAACAAAGTTTCTATTTCCTCCATGTTTGCAAATGCATAACAAAGGTATCTTTGTTTTCAGGTATCAAAAGGGTCTTGAATTCCATTGGTTCAGATATCGACAATGTAACTCAGCGTCTTCCTATTCAGGATATACTCTCAGCATTCTCTGTTTATGTTAATAACACTGAAAGTTACATCCACAGAAATTTACCTACATTGGAAGAGTATGATTCATACTGGTGAGTGTCTCCTTGGAGCTGGTGAACTACGAGAGTGAACTTTGTAGAGAACGAGATAAAAATCTGACATTAGCACCAGGATAATCTTATGAGAGCAAATTGTACAAGGAGGCCATGACCTGATATATGTTAACCCCAGTTTATGTTCATTAGAATTTGAAGTGCTCGCTTAGACCAGGCAGCACATATACTAAAATTGGAACAATGCATAGAAGGTTCGCATGACTCCTGTGTACAGATGATATGCAAATTTGTAAAGCAGTCCACGTTTATTTTTAAGTTGAAGACTGGACCTTCGTGAGCCAAATACTTGATAATTTGCAATTTTGATGTCATTAGTGGTTTCTGGAATACTAGTTATAATTATCAAACCAGGCATGTAATGAGATTTTAAAGCTTAAAAGTAATTAAGAAGGACATCTGGGAAATATTCTTTTCTATTTTATAAACCAATATAAACATTGGTTTATAAAATAAATATGCAGAGGTTGGTTCTTACTGAAAGAGCATTCTTTTCTTAGCTGTGCCTTGAAACCAGTGAATTGCTCCCAGAGCTTAGGTGAGTGGCTGTGGTGCCCACTGGTTGTCCCATTAGAAAATGCGAGTGGTGGGGTTTCACCCGGGGTGAGGGTGGTGGACATCCCAGTCAGAGCCCTGGGGAGGGAAGGACTTGGAGGCTCAAGAAATTTAGAGGATCATGTATTAGGTAAGATGCACTTCTCTCTCTGAAGAGCTCAGCAACCCTTTATATCTCCCAAGCCCATGGGGAGTCCGGAGACTCATTCTCATGTGGATTATTTCTTATACAAGACCACAGGATACGTAATTAAAATTATAGCAGTTGCTACCATTTATGGGACAGTTTCAGTGTGCCCACCAAGCACTTTCTGCACATTTCTTTTAATCCTCACAAAAATCCCCTGGCCTGTGTTCCATTTACAACCCTGTTTTCTAGACAAGGAGACGGGCTCAGGGAAGTGAAGTGACTTCCTTAAGGCCAGCTAGCATACGGCAGAGGTAGGTTTTGAAGCTCCATCTGGCTCTGCTTTTTGTCATCGCCCCACAAACAACGAGCTCCAGGGAGCACCTGCCATGATTCCCTTGTGGGGCTAGGCCACCCCAGCAAGTCTCAGAACAAACAGAAGGCAGACCCTTTCTCAGTGAACTTATAATCTCATTAGAGATCAGAGCTTCACAAACGAGAAAGAATAGTACCATTACCTGTCTACCTGACTGCCATCCATCTCCCTTCCTTTTCCCCCTGCCCTGACACTATGAACTTATCTTAAAAAGAAAATTAACTAAGCAGATGCTCCTTTAACTCTAAAAGTTTTCTGAGGCCAGCCTCCATGGCTTATTTAATTTTGTGCCCTCACTGTCTGGAACAAACCTCCCCAGAATGGCTGCCTGTGGCTATTACTATAATTACTGAGATTGCTCTTAATTGAATGAAAAGCTTCAGTGGTGCTGCTTGGTCAAGAGGCACCAAGCAGAAGTAAATTCTTTGTTTTTTAGTGTCTTAAATGTTGGGAAGCATTACTACCCTTGAATGCCTCTTGCTGCCGGGAAAGGTTGTTCTCCCTTCCGGGAATGCCAGTAAGGCCTAATTGAGGATCCATTATCCTAAATGTCTCGCAGGACCATTATGAAATTGAGATTTGCATTCTGCAGGCATTTGATTTAGGATGCTCATAAAATTCTAAATACCCCATGCATCTGCCATGTAATCTGGTTCAGTAAAGAACACAGTGGCCCCAAATATTTCTGCAACCACAAAATATTTTAGAAAAAGGCCCAGGGAAAAGAATCCAGTATTTCTTTATCTGTAGTCTAATCATGATCTAGCCATATGCCTTCATTATTATAATAGGCACTTAGAACATCAGAGGCCTTAAAAGAACATAAAAATCTTAAGGGTGTTTTCATCAGTAGCCTTGGAGAAGCTCAGTGTGCTGTGCTTATGAACCCTGTGTGACACCCGTGGGAATCAAAGCAAAGGAAGGAGGCAATGATCCCATGACCACCAGGAACAATGCAAACCTAGAATCAAAATAAAAGTTTCTCCGCTGGTTGAATTGGAAGGCAAAGGGTGTGAAGGGATCTTTTCACTCAACATTATTGTCCTCTGAGGAATTGATAGAAGACTCTGATTTTAGAAGCCAAGAATAACTCATCGGCTCCAGCCTTAGTCCAGCAGCTTTTGTGTTAGGGTGGCGTCACCTGTGTCATGTATACTAACACTGTGCTTGCCTCTCCAGGTGGCTGGGTGGCCTGGTCATCTGCTCTCTGCTGACCCTCATCGTGATTTTTTACTACCTGGGCTTACTGTGTGGCGTGTGCGGCTATGACAGGCATGCCACCCCGACCACCCGAGGCTGTGTCTCCAACACCGGAGGCGTCTTCCTCATGGTGTGAGTGTCTGCTCCTCTCTGTCATGTGGGAGTGGGAATGCAGGAGAGAGACTGGGTGCTGACTCTGGTGTTACATGAACCCGGCGCCCTCTGGGCCACGTACGCGGGGTTCCAGCTCCCAGGTCGCGAGGAGGAGAGATCCTGCTGTGATGGGACCTTCCTTGATTTGGGTACTTCTGTCAAGCCTAAACATTAAAAACAAACAAACAACAACAACAACAACACTAAATTACTTGCATTTTGATAGACCAGCTTAAGCACACTATTTATATATGGCAGGCTCCTTTTAAAAGCAGCTAGACTTGCTTTCTTGATTTCTATTGTTCCTTCTTTTTGTCATTCATTCATTCATTCATTTATTCACTCACCAGAGGCTGAGCCAATCTCTTGTGGGACAGCAGTATTGGTCAGCAGTATTGCTAGCTTGAAATTCTAGAAACTTGATTTAGAACTAAGGCTGCCAAGGCAGAACCCTTAGGATTTAGACAGGTAGCCTAGATTAGGCGTGAGAACAGGTGTGAGGCAGCAGGGAGAGGTATGCCTGCGGCAGAAGACTGGAGCGACTGTCCCTGCTTCAAAGACATTGACCTCCAAGTTAGTGTCTTTGAAAAACCTGTGACTCTATGGATACGACAAAGCATAGCAGGCATGAGCCAGGTGCAACCGGGGCCAGAGCCAGAAATGTAAGCTAGGATGTGGTGTAATGGCTTTGAATGCTCTGCAGGGAGAGAGCTGTGTGGGTTCTAAGTCAATATTCTCTTTTTGATAAGATCATGAAGAATCAGCAGTAGGGAGTGAGATGGGGCTCTAGGTCAGTGGTTAAGGTTTGAAACAATTCCTTTGGGGAGTGAAGAACCAAAACCTGAGTCGTGTTCTCTCATTTATCCACTTAAGTCACTAGCACGGGGCTGTGAGTGAGCGGGCTGGAGAGCAGATGCTGTACATTAATTTGATTAATTTGTTTTTTAAAACTTTGGGTCTTCAAACCAAATTTTCACACACACACACACACACACACACACACACACACACACACACACACCAAACAAACAAAAAACTTTGGGTCACTGGAACAATAAATCAGGCTTCTTACAAGCTATGATTATAAATCCTTTCCCTACAATAATTAGGCTCCAGTATGGTATAGGCCTTTACAAACTAGAGTCGTAAAATCACCTTAGAGCTAATGACCTGAGGTCTACCAGGGCTGGACAAAGAACTCCACACAAACAGAAGCTTAGATGCTCACAGGCCAAAGCTTAAGAAATTATATTTGTCTGGGCACGATGGCTCACGCCTGTAATCCCAACACTTTGGGAGGCCGAGACAGGCAGATCACTTGAGGCCAGGAGTTCGAGACCAGCCTGACCAACATGGTGAAACCCCATGTCTACTAAAAATACAAAAATTAGCTGGGCATGATGGTGCACACCTGTAATCCCAGGTACTTGGGAGGCTGAGGCACGAGAATCACCTGAACCCAGGAGGCAAAGGTTACAGTGAGCCGAGATCGTGCCAACTGCACTCCAACCTGGGCGACAGAGTGAGACTCTGTCAAAAAAAAAAAAAAAAAAGAGAGAGCGAGAAATAAAGAAAAAAAGAAAGAGGAAGGAAGGAAGGAAGGAAGGAAGGGAGAGAGAGAGGGGGAGGGAGAGAGAGAGAGAGGGAGAGAGAGAGGAAGGAAGGAAGGAAGGAAGGAAGGAAGAAAAAGAAAGAAAGAAAGAAAGAAAGATTAGCTGCAAGTACCTGTGGACAGAGAAGAAAAAAAGGAGAAATCACATCTGCAAGGAAAAATGAATTTGTCTTCCCTTCTTGTTCAAATGTACACAGATACACAAAAATACATTAAACAGAAGATTATTAGGTTGCTGTAAAAGTAATTGCAGTTTTTGCCATTACTTTTAATGTTTAATTGATTTTAAGTTTAATGTTACAAATTTAACAACAATTTAACTTGGTTGTTTGTTAGTGTTTTGGTGGGGTGTGTATATATACCTATATTTCCATCTTTTTTAACTACTTGAAAGGTAGGGTAAATTGCTCTGAAAAATGGTGCACCCCTCATCGAAATTTTATTCACACTTTTTAAAGGGATACAACAAAAAATGTGATATCAAGCTTCAAAGAAAGAAAAAATAAAACAGAGAAATCATCAACAAATTGATGGAGGCTAAAAGCTACCTTAGTTTAGATATACTAATTCTATAGACATGGAGACCTGTGGCATGGAGGCCATAGGATTCATCTCAGCAGCAGGAAGAAGGCTGGTAACTGTCAGATGTTGTTTGATTCATTTCAAGGAGTCTGCAGACTTAGGGTGGCTATGATTTCTTTATTGTTGAATGCAACCAGTCAGCATGGCACGCTTTGCTGTGCTTGGCAGAATTCTCTGCTTCTTGAGGTATCTGGTAAACAACTGGATAATTGCAAAAGGAGGAGATGATACAAGCGTCATCAGTCTAATCAGACTAATTAGAAGAATGCAGTTTCTTTTTTTAAAACTGTTTACTTGCTTGTAGAAACCAGAAAGAGTATGTGTAGTTTTGTTGCAACCAAAACACCACCTGCTCTTTAAAAATGGTGACACCATCCAATCAAGAGCATGGTCTCTTTCAAAACCAAGCAGGAATTCTTACCTCCCAAAAGGATACCAGTGAAAGATCTGGAAGGAGGAAAGTCAGAGAGCCCTGGCTCTGCTCTGATCTTTTATCTTCAGATGGTCCCAGAAGCATTTTATTTTAATTTTATTTTTGTGGAGACAGTCTTGCTTTGTTGCCCAGATTGGTCTTGAATTCCTGGTCTCAAGAGATCCTCCGACCTCAGCCTCCCAATGTGTTGGGATTACAGGTGTGAGCCGCTACCCCTGGCCCCAGGAGCATTTTAGCAGCTGAATAGGATGCAGTGGTGAATGTATTATCTGTTGCAGGGGGGCGTAGGAGGCCTCTCCAGAGATAAGGAGATCTAACAGAGGCACAAGCATCTCGTGATTTGAAGCCCATCATAAAACTTCCCATTTTAGGTATTGACAACAATGCCAAGAGCAGCCACAGGTATCACAAACTGGGCACATTCCTATGGCTGGTGGCAGTTTCTGAGGTTATGGAAAGCAGTTTGTCAGGCTATATAGCAAGGGCTGTAAAAAGACCATGATGCTCTTTGCCGAATAATTTCCATTTTGGGGAATCTAGGTGAAGGAAGTAAGCCAAACTGTGAAGAAATCATCATGAAGAGGGAGGTGTTTTGCAGTATTAGTTATGATAGTGAAGCACTGGAAACAGCCTACATGTCCAGCTGTAGAAGAGTGGCCAAGTGAGTTATGACACATCCATGCGTGGAAGATCACATGGCCCCTGAAATGATAACTAGGTGACAGTCCTAATTTGTTGACAAAAGTTTCTAAGATAATGCATTTGAAAGGGGGTCAGAAAATGATGCATGTATTATCCTAACTGTGCAAATCAGGGGTTAGTCAGCAAGCTTTTCCCAAGAAGGGCCAAGTAATAAATATTTTAGGTTCTGCTGGCCATACACAGTCTTTGTCGCATATTCTTGTTCTTTTTCACCTTCTTTTGCTCTTTCATCTTACTCTTATTCTCCCCCTCCTCTTCCTCCTTTTCAATATTTTCAGTACACATTAGCCATTATCTCACTAACCTTAGAAAAACAGACCTTGGGCAGTGGTTCCCCTACCCCTGATCTAGGAATGTGCATATTTAGAAAATAAAGGCTGGAGATAGTGACTGTATGCGATTTAGAGTAAGAGTCATGGTGCCCTTTTTAGACAGCTGTCTTGGTTTATATGAGTTGTTTAA
Source organism: Homo sapiens (assembly GCF_000001405.40). Taxonomy (NCBI): domain Eukaryota; kingdom Metazoa; phylum Chordata; class Mammalia; order Primates; family Hominidae; genus Homo; species Homo sapiens. The sequence continues at coordinate 16,002,725 of NC_000004.12, read as the reverse complement.
CTCCAACACACAGACACACATGCTCAGACAGGGATCCTGGCATGGCCCTCACTCACTTCTTCTTTGTGCTCTCCCAGACTCAGAAGCCTTGTAGGTCAGAGAAAGTCAGGCTGACCTAGGCCTTTCCAATGAACATTACTTGCTATTTATTTTAGTGAAGATACACAAATATTGTAATTATGGCTTTGGCATCTGCAGGCAAAGGGGAGAATCGTGCCCTTAGGAGGGGATGCTGTGGTGATTGCGAGCATCAGCCCACACCCTTCTGAGGCTCCTTCCTAGTGTGCACCAGTGATGGTATTTGATTTGGCAGCTGCACCTAGATCGATTTAAGAGTTTGTTCTCTATGTCTACATCTAGACAGCTAAGCACTGCTAGAGAAAAGCTACGCACCGGGTACATTGGGTATCCCTACAAACTTAGGATCTCCTGTCTCAAATGGACTTGCCATAGTCTGACAAATCTTTTCTTTTATTTCTTTTGTTTTCTTCCTTCTCTTTCTGTTTTTTTTCTTTTTCGACACCCCCCACACTTTCCTGCAACAGTCTTTTCACTCTGATACGTCCATTTTCCTCTACTTCACCCCTCTCTCAGCAGATGGCTTTACCTCCTTCTTCTCAGAGAAAATAGAAGCCATCATGCAACTTCCCATCATCAAACTTCCAAACACACCTGCTCTCAAACACATCCATCCCTTCTCTGCAGTGCCAGAAGCAGAGGGATTCCTGCCTGCTCAGGTTGATCCCGCCAGCTATATTCTCAATCCCATTCCTTTCCCTGATCCTGATAAAATGGATCATCCCCTTTCTTTTCCATGTCTTTATTCTCTTCCTGTCTCCTTGACTTTCACTCAATACTTAACCAGGCTCTGTTCTCTCCCTTCTTCAGAAATAAAAGCAGAAACTCTTTACCCACACTGCCTCTTCCCTATAGCTCTCCTTCCCCCACACAGGCTCTCAGAGGAGTGATCTGCGCTTGCTGCCTGTGCCCTCCTCTCCTGCTGACTCTCCGGTCCACTCCGATGTGGTTTCCTCCCCCATGACTGCACTTGTTTCAAGTTGGCAGTGACCTCTCTGTGCAATGCAGACAGCACATTGGTTGGTGACAGCCGACCATTCCTTCCTCCTGCAAACACTCCTTTTGTCCCCTAGGTGGCATCACACCCACATAGTTACCTTCCTACTTCTCTGCCTCATCATCTTGGTCTGGTTTGCTGGCCCCTCCTTCCACCACCCATCTTTGTAAATGTTGAAGTCTTCCAGACCCAGCCCTAGGCTGTTTCTCTCTCCAAGCCAGCCCTGGGGATAAATGACCATGGCTAAGCTGCTGGCTCCCTAAGGTACATCCGAAACCCAGATATCTGAGCTCCAAACATACTGACTCCTACACAGTCTTTCCATTCAGTGTCTCTGGCAACAAGACCAACATCCAGCCCATCTTCTCTTTCCTTCCAGAGCATCAGCGCTCCCTGGCACTGCCCTTGGAGCCCTTCCTTGCCTCTACCTCTCGTGTTCAGCGCTTTCCGAGTCCTGCTGCCTCCTATATTATGCCTCCTGTGTCTCCTATATTACATCTCCATCATCCACCAACTCTCCACCAATCCTGCCCCCTTAGGCCACCCTCATGGGCCATGATAACAGCCTCTGCAATGATGTCCCATCCACGTTGGCACCTGTCCAGTCTATCCTTTACACTGTGCCAAGAGTGCTTGCGTTCAGAGAGAAGTCGGGTTGTGCTCCTCGTGTGCTTTCAGCCCCTTATTGGCTACCCCTCGTGGGTCCCCAGGCCCCTATACAGTACATCCCCGCCTTCCCTGGAGCTGTCCCTCCCCAGGTCCCCAGGCCCCTATCCAGTGATCCCCCGCCTGCTCTGGAGCTGCCCCTCCCCAGGTCCCCAGGCCCCCATCCAGTGTACCCTTGCCTGTCCTGGAGCTGCCCCTCTCCAGGTCCCCAAGCCCTGTGTCACTCCTAGGTGGATGATCTGTTTCACCTGAATAACACTGAAGACCCCAGGGCTATTTTATAGAGTATAGGTAGATTTAGTAAGTATCAGTAGGTAATATTGAATCATTCTTTGTTGAATTACTAACTTTATATTTTTTTCCAGTGGAGTTGGATTAAGTTTCCTCTTTTGCTGGATATTGATGATCATTGTGGTTCTTACCTTTGTCTTTGGTGCAAATGTGGAAAAACTGATCTGTGAACCTTACACGAGCAAGGAATTATTCCGGGTAAATATGATTTTCTACCCATTATGAAAGGACTTGAACAGAAACTTGGATTTCTTCATATATTGTGCATTACTTTAAGAGCAGTGCAAACTTATAAGCAGTTTGGTTTAAATTCAGTAAATTTCTTGAAATTATTAAATTCAATAAATTTTCAAATATTCAATAAATTCAGTAGATCCTTTCTATTTGTAAGAGAAAAAAAAATATGGGAGCGTCCTTATTTTCTGATCATAAGCGAAATCAGGGTCAGGAGTTAAAGTCCTGCCGCTCAATGTGGATTGCAGTATTTGGGGAGAAAAGAATTTTCCTCAGCAGTAGTTTCCAAATGTGGCTGGGAACATCAGAAGATCAGTTCCCAGGTTCCTCCCACACACCCTGGGAGATTCCCAGGTGACAGAGGTGTCCACACAGATGAGCCCTATATTTGAAGGGAAAGAGACTGATAAGCGGATGACTCGTGGCAGAGGGCTGACCTGGCACACGTCTAGTAGTGCCACCAGGAAATGAATTCAAGCTTCGCTTTCTCCCTCTCAGTCCAACTCCCACCGACTCCGGGGGACCAGTTGGCAGTTTTGCTTTCTTCATTAATGAGGAAATTTTGTTGTAAGTGTCTGGCTTCTAATTGTGGCTTTTCTGTGTTTTTTTTTTCTCCAGATTCTGATTTTTAAAATATATTTCTATTTCACTCTTTCATTGTATATACATTTTTCCGCCTAAGATCTGTTATGAAATCAGGAGAATACTGTTGTCACAGTATTTTAGTTATTTCACTGGTCGAGGGAGATTAAGTTGAGATCACCAGCAGGTCAAATGATCTCCATTTGGCCTTTTGATAAAAGAAAGACATCAAGCCAGGCATCATTATCTCCTGTAGAGTGTCGAATCATTCAAAGATAATTTTTCTTAAGTACGGGATATTTCAAAACCATTTCTACTTCTCAAGCGCGTACAGTCATGCATTGATTTGCCCATCTTAAATATGTATGATGCAGAGGCAGAGAGTGTGTGAATTTTTTTTTTTTTTTAAGACGGAGTCTCACTCTGTCACCCAGGCTGGAGTGCAGTGGTGCCATCTAGGCTCACTGCCAGCTCCGCCTCCCGGTTTCATGCCATTCTCCTGCCTCAGCCTCCCGAGTAGCTGGAACTACAGGTGCCCGCCACCACGCGCGGCTAATTTTTTGTATTTTTAGTAGAGACGGGGTTTCACCACGTTAGCCAGGATGGTCTCGATCTCCTGACCTCGTGATCTGCCCACCTTGGCCTCCCAAAGTGCTGGGATTACAGGCGTGAGCCACAGCGCCCGGCCAAGTGTGTGAATTTTAATACATTTTGTCCAGAGAGAGAAATAGCGCAGCACTGGGTCCACCACTTAATGGCTGTATATTAGCTATTCTGATCAAATGGTCTACTCTGCTTCTATTTATAATGTGTTTGTTTTATTAAGATAAAGGTTAAAGATTAAAGAGTTCTCGGCGTGGTGGCTCACGCCTGTAATCCCAGCACTTTGGGATGCTGAGGTGGGTGGATCACCTGAGGTCAGGAATTCAAGATCAGCCTGGCCAACATGGTGAAATGCTGTTTCTACTAGAAATGCCATTTCTACTAAAACTACAAAACTAGCCAGGCAGTGGTGGTGCCTGTAGTCCTAACTACTCGGGAGGCTGAGACTGGAGAATCATTTTAACCCGGAAGGGGGAGGTTGCAGTGAGCTGAGATCGCGCCACTGCGCTCCAGCCTGGGCAACAGAGCAAGACTCTGTCTCAAAAAAAAAAAGTTCTCAAAAAAAGTAATTTTAATAATTTTGATTGATGCTACCCATCAATAAATATAATAAATTGATTTATTCCAATTATACTATTATTTTCTAGTTATAAGTTGGAAATCAACCAGAAAAATAATGTTATGAAAAATTTCCAAAATACATTCAACAGAATATTAATTTTATTATATTAGTATGTATGTTAGTGTAAAACTGATTTTTCGAAAATACTTCCTAATGTGTTCTAGGTTTTGGATACACCCTACTTACTAAATGAAGACTGGGAATACTATCTCTCTGGGAAGCTATTTAATAAATCAAAAATGAAGCTCACTTTTGAACAAGTTTACAGGTATCAATATTTGCATTATACATTTCGCTATTTAAGATGTTCTTTTTCTGGAATGAGAATTTTGCATTTGAAGTGTTTTTAAATCTTAATTATATGACTTTCATGTTTCAGAGATAAGCTGTCCTGTATTATTTTAAAGACACAGTAGAAATTAGATCAAAAATATATTCCTTCTACTGAAAGCCTTTGAGACCTTGGAATGGTGATGTTTCAAGGTCTCGCTCTCCAATAATCTCTGGAACTCACTAGTTAAGGTGACCCTACGATGCACTAATGGGACCCCATGAGAGATCTTGTTCAAGAACCACATTGCTCTAAGTAAAAGCCATCCAACAAGAATAGTGAACAGGTGATTCAGTGATTTGGATCACTGATAGGGGGAAGGCAATGCAGTTGGAGAGCTGTCTGCTGTCAGGACTCCTGGGCTCTGACCCCGGCCCCCTCCTGGAGGCTCTGTGCCCTGGGCAATTCCACATCTTCTCTGTTCCACGGGGGTCATGATCATAGGAATCTGACCCTGGGGTTGTTTTAGGGTTAAGTAAGATACATGAGATTCGAATGGTGCCTGACACATCATTTGGACTTGATAAACAATACCTGTTCTTAATATTGTTCATCTAGGCTGGCCATAGTGGCTCATGCCTATAATCCCAGCACTTTGGGAGGCTGAGGCAGGTGGATCACCTGAGGTCAGGAGTTCGAGACCAGACTGACCAATATGGTGAAATCCCATCTCTACTAAAAATGAAATACAAAAATGAGCCAGTCATGGTGGCATGTGCCTGTAGACTCAGCTACTCAGGAGGCTGAGACAAGAGAATTGCTTGAACCAGGGAGGCGCAGGTTGCAGTGAGCCAAGATCGTGCCACTGCACTCCAGCCGGGCAAAAGAGTGAGACTTTCTCTCAGGAAAAAAGAAAACAAAAAAACTATGTATATATATATATAACAACTCCTGACCTCAGGTGATGTATACTACCAGCCATCAGACTAGGAGCCCATTTCACCACTGGGCAAAAGCAGACACTACACAGTGAGCTAAGAGAAATGCATTTCATATATATATATATATATATGTTTGCATTTCATATATATATATATATGAATGAACGAATATATATTTCATATATATATATGAACGAAATGCATTTCATATATATATATATGTTTCATTGAAATGCATTTCTTTTAGCTCACTGTGTAGTGTCTGCTTTTGCTCAGTGGTGAAATGGGCTCCTAGTCTGATGGTTGGTAGTCTTAGGTGTCTGATCTTAGGTGTGAACCCATGGGCAGCTCTCTGCTATGAGCCACAGGGAAGGGAGTCACTTTAAGAGTATTTGAAATCAGTTCACAGGATGCTTTTTAAACACTGGTGACACTTATTTCTCCCACTGTGAGACCGAAGGGCCGGAGGATGTGTGTGTTAACATGGTGTGTTCATAGTGAATGAAACTAAAAATAACAGGGCGATAGTGACTCACATTGAGAGCAGAACACTTCATAAGTCAGAGACACAGAAGCCCTTCCATGCCCTACACGTGAACCACCATTCTTAGTGTTCTTATTATTCTCTCAGAGTTCCTTTATGCAATTTTAAGCAAGTATTAACCCTATGCCTAGCGTTATTATATAGCTTAGTAGTATTCGCCATCATTTGATATTCAAGAGACTTCTTAAGCATTTTGTGAATTTGTTATACTTTTAGGTATTGCAAGGTTCTTTTTGTACTTTTTAAAAATATTTTGAAATATGCACACATTTAATTAATCAATGGTCATTAGTTCCTGTAGCCAAACCACAGAAGTTATTTTAAAACAAATGTAGCTGTGTCATTACTAAGTATTTATTTATTTATTTATTTATTTATTTATTTTCTGAGATGGAGTCTCGCTCTATCACCCGGGCTGGAGTGTAATGGCACCATCTCAGCTCACTGCAACCTCTGCCTCCTGGGTTCAAGCGATTCTCCTGCCTCAGCCTCCTGAGTAGCTGGGATTACAGGTGTCTGTCACCACGCCTGGCTAATTTTTGTATTTTTAGTAGAGATGGGGTTTCACCATGTTGGTCAGGCTGGTCTCGAACTCTTGACCTCAGGTGATCCACCCACCTTGGCCTCCCAAAGTGTTGGGATTACAGGCGTGAGCCCCAAGCCCGGCCATTACTGTTTATTTCTATTACCTAATAAATATTATGCTAAGTGGTAATAGTGGTAATTTAACAAAATGCTAAGAGCTAGCACCTGCATGGTGCTTTCTGTATGCCAAGACTGATGGAAACACCTCGGTTGTGTAAACTTCTTTAATATCCACACCACTCTGTGAGCTAGGTACCATACTAACTACTTTTATTATTTTATGAGCACCTGTTGTAAAGCGAGCTAAGTACCATACTAACAACTGCTTTTATTATTATATGAGCACCTGTGGTAACGGTATACCTGAGATATTATACAAAATTGAATTAGACTCTGGTCCTACTTGTCAAGGAAAACCTAGCAGGGAGTTAGATCTGTAAAGAAGTGTTCTAGAATACAGTGATACTTACAGGTGACAGAAATGTATTGAGGCTACTCTAGAAGCCCCAAGGAGGGTGTCTTATGCAGTGTGGGAATGGAGGGATTAGGAAGGACTACCTGAGGGAAATGGCACCTAAGCTGATCTTAGTAGGTTAGTGGGGATTGGCTGGGCCAAGAAGGAAAAAGGTACCTCGGCCGAGGGACACAGACAAAGGCAGGGAGGTAGGGGCAGTAGGCTACTCTTTGGGAGCTTTTAAAAATCCCACTACCACTTTGGGGCCAAATACAAAGTTAAAGGACAGAGAAAAGTCCTCGTTTCCATTATTCAGCCCATGGCAGTGAAAACTGAGCTTCTGGAGCCCTGAGACAACACTCAGAATGAACTTATAAATGTTACTCGTAGGCTTTGTCTTCTAAATCTTTCTTAAATCTTCTTCTTCTTCCTCTTCCTCCTCCTCTTCTTCTCCTCCTCCTCCTCCTTTTTCTTCTTTTTCTTCTTCTTTTCCTCCTCCTCCTCCTTCTTCTTCTTCGTCTTCTTCGTCTTCTTCTTCTTTTTCTCTCTCTCTCTCTCCTTCCAACTGGTCTCCTTGTTCCCATTCCATCCTCCAAACCTCCAAGCATGATGTGATGTGACCCAACCACATGTGTCACTTCCTACCTAAGTTTCTCCATTGCTTCTGGCAGAGGCAGCTAACAAGTGTCCAGTGCCCATCCCCCATACTCAGGGTAGACATTGATAGTCAACCGAGGTCTTCTGCTTAGCCCAGGGAGCCTCAGGCTCCTTCTGGACAGCGTGCTCTAGGCATACATTAGCAATCCATTGGCTTTTCTCTGTACAGTTAAACCCGTTCACCACCCCTAGGCTGAGAGGACAAAGCCAAGTGTCTCAGCCTGGCATGCTAGCTCCTTGTGATTCTGGCTCCTGCAGAGCCCTCCAGTTTTACCTCTGGTTGTTCATGCATCAGGCTCTAAGTTCCAACAACACCAACCCGCTTGTTCTCTGGAGGGAAGGATCACACCTCCTAGGGATGTGGGAAAGTTGCTTCTTCCAGGCATCCCTCAGGCCTAGAGGGCCCTGGCTGCTGTGGCAAGGAAGAGATGCCACATTCCTGGATGCCGCTATTTTTGTGGCAGGAATACACATCCAATGAGGCCTACCCTTCTTAGCTCAGTCAAGTCTAAAAAAGTCAAATTTTCCTATTTTAGAGATATGATTGAGGCATGGTGAGGTGAGGCCATTTCACCCAGGGGGCTGACTTAGGTTACAGCCAAACTGTGCTGACCATCGAGATGTCTGCGTCTCCTCCCTATCTCTGTCCTCACCATGAGGATATACGTCTAAGCGTATATTTAGTCAGTGCCGCTCGGCCCTGGAAATACAGAGGAGAAATGTTCTTGGCAGGAGCTTCATAGAATCATTTAATGAAGTTCATAATCTACTCTGCAGTGCGTCTCTTTCTAGCAAGTATTGTTTTTCTTTTTAATGAGAATTTATTTCTTCCCAATCTGTAAACTTGTGGTCCACAGCAGAACTAGAGCATGTAGGAGACAGATGGAAAGATATATTCATCAATCCTATTGCATCTCTTCCAAGAACAGGACTGTTAGTAAAGCAAGGCAAGAAGTCAGAAGTGGTGGGTGCTGGGGGATTTGTGTGGCCACTGGGGACATGCAGCCCCACTTCTGTGTTCACAGATTAAACAAGGAGAAACAGTGAGCCTTTCTCCTCATCTTCAGTGGTGGACAGAGGTAGCTGCAACAGCTTTTCTAGGTCCTAATTTCTCTGTTCATTCCCACAGTGACTGCAAAAAAAATAGAGGCACTTACGGCACTCTTCACCTGCAGAACAGCTTCAATATCAGTGAACATCTCAACATTAATGAGGTAATTAGAACTCGTCATGGAATCGACATAACACATTCCTTCACCAAATCTAGGTGTCTTTCTTTCTTTTCTGGAAATTGAGATGAAATTTGCAAAAGATAAAATTAACTATTTAAAAGTGATGTTTGGTATATTTACATGGCTGTGTAACCTTCACCTCTATTTGGTTCCAAAACGTTTTCTCACTGCCCGACCAGTTGTCTTTCTTGTGGTTTGAGTTTTCCTAGTGGATTATGCAAGAGCCTCTAGAGGGGTCTCACTGTGGACACTTCACAGGGAAAGATGTCATTTTGCTGAGTATAGACGTTTTTGTGGGAACAATCCCTATTTGTTCCTCAGGAAGGCTCTCACTCCAAGACCAGCCTCCCTTTCTGCCAGTCTCTGAAATTGGGCACTCAGTGTGGAGGAGCATGGTCCATACCGTTCTCCTTCCTTATGAGTCGCAAGGTGGCCCCAGGACTCCAGTGTGAACTAAAGCAAAGGATGGAAGCCGACAGAACCTCCTCTTTTCTTTTGCCAGAGCCCACACCCCAGTCTTGAGTCTTAAGATTTGGAGGAAAGACCATTCCAGGGCACACTGGCCTGAAGAAAGAGCAAGAGTTTCAGCTGCCCAGGCCTAGGGTGCCGTTAACCTAGACCAACCCCACTCCCCGTACCTGGAGGCCTCTTCTGACTTTCTGCCAGAAAGAATCTAGACTGTCATCTCTCTTTTGGGTTTCCAGAATGAGAGCAGAAACAAAGGGATCCCAAGGGAAGAGGCTATTCCCAAGCCCCCACAGCTTGCGCACTGCTGCTAGAGTTACCATGAGGCCATGATGGCTTGATGGTTTTCAAATGTGAAAAGCTGTGTTTGAAAGCTGTATATGAAATGTTTATTATCTTCCCTAAATAGTCCATACATATACATTAAACAGACATAATTTTGTAACCAAACCCTAAATAGATGCCCGTCGTGCTGTGGGTCACTTCTCTGTGTGCTATGGTGGATGGCAGTTGGAGAGGTTGCCTGGGACGTGCAGGCACTCCATGCTGCTGGAAACTGCTGACTATCAATACAACCCTGAATCACCAACCGTGTTTCCATAATCTTTGCCCAAGTAACTAAACACTGTTCCCCAAATGATATCTCCCATTTCTTCCTACTCCCAGCTGTTGTGTGTACTGGTCCCTTCCCTGGAATGCCAGCCTACCCTGTGTCCCTTTCAGCTTCTCTGTTTGTCAAAGCTGGAGGCTTAGAAGCCATGGGACCCATAGAGAAAGAGATGGGAAATGAACAGGATGGGAAGTACCAGGAAGAGATGCCAGTCAAGTGCTTGCACATTTTTTTTGTCTTTTGTGGTTTGATTGCTGTTTATTTTTTATTTATTTTTTAAATTTATGTTTAAAATTTTTTTTAAATAGAGACAAGGTCTCTTTATGTTGCCCTGGCTGGTTTTGAACTCCTGAGCTCAAGCGATCCTCCCACCTCAGCCTCCCAAAGTGCTAGGATTGCAGGCATGAGCCACCACATCCAGCTTTTATTGCTCTTTTAAAGCATTTGGTTTGTGACATTCTTGGAGAATAAGGGACTGATTTGTAACTTCCTTTTTTCGCAGCATACTGGAAGCATAAGCAGTGAATTGGAAAGTCTGAAGGTAAATCTTAATATCTTTCTGTTGGGTGCAGCAGGAAGAAAAAACCTTCAGGATTTTGCTGCTTGTGGAATAGACAGAATGAATTATGACAGCTACTTGGCTCAGGTATGGCGCATGTGTTCATGCTTGATCCTTTAGGAGAAATTAAAGTGTCAGATGTGTATTTCTGTTTTGCTTTTGATTTTTTATTAAGATGAGATTCACATGATGTAAGACTATTTTAAAGTGAGCAATTCGGTGGCATTGAGTACATTCACAGTGCTGCACAACTACTTCTGTAGTTCCTGTAGTTCCAAGACATTTTCATCACCCTAAAGCAAACCCCAAAGCAGTTGCCCCCATTTCCTCCTCCCCAAACCCTTGGCAACCACCCAACCACCCATCTGTGGTCTTTTTTTTTTTTTTTTTTTTTTTTTTTGAGACGGAGTCTCGCTCTGTCACCAGGCTGGAGTGCAGTGGCGCAATCTCGGCTCACTGCAACCTCCACTTCCTGGGTTCAAGTGATTCTCCTGCCTCAGCCTCCCGAGTGGCTGGGACTACAGGCGCCTGCCACCACGCCCAGCTAACTTTTTTTGTATTTTTAGTAGAGACGGGGTTTCACCATGTTTGCCAGGATAGTCTCGATCCCTTGACCCTGTGATCTGCCCACCTCGGCCTCCCAAAGTGCTGGAATTACAGGCGTGAGCCTCTGTGCCCGGCCCATCTGTGGTCTCTTTAGATGGATTTACCTAGTCTGGGTAGTAAAAAAAAAAAAAAAGATTACGTAACACATAATCTTTTGTGTCTGGCTTCTTTCACTGAGCATGTTTTTGCTGTTCATCCATGTTATAACATTATCAGCACTTCATTCCTTTTCATAGTTGAATAATATGATTGAATAAAAATATGGCTTTATATGTATAAATAAGAATGCAAATGTTGCCACCTGTTTAAGAGTTTCTGACCTCACATGATTACTTTATGGTTATGAATCCATGTTTAATCTGTTGCCTACTAGATGTTGTGTTAAGGCTTAAAGATCCCATATCCATAAGACAATTTTTTTCACTTCTATTGTAGACTGGTAAATCCCCCGCAGGAGTGAATCTTTTATCATTTGCATATGATCTAGAAGCAAAAGCAAACAGTTTGGTGAGTTCAAATCGTCCGGTTAAATACTGTAGTAGTTGTAGATGTCAAATGTCAGTACCATTCTTAGGGAAGCTGCTGGAGAGGTTCCTCACACTGTGAGTAATCCCTTGTTCATAAACACCTCTCTTGTGTGTGTCATTACGTTTCCGTCCACAGCCATTGCCATGTGTCCCAAACCCCTCTGAGCCTTGAATGTTGCCAGGATGGTGTCGGGTTGATGCAGGGCAGGTGAAACCTGCTTTATTGAGGCAGTGGCAGGGTTACAGCTCAGAGACTGCTCTTCTGGAGGGGGGCTACCCCATAGGCAGTGTGCAGAAAGTAGCAGCCTAGGGACAGTTTTGTAGTCTTATTTATAACCGCTTTCAATGGAATGCTAATTAAGTGGCAGGTTGTTCAGAAATAGCTAGAAAATGAGTGGTAACTTCCCAGTGTTGCCATGGCAATGGTTAGCTGTCATGGCGCTGGCGGGCATGCCTTATGGTGATGGACAGGGAGAGGTGCTTTGGGCTCCTCTTTCTGGTTTCCGCCAGTCTTCAGTCTGGTCCGGAGTCCCACCTGCCTTCTATCTCAAGATGACTGCAGCCTTCCACCCTCTGCTCTGAGTGCGGGCACCCTCACTACTTTAGCTCTGGATCTGTTTCCACCTCTGTCAACCCCTCCACTTCTAAACACACCCGCCCATGCACACAGGTTGTTTTCCTGCTGTGTAGGGAATAGTACCTGGGGCTGTGGGAGGAAGATTTCATGTGTTGCTTTGAGTTACCAATAGTAAGTGATGAGGGAAGGCAGAGGTACCACCCCAGCCCCATAAGCTTCCCCTTTCAACTCCTCTGCTGGTTGGTGACTACTTGGCCTTAACTGGCCCCGTCCAAGAAGCAGCACGCCATGGTGACGAGGAACCTGGGCTCTTGAAGAAGACCTGGGTCTAAGTCTTGACTCGGTATAGGAGCTTAGGCAAGTTATTTCTCCCTTCTGCCTTAGTTTCCTCATCTGTAAAATGGGGTAATGGTATCTACCTTATAGGATTGTTATTCATTAATAAATTAAACATTCATTGAGTGTGGGTTAAATAAAAATTTCTCTATGGGTCCTTGGTTTTCTCACCTGTAAAATGGGAAACTGAGAGTGGCTGTATCATGGTGAGGTGGAGAGAACACAGTCTCTGGCACTCAGGAAGGGCTCTTGGGTGTGGGTTATTGCTGAGAGTCCATGGTTCTGTGCTTTGAAGGAGGGTGTCTTGGCACTATCCCTCACACCAGCCCCCATGCCCACTCACAGCCATCATTGCATGCTTATGTCATGGCAGCCCTCCTGGCTACACAGGGCCCCTGAGGATAGCGAGAGTGCTTTGAGTCTGGAAAGATGGTATTGATCTTTGTTTTTTATTCTTTTTGTAGCCCCCAGGAAATTTGAGGAACTCCCTGAAAAGAGATGCACAAACTATTAAAACAATTCACCAGCAACGAGTCCTTCCTATAGAACAATCACTGGTAACAGTCAACGACGTATTGTATTTCACTGTGACCTGAGCAAAATCTACTGCAGCTAGTTGGCTTTCATTTAGCCTCACGACACATGCTCATCTCTCATAGGTCCCAGCTGACTGGCTTCAGCCCCAGAAGTTGAGCTGGCCTTTAGACAAAATAATTGCACCTCCCTCTGCTGCTTATTCCCTTCCGTTTTTCATTTGAGTGTGAACAGTTAGATAAAATCTGTGGCTGTCTCTTCCACCTTGCTCTAGTTTCCATTGCTGTGAGCAGGCCCTCCTATGCCCCGCATTTAGCTACAATGCTGTGGACTCACTTGATTCTTTTTCTCCGAGCTTTGTCTAGAAATATGTGAAGGTGAGGTTAAGTGCTTCTCTGTGTAGATCCACTTAGCCCTGTCTGCTGTCTCGATGGGCGTTGCTTCGTCTCTCCTCTCTTCCATCCTTTCCATTTGCTTCTCACCACCTTCTGGCTTCTTTTCTTAATGCAATAAAGGCAGTTTCTAACAAAGAAAGAATGTGGGCTTTGGAGTTAGACAGACCTGGTTTTAAATTCTGCTTCTGGCTCTCCAAACTATTGTAGCTTCTCAGTTTCCTCATCTAAAAATGTTGGGATCAATAACTGCCTTGCTCTTACCTGTTCATGGAAATGAAGGACCTGACCTCAGAGGATCTCAGTAAAGAGGAGGAATTATTATATTATGCTTGTGTGTGGGCCGTATTTGTAGCCATCAAGGAGAGAAGTGTGTGGAAACTGGGTTACTGAATCAGCTTGCTCAGGTTTGGACAAGCAAGTAAATCCACTTAGCCCCAACATCCAAACATCCGAACATCCCAACCACTAAACTTCCCAGAACTAATTTCCAATACTCTTTTTTTCTCTCTCGATTTCCTAATTTATTAGATTATTCACAAAGTCCTGTCACTGAATTTTCTTAATTTGTGTCCAGTGCTATTTACAATTTTCTGTAACTGGTTTATGCCTAACACAAATTTGTTAACATTTTAAGCTGGTTTTGCATTTTTTTAAATGCTTTTTTCCCAAGTACACAGGACCCTTTGGCCTTTTCAGAGCTAGGGCAACCTGTCCACAAATAGGCAGAGTGCTTCCTACCTGAGACCTATGATCTAAACCAGGGGTTGGCAAACTAGGGACCCTGCAAACTACAGCCTGCAGGCTAAATTCAGCCTACCAGCAGTTTTTGTAAATAAAATTGTATTGGAATATGGCCACACCCACTCATTTGCAAACTCTCTGTGGCTGCTTTTGATTACAAGGACAAAGTTGAGTAGTTGGGACTATGGCAGATAAAACCTAAAGTGTTTACTCTGGTGTTTTACAGATAAAGTTTGTCAACCTCCTGTCTAAACCATTCAGGTTAACCACTCTTGCGGGGCAGGCTCTGCTTTAAATAATGCCTTCCACTTTGATCAAACCTAATTCAAAGGGATTTCTTGGATGCCTCACATGTGATTTGCTGTTCTTCACAGCTTTAGGATATGTATCCAATGTTTTCTTCAGGTTTTCTTACACCAGAGGCATAGAAAGTACACATTGTTGGCCAGGCGCGGTGGCTCACACCTGTAATCCCAGCACTTTGGGAGGCCGAGGCGGGTGGATCACCAGGTCAGGAGATCGAGACCATCTTGGCTAACACGGTGAAACCCCGTCTCTACTAAAAATACAAAAAATTAGCCGGGCGTGGTGGAGGACGCCTGTAGTCCCAGCTACTCAGGAGGCTGAGGCAGGAGAATGGCGTGAACCCAGGAGGCGGAGCTTGCAGTGAGCTGAGATCGTGCCACTGCACTCCAGCCTGGGTGACAGAGCGAGACTCCATCTCAAAAAAAAAAAAAAAAAGAAAGTACACATTGTTAATTGTGTTGGTTATTTTTTCTAGAATGAAACCATTACAGTGTAAAGACAGATTTGATGGCTATCTTGTGGGAAGGGAGGACACAAGGTATGTGATCTTGCTGCTTCATGTAATAATTTTGGAAATATTATCTGTTTCTTGCCAGAGCACTCTATACCAAAGCGTCAAGATACTTCAACGCACAGGGAATGGATTGTTGGTAAGGGTTTACTTTGTTTTCTGTCATGGGGTTTTGTTATAAAATACCACACAAAGAATGCTAGAAATGTGGATTTTTGTAGGTACTTTAAGTTGAAAAAAAAAGCCTCAGTTATCTACCTATTTTAAATAGCAAATTGGGCTTTCCTACTATTTCCTTTCTACAAGTACTTCTCTAAGTGCAGACCTCATCTTAGCAGGCTATTAGATACATAGGTGAAATCTATGTTTTGATGTGTAGGATGCAAGCTTGGAAGGTACATTGGTCCCTTTCACAGAGATAATGCTGCCTAACACACAATCCCAAACCTCAGTGCCTTCTAAGTATAAATGTTCATTTTCCCTGCTGGTTTGACAGCAGGCTTCTCTACACATCTTCCCATTGAGAGACCCGGCCTGAAGGAGCAGCTCCTGTCTGGGGCACCTCATGTCCTCATAGTGGAGGACAGGAGTTCAGGGGATGAGTGGAGGCACAGGTTGTCCTTTAAGCTCAGAATGGGCACCCTGCCCCTTCACCAGCGTTCCATTGGCCAAAGCAAGTCACATGGTCACACACATCGTCGTCTGGCTGGGGAAGTATACTCCACGCTCTGGGAAGCCATCCAAGGAGCATATCAATAATCCTGAACAGCTAATGCAATCTACCTACCACAGGGGCCATGTGTGGGCTGCAAGCATTCCCTCAGCAGACACAGAGCTGCAAGGCTGGGTTGTATTCATCTTGTATCTACAGTACCAATGGGCAACTCAGAAGATATTTTTTCATTGAACGGAATAGTCTGTACATGACAGGTTTTGGGTATCAGCCCCACAGGATAAAACTAAATGTTCCTCCTTCCACTTTTCTCAGTGAGACCAACATCATGGCTCAGCTCCTTTGAAGATGTTTAGATTTACTCTGCTCCAGGACCCTCGCTATGCCTCTGATCACAGTTGCCATTTCATAGGTGTGTGTCTCATGCCAGGGGAACCTGGAAACACACCAGTGACTACGTGCAGGTGCTTTGCTACCTCTGTGAACAGGGCGAGGGTGTGCAGTGGTGCAAGGCCTTTCATGAGGGGCCCAGCCAAGGGGGTTAGTCGAGGGCAGAAACTGGCCATTGACTGAGTTGCCAGGCTCTGTGCCCTGAGGTCCCTGGGCAGAAAAGGCCCCATTTCCAATTTGCACCAAGCTGCCATGTGGGTTGGCAGAGGACTCGTCTTTGCTTGTGTTGTAGTGCAAAGACTATGGGTTTTGTAGTGAAAAAAAAAAAAGTTCGGTGCAAATCCCAGCATTGTCGTATGTTTCCCCAGCATGGTGACCGTGAAGAGGCTGAGCTGCCTCATTTGTGAAGGGAACCTAACAAACAGTACCTTCCTTCCTGCCTCGTTGTGAGTTTCCAGCAAGTCCAGCAAGGCCATTCCTATCAAGGACTAGCCCAGTGTCTGGGCTAGAGTAAATGCTCACTTTCAGCTCATCTCCTTCCCTGCCCTCAGGGGCCTGGGTGGGTTCTGTCTTCCTCTTAACTAGCAGGTCCAGGTCGTGGTGTTGCAGAGCTGAGTTACAGTACTTGAATCAATATGCAAATTGTCTAATTAAAACTTTCTATGACTTGATACCCTGATAACTGTGGCTGTGTCTTTCAGGAGAGAGTAACTAGGATTCTAGCTTCTCTGGATTTTGCTCAGAACTTCATCACAAACAATACTTCCTCTGTTATTATTGAGGTGAGCCTTCTTTTTTAAAGTAAGCGTGTCCATAAGTGGGCACTTGAATGTTACAGATTAAATATTTATAATGTTTAAGTATGCTGTCATCATTTTAATGCTTCTACTCATCTTTTGTTTCTTTCCAGGAAACTAAGAAGTATGGGAGAACAATAATAGGATATTTTGAACATTATCTGCAGTGGATCGAGTTCTCTGTAAGTAGTTTATCTTTTATGAATGTTAAGGGGGGTCAAGTTTCAGGATAGCCATTTTCTAGGGTAAAATCTGGAAGAAATAAAATTAAATTTCCCATAATTTGGTAGGAAGTAAGTGAAAGGACATTGATGTGCAGGACCAAGACTTCTGGGGCTTCCCACCAGGTCAGAGGACAGCCACCTCCTGGTCCCCTTTGCTCACCTTTGCCATATGCAGTTCTTCCATTTGCTTCCCACCCCCTTTTTCAGGTAACAAAGGGGCCAGGTAACAAATTTGAACTAAAACACTATGCTGGGCACGAGAACTTTTTAATTCTCTCAGAGTCCTGTAGGCTGGGTCTCACTGTTCCAAAACAAATGAGGAAACTGGAAACCGAGGCTCAGAGAGAATAAGGATCTTGCTTTAAAATATATACAATTGTCCCTCAGTATCCATGGGTTATTCGTTCCAGAGTCCCCTGCAGATACCAAAATCCTTGGGTGCTCAAGTCCCTTATATAAAAGATATAGTTATTTGCACATAACCTATGCACATCCTCCTGTGTGCTTTAAATCTCTCTAGATTACTTATAATACCTAATACAATGTACATGCTATGTAAATAGTTGGTATACTGTATTAAAAAAAGTCTGTACATGTTCAGTAAAGGTACAACTATCCATTGTTTTCTGAATATGTTTTAATCTATGATTGGTTGAATCCATGGATGCAGAATTCAGGGATATGGAGGGCCGACTGTAACTGTATATGCAGAACTCATCCATGCACATCAGCCGTCAGTTCCATGTCTTAGAGCAGCAGTCCCCAGCCTTTTTGGCACCAGGGACTGGTTTAGTGGAAGACAGTTTTTCCACAGGCCGGGGGTGGAGGTAGTTTCAGGATGATTCAAGGGCATTACATTTATAGTGCACTTTATTTCTATTATTAATACATTGTAATATATAATGAAATAATTATGCAATTCACCACAGTGTAGAATCAGTGGGAGTAATGGGAGACAGTGACAGATCATCAGGCATTAGATTCTCATAAGGAGCACAATTGAGATTCCTCGCATGTGCAGTTCCACAATAGGGTTCATGCTCCTATGAGAATCTAATGCTGCTGCTGCTCTGACAGGAGGTGGAGCTCAGGCAGTAACATAAGAGATGAGGAGCAGCTGTAAATACAGGTGAAGCTTTGCTTGCTCACCCGCCCCTCACTTCCTGCTGTGGAGCCCAGTTCCTAACAGGCTGTGGACCGGTACTAGCTGGTATCCATCTGTGACCCAGGAGTTGGGGACCCCTGTCTTAGAGGACATGGAGATCCTTTTTGTGACACCAAGTCAAAAGTAAATGGCACGTCTCATTCCTTTGGGTTTTTGTGGATGCAGCTCAAAGTTTCCCTGTGTTTCCACCCCCCTAGATCAGTGAGAAAGTGGCATCGTGCAAACCTGTGGCCACCGCTCTAGATACTGCTGTTGATGTCTTTCTGTGTAGCTACATTATCGACCCCTTGGTAAGATTTCATCTTTCAAAAGAAGACACAATGAATCCATCATCTTTGGTTGTTTTTCTGGATTATGATATACATTATAATATTTGTTTTCTGCTTGAGAGAATCCAAAACCTAAAATGTAATATTTTGATCAGTGTATTGAGATGCTAATAGACTAGAAAAGTCAAAGTTCTGGGCGGTTGTCTTCTTTCCTCACTAGGATTATATTTATGAGTCAGGAGACCTGCAGGGAGAAAACTCCTGTTAGTTCAGAATAATCAGAAAGACAGTCACGGGTGTGCAGATTTCTCATCTTCAAAAGAATACTCAGTACAACTACATTTACAACCCCAAAGTTGCATCAAATTTCATTTGTCATTAAAAAGCCCTTAGAAATGTGACTATTGGGATGGTAAGTTCCAGTTAGTCAGGCTTAATCCTCAGCTCTGTTCCCTCCTCAACAGATGCTGACTCTCTCTGTGAGTGGATCCTCTCCCTCTGCTGAAAGCACCTCAGTGGCTTCCCATTGCTATCTAAAGATCAGGATTCCTCATAGCCCATACTAGGCTCTGCATGGCTGAGCCTCCCCATTCCAGATCTCACTGTGTGCTCTCTGCCTGCCCGCCTTTCTTTCTGTGCTCCAGACATACTCATCTTCTTTCACTTCATCAAATAAATCTCAATTTCCCCACCTTAGGGCCCATGCACATGCCGTTTCTTCTGCCTGGACTGGAGATGGGCACACGCCGCCTTTCTCTTTCTCTCTCCTCTTCCGCTTCCCACCTACCCACTCCCCACTTTAAGACCTAACTCCTCCAGGTCTGGTAACACAATGGTGGAGAACATCAACTCTGAATGAAAATTCCACTTCTACATTTTCAGAACTCTGTGACTTTGAAAAATTCCTGAAATTTTCTGAGTTCCTCGCCTACATGGGCTGTTTTGATGATTCAGTGAGAGGTCACATGTGAAGCCCTTCACGCTGTTGGAACATCAGCACTCAATGAATATTCACTACTATTGTTGTTCCGCCTTCAGGTCTTAGCTCAAACATGTCTTTTTTCCAGGAAGCCTTTTCTGATCCCCAAAACTAGGCTGAGCTCCGTTTTCCTCATTCCTGTAGAACTCTATGCTTTTCCTTTAGAGATGTTATTGCTGTTTCAATTACATATTTATATGTTTCTTTGATTAAGACCTGTCTCTCCAGCACACTCTAGACTCTCCACTCCATGAGTCACCAGTGCATTCAAGGCTGTGTCCCTGTTGTCTGGCATAATACCTGGCACAGAGTATCACTGATGCATTGTCAGGTAGCTCTCTGGCACAGTTCATCCCTATTGCCCTGTCTGTCCACCTCCCTCGTTCACTTGTCCATCTGTCTGCTGGAGGGTCTTTCATGCCTGAGTGAAAAGGATTCTGCCTCCGACCCAACCACGCAGACCCTAGGCCCTGCTTCCTGGATGCTTCCTTCTTCTTGCAACTACTTTTCTTGTCCTGTGCTTGGTGGCCCCTGCCGCCAGCTTTGGCTGAAGCCTTCATTAGGGGAGTCCAGAGCCAACCTGCTTGATTCTGAATTGACGTCTCTCTATGTCCAGCCTCCACCACCCACCCCATTCAGTCGAACCACATAGCCACCAGATGCCTTTCCACAGATCACCAGGGACAGAGGGGAGGCCTAGAGGCTGCTCAGGAAGATCATAGGCTGGAGCTGTGTAGCAGAGGGTTTACATCGTAAGGAAGAGCTCTGGGCATCCATTTAGTCAATACGATAGACTGTGGGCTAGCTAACATGTTTATTTTGTATCTCAATTGTCCCCAAAAGGATTGAGGCAGCTTCCAGAAAAAGGATAAGGTTGTTATAAAGTTATAAAGCTTCTCAAGACAAGGTTGAAAACAGAAATCTAACAGAACATAGAGGGAAGGGGGAACAAATTGACTGGAAGTTAGGAGCCAAGAGGTGGTGCCACCTCTGTAATTCTGAACTCAGCCAGGAGCAAAGCAGAAATGCAGGGTCAAGCTGTGAGGGTGAAGCAGGTGTTATTTCCAAGTGGCATTTGGCCTCATGGTGGGCTGGGGAGAGTCGTTCTAGTGTTACTGACAGCATTATTCTAAGGCAGGGATATTGTCAGACTCGAACTTACGTAGGAAGTTGGCAGGTTGTAGATTTACATAGCAGGCCAAGTGTAGGATGCTGGCCAGAGTGGCATTCAGCCCGTGACATCTATACATTGTGTGTTTGTCCTGATTGGTCCATAAGGTTACATCATTTGGAATATCACCTTGCAGATGTGAGTGGTGTAGACTGTGTCACCACTGAGGACAAATGTCCCCTTGAAGGAAGAACCACTTCCAGACTCTTGCTTTGTGGGAATAAGGGTTCAATGTTAAGAGATGGAACTTTAGAATTTTCAAGAAAGGATGTAAATCCAGGTTTACATGTGAAATCTGACTTAAAAATGTTGGCAACTATTTAAAAAAGGATACTTTAACATTGCTCTTTAGACAAAACATGGTCATCTACCTTCTATATACCTTCAAGATTGGTTAAATTAAACGTGAAACATTGATTGAGACCCTAGCATGCAGTGAACATTGTTTCTAACTTCTTGACACAGTAATGTCATGGAATGAAGATGCAAGCATCTCAGCTGCTCAGATGCAGAACAAAGCCAGAAGGGTTAATTTGTCATCTTTTTTTTTTTTCTTTTTTTTGAGATAGAGTCTCGTTCTGTTGCCCAGGCTGGAGTGCAGTGGTGCAATCTCGGTTCACTGCAACCTCCGCCTCCTGGGTTCACGTGATTCTCCTGCCTCAGCCTCCCGAGTAGCTGGGATTACAGGCACACACCACCATGCCTGGCTAATTTTTTGTCTATTTTTAGTAGAGACGGGGTTTCACTACGTTGGCCAGAATGGTCTCGACCTCCTAACCTCGTGATCCGCCTGCCTCGGCCTCCCAAAGTGCTGAGATTACAGGAATGAGCCACCGCACCTGGCTAATTTGTCATCTTAATAACAAACAACTCAGCCAGGCGCGGTGGCTCACGCCTGTAATCTCAGCACTTTGGGAGGCCGAGGTGGGCAGATAATGAGGTCAGGGGATCCAGACCATCCTGGCTAACCCGGTGAAACCCCGTCTCTACTAAAAATACAAAAAATCAGCCAGGCGTGGTGGCGGACGCCTGTAGCCCCAGCTACTCAGGAGGCTGAGGCAGGAGAATGGCATGAACCCAGGAGGCGGAGCTTGCAGTGAGCCGAGATCGCACCACTGCACTCTAGCCTGGGCGACAGAGTGAGATTCTGTCTAAAATAATAAATAAATAAATAAATAAATAAATAACAACTCATAAGAGGGACTGAAACTCAAACCTGCTGGCCATCCATGCTCTGATTACTGGATGGTCGGGCAACAAAGGGAATCTGTTTGGGGTGGTTAGAAGTTGGGTTGGAGTGGCCTAGATTCGCATCCTGGCTTTACCACTTGCTGTTTCTGCTCCTCGTTTGTAAAATAAACATAATAATAGGATCTACTCAAGGTTTTTAGAAAGATGAAATGAATCCTAACAATGTGCGTAGCACTTCACACAGTGCCTGGTCCACATGACATTCTCAAATTGTTTTAAAGAACAAAATGACAACTCATTTTTAAAAATTCCAAAAAAAAAAAAAAAAAAAAAAAATCCCCCAAACAACTGTTTTTCCCATTTCTTATCTTCAAACATTTAATTCTTCTGATTTTTTTTTCCTAGAATTTGTTTTGGTTTGGCATAGGAAAAGCTACTGTATTTTTACTTCCGGCTCTAATTTTTGCGGTAAAACTGGCTAAGTACTATCGTCGAATGGATTCGGAGGACGTGTACGATGAGTAAGTATGTGGGCTTCCACAGACGTGGGGGTCATTTTCTAGGTGGTGCTGTCTTCAAAGAGTTGCTAAAGATGAGTTCTGATGAGGTTAAAGTTGATTTCTTTTTTTTTTTTTTTTTAGTAGTAGTTGGGTCACTTCTGTTCAGGTGAATTTTTTTTTCTTGGTACTGATTTTTCTATACTTGTTTTAACTACTTTTTTCCTCTTGCTTAATCCTCTCAGCTTCCCTAACCAGCCTTTTTATTTCTTGTTTGCAGTTCCTCTCTCTCGGGGACCTGGCATTTCACTTTATGATAACTGTTTTTACACTTTCCATTTTGGCTCTGTAGTCTGCCCCTCATTCTGTGTCTGGTGAATGTGTATGCCTTGTTTTTCACTTCACTTATCTTTCAACATGGGTCTTTCCTGAGTTTGCACTGTCAGTATCCGTGTTAGAGTAAATATTTGGGGGATGTAGTTGCTGAGCTTTCATAATAATTAAAAAAATTAATTTTATCTCCCTTTTTTGTATTTTATAGTGTTGAAACTATACCCATGAAAAAGTAAGCCTTTTTAAAAAAACTATATTCCTAGATGGGATGGGGGAGGTTGATATTATTATGTAATGGACTTTAAAAATTAAGTTATTAACATCTTAAAATTATGTAGAAACAGCAGATCTGTACAGGCAAAAATAAATTGCAATGGTCTTAAAAAGAGGGTTGGCACATAGAGGGTGCTCAAGAAATACTTGATGAATTAATGAAATTTTATATGTTAAGTTTATTAATCTATAAAGTAGTCCTTTGGTCTTTGAAGTTTAAAAGGAGCAAAATGTCAATTACTCATTTGTCTTTTTTTTAGATTTAACAAATTGTTACATACTTTTCATGACCATTACATTGTCTTTGTAATCCATGATGTAAATACTTCATCTTAGAGATAACATGGTGTTTTTGGTGTATTTATTTCTGTTACAGTATGGAAAATGGTAATAATGGTTATCATAAAGATCATGTATATGGTATTCACAATCCTGTTATGACAAGGTAAAGCAAAGTCTGGAAGTGCATGCCCGCCCTATGATAAACCGTCTCATCTCCTATAGATCAGCACTGAATTTTCTGCATGCTGCTGATGCCTTCACTTCTCTCTGTATGATACTTTATCAATGCTAGTCTCCAATCATGCTCTACATAGTGTTCCATGATGCCATGAGTTTAAATGTTCAGTCGATTTCTAAACAATGGAATTATTCAGCAACTAAAATTTGGTGTCATCTTAAAATGCTATGTATGGCTGTAGATCATTACAGATTAAATGCATGCATACCTTGCATTTAGAATTTCTCTGCACCAAATAACCTGAGTAGTTACAGTTTTCAAAGCTTTTCCTTCCTTCCTTCTTTCTTTCCTTCCTTCCTTCCTTCCTTCTTTCCTTCCTTCCTTCCTTTTTTCCTTCCTTCCAATAAATTAACTGTAACCAACCAGAAAAAGAACCTCAATTATTCCTCCGAAATCTTTATGAATTTACATTCTCTAGAATTAAGGAGCTTCTGTGGTTCTGGATATATCATATGTCAGGTAACTCTGAGCTTTGCTTGCCAGAGGTCGGTCCTCTTCTGAGGCTCTACTAAGAATTCAGACCCACACGTCAGCCAGGGACCTATCTGCTTATAAGAGGTGGAGACATAGTGTGCAGGGCAGCAGGGCAGCAGTGGGCTGTCCTCTTCAGTGGGCGTGATCCTTCCCACGCCCATACAGCTGGCCCGCCAGTGCTCCCCCGAGCCCGCTCCCCACAGTGATGTCTCAGATGCAAAAGGGTGAGTCTAACGTTGGTGCATGGGGGAGATCCACCTTAGAAGGCCCACGCTCCACATGGGAGGCATCCAGTTAAAAGTGCCCACATTCAGGTAAGCCCACAGCTTTGGCTTCACACCAGGTATTTATATTTAGAGCCTCCCAGGCCAGAAGCTGCTTACCAGTCAGGCACATCCTTATCTTAAGCAATATTACCTAGTAACAGTTGATGCTCCACCTTGGTCAGATTTCAAGATGAACAGAACCAGAAAGTCATTAAAATTTGTCCTTTCAAGAGGTAAATGGCTTCCTGAACTTAAAACTTTGAACATTGTAAAAAAATCAGAACTTTTCATTATGATTTTCCATTTAGGGGAAGAGAAGTTAACTGAGTGCATTCCAGCTGCTATAATGAAATGCCTTAAACTGGGTAGCTTATAAACATCAGGGTTTATTTCTCACAGTTCTGGAGGCTGGAATACAAGATCAAGGTGCCATCAGATTCGGTGTCCGGTGAAGGACCACTTTCTCATAGGTGGCGTTGTCTTGCCAAATCCTCACATGGTGGAAAGGGCAAGCTGGCTCCTTGGGGTCTATTCTCTAAGGGCGTTAATGAGAGACTAATGAGGGCTTTGCCTTCATGACCTAAAGCGTCACCGTGATTATGACGTCAATGTATGAATTTTAAGAGTGCACAAACATTCAGATCAGAGAAGAAATGGTGATAATTAAAAAAATCAAGTTCTTGGCCAAGCGCGGTGGCTCATGCCTGTAATCCCAGCACATTGGGAAGCCGAGGCGGGTGGATCACGAGGTCAGGAGATCAAGACCATCCTGGCTAACACGGTGAAACCTTGTCTCTACTAAAAATACAAAAAATTAGCCAGGTATGGTGGCACACGCCTGTAGTCCCTGCTACTTGGGAGGCTGAGGCAGGAGAATCACTTGAACCCGGGAGGCAGAGGTTGCAGTGAGCTGAGATCGTGCCACTGCATTCCAGCCTGGGTGACAGAGGGAGACTCTGTCTCTAAATAAATAAATAAAGTCATGAAATGGCAAATTGACTTCATCTCATCTGATACTTCCAGTATGCAAGGCTTGGTGGCTAGAGTGCTGTGTTGTGACAGAGTTGAAGATCGATTTAAGTATCAATTAGCCAGGTGTGCTCTGGGGAGAGTAGACAGTACGGCTGCCTGCATAATGTCCTGGCCTTCCTTTTTGCGGTGTAGCATGCTTGGAGGGTGTCTTATATATATGGACTGAAATTTTCAAGATCAGAGGACAGCTGTTCTCAATTACCTATGTTGCCCTAACATCGGATCTTCTAGGACTGCTTTGAATTTGTAGAATTGCTTCCTGGTGTTTGCCTGTTGGTTGTGAAGGCACTGAAAGTACTCTCTGTTCTAAGAAGAGTCATCCAGGCTGCCTGGAAGATGCTAGAGAGAGAGATGCAAGCCTGGGTGGAGGCTGCCACAGGCAGGCTTTCTGGAAGCAGTGCTCAAATGGAGTTTGGAGTGCAGGATGTTTATGAGGAGCCATGGTTGTGAAAAAAAGGGGGAGAAGTCAAGGTTGGCCTGCCAAAGCCTTGGCCCGACTAGGCAGGAGCTCTGGATCAAGCATGGCCTGTAGGGAGTTGCCCACACTGGGCTAATCATTACAGATTAGCTAAGTCTTTGCACCCCCTCCTCCCCCAGTCACTGCTCCCAGGGCTGGAGCAGCACTGCCATAGAGCTGTAGGCTCTGCTGTCAGAGTGGTAGGCTCTGACAGCTGGAGGCTCTCTGCTGACCATGCTGCCCCCAGCTGGAGGCAAGTCATTCCTAAAAGGGAATCTAGAAGGCACAACTCCACGGCTCCCTGAGAAGCAGATGCACTGGTAGGCCTGGAAGAATGTGCTGCATCCAATAAGTCCTCCTGCAATTGAAAGGGAGGTGTCAGTGTGCAAGTTGACAAGACAGCCTTTGAGATGCCAGGGTCCTCTCAGCACACCAGTACTGCCACAGACCTTTGTCACTTAGGCATGATCATCACAGCCAACTGGACTCTGGCTAATCCCCAGCTTCAGATCTGAGTGCTGGAAATAGGCAGGCGTCAGCTGTCTTCTGTCTTATGCCACCACGTGAGACCTTTCCCACAAAGGAGGGTAGACTTCCAGTTCTAGCATCTAGAAGAGAATAACCGAGCACCTATTAGTGCCACAGATGTCCTGCGTGTAGCGTCAAAGACTTAATTCTCTAGGCTCAAGAAGGTTGTCGTAGCTCTCCTTATTTACTAGTTTTTACTCACATTGCTGGAACAGCATAAGACTTGATAACTCTTGGATTTAACTTGCTGTACAAGAAAAAAGGCATGATGATGGAAAACAGGAAAATGTTAGAAAACAGCCCTAGTCGGTGTTGAGAAATGCCACTCTTCTCACTTGCTAATGAACATTTCATCTTGGGCTTTTAGTGTTGAAATTCGAACTAGATTAAATGCCATTGTTCTATTAAATACATAAATGAAGCTTTAGGATGATTCTGTGGTCATTCTGCTTACGACAGACATTGGAAGGACTTGTCTTTGTTAAGGGCCTAGCACTTCATACACCTGTGAAGCCTGGGGCTAGGGATATACTAATGTTGGACGTCCTTCCTTAACGGTCCACAGCACACTTGAATTTTTTTCTACTTTCTATATTCTGTGTTCTATAGTAGAACTCCAAGGGTGGGTTGAAGTGTTTTGTTTCAGTAAGAGAAGAATCCCAAAGACTGAGTGACACCTTATGTGAGTTTCGCTGAAGCATCTTTCATGGTAACAATTAAATCGAGACTTGTTTTCATTCCTGCACACCCACCTCCAGTGGGAACCCTGGCAAGTCTCCTGGATGTTCAGCCCGTCTACAGGCAGTCAGTGAAGAATCATAGTTTTGATTTGGTTTATTTGCAGAAGGTTAGGAAATGACATCCCAGAAACTCTAGGGACATTGGGACACCTTTCTTTTCCACCCAGACCCTCCTAGAGGTCCCAGGGGTCTGAGTTGGAGTGGATTCTAGCTCTGCCTCCATGTGTCATTGTGGAAGTGCTATTTAATGTCCTTGAGACTCAGTTTTCTCACTTGTAGAAGGAGGGAATAATAAGAGCTTTGAGGCTGGGTGTGGTGGCTCACGCCTGTAATCCCAGCACTTTGGGAGGCCAAGGCAGGCAAATCACAAGGTCAGGAGTTTGAGACCAGCCTGGCCAACATGGTGAAACCTCATCTCTACTAAAAATACAAAAAATTAGCTGGGCGTAGTGGCGGGCACCTGTAATCCCAGCTACTTGGGAGGCTGAGGCAGGAGAATCGCTTGAACCCGGGAGGCGGAGGTTGCAGTGAGCTGAGATTGCACCACCGCACTCCATCCAGGACGACAGAGTGAGACTCCGTCTCAATAAATAAATAAAAATAAGAGCCTTGTTTGCGTAGGGTTGTGAGGGTTCAATGAGGTAACAAGGCAAAACATTCACCCTTTGACCACTGTAAACCCTTACTTAAGGGTTTGTGGTTCACTATAATGACCATAATCTTTTCTTATTACCTTAACATTTCCAATGGAAGGAACCCAAAGGTGATTCAGAAGATAACTAAGTGTGGCTCTAATCTGTTAGCTGAGCCAGCTCCACTTAGCTTCCATTGATGACACCAACTGGGCTCTGGATATTAGCCGACACCTCATGATACCTTCTGTACAAATGAGCCCGAATTGGTGCCTCCTTCACACAGCTTGAGACTGTGATTTCCCCCAGTGTTTATCGCCAACAGTTTTCAGGTGTTGCCTGCATTTCAGGACAAAGCTAGGTTTAGGAGGAAAATGATCAGTGCAAAGAGAAGGTGCTAGGCTATTCTAGAAAAGACTCTGGCTGATGCGGTGGCTCACGCCTTTAATCCCAGCACCTTGGGAGGCTGAGGACAGAGGATCACTTGAGCCCAGGAGTTCAAAACCAGCCTGGGCAACACAACAAGACCCTGTGTTTATAAATGAAAAAAAAAATTATTTAATGTAAGAACAAAAGAAAAGCCTTCTGCAAACCAGGACACTAGTACTTACCAAGTGAGGAGCAGTTTGACAACTAATATTGCTTCATGGAGCGTTTCCCAGGAGAATTCTCTTAAATAAGAACCATGAAGTGGGCTGCTTCTGAGTGGCAAACTCAGTTTCATAAACTAGTTTTTTTTGGTCTCTTTTTCTTTTATTTCTATTTATTTCTTAAACACACACACGCACACTGTAATTAGTCCATTATACAGTCTGTGGCTGTTTGCTTTTGTTTGAAGGAAAAGTTAATAGACTTTCATATAAACCTACGTAAGCCTGGATTTTTTTTTTCCAACGATGCTTCTGTCTCCCACAGTCTGCGGAGCAAGTGGAGGCATTTTCATTTCAGGAAATATTGGGTGACTTGTTTCTGAATCTTCTTCCTGGCCTTTCATGGATCACTAGAGGTCACTCGGATTGTGATCTTTCAGCTGCTAGGGAGTTCTTTAGAGAGAGAGAGAGAGAGAGAGAGAAAGAGAGAGAGTGTGTGTGTCTGTGTGTGTGTGTCTGTATGTGTGTGTGTAAACTTACTCTTTCTAGCTCTGAGATGAGAGATCAGGAGAGAAAGTTGCTTCCTGTGAGACCACAAAGGCTTGAGAGCAAACAAACACCAGTGTTGGTCCAGCAGCCCCAGGAACCGGGCAGGATGACCACCCTGCCTCATCCTGCGCAGTCCCCACATCGGCCCTCTATGGCTGTCGTCACCGCCTTGTTGTCTGTCTTTTGCAGATAGACTCAGGGACGTGTAGGCCATGCCCAGGTCTCTACAGCTAGCCAGGGCCAAGCTATGATTTGAGCTATTTCTCCTATTCTCCCAAAGGCAGGTGGGCAAAGAAAAGTTCCCAAAACGGGTGGAAAGACCACAGAAAAATTTGATTATTTTTCCCAGTCTTCACTCTGAAGACTATCAAATTGGCAGAAAGGGGAACAAATAAGAGGCAAGTGTTGCTAGAAACTCTATCTGAAAAGGACAGAAATCTGATTTTCATATGAAATTACCCTTTTTAATGTTAGCAAACAATGTGGAGAAAAAAACACCATGGGGGCCCAACAAAATATGTCTGTGAACCACCTTCTTGCTAGTTCGGCTGTAGATGGTGTTCATTGTGCATGCTCTGTAGATTCTTTGCTGTTGTTGTTGTTTGAGACACAGATTCCACTCTGTCACACAGGCTGGAATGCAGTGGTGTGATCTCAGCTCACTGCAACCTCCACCTCCTGGGTTCAAGCGATTCTTGTGCTTCAGCCTCCTGAGTAGCTGGGATTACAGGCACACACCACCGTGCTCAGCTAATTTTTCTGTTATTAGTAGAGATGGAGTTTCACTATATTGGCCAGGCTGGTCTTGAACTCCTGACGTCAAGTGATCTACCCAAATTGCTAGATTACAGGCATGAGCCACTGCGCTTGGCCAGATTCTTAGATAGAAGTAGGAGGGGTCCGCATGGCTGCACCTCTGCAGCCTAGAGGAGGAAGCAGGTGGATCCCGGGGAATGCTACATAAACAGCAGCTGACCCTCACCTGTGTAGGTTCTGGCTGCATAGGTCTTGTAGAGGGTGCTTGGAGCCCCTTCCCTTGTGTGATGTTTCAGGTTCTTCGGGGGCCAGGACCTTCCTTTTTCTGTGAAGGGGATAGTGCATCATTGACAAACAGATTCCACCTCCTGGGCCAACTTCTCTCTGTTGTCCGGCTGCTCAGAGCCCTGTTGTGTTGTGTTGATTGAAATCTGGAGGTTTAATCCAGACTGACTCAAAAGTACTGTCATCAGTGTGTGATGTCTACTCTGGAGACAGGAGAGTCTCAGATGTCATGTATTGGCCTTCTTTATTTTATTGCTTTATTGTGTTGGGCACCCAGGAAGTTATCATTCAGAGCCCAAA
This sequence comes from Homo sapiens, assembly GCF_000001405.40. NCBI lineage: Eukaryota > Metazoa > Chordata > Mammalia > Primates > Hominidae > Homo > Homo sapiens. The sequence goes on along the minus strand of NC_000004.12, from coordinate 15,972,710 downwards.
TCCTAATGGCCTGAAGAAATGTATCCTCCAGTTATGGTCTCACCTAAGGCCCTTTGTTTCTCTTACATCAGGAGCTTCCAGGATTAGTTTTAGTTACTTGCTATAGTTTCAGTGTCCCCTCCAAAACTCATGTTGAGATTTAATTGCCATTGTGACTATATTAACAGGCGAGACCTTGGACAGGTGGTTAAGTCATGAGAGTTCTGCCTTCATAAATGGATTAATGCCATTATCATGGGAGTGGGCTCCTGATAAAAGGAGGAAGCTCGACCCCATTCCCTGTCTGTCTCTTGCACTCATTTGCCCTTCCATTATGGGATGATGCGTCATGAAAGCCCTCACCAGATGCCAGCACCAGGTTCTTGGACTTCGTGGCCTTCAGAACTGTGAAAAACATATTTTTTTCTTTGTAAGTTACCCAGTCTCTGATATTCTGTTATAGCAGCAGAAAACATACTAAGACACTGCTTAAATTGGCTTGTTTTGCTCATTTCCTGCTTCTGAGGTCTCCAGAGTTCCCTCTCTTCCAGGATAGGATGGATATACTGTCTGGAGGAGAGGCAATGCTAGGCAGGAGGAGAAGAACCAGTGATCCTGTTAGTGTGCCCAGCATCCCTCTGCTCAATAAGGCAAATGTAGATGTTCTTTGGAAATGATTGCCAGAGCCTACAGTCCTTCATAATGTTCAGCTCCAGGTCCTGGTGAGGTGGACAGTAACAAGAGATTGAGCCAGCCCCTGCTTGCACCCTTTTCCAGGGGCCCTTTGAGCCCTTTCGATAAAGAGTTTGTTTCTTTACCGAAAGCATAAAAGGTAGTGCAAGAAGAGGCACACAGAACCAAGCATGTGCACTTTCTAAAGTGAAAAACTTTAGAAGGAATGTCTTGCCTGGCAGATGCCCTGATGTCCTCCGTGCATGTCCTCCCCCAACCTCATGTGTCTGATGCAGCACTGCAGTGAGGCACGGTGGATCCTGCAGGTTCAGAGGGGTTGTGATCCACCTGAAGTCACAGTCGGGCAGGGTGTGCCAGAGTTGAAACTGCCGACCTTCCAGATGGAGTTCACTAGTCTCCCCCTGGCGTATACCTTTTTGGTTGTCAAGGCCATTATCACAGAGTCACTTTAGAGGACACTAGGGCTACTGTTGATGGTTCACCCAGAGAGCCACTTAGAGGCCGTGTGCACTGCCTGATCTTACACCCAGGAATTTGTAGTTGTAACAAGGTCCCTGCGGAACTTCCATTTGCTTCTGTCTTCTGTCCTAGAAGTGGACTTTAGAAAGACTCTTGTGGTAGACATGTGTACTGCTGTGTTGCTGCTGGTCTAATGTCTTCAACACGTATTCTTAGTGACTCTTAACACTTTTAACCTTAGATTGTGAATATTCACAATTCTTACTTGTCATAGTCTGTTTATCCTCTTTATCTTCTATGCTGTTTTTAAAAGCAATACAAACAGAAGCTAGAGTAACCAGTGTTTTGTCTGACACATTCTTCTTGATAAACTTTATGAGGTGTGGTTTATATTCGTCTGTACCTTTAGTCACATGCCTGCTTCTTAGCACAGAGGTGATGAAACCACCCACAGCTTTGTTGGGGGTATTATATTTCTTTATTTTTTTGTTTTTTAGCCCATCACAACATTGATAGCTGATGTTGAAACTGCTTGAGGTAAGTTTGATGCTTTCATTGAAGAGAATCTACAGGACTATAGTTTTTAGTTTTTAGAACATCAAAACATAGCTATTCCTAATACATTGCCACATTAAGTGGGAAATCTAGATCAGCATATTAGACAAGATATTTTATATGTCCAGTCCACCCTCTGTACCTGCAGGTTCCACATCCACCGATTGATTCAACCAACTGTGGATCAAAAATACTCTAAAAAAATTTTTTTTTAAATAACAGTACAAAAATAAAAATAATAAAAACAATACAGTATAACAGCTACTTACATAACACTTACATTGTATTAGGTATTTTGAGTGATCTAGAGATGATATACAGTATGTAGGAGGATGTGTGTAGCGGTCCTGGAACCAATCCCACATGGATCCAGAGGGACGACTGCATGTATACATACGATACAGTGACCCTCTCTGTATATATATGCATTGCTATATAAATGTGTGTGTATTTATATATATATATACACACACACAGTGAGTATGTGGGTGTATATTAAAAAAATAAAATTTTTTTACTTAAAAAGATAAGATTTTTTAAGTAAAAAAATAAGGGCTGGTGCGGTGGCTCACGCCTGTAATCCCAGCACTATGGGAGGCCGAGGCGGGCAGATCACTTGAGGTCAGGAGCTCAAAACCAGCCTGGCCAACATGGTGAAACCCTGTCTCTACTAAAAAAAGTTAGCCGGGTGTGGTGGGGGGCCCCTGTAATCCTGCCTGTAATCTCAGCTACTCAGGAGGCCAAGGCAGGAGAATCGCTTCAACCTGGGAGGCAGAGGTTGCAGTGAGCCGAGATCACACCACTGCACTCCAGCGTGGGCAACAGAGTGAGACTCCATCACAAAAAAAAAAAAAAAGAAAAGAAAAGAAAGTGTTTTTTTAGAGTAAAACAATAAGCCAGGCATGGTGGTACCTGCCTGTAGTCCCAGCTACTGGGGTGGGAGGCTGTGGTAGAAGGATTGCTTGAGCCCAGGAGTTCAAAGATGCAGTGAACCATGATTATACCTGTGAATAGCCAACACACTCATGCACTCCAACTTGGAAAATGTAGTGAAACCCTATCTCTAAACAAACAAACAAACAAACAAAAATATAGAAATCTGTGTACCAACCACGTACCTTGAGTATTATGGACTTAAAATTTTTTCTGGCTGGGCATGGTAGCTCATGCCTGTAATCCCAGCACTTTGGGAAGCTGAGGTGGGCAGATCACTTGGGGTTAGGAGTTCGAGACCAGCCTGGCCAACATGGAGAAACCCCATCTCTACTAAAAAATATAAAAATTAGCCAGGCATGGTGGCAGGTGCCTGTAGTCCCAGCTACTTGGGAGGCTGAGGCTTAAACCCGGGAGACGGAGGTTGCAGTGAGCTGAGATCGCGCCATTGCACTCCAGCCTGGGCGACAGAGTGAGACTCCCTCTCAAAAAAATAAATAAATAAAATAAGATAAATAAACAAAAACCACAAAGTTTTTTTCTATATTGCTATATTTTAACAGATTGCTTTGCAACAAACATATTGCTGTGCCTCTTGAACGAGTTTATATTTTCCTTAGTTCTTAGGCTCCTGGTGGGGACCATTTTAGGATTATGCATTCCTGGTTTTCTCTTTATTAATTCAAAAGCAATTTCTAAAATTGTGTTTAACTTTCATTTCAGCATCAGGATACTCAAAGTGGAAAGGATCACAGATTTTTGGTAGTTTCTGGGTCTACAAGGACTTTCCAAATCCAGGAGCAACGCCAGTGGCAACGTAGTGACTCAGGCGGGCACCAAGGCAACGGCACCATTGGTCTCTGGGTAGTGCTTTAAGAATGAACACAATCACGTTATAGTCCATGGTCCATCACTATTCAAGGATGACTCCCTCCCTTCCTGTCTATTTTTGTTTTTTACTTTTTTACACTGAGTTTCTATTTAGACACTACAACATATGGGGTGTTTGTTCCCATTGGATGCATTTCTATCAAAACTCTATCAAATGTGATGGCTAGATTCTAACATATTGCCATGTGTGGAGTGTGCTGAACACACACCAGTTTACAGGAAAGATGCATTTTGTGTACAGTAAACGGTGTATATACCTTTTGTTACCACAGAGTTTTTTAAACAAATGAGTATTATAGGACTTTCTTCTAAATGAGCTAAATAAGTCACCATTGACTTCTTGGTGCTGTTGAAAATAATCCATTTTCACTAAAAGTGTGTGAAACCTACAGCATATTCTTCACGCAGAGATTTTCATCTATTATACTTTATCAAAGATTGGCCATGTTCCACTTGGAAATGGCATGCAAAAGCAATCATAGAGAAACCTGCGTAACTCCATCTGACAAATTCAAAAGAGAGAGAGAGATCTTGAGAGAGAAATGCTGTTCGTTCAAAAGTGGAGTTGTTTTAACAGATGCCAATTACGGTGTACAGTTTAACAGAGTTTTCTGTTGCATTACGATAAACATTAATTGGAGTGCAGCTAACATGAGTATCATCAGACTAGTATCAAGTGTTCTAAAATGAAATATGAGAAGATCCTGTCACAATTCTTAGATCTGGTGTCCAGCATGGATGAAACCTTTGAGTTTGGTCCCTAAATTTGCATGAAAGCACAAGGTAAATATTCATTTGCTTCAGGAGTTTCATGTTGGATCTGTCATTATCAAAAGTGATCAGCAATGAAGAACTGGTCGGACAAAATTTAACGTTGATGTAATGAAATTCCAGATGTAGGCATTCCCCCCAGGTCTTTTCATGTGCAGATTGCAGTTCTGATTCATTTGAATAAAAAGGAACTTGGAAAACATGGTCTGTATGTTACTTCCTTGAGTAGATCCAGCGACTCACAACTTAGATGATGAAATTTGAGCATGTGTTATTTGTGAATTCCATTAATTATTATTAAAGGGCCCATTATACAGAAGTAATTCAAGGTCAAGGTCAAAGTGGGCTATATTTTAGATCTTCTTCAGATCTGAAGTCATCATTTCTTAGGGAACTGTCCAGGTCACAATATATACAATTGGATACCAACTATAGGCAAACTCTACTTTGCCTGATGTAATCCTAAACATACACCAGTAAAAATGAATTTTTTTAAAACAACACACAAGAGGCTTGCAATTTAAACAAGACTATATAGTGTATAATTCTTCTGGAGGAAATTATCTCTTAACTTCCCATTTTTTGAAAACCTGATTTTTGTATCACCCATTTAAATATTAATTCAAGTTATTCAAGCCAACTTAATACTCCTAGTGTCACTCTTGCAACTTTTATTTATTTATTTTTCAGTATCTCAAGCCTAAAGTTCTTATCTTTGCTAAAAAAAAAAAAAAAAAAATCAGCCTGGCCGGGCGCAGTGGCTCACGCCTGTAATCCCAACACTTTGGGAGGCCGAGGTGGGTGGATCATGAGGTCAGGAGATCGGGACCATCCTGGCCAACATGGTGAAACCCCATCTCTACTAAAAATACAAAAATTAGCTGGGTGTGGTGGTGGGCACCTGTAGTCCCAGCTACTCGGGAAGCTGAGGCAGGAGAATCGCTTGAACCTGGAAGGCAGAGGTTGCAGTGGGCTGAGATCGCACCACTGCACTCCAGCCTGCTGAGAGAGCGAGACTCTGTCTCAAAAAAGAAAAAAAAATCAGCCTTTCCTCAACCCCATTGCACACTCAGCCTGGTAGTACAAGATGTTTTCTTTTTTCCCTCTCTCTTTGGAAATAATTTCCTTGAAAGAACTCTCGACACATCTCTGTCCACTTTCTCATTTCCATTGGTTCTTCAACTCCTGTGACCTGCCTTCTGTCCCCACCACTCCTGAAGGGCTATTGTCGGGGTCACCGAGGACTTGACTTTTGTGAACACATCCCCTTTACAAAGATCTCCCTTCAGGCTCCCAAAAGAGCCCTCTCCAGTGTCCTCTTGGGGCATGGCTGTCTATTCCTCAGTCTCCTTCCAACACTCATCTCTCCAGTTCTTAAATTTAGGTGGCATTCGCAGGTTCTCTCCTGGTGTGCCCCTCACTCTCTCCTTGGGTAATTTCATTCACTCATCACCTCACCTGCTCCCTTTGGTTCTCTCATCACATAGAGCTCCAGCCAACCCTGTGTTCATGACATGTCTCCACCCAGATGCACCTTAAACCAGAGGTTGGCAACCTTTCTCTGAAAAGGGTCAGACAGTGAATATATTTTGCTTTCTGGGCCATGTGGCCTATGTCTCCTCAACTCTGTTGCAGCACAAAAGTAGCCATAGGCAATACGTAAGTGAATAGATATTGCCGTGTTCTTCAAAAATTACAAAAGCAGGCCACATGGGCCACAGTTTGTGGCCCCTGCCTTAAACCACTGTCCTGACCTGCACATCGCCACAGGTTCTCCCCACCATGTTCCCTTTCTTGAATTTCTCCACCTTCACCCTATCACTGGAGCTGGAGGAACTCTTAAGTCTGCTTTCCCCCTCCCTTCCATCTACCTTTGGTCACAAAGCCTTCCTCTCCATCCCCACTGATGAGATCCTCTTACAGTTTTCATAATGTCTCTTGGCTAGCGAGGCATTCCCCTCTTTCTTTTAGGCTTCCAGCCCCCTGAGTTTTGGCTAGACATAGGCTACCTGGTGGGGACTATATTTCCCAGCCTCCCTTGCAGCTAGATGTGGCTGAGTGACTAGGCTTAGGCCAGCAGTAAGTAAGTGAAGTGTCTACTAAGACAAAACTGCAGATCCTGGACTTGTTCCACTGGAAATGGCAGCAATCAAACAAACCTTGGAAGGCATGTGTTAAATTTGAAGAACTTCCAGGCATGAACCTGGAAGACTGGTTCATAATAGAGAAGGTCTTTTTGTTACAGCAACTCAGCCCATACAGAGCCAGCTTGCCCACTACCCTCCCTGTACAAAGTCCCCCTGTCCACCAATCCTTTCTCAACACAGCAGTCTCTTACAGTGCAAATCTGATCATGACACTCCACACTTAAAAGATGAACAAGCAAATAAGAAAGAAGAGAAATTGGGCTGAGCATGGTGGCTCACACCTGTAATCCCAGCACTTTGGGAGGCCAAGGCAGGTGGATAATCCGAGGTCAGGAGTTCAAGACCAGCCTGACCAATATGGTGAAACCTTGTCTCTACTAAAAATACAAAAATTAGCCAGATGTGGTGGCATGTGCCTATAGTCCCAGCTACTCGGGAGGCTGAGACAGGAGAATTGCTTGAACCCAGGAGGCGGAGGTTGCAGTGAGCCAAGTTCACGCCATTGCACTCCAGCCTGGGTGACAGAGCAAAACTCCGTCTCAAAAAAAAAGAGAGAAATCACTGCCTTCAAGAGGATTAAAGCAGGATGAAGTGATAGAGGAACAGAAGAGCTCTTTTACATTGTATAGCGAGGGAAGGCCTCTGTGAAGGTGGCAGGGAGAAGGCAGCCATGCGATGTTCAAGGAAAAGATTTTCAGGCAGTGGGCACTAGTGCAAAGGTCTTGAGGTTTGGCTTGTCCCAAAAGCGAAAAGAGGAAGAGCGTGATTAGAGCTCTTATGATAAGTTCCCATTGCAGGGTAAACTCAGCCTCACTAGGGCATTGAAAAGGGCTGGCCATAACCTCAGGGTGTCTAGATGGGTCTAGCAAGCTGTTCCCTGCAACACTGTGGTGGGTGGGGGAAAGGAGGTTGGAGCTGAACACCTGCCTTCCTGTGGCCACGACATGGAGCCTGGGTTGGAGTGCTGTTTACTCCAGGGGCTCCTGAGTTGGAAGCACACAAAGGGCAAGCCTCTGTCTTAGAACTGGCCCTGTGGATTGGTACGGGGGCTGCGGACCCCACCCTAAGTCACCTCTCCAGCCTGATTCTCACCACTGCCTCCTTGCCCTTGACATTTCAGCAGTCCATAAACCTGCACTCCAGGATCACTCCTTTACAGGAAGCATTATCCTGCCTTAAGAATCTGCCCTTGGCCAGGCGCAGTGGCTCGTGCCTGTAATCTCAGCACTTAGGGAGGCTGAAGTGGGCGGATCACTTGTTAGGAGTTTGAGGCCAGCCTGGCCAACGTCGTGAAACCCCATCTCTACTAAAAACACAAAAATTAGCCTGGCATGGTGGTAGGCGCCTGTAATCCCAACTACTCAGGTGGCTGAGGCAGGACAATTGCTTGAACCTGGGAGGTGGAGGTTGCAGTGAGCCAAGATTGTGCCACTGCACTCCAGCCTGGGTGGCAAAGTAAGACTGTGTGAAAAAAAAAAAAAACCTACCTTTAGCTGGTTGTGGTGGTTCACATCTGTAATTCCAGTGACTCCAGAGGACAAGGAAGCAGGAGGATTGCTTGAGGCCTGGAGTGTGAGATCGGCCTGGACAACAGAGTGAGACCCTGTCCCTAAAAATTTTAAATTTAAAATTTAGCTGGGTGTGGCAGCCCATGCCTGTAGTCCCAGTTACTTGAGAGGCTGAGGCAGGAGAAGTAATTGAGCCCAGGAGTTGGAGGCTACAGTGAGCTATAATTACACCAGTGCAATCCGGTCTAGGTGACAGAATGAGGCCAAAACAAACAAACAAACAAACAAACAAAAAAAACACCTGCCCTTTACCCTTTCTCAACCTGACAAATTGACTGACTTGTCTTGAAGGTTTGGCACCACTTCTTGGAAGCTTCCTCTGCTCCCCACCTGGGGTGATGCCCTCTTCTGGAAGGCTCTCACTGCTACACACACAGTGGCTGCCGAAGCTCAGCCTGGCTTTAGTTCCAGCCCTACTAGGTCTTCTCAGGACTCAGGATATCCAGGTGGAAGGAAGGCTGTGCCAGGTACCAACTACCCTACGTGGGATCGCCAAGATAAATCCCTCACATTCAAACTAGTCCCCCAACATCCGTCAACCCTATTCCTAACAGCAAATTGCCACCTTTAGTCCACTCCACAGTGCCCTCTGGAAGGGTCATCAAAAGACAGTTATGACCATACCAAACTATGATTCTTGACACAGAATCAAAAGTTATTTTCAATTTATTTTTTTTCTATTGTAGAACAATAATAATAATATTTAAAATCATATTTTCCTGTGATATAATTAAAACTGTGTTATTTCAATTGAATTTGAAATAGAATTCATGGTCTAAAATAGACTGAATCCCACTGTGAACATATATTTGCATGCCTTCCTCGTCATCATTCAGTTGGTGCAATTGTAAGGCATGCAATAACAAGGGAAGTGAACATTGCAGCACTGTGGCCTGTGGCCACGGTGATGGCGGGACAGCCCCACAGAGGCCACACCAGGTGACTCTCAGCTCGGTGGGTGGGAGGGGGAGTGTCTCTGTGTCCCTCTGGCACACACATCCTCACACAACCTCACATAGTCTTTTTTGCATTTGCTAGGCCATCTCATAACACTTAGGCTCATAAAATTCTGGCTTCCTTTGGATTAACTAAACCCATGGTCCCCCAAGATGGGGATTCCAGGGAGCAGGAGGGAGCCTCGAGGCAGCCCAGACTCCCAGCTGCAAACCTCACTTTCCAGAATACCACTGCCACACCTTGGCATATACCAAATGTTGACAAAGAAGGCTGTTCCCGTACAAGGGCCAATTTTAGAGCAAGCACCCTGTGGTTGGAAAACTGTAAAACCCTCAGCCCCAAAGCTGTGTGTGGCGCTTTGTGCGTGACAGGGCTGGGGCAGATCTCTCTGAGGCACTCAGGAAAACCATTCCCTTTGCTTGTGGTGGGCGGCCCCTGGTGGCTGCTCTGCCCTTGCCAAGTGTTACGTGTCTAAGGTCTGTGGGCATGTTTCTCATTTGCTGCAAAACATCCTCCCCACCCTTGCAGAGAAAGAGTCTTTTGTGCAGCACCCTTTAAAGGGTGACTCGTCCCACTTGTGTTCTCTCTCCTGGTGCAGAGTTGCAAGCAAGTTTATCGGAGTATCGCCATGAAGTTCGTCCCCTGCCTCCTGCTGGTGACCTTGTCCTGCCTGGGGACTTTGGGTCAGGCCCCGAGGCAAAAGCAAGGAAGCACTGGGGAGGAATTCCATTTCCAGACTGGAGGGAGAGATTCCTGCACTATGCGTCCCAGCAGCTTGGGGCAAGGTGCTGGAGAAGTCTGGCTTCGTGTCGACTGCCGCAACACAGACCAGACCTACTGGTGTGAGTACAGGGGGCAGCCCAGCATGTGCCAGGCTTTCGCTGCTGACCCCAAACCTTACTGGAATCAAGCCCTGCAGGAGCTGAGGCGCCTTCACCATGCGTGCCAGGGGGCCCCGGTGCTTAGGCCATCCGTGTGCAGGGAGGCTGGACCCCAGGCCCATATGCAGCAGGTGACTTCCAGCCTCAAGGGCAGCCCAGAGCCCAACCAGCAGCCTGAGGCTGGGACGCCATCTCTGAGGCCCAAGGCCACAGTGAAACTCACAGAAGCAACACAGCTGGGAAAGGACTCGATGGAAGAGCTGGGAAAAGCCAAACCCACCACCCGACCCACAGCCAAACCTACCCAGCCTGGACCCAGGCCCGGAGGGAATGAGGAAGCAAAGAAGAAGGCCTGGGAACATTGTTGGAAACCCTTCCAGGCCCTGTGCGCCTTTCTCATCAGCTTCTTCCGAGGGTGACAGGTGAAAGACCCCTACAGGTAATACCCTTTCCTTTACTCATATACAGAGACTACGTGTATATACTTATATACAGAGACTACGTGAGAGGCACTTAGCACTTTCACAGCTGCTGCGACCACATCAGAGTCTCAGCGTGTGTTTGGGGGTGGGTTTGAGGCTGTCTGTTGCAGAGCAGTGTAGATGAGGTAGTTCATCCGGAGTGGCACTTGACCCTGGAGTTGCATAGGAATCACCTACAAGGAGCTCTAAAAATGCTGATGCCCAGGCCCCTCGCCAGACCGTTCCATCTATGTCTCCAACATAGTAGCGCAGGAATGTGGACTTTTAAAACTCTCCCCCAAGTGATTTGAATGTGCAGCCAAGGTTGAGAATCTCCTTGTGATGGAACCACCTCACTGTTAGACCGAGGCCTTTGGAATTCTGCCGGGTAACGTTTCCTAATGAACCAAGCATTTGCTGCAGCTGTTAGTGGCCGAGGTGCTATGTCATGGTGGAGGTGTCGCCACACCCCGTCTTGTTCTCAGTTTTTTCTCCTACAGTCAAGTTAGGGTGGGGAGTGTTGTGCACTGAGGAAAGTTTGAGTCAAATAGTCTTTAAAGTCTTTCTCACAGCTCTCAAAGCCTTTAATTGTTTTTTGTTCATCACAGAGGAGAAAATCTAATTAATAATAACAGATTTAATCAACTCCAAGTATTGCTTTTAAAAGACCAAACTTTTTCTTGTGGAAATAAGGCTTATTACTGATCTCTATCCTTAAATGTAGCAGCTTTCATTAATTTTGCACACCAGTAAGGAGTTCATTTACATGGGATTCTAGTCTTACTTGTGCACTTTGAGTTTAAAAGGAGAGTTTCTGAGTTTTTTTCATATTATCTATGTAAGAAAAATAGGAACAAAGCAGATTTCCTGATAAACAGCACTTTGATAACGAATACCACCAAACAAATAAGGCTTTTTCTACAAGCGCCCAGGCAGCAAGAAATGTTGGTTCACAACAAAGTTGTTTTGGTGTCTGCTGTTCTGGGCTGGAGGTTTTCTGCTTGTTTAAGATTTCAGATCTGTCCCAGAGGAGAAAAGGGGACACTTAAGCCAAAAAAAGTTACTATTGAGAGGAGGTCCTTTTTTTTTTCTTTTTAAAGTGATTTTTTTGGTCTTTCTACAAATAAGACATACAAATCATTTGAAAAATTCAAACACAACAGAAAAATACAAAGAATTTTAAAACTTCATCCATAATCCCACCACACAGAGATAAACAATGTTAACAGAAGAGTACCCATTTAGACATCCATCCATGCGTATTTACACAGACAGATGTACAGCGTATATACAGATGCATACAGGCGCTAAAGCTCAAAACAATATCTTGATCCTGCAGATAAGCTGCATAGGACTACTGTATTAGCTTGCTGGGGCTGCCATAGCAAAATACCACAGAATGGGTGGCTTAAACAGCAGAAATATATTTTCTCACAATTCTGGAGACTGAAATTCCAAGATCAAGGTGTCAGCAGGATTGGTGTCTTCTGAGGACTCTCTCCTTGACTCATAGATGGCAGCCTTCTCTCTGTCATTCCTCTGCGTGGGTCTGTGTCCTCATCTCTTTTTGTTAGGATACCATTCACACTGGATGAAGTCCCACCCAAACAGCCCCATTTTACCTTAACCACCTCTTTAATGGCCCCTATCTTTAAATACAAACGCTCCCTGAGGTACTGGAGGTTAGGACTTAAGTCTACGGTTTTTAGGTTTTGGGAGGGACACAATTCACACAATTCAACCCATAACAACAAAGAAAGAATTTTTCATCCCTTCCTTTTTTTTTCTTTTTTTTTTTTTTTAGATCTGACCTCTCCCTGACAGACAACCATCTCTTTTTATATTATGCCGCTTTCAATCCAACGTTCTCACACTGGAAGAAGAGAGTTTCTAATCAGATGCAACGGCCCAAATTCTTGATCTGCAGCTTCTCTGAAGTTTGGAAAAGAAACCTTCCTTTCTGGAGTTTGCAGAGTTCAGCAATATGATAGGGAACAGGTGCTGATGGGCCCAAGAGTGACAAGCATACACAACTACTTATTATCTGTAGAAGTTTTGCTTTGTTGATCTGAGCCTTCTATGAAAGTTTAAATATGTAACGCATTCATGAATTTCCAGTGTTCAGTAAATAGCAGCTATGTGTGTGCAAAATAAAAGAATGATTTCAGAAATACGACTTTAGTCTTCTTAATGAACGTGATACCTAGATGCTATAGGGATCATGTATACCCATGAAGTCACTATTATTTTATTCAGGGTGCCATCGTGCATTACACAGACTAGGTGGCTTAAAGCAACAGAAATGTGTTCTCTCACAGTGATGGAGGCAAGAAGTGCCTCAAGATGTCACCAAAGTTAGTTTCTCCTGGAGGGTCTCAGGGAAAATCTGTTCAATGCCTCTCTGTCAGTTTCTTAAAGTTGCTGGAATCCTTGACATTCCTTGGCTTATAGACATATCACTCTAATCCCTGCCTCTGTCTTCACATGGAATTTTCCCTTGCGTGTGTGTCAAATTTCCCTCTCCTGATAAGGGCACCAGCCATTGGATTAGGGTCCATCCTAATCAAGAAAGACCTTATCTTAACTCCATCATGTCTGCAAACACCCTATTCCCAAATAAGATCATATTCACAGATTCCAAATGGACATAAATTTTTGGTGGGCACTATTCAACCCAGCACAGCCACCATGCAGCAATAGCAACTAGCCAAAAAGATAGAGAAGTGAACCTGAAAAAGAACAACCCTGTACACTCAGCAATTAAATTAATCAACAGAGTTGGAAAGGAAGAAAATTAGATTTTATTAGACATACGCGAAAAGTGACTCACTTCTTAATTTCGTATTTGTCTTACCTAAGAACACATTAATAGTCTACTCTCTCTCTTTTTTTTCTAATGGCTATTTATTTATTCGAGATGGGTCTCGCTCTGTCACCCAGGCTGGAGTGCAGTGGTGCAATCTCGGCTCACTGCAACCTCCGCCTCCTGGGTTCAAGCGATTCTCCTGCCTTAGCCTCCCGAGTAGCCGGGATTACAGGCATGTGCCACCATGCCCAGCTAATTTTTGTATTTTTAGTAGAGACAAGGTTTCACCATGTTGGCCAGGCTGGTCTTGAACTCCTGACCTCAGGTGATCCGCCCGCCTCGGCCTCCCAAAGTGCTGGGATTACAGGCGTGAGCCACTGTACCTGGCCCACTAGTCCACTCTTGATGTACTTAAATTGTTTCCCCAACTAGCCCAGCAGTGCCCAACCCTAGCTACATAATGGAGTCACCTGGGGCAACTTTTCAAAAACACTGGTGCTTGGACGTCAGCACCAGAGGTTACGGTGTAACTGGCCAGGGATGGGGCCTGAGCATGTGCAATTTTACATTTCCCCTGGTGACTCTAATATGCAGCCAAGTTTGAGAAACACCGCCCTTAATTAATTGAATTAGAATCTCTGGGGTGTATCCTAAGTAATTTCCAGGCAATTCTATGTGTAACCTGAGTTGAAGACTACTAATATGGCCTCTATATGTAGTTCACACAATTAAGAAATATTTATTCATCATCAACTATGTCCCAGGCACTGTGCAACACATTGGCTAGGGGAGACATGAACTAACCAACTAGGTTTCACATCTTAGAAGTGCAGTGAAGTAGTGGAAACCAAGACAACACATTGATGAGTGTTGGAGATGACACAGAAGGCGGTGGGTGGGGGCAGCCAGGGGACGTTTGCTGGGGTTGAGTTTCTAAAATATATATACATCAAGCATCTACTGTGACATACCAAGTCTATTTCTTATAAGGGCTCTGAGCCTTTCACTCACCCCCTCATATAGCTCTCACTACATCCCTAGGAGGTAAGTAGTTTTATTCCCAATTATAAACCAAGGGACTTGAAAGTCTGGAGAGGTGAGTTGTACACAGCTTGTTAAGAGTCAGGACAGCAGAGAAATCCAGGTTCACCCAATTCTAATGCTCATGGCGTTCAATTTGTAAACATCACAGGATAGGCTGGGATTTGTCACAGACCATTTTTCACCAACATTTTAAACTAACATCACCATATAGCTGACCAGTGATTTTAAAGATGAAAATCTGTGCTACCCAAAGGGTGACAGGTGGGGCAGAGGCATCTGCTTCTGCTGGGGAGCTTTAGAAATGCTAATTCTTGGCCGGGGACGGTGGCTCATGCCTGTAATCCCAGCACTTTGAGAGGCCGAGGAGGGCAGATGACCTTAGGCCAAGAGTTTGAGACAAACCTGGCCAACATGGCGAAACCCTATCTCTACTAAAAAATACAAAAAATAGCTGGGCGTGGTGGTAGGTGCCTGTAATCCCAGCTACTCAGGAGGCTGAGGCAGGAAAATCACTTGAACTAGGGAGGCGGAGGTTGCAATGAGCCAAAATCATGCCCCTGCACTCCAGCCTGAGCGACAGAACAGGACTCCATCTCAAAAAAAATGCTAATTCTCAGGCCCCACCACAGACAAACTGAACCAGAGTATCTGGGGTGAGGCCCAGAAATGTGTATTTTAACATTTCCATGTGTTTTATGCAGAGTAACATTGGCCAAGCAATATTTCAGTCATCCTAAAAGGAAAGGCTTTGTTAAACCTTAAAGCAGATAATTCTGACATAGGCTACAATATGGACGAACCATGAGTACATTATGCCAGATAAAATAAGCCAGTCACAAAGGACAAATACTGCATGATTCCACTGATATGAAGTACCTAGACTAGTCAAAAATCACAGATACCAAAAGTAGAATGTTGGCTGCCAGAGACTATGGTGAGGTGAGAATGGGAAGTTAGTTTAATGTTTACAGAGTTTTAGTTTTATAAGATTAAAAGAGTTCTTGAAGTGGACAGCAGTGATGGTTGCATAACAAATGTAATTAATACTACCAAATTATACACTTAAAATTGTTAAGATGGCATATTTTATGATATACGTATTTTATTTGAATTTTATAAAGAAATTTTAAAAAAGAAAAGGAAATTCTTTTCACCAAAAGGTGCTGAAATAACAGCATATCCATGAGAAAAATATGAATATCTACTATTACTTGATACAAAAAAATGAACTGAAATTTGTTTATACACTGAAATGTAAAGGGTGGTTTCTCCCTAATACTGGGGGTGCTCCTTTCCTTCGACAGTGACATAATCTATTTGTTCTAATTCAGTAACTGCTACATCCATCTTTATTAATCAAGTACTCACCCACACCCAGGCCTTCCTCATTGATGGGTCACCAATCATGAGGGCTGGGAACAGTAGTAGAACTCAGCCACTGAAAGAGTTCATTACAGTTCACAAATTCTAGCAATTAATCATATGATCTTCCATATTCAATAAGCCAAACCAGGGAGTGGTAGAAGCAACAGATTGGAGTCACCCTCTTTGTGTTGTCACTGATGGTGTCAA
The DNA here is from genome assembly GCF_000001405.40 of Homo sapiens. Classification (NCBI taxonomy): domain Eukaryota; kingdom Metazoa; phylum Chordata; class Mammalia; order Primates; family Hominidae; genus Homo; species Homo sapiens. The sequence continues at coordinate 15,956,993 of NC_000004.12, read as the reverse complement.
ATAATGATGAAACCAGTGAAGATTCCCAGGTGGTAGGGTCAATTTAAAAAAAGAAAAAGAGCAGCGGTTGAGAGATTTTATGGTGAAATCATAGACATAGAGAACCGATCTCCCTGAATCCCTGCCTCTTCTGTCCTGATTTTCTCCAATCACCTCCTCCAAGGGGAATGTTTCCTCTGAGGATCAGCTGCATGTAATGCTCACATTGTCTGCTAAAGATGTGTAGGACACAGTGCCGATAACATCATTTGTCTAGTAATTTTCTCAGTCACATCTTCCAAAGTCTATCTTACCACTTAAAAATGACGCCAACCTGAGACCAAGGACATGAAATGTGCATTGAATGTTTTGTCCATTAGCCCACTACTGGGGGCACCATTGCTGTGAACAGTACGGCATCGTCTAATTACAAGTGAACCGGATACTAAGCCAAGCAGAGAATAGTCTCCAGTGCCACTACGGTGTGGCCGGAATCTGCCAGCTTCACAGAATGGCAACTCCATGATGACAGTTGTCAATTGCCACTGCGTACCAGTAATGGCCACCAGGTGACAGCAGAGGACCAACGTATTGTATTTGCCAGACAAAGTCAGGCCCCACCCCCAGAGCTAATGATCCCTGTCACCTTTAGACTGAGAGATCAACTGTGGAGAGGAACCAGAGGAACCACAGTCCCAGTAGGCCATTTTATTCTCTGTGGCACTCAGATGAGGTTTAACTTTTGAGTCTATTGTGTTAGTGGCAAGATTACCATCTCCAGTCCAATAATGGATTGAGGCAGTGATGCTGGCCACCAGGGCTGGAGGGTCCAGTCACCCACTTGGCTTCATGTTGTCTCACCTCATATGCATCCCTTCCATGGCATCCACAAGGGTTACAAAAATGTCTCCTGAGGCTGCAGTAGTGGCTGTCAATAGCTTATAGCCCCATAGAGGAGTGTCCTTAATATACCGGTCAGTTGTCACCAACCAGACAGCTTGCTGGCTGTACCCAAGAGTAGGTGAAAAAGGCATGTCTGGTTCTTACGAGCACTGAATAAGGCAAAGGTAATGGCTTTCCATATAGCTCATTGGGCTACGGGCTCCTCCTGCAGCAGCTCTTCCAGAGTTGTCTCTAGGGCTAGATGGCTGCTGCCACCAGGTGGACACCAGCACTTTTAGTCTTCAGTAAACCAAGCCCCAGCATCCTCACAGACTTCCTGGGAGTGGTCTCCAGGTAGTCAAAAGCTGTCCCTCTGAGTAATCAAGAGAGGGACAAGAAGACCCTAAAGGTGAGGTCTCAACTTACTTGTGTAAGGAGAATTATCTATGAGACCAGACTTGCCCTATGAAGTGTTCCACTTCCATTTAATATGAGAAATCTGTGCATTTTCGATTCTGCCCTTAGTACTTGAGGGGAACCTGACAGGTGGGGCTTTAGTTTTTACAAATAAGGCAAATAGTTGTCCAATTAATCAAATGGATGGATTTAAACTGGTGGCATTGACCTACATGATCTCCACTATACATTCCTGCACTTACGTTCAGCAATTCAAAGGTTATTTGATTTGGGGGGCATTTTGGACACTAGGACAATTATTGACATTTTTCACAATTATCAATCACACCTTCTGCAGAAAAAATTTAAGTGATTCCAGATGATGCATAAATTATGGCATCTAGCTGCTTTGAATAAAATGGCTAAGAAAAATATGAGCATAAAAATCCTTTGCTAGGTGACACAGTTTGGCCCTATCTCCACCCAAATCTCAACTTGAATTGTATCTTCCAGAATTCCCAATGTGTTGCAGGAGGGACCCAGGGGGAAGTAATTGAATCATGGGGCCCAGTCTTTTTCCCATACTATTCTCATGATATTTAATAAGTCTCATGAAATCTGATGGATTTATCAGGGGTTTCTGCTTTTGCTTCTTCCTCATTTTCTCTTGCCGCCACCATGTAAAAAGTGCCTTTCACCTCCCACCGTGATTCTAAGGCCTCCCCAGCCATGTGGAACTGTAAGTTCAATTAAACCTCTTTTTCTTCCCAGTCTCAAGTATGTCTTTATCAGCAGTGTGAAAATCGACTAACACAGTAAATTGGTACCAGTAGAGTGGGGCGTGGCTGAAAAGATACCCAAAAATGTGGAAGCGACTTTGGAACTGGGTAACAGGAAGAGGTTGGAACAGTTTGGAGGACTCAGAAGAAGACAGGAAAATGTGGGAAAGTTTGTCACTTCCTAGAGACTTGTTGAATGGCTTTGTCCAAAATGCTGGTAGCAACATGGACAATAAATCCAGGCTGAGGTGGTCTCAGATGGAAATGAGGAACTTGTTGGGAACTGGAGCAAAGGTGACTCTTGTTATGTTTTAGCAAAGAGACTGGTGGCATTTTGTCCCTGCCCTAGAGATTGAACTTGAGAAAGATGATTTAGGGAATCTGGTGGAAGAAATTTCTAAGCGGCAAAGTATTCAAGAGGTGACTTGTGTACTGTTAAAGGCATTCAGTTTTAAAAGAGAAGCAGAGCATGAAAGTTTGGGAAGTTTGCAGCCTGACTATACGATAGAAAACAAAAACCCATTTTCTGGGGAGAAATTCAAGCCAGCTGCAGAAATTTGCATAAGTAGCAAGGAGCCTAATGTTAATTCCCAAGGCCATGGGGAACATGTCTCCAGGCCATGTCAGAGACCTTCAGGGCAGCCCCTCCCATCACAGGACCAGAGGTCCAGAAGGAAAAAGTGGTTTAGGGGGCCAGGCCCAGGGTCCCCATGCTGTGCGCAGCCTTGGGACTTGGTGACCTGTGTTCCAGCTGCTCCAGCCATGGCTGAAAGGGGCCAATGTAAAGCTCAGGCTGTGGCTTCAGAGGGTGGAAGCCTCAAGCCTTGGAAGTTTTGAGTCTCACAGGGGCACCAGCTGCTGGGTCCATCCCGCAGACCCTGGCCAAGCGACAGATGAAAGGAGTACTCAGACACAGGCATGCAGTGTAAGAGCAGCTAGGGGGCTGCTGGCACTAGGGACCAAAGAAAAGAGCAGCCTCGATAAGCTGGAGCTGCTTGCTTTTATTTAGTACAGGCATAATGCCGAAAGCCTGGAGCAAACACAGTCTGTGGGTAATTAACATTTATTATTCTCCTTTTAGGGAACTGGTCACGCGCGGATGATCAAAGGTCTTTTTCTGGTCAAAATGAGTAAACAAGCCTATTTAGATAAATTCCCCTGCACTCCCTTGTACCTACTTCTCACCCACTGCCTCAGGGTAAGAGAACAGCTGCCTTTATCTTATTCTCCCTGAAGCTTTGCAGAGCCTTCTGACCTTTCCAAAGGTTTGTGCCCTTTGCCTATAATTTCTCCCACCACTTTGACTGATCTCCTACAGTGTTGAGCCTGCAGATGCACAGAAGTCAAGAGCTGAGGTTTGGGAACCTCCACCTAGATTTCTGAAGATGTATGGAAATGCCTGGATGCCCAGGCAAAGGTTTGCTGTAGGAGTGGGGCCTTCTTGGAGAACTTTTGCTGGGGCAGTGCAGAAGGGAAATGTGGGGTTGGAGCCCCCACACATAGTCCCTACTAGGGCACTGCCTAGTGGAGCTGTGAGAAGAGGGCCACTGTCCTACAGACCCCAGAATGGTAGATCCACCAACAGCTTGCACTGTTGTGTGCCTGGAAAAGCTGCAGACACTCAGCGTCAGCCCATGAAAGTACCCAGGAGGGAGGCTGTACTCTACAAAGCCACAGGGACAGAGCTGCCCAAGACCATGAGAACCTACCTCTTGTATCAGTGTGATCTGGATGTGAGACCTGAAGTCAAAGGAGATCATTTTGGAGCTTTAAAATTTGACTGCCTGGCTGGATTTTGGACTTGCATGGGCCCTGTAACCCCTTTCTTTTGGTCAATTTCTCCCATTTGGAACAGCTGTATCTACCAAATACCTATACCCCCATTGTATCTAGGAAGTAACTAGCTTGGTTTTACAGGCTCATAGGCAAAAGGGACTTGCCTTGTCTCAGATGGGACTTCATACTGTCAACTTTTGGGTTAATGCTGAAATGAGTTAAGACTTTGGGGGACTGTTTGGAAGGCATGATTGGTTTTGAAATTCAAGGACATGAGATTTAGAGGGGGCAGTGGCAGAATAATAAGATTCAGCTGTGTTCCCTTTGAAATCTCAACTTGAATTGTATCTCCCAGAATTCCCATGTGTTGTGGGAGGGACCCAGGGGAAGGTAATTGAATCATGGGGGATGGTCTTTCCCATGCTATTCTCACGGTAGTTAATAAGTTTCATGAGATGTGATGGGTTTATCAGGGATTTTGGCTTTTGCTTCTTCCCCATTTTCTCTTACTGCTACCATGTAAGAAGTGCCTTTTGCCTCCTGTCATGATTCTGAGGCCTCCCCAGCCATGTGGAACTGTAAGTCCAATTAAACCTCTTTTTCTTCCCAGTCTCGGGTATGTCTTTATCAGCAGCATGAAAACAAACTAATACACCAGGCATAAGAATGACACAGTGGACTCTGGGGACTCAGGGGGAAAGCGTTGGGAGGGGGTGAGGGATAAAAGAGTACAAATTGGGTTCAGTGTATACTGCTTGTGAGATGGGTGCACCAAAATCTCACAAATCACCACTAAAAAACTTATTCATGTAACCAAATACCACCGGTTTTCCAAAAATCTATAGAAATAAAAAAAAACTAAAAATCCTTTGTTGTGTTTCTAACTACTAATATGTAACATATTTTTGTGCCCCACAATGATTACAGTTAATAATCAGCACAGAGGAACTCTTAAAGGACATATTTTGCCTCTAGATCAAGCCTAATGCCCTTCTGTAGGCAGCTGGGAGGTTTTGTAGCTGTTCCTTAAACAACATCTTTCTTACCTTACCATGAAGTCATTAGCTATTGACACCTTAGAAATTAGAGCTGAGAAAGTCTTTAGACCTATTAAATGAGAGTGACCTGTTTTATGTGAGCACATATTCACCATCTCTCTCTAGCCTTTGAATTACTCACCCTTTGTCTCACACCTCCCTGGAAGTATCTGTTCCCTTTCTTTCTCTCCTTTTCTGTGGTCCTCTCTGCTTCTTGAAGCCAAACCAGGTCAGGCTGTGAACTGAAGAGGTACCAAGATTTCCCCTGTGCAGCTTTCTGCTGGACTCTTCCTAGAAGCATGCATCAGTTACTGCCAGATTTAGTTTTGGATTGTGGTATCACTTTTCATCTTTTTCCACCAGAGTAAGAAAAAAATACTGTATTTTCTCTACTAGAATGGGAGAGCTGGGCCTAACTTTAGCAAACGAGTACTTGTTGAAATGAAACACTTCAACAAACTTGAGGGAAGTCACTAAAGAAGTCAGTTTCCTCATCTTTATTTCAGGTGATAATAATGGCTACTCCTTATTGAGGACTATCGAGATCAGATGGGGCTGGGAGCAGTGGCTCATGCCTGTAATCCCAGGACTTTGGGAGGCCAACACAGGAGGATTGCTTGAGTCCAGGAGTTCAGGACCACCCTGAGCAAAATAGCAAGATGCTGTCTCTGCAAAAATAAATAAACAAACAAACAAATAAATAAAATAATTTTAAAAAGATCTAATATAGTAATAATACACAGTGAAGGGCTTTGACAATGATATTGTGCTATGCAGATTCATAGTATGATTATAAATCAGGTAGACAGATAAACTTGATGAAACAGGAAGGAAAAACTCTTCATACATCAGACTGGTCTTCCTGGATAAGGTTGCCACATGCTATCTCAATGGAGTCACAGATGCTTCTGAAAACTGGAAATATGAGTCTTGCAACCAAATCTGGGAAAGACATGAGCCTAAATCAGCCTGATCACTGCAAAATATGAAATCACATCACTGCTAAATATGGAAATTTGTCACAACATTTTGTTAGTGTAAGTTCTAAGCCTAAGACAAATTAAGTTGTTGAATTTATTCAGATAATTGTTTTAAAGGGAGAGTGAAACAGGTTTCTGGCCCCTTTTTTGTTTTCAGATCATTTACATTGAAAGAAGGGGGAACATGTTACTAAATCAAACCTGCCCCATGGGCAGGAGTCTAATTCTCTATCCCTCCCTTTGTCACACTCAGATGACACCGTCCTTCTGTAGGGTTTGTCTCCGCCATGTTTGAAATGGTGTACAAGTTCTCAGGATGAGCTGGTTATGGGATGCCTATACTGTTTTTCCTCTTCCAGTGCCCCAGTGGAATTTCTTCCCCTTGGTCATTCGGGAGCGGCAGCCTGTGTTATCTCAGAGTTTTCCAAGTGGTGACCCCAAAGGACTCCAGAGCAGGGCCTGGCTTGGGGTAGGGAGAATAGAGGACATTGGGCTAGAAGGGGGAGATGTAGGGATTCATGAGGCCATTAAATTAGCAACATATTGCCAGGCACAGTGGCTATAATCTCAGTGCTTTGGGAGGCCAAAGCAGGAGGATCACCTGAGTCCAGGAGTTCAAGACAAGTCTGGGCAACAAAATGAGACCCTGTCTCTACAAAAAAAACTTTAAACTTAGCTGGGTGTGATGGTGTGTGCCTGCAGTCCTAACTATTTGGGAGGCTGAGGTGGAAGAATCACAGGAGCCCAGGAATTCAAGGCTGCAGTGAGCCATAATTGTGCCACTGCATGCTGGCCTAGGTGATAGAGTGAGACCCTGTCTCTAAAAAATATTTATTTATTTATTTATTTAGAGATGGAGTCTTTCCAGGCTGGAGTGCAGTGGTGTGATCTTGGCTGACTGCAATCACTTCCTCTCAGGTTTAAGTGATTCTCAAGACTCAGCCTCCCAAGTAGCTGGGTTACAGGGGCTCACCACCATCCCTACCAGCCAATTTTTGTGTTTTTATTAAAGAGAAAGTTTTTCCATGTTGGCCAGGCCGGTCTCAAACTCCTGGCCTCAAGTGATCTCCCTGCCTCAGCCTCCCAAAGCGCAGGGATTACAGGCATGAGCCACCGTACCATGCCTAAAAAATATTTTAAAAGAAAAAATAAAAATTAGTAATATTTATTGTAAACAAATGTACAATTCATTTTCAAATGACCGTAGATAGCATTGTGGTAAATAAAATGCAACTGTATTTAAAGGCATTACCAATCCCATGTACTATTGTGCCACTTTTTGTTTTCTTTTTTCTTTTTTTGATAGAGTCTCACTTTGCTGCCCAGGCTGGGGTGCAGTGGTGCAATCTCGGCTCAGTGCAACCTCTGTCTCCTGGGTTCAAGCGATTCTCCTGCCTCAGCCTCCCACGTAGCTGGGAATACAGGTGCCCACCACCAGGCCAGGCTAATTTTTGTATTTTCAGTAGAGACGGGGTTTCACTATGTTTGCCAGGCTGGTTTCTAACTCCTGACTTCAGGTGATCCACCTGCCTCGGCTTCCCAAAGTGTTGGGATTACAGGCATGAGCCACCGCACCCGGCCGTGTGGCACTTTTTGATAACATAGGTTAAGTGAATACATTTTTTTGAATCAATGACCTGTTTTGGACTCTGGCCCATCGTTCACTAGCTGTCTGGTTTTGAGTGATCTTTTATTTTCTCCTCTCCATAATGTGAATAATAACAGTACCTGTCTCCTAAGCGTGATTCAAGGATTACATGAGATTATCCACACAAATTCCAAGGAGTAATAGCTCAAGTGGTAGCTGCTGTCACTCTTACCATCACATTGTTTCTCAGTCACAGTTTGTGATTGAGTGCTGCGACGGGCAGGTCTGCACAGAGTGTGGATGTTGTAAGAGGATCCTCATCCTTGGCAAGGTTGACAGCCCCTGGTCTGGATGAAGCCTAAGGTGAAACCTTGAATGTTCCCCCGCAAACCTCTTTGTTGACCTTATCCGTAGCTTTCTTCCAGCACAGGCAATTACATTATAGGTTCTCTCCCTTCTGGGAACAGCGCTCTCCTTCTGGGAGAATAGTTGCTCCTCCTCCAAACCCAGCTGCATGTTTCAGAGGCCTGGGCCATTCATCATAGAATCCTGCTCTTTGGCCATGGTTGACAAATCCAATGGCAGGAATGCGACTCAAGACCAACCTATCATATCTCTCCCTGGGATTGTTCGCACTTCTGCTTGGCTTGGAACTGGTGACACCCGTGTTTCCCACGAAGTAGAGAAAATTAGTCCGAGAAAACAAAGTACAAATGCGGAGAAAAGCTGAGGTGATACAAAACCAAGCATGATGGTGACATTCATGTTCCTTAATCTATGAGACTGGGTGGTCGTATTAATCATGTGCTTTTATTTTTTCAACTCATGCTGTTTTGATACCTTTGGGAACCTGATAAATTCAGGGAGAGACAGACCTCCCTGGGTTAGCTAATTCCTAAAGATGACACAGTATGTTTGGGATCACGCCTGTCACATGTAAACCAACCATTCCCTTTATCTAACTCTCACATACCAAGCCAGTATTAACCCTTACCCTAAATCTACCTGGAGACAGGACCAGACAGCCACACCACGTGCCCCAGAGCCTGCTGGAATTATTAAAACCAGCACATCCGAGACCATATTCTCCATCCAGCCTCAACTTTCCCTCGGAAACGATGATAAGGGCTCTGGCCTAGGTGTTCCCTCGCTCCTGCTTTCACCACCTGACCCAAACCTCATGTTTCTCCTGCTGAAGCCCTGTGTGCTGTGGCATGCTCCTTCTCTTTGGAAAGGTGAGTACAGTCATGCCTGGGTATTTAAGGAGGATTAGTTCCAGGACCTCCATGGGTACTCAAATTTGCAGATGCTCAAGTCTCCTCTGTAAAATGGCATGGTATTTGCATATAACCTATGCACATCTTCCTGTATACTTTAAGTCATCTCTAGATTACTTACAATACCTAATACAACATAAGTGCTATGTAAGTCATTGTTATAGTGTATTATTTATTTGCATTATTTTTCATGGTTTTTTTTAAATTTTTTAAAAAATATTTTTGATCTGCAGTTGATTGAATCCACAAATGTGAAACCTGTAGATACGGGGGTGTGGGGAGGAGGTAACTGTAGTAAATTATTTTTTCAATGGCACCAGCCTCTTTGTGTCATCATTCAGTCACGTTCATGAGTTAAAATCCCACAGGTACGTTTTGGGACAGTTGAGCAGCCGGCAAGGTGACTCAGTGTTCCATAAGGACCGTGCCTCCTTCTGCTCTTGGCTCGTTAGCTGACTGTGCCAACCACATATACTGTATTATCTTTAGGAATTAGCTAATCCAGGGAGGAATTAGCTCTACTTGGGAGGGCATTGCCGGCCGGTGGGGTGCCTGTGCTTTGGCTGCCATTGCCTTGTGCTACCTCTGCTGTGCCCTTTCACAGTTTTCTAGTCTAAACTGTGGCAAGGGAAGGACCTCAGATCTTGCTTTGCACAGGTAGTAGTACCATTGGGAGTGAGAGAGGTCCCCAGTGCACACCTTACTGGACCAAGTGACCAGGCAGATGTGAGGTTAAGCAGGCAATTTGGGTAATTAGTACAGTAAACGCTTTCTGGAGAGAGGAGGAGCAGGGAGTGGCTGCCCCTAGGGTGCTTTGAGGGCACCGAGACTGATGACCTGCCTGCCAAGACCGTAGACAGGGCTCACCATAGAGAATTCAGGAGCTGGGCATTCAGGCCCAGGCACAACTCCCTTCTTGTAACAAATCTTCTCTTACTCTGGTGGACAAAGTCCTGGACAAGTGAGGTCCTCCTTGAACAGTCCATCACAGGTTGACATTGACTGTTGGGCCCCTGAGCATTGGGACTCTATGAAGATACTCACCCATTTGATTCCAAATTTAGACAGGCCCATCTCTAATGGTTGGCGGCGAGGTGTAGGGTGTCTCCCCATGGAAAACTGTGACTCCTAGAAACCTTAAATATTGCTATATGGGCAAATCTCTTTGTTGTTACTGGCCTTGCTGCTATTGTGACCTGAGCCCATGACCCTCTATACTCATTATGTTTTGGGTCATAGGTACAGTACCCACAAGCTTCACACAGCTACTGAGGGCATCTTAGACAGGATGGAGCCAATACTGGGTCCTTGGGCATATTCTATCTCTATAGGGTTGTAGCTTTGTTCATTCTCAGTCACCTGGTAGATGTCATTGTGCTACAGGAGATTATAGGTCTCAGAAAACTGGTGTTGTTGAGATACAAAATGGCCTCCTCAAACAACTTCTTTTAAAATTTCAGGCCATCAGATAAACACCTAAATGAGTTTCTTTTTTGCCCAGGACTTAAGGTGTCTTTATAAAAATTCCATCTTGCCTCCATCACGTAAGGGGAGGAGGCCAAATGTAGGGCCCAAACTCTACAGGGATCAATTACCATAAATTGTCCCAAGGGCTAGGCAGATATGAGACTGATTTCTTCTATCATAATTGAAGCTACCTGGTGTCATCCTGCACACCATTCTGTTGACTTTTGATTTTATTACTCTTGGTCTGTGCCTTCCCAACAAAGCTCATATAGAGGCATGGTCCCCAATGTAATGATGTTGAGAGGCATTACAGGCATTTGGGTCAGGAGGGATCTGTCTTCATTAAAAGATTAATGTTGTCTTGTGGGAATGACTTCTCACTCTCATGAGAGTAGATTAGTTAACACAAGAGTGGGTTGTTATAAGGCTAGGTCCCATTTGTGTTTGGTTTCCTTTGCACATGCCTGTTCACTGCTCTCACAGGCATTCTCACCACTTGATGCTATCCACCATGCTATGTTGCAGCATGAAGCCCTTCCCAGATGCAGCTGCCCAATCTTAAACTTCCCACCATCCAGAACAGTGAGTCGAATAAACTCCTTTTCTTTATAATTACTTGGTCTCAAGTATTCAGTTATAGCAACAGAAAATGTACTAAGAAGTCAGTCTGGGTTCTTTCATTAATTTATGATCCAATGGCTCACACCCTCCTAATAAGCCATTGCTTTAACCAAACATGGCCAATGGTAAGACTCACATCAACTCCACTGGGTACTTAGTTGGGAAAGATATGGCCTTCCAAATGGACATGGCCCTTACTCAGAAGTTTATCACAAAAATAACACCACCCCAGACAACATCACCTCTTAATTTGATGTCAAAATGTCGGAGTGATGAGGTATCACCACTACAGCAATCATCAAAGTGTGAGCCATAGACTCACCTGGTCAGGTCTAGGAAAAAGAGCCAAACCATGTTCATCTTATCTTCCCTTGAGTGCCTGATACTTCACCTTGCTGAGAGTGGTTACTGAATAATGACTGAAGAGATAACATCCCCTTTCCCCCACTGTTGAGCTGTGTTTGCATAATTGCAGGCTCTTGAGAAATTCTTGTCTGCCTCTGGTAGGCTAGATGTCCCAACTCAAAGCACCACAGCTTTCCCTCCAACATAGTCATTAACCTCTGTGTGGTCATGACTGATATCCTTGACGTTTCCCCTATTGTCTGCTAACTCCTCAAGGGTAAGGACCATTTTTCTTGACTGCACTTCCAGGCAATCATTAACACTGAGGGCCTGGACATAGTAGGTGCTTCATGCGTGCTTTTAGGATGAATGAAAAAATGACTGAGTGGTAGTAGAAATGAGGTCGCATTAGGGTCCAGCCTTGCAGAGTCTCATTCCCCTGCTCATTCTTGTCTTCTCCTAAGCAGCATGCCACATGTGTGAGTCCTTTTGCTCTTTGTGTAAGGGCATTCAGCACAGAAGGGTATCTTTCTGTGAGGTGAGGTCCTCCTTGAACACTCCATCACGGGTTGACATTCACTGTTGGGCCCCTGAGCATTAGGACCCTCTGAAGATACTCACCCATTTGATTCCAAATTTGGAATCAAATTTGGTATCCTTCAGCGCTGAATGCCCTTACAGGTCTTTTCAGAGGTGCTTTTCTGGTTTGATTTTTCTAAATATTGTCATCTCTTCATGTGAAGAAAGGGATGTGGTCATAAGCCAATGTGCCTCGTGACTCTCAGCCTTAACACCAAGAAAGGGCAGCTTACCTTCTCCCTTTTTCAGCTTTCAAAGGGAGCAACTGTTGCTCTTTGTAGCACACATGGGCTAGAGGCTGAAAATCCAAAAGGGAGACTCTCTAGGTCCTTCTTTTTCTCCAAGATAGGAAGGGAGGTAGAGGTGGCATACAGAAATGTGTACTTGTGTGGGGTTTTGTGATGTGTGAGCATGTGTGTGGGAATGGGTGTGTATATGTGAGTGCTTTCTTAAGTGCATGTATGTGGGGGTACCTTGAAAAATGTTGTCCAAAAGACACAGACCTCTTTAAAGGGTGTTTGACTGTTTAAGAATGATTTACTTAAAAACAAAGATCCAAAAAGCAAAGAAGTGATCAAAAAACTTGATTTGTAGGGGCAATTGATTATAGAAGAGCTAAAAAAAAAAAACTTTTACAAAAAGAAAACACTGTAAAAGGCTTTGAAATAGCCCTATTACTTGAGAAAAAATACCTATTATTATTAAGTGGTTTCATTCAAATGGCTGATATTCTAGCATTTTTGACATACTACAAATAGTAGTTTCGTATGATTTAACCTAACACAAAAATTGGAGTTAGGTTTCAAATGTGTTGAGAATCAGAACCAACCATTAAACATTGTTTCTAAAAACATGTTGATATGATTCCACTGCTGGGTATATACCCAAATGAAAATCATTCTACAAAAAAGTAAATAAATAAAAATTTAAAAAAACAATATGCACTCATATGTTCATTGTGGTAATATTCACAACAGCAAAAACATGGAATCAACCTGGATGCCCATCAAAGGTGAATTGACAAAAGAAAATGTGGTACATATACATTATGGGATACTATCTATGCAGCCACGAAAAATAATGAATTGTGTCCTTTGCAGTAACATGGATGCAGCTGGAGGCTATTATCCTAAACAAATTAATACAGGAATAGAAAACCAAATACTGCATGTTCTCACTTATAAGAGAAGGAGCTAGACCGAGCACAGTGGCTCACGACTATAATCCCAACACTTTGGGAGGCCGAGGCAGGCGGATCATGAGGTCCGGAGTTCGAGAGCAGCCTGGCCACCATGGTGAAACCCCGTGTCTACTAAAAATAAAAAAATTAGCCAGGCATGGTGGCAGGTGCCTGTAATCCCAGCTGCTCGGAAGGCTGAGGCAGGAGAACTGCTTGAAGCCAGAAGGTGGAGGTTGCAGTGAGCCAAGATCGTGCCACTGCACTCTAGCCTGGGTGACAGAGCAAGACTTTGTCTCGGAAAGAAAAAAAAAAGAGAAGGAGCTAAATATTAGGTAAGCATGGACATAAAGATGGCAAAAATAGGGCTGGAGACTACTAGAGTGGGGAGAAATGGAGGGGGGCAAGGTTAGAAAAACTACCTACTGGGTACTATGCTCACTACCTGAGTGATAAGATCATTTGTACAGCAAACCTCAGCGACATGCAATTTACCCATGTAACAAATCTACACATGTACCCTCTGAACCTAAAATAAAAGTTAAGAAATGTGTTAATATTATGTGGTTAATAACAACATTCTTTCTAAAGTAAATAAACTTAATAGGTTTTCACCTTGCAATCATACCCAATACTATAGAATCCACACTCTGCTATCTCTTCATTTTCTAAAGAAATAAAACTTTCATTGTCCTGAACAGGAATCCTGAAATCTCATGATGAATGAGCACTTTAAATTTGGAATGCAAATATTCTTTTTTTTTTTGTCTCACTTTGTCGCCCAGGCTGGAGTGCAGTGGCACATCTCGGCTCACTGCAAGCTCCGCCTCCTGGGTTCACGCCATTCTCCTGCCTCGGCCTCCTGAGCAGCTGGGACTACAGGCACCCGCCACCATGCCTAGCTAATTTTTGTGTGTGTGTGTGTGTTTTTAGTAGAGACAGGGTTTCACCATGTTAGCCAGGATGGTCTCGATCTCCTGACCTCATGATCCGCCTGCCCTGGCCTCCCAGAATGCAAATATTCTTGAGTAGGTCTAAGATTAATGCTTTTTGCCAGATGAATTAGATTTTACTGATGTTTGCTTAGCCCAATTTCCTTATTTTCTGATAATAAATGTATTTTAATGCACATTATTTGCCCAACAAATTAATATTGCTTTAGTGCAGCAGCTCAGCATTTGCAATGTCTGTTTGTAAAGTAACGTTTGAAGGAAGGGTTGATTTTTGACAACTTTGGCCTGGCAATAAGTTTGGCACAGTTAAGACTTACCTCAGAACCAAATTGCACCCATTATATGAATAATCTCTGGTGACTGCATAAGTAGGGCCAGGCCTCTAGGTCAAGAAGCTATGTGGTAGTAACAGGCATGAGAGTAAAATCAGCTTTTGAACTTCAAATCCCCAGCTGGTGACCAGACATGCATTCAATTACCAGCCTTAGCCAGTGTGTTTTTACCAATTGTGTTCAGACTTCCTTTCACAATCCCAAAGAAAGTATTCATCATTTAAGTTTTGTGTGATCATGAGAAGAATAACATGATCCCAATCTAACCAGAACATGCCAGACAATTTCCAAATTAAGGACATTCTCAAAACACCTAACCAATTCTTCTGCAAACTGCCATAGTCATCAAAAACAAGCAACATCTGAGAAACAGCCATAGCCAAGAAGAACCCAAAAAGTCACGATCACTAAATGCAACCTGGTGTCATGTTGGGATCCTGGACAGAAAAAGAACATTAGGAGCTGAAAATTTAATTCTACACCAAACCTGCACATGCATGTTTATAGCAGCTCTATTCATCACTGTCAAAATTTAGAGGCATCCAAAATGTCCTAGATGAATGAACAAATGAACTCGGGTACATCCAATCAATGGAATTTTAGTAGTAGGTGAATGAATAAAGGGACTTGGATATATCCAATCTTTGGAATTTTATCAGCACTTAAGAGAAATGTGCTATCAAGTTATGAAAAACATAGAGAAACCTTAAGTGCATATTACTAGGTAAAAAAGTCAATATAAAAGGTTACATATTGTGTGATTCCAACTATTTGAAATTCTTAAAAAGATAAAACTGAGGAGACAGCAAAAGGATGAGCATTGCCTGGGGTTGTAGGGGATGGAGTGGTAAGTAGGCAGAACACAGAGAATTTTTAGGGCAGCTAAACTATTCTGTATGATACCATAGTGGTGGGTACCGTCATTATACCTTTCTTAGTTAATTGATATTATGCATGTCATTATACATTTCTCAAAACCCAAAGAATGTACAGCACTTAGAGTGAACCTAATGGAAATGATGGACATTGGGTGATAATGACATGTTAATGTAGGTTTATTACTTACAGCAAATGTACTACCCTGGTTCATGATGTTGAAGGTAGGGGAGACTGTGCCTGCGTGTGGGGAGGGGTATATGGGACTTTTGATACTTTCCACTCAATTGTGCTATGAGCATAAAACTACTCTAAAAAATAAAGTCTGTCAATAATAATAATAATAATAATAAAAACTAGAACAACAGGTAAATCCTAAGCAAGTCTGAATAAAGTATGGACTTCAATTGACAATAATGTATCAATGTTTGTCAGTTGTGACAAACGTACCATAGTAATGTAACAGGTAAATAGGGAACCCAGGTGAGAATTGGAATGATAACTATCTTTGCAATTCTCTGTAAACCTAAAATTATTCTAAAACTTTAAAAAAAAATTTAAAGGGAAGGTATGAAGGGGCAAAGAGAGGAGAATTCCACAATTTATCAGTGTATGCGTACACTGCCTCATTTGTGTTTAGAATGATAGCAGCGGCCTCCAGATAATTCTTCTCTAATTGTGTGTCAGACACTGTGCTTAGTCCCCCTAAGCCTTGCCTCCACATCTGTCCCATGAGGACCTGGGCCGACTTTCCTCCTGGGGTTCTTGTGCAATGGGCCTTTATGTACTCATCCCCAAGAATTACAGAGCCCCTCAGTGCTGGGAGCATGGGGAGGTGGAGGGGCCTGAAGTTACTGGAACCTGCTATGCACTGCGTGGCTGGGGCTCCATGTCCTCTGCAGTCTCCCCAGAGCCACTGGAAAAGGACATCGTTTCCTTAGTTCATGGAGATACGAAGAAAGCTTGGGAAACAGCCTTAGCACAGTGCCTGGCACGCTGTAAGCTCATTGGAGGAAGTGTGCCATTTCTCCCCGTGGACATTCTTAAAGATGTGGGTGGCATGCAGGGCGTCAGGAGCCAATGACACCAACAGAGAGGGGCTCGCATTGGAGCCTGGCCTTGAAGGATGAGGCGGTGTGTGCCAGGCAGAGAAGGAAGGGAAGGGGATCCCAAGTGCAGGGAACAGCAGAGGCAAAGGCAGGAAGTGGGCGCATGCATGGAGTATCTGCAAATGGTGGGACAGGGTTTCAGTGTGGCCAGATTGCAGTGTGTGTGTGCATGTGTGTGTGTGTCTGTCTCTGTGTGTGTGTCAGTGTCACTGTGTGTGATTCTGTGTGTGTGTGCCTATGAGTATGTGTGTGAATGTGTCTAGGTGTCAGTATGTGTGTGTCTCTGTGTGTCTATGAGTGTGGTGTCTTTGAGTGTGTTTGTGTGTGTTTGAGTGTGTCAGTGTGTGTTTGTGTGTGTCTTTGTATGTGTGTCAGTGTGTATGTGTATTTATGTGTCTGCGTGTGAGTACCTGGAAATGAGGTTGGAAGGGCAGGATGAGCCAAGGAGGTGACTGCCCCACAGCCTGCTCTGATGCTGTGCTGCTGAGTCTAGAAGGGAAAGAGCAAAGCAGACGCTGGGATGGGAGTCACAGGAAGGGGAAGGGCCACAAGGAGCCAGTGGGGAATGTGCAGTGTTACCTGGCAAAGCTCAGAGAAGCACTTCCCAGAAAGACCCCGGAGTCCACATGTTTCCTTGTAAATATGTTTTGTGTTCCAACTGCAATCTGCCTCCAGAAAGAATCTGCCTGCCTCCCAAGGATCAAGTAGAATTTTCCATTTTGTAGGAGACTCCCCTTGTTGAGCAAAGCAGCTTTGCCTTGCCTATGTCCAAATAATCCTCCAAAATACCGCATGAGAGAGCCTGTTCGTGGAGGTCAGGGCCTCAGCGGGGTGTTTGTGAGGATAGTGAGGACGGACCCCTGGGTGAGGCAATTTTAGGAGAGAGGCACACAGCTTCAGAAATGGCTTCTTCCAACAGATTCATGCAGAGACTGAGCCTCTGAGTAAATTGGTCAACATCTATAGCTATGACCACGGAATTCTCAAACAGGTGGATCGTTCATAAAATCCAAACACAGTTACAAGTTTTGGCCTGCATAGTGTTGAGCTACAGCTTTATTTTTAGAAAATTTTAATTAGCTGCCAACCAATTTCATATAAACACATCTGGATTTGGGGATGTCATTTTAAAAATCAGACAGTGTGACAATACTGAGCCTAATCCCTGCATTTTCTCAGTCAATTGGAGATGAGTGTTGACCTCTATGGAGGCAGAGACTCTCTAGTTTGCCACAGTCCCCATCACTCCCTATTGCCTTATCTCAAACCCAAAAGTCAGTTGCCATTTAATATCACACTAAACAATAGTTTTCTTATGGCTGAATTAAGGAAAAGTGAACAATTTCTTCTTCTGAAAATCTATGAAAGGTGAGGTGATAATATATAATGAGGGCCACATCTTCCCTGTAGAAGTGAGTTTCTTTTTAAATGCTGCATATGTAAATAACAAATGTCTGTTTTCAAAGTATACAACTTAAGACCCTGTCATGAGGCAAAACGATTCTGCTCCACTTTATGTTAACAGCTTAGCCCAGTAAAAATTTAGTATGCAGCTATAAAGGAGACGTTGTTATTGTCAGCACACTGCAAATGGATGATGGGAGAGGCTAAGTGGTTTGGGCATAGCACTCAGCTAAACACATGCTGTGGCCAGGATTCCACCTGGGTCATTCTGGTGTGGGACTGTGCCTGTAGCAGGCAGGGCAGCCTGAGCTCTCTGAATGAGACCTGAAGGTAAGTATTTACAACAGTAATCTTATATTAAAAATTCCCTCTTTACCAGCCTCTCAGAGCCTGGTAGAATTCCCTGATAAAAAAGAGGGAATTTTTAATGTAAATTTCCCTGCCTCTAGAATTAGGGTATCCTCTGCTTATGTAGTAACTTCAGATGGAAAAAGGAACTCAGACACTACGAAAACTTCGGCAACTTCAGTCACCCATTCAACAAAGATTTATTGAGAGTGGCAGGCAGGAAGAGATCAGACCATGGATGTAGAGAATCTCACTTTTAATTTTGAGATGTTCCTTTTCCTGCCTCTGTGAACTTGGACAAGCTCTTACATATCTCCAGAACCAATTCCTGCTTTTGTAAAAGGGGAGGAATCATTGCACTCCCTACTAGAGCGGATGTGATGAGGGAAAAGGAGAACTCAGGTAAAATGGGCTCAGTAGTTTGGCAGCTCGGATCATGTCATTATAGTTATTTTACTCCTCCATAGACATCACTGCTGGGGTCCTCTCCCCATCAAGGAGGGTCACTGTGAGGCTGAGTTGTCCTCCTATCCTGGCCACAGGGTGGACAGGGAAGGGCCTAGAGGAAGCGTTTGATGGCATGCAGGTAACCCCCCTTTTCACTGGATTACATCCAGCACTTTCCCTGCAGGAACCGGCTCCCTCGGAGGGGCGTGGCTGGGAGGAGCTGTGAGTAACGTGCCACAGTGTTGTAAAAACCCAGTGAGTGTTATAAAAACCCAGTCAGCCTGGCTCCTGTTGAATAGTCTACCCCCCTTGCACTCTACCTGACACAGCTGCAGCCTGCAATTCACTCGCACTGCCTGGGATTGCACTGGATCCGTGTGCTCAGAACAAGGTAAGAGCCTCGCTCCTTTAACAGCTTTATTACCTGCTGCCACTTCTCACTCCACCAAGGGCCTGGAGTTCCTTGGGCCTGCATTCCATCATGGGCAGGTGGGGGCTGAGCCCCAGGGCCGTGAGAAATGACTGGGTGTTTTTCTGGCATATCCAGTCTCCTCTTCACCATTTATTGCTGTTCTCTGCCCTTTTGTGATTGTCTTTCTCCTTCTTAACCCTAGAAGATGGCCAACTTCTAGGGTAGAAATCAGATCAGGACCATTTCCTGGGTCTGCCTCTTTTTATAAAAAATTCTGTGTTTTGTTTTAAATGGAGCACAAATAATACAAATCATCTTATCATTATGTGTTATATGAAACTAAATTGTCATTGTTCATAGTTGTTTTTCTTATTCTTTGGCAATGTTTTTAAAGGGCAGAGTAAATGTGAAAAGCAAAAAGTGATCAACCAGGGGTGACAGAAAGGAATAAGGAGATTGATCTGGCTACCCATACCAGCTTTGAACTTGCCCACTATGAGATCCTGAGCAATTTACTTACCTGTCTGAGCCTTAAGAGTCAGAGCTGTCACCTGGGATGACATATTAATAGCTACCTGGAAGAGCTCTTGTGTGGATTTCACAAGGTGGGAATCAAACCCTAGACCAGTACTTAGCACACAGGAGGTGTCATATAGAAACTGACTTCTCTTCTTCTGTTAAGCATGGGTTTTTATTGTACACATGATCAGATTCATGCAGTTCAGTGTGACGTTGGTGTTCATCCTATTGATTCAATGATTTCTCATGATCCTTGTCTTCGATCTTGTAGTGTGAACTATCTGGTTGAAATTCACCTCTCTCCACCCTGATTCACTTTGCCCAGGCAAATCAGACAACCACCCCACCTCACACCTTTCCTTAAACTCTTACTTCCCCACAAAAAGCTCCCCCACCCCCACAACCCCACCCACCCCACCCAAACCCCAGGCATGTTCAACTCTGGGTCAACATCACCTTTCATGATGCTTACCACATCCTTTCTCATTTTGGGCATCTGTCATGTCTTTTCTCATTTTGGGCATCTGTGTCCATATGGAGTCATGAGATAGAAATCCAGCCCTTTGGAGCTGAAAGTTTGGAGCAGTAACTTGTTTCATATCAGAAACAGAGATGACGGGATAGATTCCCTGATCAATGCTATTTAAATTCTCCCAAAGAGTGGTCTCTAAGCTCTTTCAAATCTGAGGCTTTCTCAATCATGGTGATTTCTTCAACACCTAGTCTGGTGGGGGGCATATAGTAGGTGCTCAGTAAATGCTTGTTGAATGAGTGAATGAAAGAGTGAGGAGTGAGCAGATGCAGGAGTTAATGAGTGAATAAATGATAAATGAGAGTTCGTGAGGCTCCAAAGAGTGGTACTTTTGTGACACTCAAGACTCAAGTCAAGTGGAAATGTGAGTAGACAGGCTGTTTGTCTAGTGACTCCAGGAGCCAGAAGCGTTCTTGGTCTACTCTGAAATCATGTAGGCACCTGTCAGGGTAGGGGGAGGCCAGCGTGTAGTCCTGCACAGCTGAACTGCTGCCTGCCACTGACTCACTTGCCTTTTGTCAAACAGGTGAACGCCCAGCTGCAGCCATGAAGATCTGTAGCCTCACCCTGCTCTCCTTCCTCCTACTGGCTGCTCAGGTGCTCCTGGTGGAGGGGAAAAAAAAAGTGAAGAATGGACTTCACAGCAAAGTGGTCTCAGAACAAAAGGACACTCTGGGCAACACCCAGATTAAGCAGAAAAGCAGGCCCGGGAACAAAGGCAAGTTTGTCACCAAAGACCAAGCCAACTGCAGATGGGCTGCTACTGAGCAGGAGGAGGGCATCTCTCTCAAGGTTGAGTGCACTCAATTGGACCATGAATTTTCCTGTGTCTTTGCTGGCAATCCAACCTCATGCCTAAAGCTCAAGGATGAGAGAGTCTATTGGAAACAAGTTGCCCGGAATCTGCGCTCACAGAAAGACATCTGTAGATATTCCAAGACAGCTGTGAAAACCAGAGTGTGCAGAAAGGATTTTCCAGAATCCAGTCTTAAGCTAGTCAGCTCCACTCTATTTGGGAACACAAAGCCCAGGAAGGAGAAAACAGAGATGTCCCCCAGGGAGCACATCAAAGGCAAAGAGACCACCCCCTCTAGCCTAGCAGTGACCCAGACCATGGCCACCAAAGCTCCCGAGTGTGTGGAGGACCCAGATATGGCAAACCAGAGGAAGACTGCCCTGGAGTTCTGTGGAGAGACTTGGAGCTCTCTCTGCACATTCTTCCTCAGCATAGTGCAGGACACGTCATGCTAATGAGGTCAAAAGAGAACGGGTTCCCTTAAGAGATGTCATGTCGTAAGTCCCTCTGTATACTTTAAAGCTCTCTACAGTCCCCCCAAAATATGAACTTTTGTGCTTAGTGAGTGCAACGAAATATTTAAACAAGTTTTGTATTTTTTGCTTTTGTGTTTTGGAATTTGCCTTATTTTTCTTGGATGCGATGTTCAGAGGCTGTTTCCTGCAGCATGTATTTCCATGGCCCACACAGCTATGTGTTTGAGCAGCGAAGAGTCTTTGAGCTGAATGAGCCAGAGTGATAATTTCAGTGCAACGAACTTTCTGCTGAATTAATGGTAATAAAACTCTGGGTGTTTTTCAGAAATACATTCAAACATTGCTTGGTTTTCTCTGTGTCTGGTCCCAAATAAACTCATTAAGTAGTCCCCATATATCAATGGAAAAACAATCTAAACAGGAACTTCCAGTTCCCCACCCTTCGCAAGTTATCTCTTTCTGGAATCCTTCTTTATAATTGTATCCATTGGTCAGTGGTGTTTGGTGTTTATTGAAGTATAATAACTAGGATCCCTGTTTTCAGGTGGGACACCTGGTATATAATGTGATTAAATCATTTGTCAGGGACTCATAGATGGTAAGAGGGCCGGTAGGATTGGAACCCAGGAGCTCTGACAGCTGAGTCTACAGGGTTGAGGAACCTCCGCTACTGATTCATGTCAGAGCTGCCCATTCCCTCCCCCACCCGAAAGACCCCGGCCTTGCAAAGCTCAATTCTGGAGAAGAAATGAGTTTCATTCCTTCATTCTTCATTCTTGGAGAAGAAAGGCCTAGTTAAGTACAGTGGCCCAAGATAAGGGCTATAAAGGAAGGGGGAGAGGGCTACAAGGAAAACCAGAGAGAGAAGGCAGAAACTGCTGTAAGATCTGGGCTTGAGTGTAACAGGGGAGGGAATAGTGGAGCTGGATTTTGGAAAGAGTATCTGTGGGAATAAAATGGGGCAAAGTGGAGGCACTTTAGGCATTTGATAACATGAATGAAAGTGAATAGATGGGAAGTTTCAGATTCTGGGAGAGGTCAGGTGTCTGGGATCGGATGGGATGCAGCGATGAGACTGCCATTATTCATTTATATGTTAGTATGAAGGATCTGAAAGTTGTATTTTAAGAGTGGGGGAGAGAGGATGAACTGTCTCCAATGCCTTGTCACAATTCCACAACCAGGGAAAGGAGGAGCAGAAGCTGACGAAAGCACTGTTCTTTAGCATGTCTGATGGTGGCAGGGAGGAATGGCAGGTGGGGGGGAAGGAAAGCCTTTTACATTCACCAACCTACTGGGATGCACACTGAGGACGTCAGAGGCCAATCCACAGTGCCACAGCCTCAGAGTGACATTTGGATGTCATCATGATCATCAATAAAAAGAGCACTTATCTCTTACCTGCTATGAGCAAGCACTGTTCCAAGTTTTCCCATGGATAGTGGATTTATTCATTCACTCACTCACTCAACACATAACTTACAGAGCACTGACTCACTCCAGGTTGTGTTCCAGGTGCCAGAGATACAGCAATGGATGTACAAGAGACGAGTGTTCTGCCCTCATGGAACAGTGGGAAAAGTGATGATGAGCTCATGATACATGATACACGATAGAGAAGACTATTAAAGCAAGGGAAGGGGATAAAGTGATCGAGGGTAATGAGCTTTAGATGGGGTGGAGAGGAAAAGCCTCTCTGTGGTGGTTACTTTTGAGCTTAGACCTAAAAAGAGGAATCTCTTTTTAGCCAGGGAACTCTCCTGGGTAAGCATGTTCCAAACAGAGGGACCAGTCAGAACATATGCCCTGAAATCATGGTTAATCTATTTATTCAATCCTATTTGTCCCTTCTTTTTGCCAGGAACTCTACCATAGGTGAGAAATAGCAATGAAGGAAAGAGAAAAAAGAAATCCCTGTCTTCATGGCACTTCCATTCCCATGACAGGGATCATGCTTGGCATGTTAGAGAAATGTCCAAGAGGGTGGGGTCATTGTAGGATGGGGCCTGGGGCCTGACCTGTGAACCTTACCACCAACTCCAAGAGCACTGAAGCAACATTCCAGACCCTCCCCAAGCTCCTTCAAGCCACAGCAAAGAAAGGATATTTTCCCTTAAGGTCTACACAGGTTCTCAGCCCTGTGGCCCCCTCCTCCACATATGTAACATAGCCCTGAGATAGAAAAAGAATAATAATCTCCTCCAGGAGTCACTCAACAGTCATCAGGTTTGTTATGGGTTGGCAAGAACATTGGAGAACAGACCCAAAACCTCCTTAAACTCCTCCAGGCCCGCAGTTGCTGGTTTGAGTTCACTCCTGGCCTCTGGTCACTGGCAGAACTGGAAGGAGTTTTGCCTCTACCATGGAAGAGTGACCTGGATCTCAGCACAAAGTTTGCTTCTGCTGATAGATAACCAGTCTCAGGGCCAATTATTTAATCTTCTGAGCAGAAATGAGCTCATCTTGACAATGGAATCATGAAACCCACCCATTATTAAGGGTCCTGAAACACTGACATTGGTCAATATCTCTGAATCTCTTAATACTATGCCAATAGTTAGATAATAGTTGTTCAACACCACTGACCACTTAAAGTCCACAGCAGGAGACTGAATTGTAGAGGGAAGTCAAAATTCCCAGTGAAAACTCTCTAACTGTGGAAGGTTTTTGGTTTTGTTTATTTGTGTCTGTAGTACAAGTGGCCAGGAGCCACCATTATGGATCACCCACTGTGTGCCAGTGGTTTTGCTCCATTGTCTCGTGAATCCCCCACAACTCCATCTGGTAGGAGTCTCACCTTCATTTTCTAGATGAGGAAAGTGAGGCTGAGAGAAGCCGAGGAACCTTCCCAGGGTTATGAAGTTATTAAATGGCAGAGCCTATAATGGGAATCCCTGGCCTGGAGGTCCCAAGCCCTTTCTGCCTCTGAAGTGCATGATTTTCTTCACTCAGTGATAGAAGAGTGACATTTATGGTCTCTGGATGTAGGCCAAACTTGACAATGAACAATATCCATCAGTCCATTCCACATATATATCTTCTTCCTGTCCTTACAGAGAGAAAGTTCTAGAAGTGAACACTTCCATTGCACTCAGCCTCCGATCATAGTCATATGCTGAGGGGATGTTTTAAGAACACAGTAAAAAGAAATATGTAAATAGAGGCTCCACAGATTTACATTGACTTTCTTTTTTTACCTTTTTTCTTTTTCTTTTCCTCTTTTTTTTTTGAGACGGAGTTTCGCTCTCGTCACCCAGGCTGGAGTGCAGTGGCATGATCTCAGCTCACTGCAACCTCTGCCTCCCAGGTTCAATCGATTCTCCTCTCTCAGCCTCCCGAATAGCTGGGATTACAGGCACCTGCCACCACGCGCAGCTAATTTTTGTATTTTTAGTAGAGACAGGGTTTCAACATGTTGGCCAGGCTGGTCTTTAACTCTTGACCTCAGGTGATCCACCCGTATTGGCCTCCCAGAGTGCTGGGATTACAGGCATGAGCCACCGTGCCCGGCTACATTGACTTCTATTCACCTTAGTGCTACATATTTTCTCCCTGAGAACTTTCTGGATATGAAGTAGAGAAGCCAACTTTCTCTGTGTGTGTGGTCTTTAAGATATGACTTGTTTTGACAGCAAAAGATGGAAATTTTTCGGTAGGTAAGATGTGCTGAAGATTGGCATGTCTGTACCCCCTAAAGCCACTCAGAAGTGGGAATGTCTCTCTTTCCTTATAAAACCACATCTCGGCAGAAAGAGGGTCTCTTCCTTCGGGCACCCCAGCTCTGTGTGGTAACTCACAGTCACACCAGTGCTGACTTGAATCTCTGGAATCCAACAGATCTCACCTAGCCTCCTTCCCCAGCCTCTCTCCGAAGTTGTTTTTGGCAGAAATGGCAGGAATGCCAAAGTGTTTGGGGCTGAAAGCTTTCAAGCAGATATGACACCAGCCATCCTCTGATGTGTTGGTTTGCATAATGTGCTGTGTACAATGCTCACCATTTCATGCAGCAATATCCAAGAAAATCTTTTTGAGACTCCCTCTGAAGAATGGGAGGGATGGGGAGAAGATTCTAGAAGAAGGCTGGCTTGGGACCTGGAGCGCTTGAGGTGAGCTCTCCAGGGGGAGTTTCCATAAAGTAGTTGAAAATGTGTGATATGGTTTGGCTGTGTCCCCACCCAAATCTTATCTTGAATTGTAGCTCCCATAATTCCCACACATCATGAGAGGGACCCAGTGGGAGGTAATTGAATCATGAGGGGCAGGTGTTTCCCATGCTGTTCTCATGATAGTAAGTCTGATGACATCTCATGATTTCATAAAGGGTAGTTCCCCTCCGCAAGCTCTCTCTTGCCTGCAGTCAAATAAGAGATAACTTTGCTCCTCATTTGCCTTCTGCCATGATTGGGAGCCCTCCCTAGCTATGTGGAACTGTGATTCCATTAGATTTCTTTCCTTTATAAATTACCCAGCCTCAGGTATATCTTTATTAGCAGCAAGAGAACAGACTAATACAATGTAGGTAATAACAGCAGAAATGAAATCTGTCTTGTCCACCATCATAGCCCTGGTGCTCAGTGCATGCCCAGCACACAGTGGATCCTCCATAAATATTGGTTGAGTATATGAAAGAGAAGGAGAGAAATCACTGCAGGGGCAATGATTACGGGCTCCAGAGTAAAAGAAAAGTGACCTGTAACAAGTTATTTCATCTCACATTTTCCATTTCTAAAATGGGTCTGGAATATGCATCC
Source organism: Homo sapiens (assembly GCF_000001405.40). Classification (NCBI taxonomy): domain Eukaryota; kingdom Metazoa; phylum Chordata; class Mammalia; order Primates; family Hominidae; genus Homo; species Homo sapiens. Next base: position 15,931,155 of record NC_000004.12, on the reverse strand, counting down.
AATAAGAACTATTCATAATTAAAACCTAAATCTAGGTCCTTACACATATGTATTCTCATTAAATTTTTGTTATAAGTAAGTGAATGAAGGAACCAATTAGCTGAGACAGGAGATAAGAAGGCAATTTTTGAAAAAAAGCTACACCAGACTCAAGATAGGCCATGCCAAGGACCTGCCTGTGAGATGGAGCCTGGCTGTGTGCAGCATGATCATGGGGTTCCTAAAGCCTCTACCCAATGGGCCTTAAGAACCCCATGCTCATGAAGTTCACAGAAGCACTTTGCATGACGAAGGAGGAAGATGGAGACAAAGCTGGCGCCTATGAGTAGCCTCTGCGACTTTCTTAACCTGACTTCCAGCTCACTTCCTACAGGCTCCTCCTGCTCAGGCTCCTGGGTGGCTGGTTGTCCTGGAGACCCTCCTGTGGGTACAGCAGCCCCTACCTTCACTGCTCTTAGATCTTGGTGCTCAGGGGAGCCACTGATAAGAATCAGGATGCCACTTGCTGTGGGCGCTGGGTGAGCAGAGAATGGATCTGCTTCGCTTCCTACTCTATTCTTAGCACCCACGCAGTGCATGGCAGCTGCTCAATAAACCTCAGAGGTTACCGAAGCGTTTCTCAACCTCGACAAAGTTGAGAGTTTGGGCTGATAATTCCCTGGAGTAGGGAACAGCCCTGTGCATACTTGGCTGTGGAGTAGCATCCCTGGCCCTAGTACCTAGATGACTGTAGCAACCTTCCCCCTGTTATGACAACCAAAAATATGTCCAGAAGTTGCTAAATGCCTCCTGGAGATGAAGTTACCCACAGTGGAGAACAACTGGACTACGGTGAAGTTGTAGCACATTCACAATTCACTTAGGCTCCTTCAACAATATGTGTCCTGCTGTGGAGGGGGAAAGAGAGAAGTGTAAAGACATGAATACTGTAAGCAACTTAATCCACCCTTGGATGCAGTGAAAATGTGCCCGGGGTGTACTTAAGATAGCGGATGGGAGTTTGCTTCTTTTCTGTCTGTCTCTGGTCTTCCAGTGTTTAAAAATAGGTATTTTATTTTTGCTCTAAATGCAAACCAATGCCTTTATCTGGTACCCAACAAAAGAAAGGTTGTCAAATGTGATTTTGACTAAAATAAATTTTACAAACATAAGCACTGCCTCCAGAACCTGACTGCCAGGCACAATGTGATTTAGTAGTGGCACATTTGCTACCAAATGCTGTCAGCACTAGCTTCCGAAGTAAAGCAACAGCCCCCTCCCATTGAAAGTAGCCAAGGTGAGTGATGTCATAGGAGAGTCCCAGAGTTATCTAGGGCCCCTCAAAGCTGAAAGTGCCACCTCCTTCTACACCCACTCCCATTAACACAACTGTGAATTCAGTTCCTGGAATTGTCTTTCCTGGACTGAGTATGAAGCTTGCTCTAAGCCAAACATTGGTAGCCCCAGGGTAGGCTGGGGTTTTGCAACGGCAGGAATCCAAGGACCCAGATGGACCATCCTGGCATATGTGCCCATGTTGTTGGAAAAGCCCAAAGCCAACCCCTTAGTCGCTGGGAAACCAGGCAGGGCAAGGGTGGGGAGGGGAGTGGTCATGGCTTCAGAGCAGAAGCAGGTGTGGGGGCCAGACAGGACAAAAGAGTTCTAGCCAACATTTATTAGGTGCTTCCTGCATGCTAGAGGCAGTGGTTCCCAGCCCTGGTTACAGGTTAGAATCACCTGGGGAGCTTTAGAAAATCCTGATGCCCAGGCTGCACCCCAGAGCAGTCCCATCAGAATTGTAGGGGTGGACAGCTCAGGAATTTTTAAAGCACTCCGAGCGATCGCACTGGACACCCAAAGTGGAGGTCCACTCCTCTGGGCACTGTTCAAACTGCTTTCCCTGCATAAGCTCTTTCATCTTCACGACCACCCTATTGTCAAGACTGTCCAGGGAGTGTAAGGAGTTTTGTCACTTTCCAGGGTCACAGAGTTAGTAAGAGCAGAGCCTGGAACCTCCCCGGGCAGCTGTGCTCTCAAGCACTCATACTGGAGCAGAGGAGTCTGCCGGGGAGGCAGCCCCAGGCAGTGGAATGAGCAGAGCCCTGGGTTTCAAATTCATTCTGCCTCCCACTGTCTGGGGAGGCCTCAGACAGTCATTTCATTTCTCTGATTGTCTTAGCCTTCTTGTCTGTGCTTTGGGGGAATGTTATCACCACGGCAGAGTGCAGGGAGGATTCGGTGAGATGGTGTTTATGAAGCTCCTGACAACATTTCTGGGACATAGCCCAGTGCTCGGTTATTTATCCTTATTATTAGACCACGTTGCCAAAAATGGGTCAGCAGGTGGAAAAGCAGATATTGAAAAGGATCATCAAGAGACATTGACATCCTGGGCCAGGCACAGTGGCTCACGCCTGTAATCCCAGCACTTTGGAAGGTTGAGGCGGGCAGATAACCACAGGTCAGGAGTTTGAGACCAGCCTGTCCAACATAGTGAAACCCTGTCTCTACTAAAAATATAAAAAAAATTAGTCAGGCGTGGTGGTGGGTGCCTGTAATCCCAGCTACTCAGGAGGCTGAGGCAGGAGAATCACTTAGACCTGGGAGGTGGAAGTTGCAGTGAGCTGAGATCGCACCACTGCACTCCAGCCTGGGCAACAGAGTGAGACTCTGTCTCAAAAAAAAAAAAAAAGAGAGAGAGAGATTGACATGCTGAGGGGCAGGTGTCAGTAGTCAAATGCAAAGGCAAAACAGAGGCAGCGTCCAGGAGGGAGGACCACGTAGTACAATAGACATAAACATGCAAGAGGGAACAAGGCCAGGATGGCTGGGGGCATGGGAAGGGGCCATGCCAGGCAGCACCTCCCACTGTCAACTGCACACCCTCACCCACACTCTTGATTGTGGCATCTGTGTTTAGCCACTTTGTTGTGTGGAAGATGTTGTGGCCACCCCATCTTCTTTAGTACTCCTTTTTCTCTTCCCTCCCTCTGTCCCTAGCCTATGCCCATTTTTTTCCTAAGCCTTGCCTGGAAAAGTTGAGCAGACAACTGACATTTACTAAAAAGAAGCCAAGGTGGGACCCACTGGCTTCCCTACCCCAATACATGCACATCGTCAACCAGGGCCCTGCCCCTTTGAAAAGAGACATTGAGGCCAGGCACGGTGGCTCACACCTGTAATCCCAGCACTTTCAGAGGCAGAGCCGGGTGGATCACGAGGTCAGGAGATGGAGACCATCTTGGCTAACACAGTGAAACCCCATCTCTACTAAAAATACAAAAAGTTAGCTGGGCGTGGTGGTGGGCGCCTGTAGTCCCAGCTACTCGCGAGGCTGAAGGAGGAGAATCACTTGAACTGGGGAGGTGGAGGTTGCAGTGAGCCAAGATCACACCACTGCACTCCAGCCTGGACAATAGAGCAAGACTCCGTCTCAAAAAAAAAAAAAAAAGAGACATTGAAAGAAGGAAGGGAGGAAGGAAGAAAGAATGTATTCATTTTTTTTTTTTTAGAATTTGAAAGTAATGATTGTACATAACAACAAACCAACCAGAGAGCACAAACAAGTCAAAGGAAGAAAGAGCACAGGCCCGCCCATTCGAAGGCACCACCCTTCGCGCTTGGGCACAAATCCTCCTTAGACACATACACAAATCTTTTAATTGGATGGTAATATCACAGGCTGATATCTTTTCTTTCACTTAAAATATCACAAATCCAAAAAAAAAATCACGAATGCTGCAACATCTTTTCAAGTCGGAATCGTGTTTTGTGTGTGGATATATTGTAAGTTATGACAGGACCATCCCACTGCTGGAAAATCAGAATGTTGTCAATTGTTTGTTATTATAAACAACGCCGTTAAAACCCATCCTTGAAGAGAATTTGTTTTTTTAAATCATTCTCCAAGGTCCAAGATTTTGCTTTTGGAAATCAGGGGGTTTTGGGAATTTTTTTTTTTTTTGAGACAGGGTCTCACTCTGTCACCCAGCCTGGAGTGCAGCTGTGGCACTATCATAGCTCACTGCAGCTTCTAACTCCTGGGCTCAGGTGATCCTCCTGCCTCAGCCTCCTGAGTAGCTAGGACTACAGGCCTGCACCACCACATCTGGTTAATTTTTTTTATTTTTTGTAGAGATGGGGTCTCACTGTGTTGCCCAGGGTGGTCTCAAACTCCTGGCCTCAAGCAACCCTACCGCCTAGGCCTCCCAAAGAGCTGGGATTACAGGCATCAGATACTGTACCTGGCCAGAAAATAGTTTTTATTATTGAAGAAGTCAAACATTTATAAGTAAAGAGGACCAGAGTAATGAGTGCCAACGTATCCGTCATCCAGCTCAAACAACTGTCAGCTCGTGGCCCATCTTGTTGCATCTATGCGAGATCCTACTTATCCCCACTCCCTGGATTGTTTTGAAACAAATTCCAGACAGCATGTCATTTCATTCATGAGTATTTAACACGTATCTCTCAAAGATAAGGCAAGAGTACACATGTTTAAAACTTTTGGTATGGACTGCCAAACTGCCTGCCAAAAAATTCTGCAACAATTTCCATTCCCACCAACAGTATAAGAATGTGGCCATTTCTCCTCGGTCTTGTCAACCCCGGGTCAGTGTCCAGTTAAGAAGAGGTGAGGGAATGAGACAAAACTGAAATAGATAGTTCAACAGAGGTGATTAAAAATGGGAAACCAGGCTGGGTGTGGTGGCTCACCCCTGTAATCCCAGCTTTGGGAGGCCAAGGTGGGTGGATCACCTGAGGTCAGGTTTTCCAGATCAGCCTGGCCAACATGGTGAAACCCCGTCTCTACTAAAAATACAAACATTAGCTGGGCGTGGTGGCGGGCACCTGTAATCCTAGCTACTCGGGAAGCTGAGGCTGGAGAATCTCTTAAACCCGAGAGGTGGAGTTTAAGTGGGCCGAGACCATACCATTGCACTCCAGCCTGGGGGACAAGAGTGGAACTCCATCTCAAATAAATAAATTAATTAAATAAAAATAAAATGGAAAACCAGTTACAAAGATATTGGAAAAGCTAAAAGGGCAACCTGGGCACAATGGAGCAATCCAACAGCCAGAAGCTTCCCACGGGAAGCCCCATGGCTGGAATGACAAATGGTGGAGGCGGGGTTGCCAAAGCCCGGGGGCCAGGGCACCCAGCTGGAGCCAGGAAACTTTGGCAAGCCTGCAGCTGCAATGGAACCCTGGAGAGAGCAACCACTTCAGGGACACTGGAGTCACAGTGACTGCTGAAAATGCCACCAGAAACAGAGAGAAGCAATGTCTTGGCTTCTTCCCTTCCTCTGCTCCTACTGGCCACATCTCATCAGAAGCAATGAGCAGGGGAGCCTGGGAAATGAGTCTGCATCCACAGCCTCACCTCAACCCCATATAGACCAGTGGGGAGTGTGGGGCGATGGATCTGAGAGTCCGCAAGGCAGTGACGGGCACTCTGAGCATTGCTGCTTTAGTTTAGCTTGTTTAATGAATACGATCTTTTCTGGACGAAAATATTCTTTAAGTCATGAGGGAAGGCATGAGTGTAGACTACAGAGAGAGAAGCCACACTAGTGGGGAGAATGCAAATGAGGACAACCCATTTTCAGAAGAATCTGTCAATAGCTCTCTGAGTTTAAAATCACAATCCAGGCCGGGAGTGGTGGCTCATGCCTGTAATCTCAGCACTTTGGGAAGCTGAGGCGGGTGGATTGTTCTGAGCCCAGGAGTTTAAGACTATCCTGGGAAACATGGTGAAACCTCATCTCTACAAAAAGTACAAAAAATTAGCCAGGCATGGTGGCACACACCTGTAGTCCCATCTACTCAGGAGGGTGAGGCAAGAGGATTGCTTGAGCCCAGGAGTTAGAAGCTGCAGAGTAAGTTATGATTGTGCTGCCACTGCACTCCAGCCTGGGTGGCAGCACAAGACCCTGTCTCAAAAAATAAATAAATAATTTAAATTAATTATTAATTAAATTTTAAAAATAAAATCACAGTCATTTCCAGAGATTTATGCTACATATATTTGCACATCACAAAGATGTGTGTGTAAAGATGTTCATGATGACATTGTTTTTCTTCTGTTTTTTTTTTTTTAGCTTTTATTTTATTATTTACAGTACCAAAGACTGGAAGCAATGGATGTACTCACTCATAGGTACTGGCTAAAAAACATGAATGAGTTAGCTGGGATGATTTCTAAGCGAAATCTATGCTAAATAAATAAAGATTAAAAAGCTAGTGTGTTTCAGAGACTGAAAGCTCACAGTTGCCAAGTGTTTCTATATGTCCAGCACTGTGTTACGTACTCAGCGCACATGGTTTCATTTATGAACTACCATGATCCTATGAGGTAGGGATTTTTCCTTTTTAGAGGGGAAAACTGAGGCAGGACCAGAGTTTGAACACAGGCAACCTATCATTAAATTTTGTGCTCCTAAGTGCTAAGAGAAGGGAATGATTTAACAGGAATGTGTCAGATGCAATGAAAGTGGGCAGAGACCTACACCTAGCCTGGGACAGACAGAAGCCTTTTAAGAGATGACGCTTCAGAGGGTCATTAGACCATGTAAGGAGGAATGGGAAGGGTGCTGTAGGCAGAGGGCTAGCCTGGGCAAAGGCTTGGAGGTGAGGAAAAGCAAGGCTCCTGTGGAGAAACCAAGCAGAAGCAGTGCGGTGCTGCTGGGATGCAATGCCTGAGGATAGAATGGGGGAGCACAAAGATGAGAGTCTTAGCAGGTAGCAGGCACAACATACAGAGTGGCTGAGGAGTATTAATGGGGGGCCTGTTAGCAAGGATGCGGGCAGAGTTAAGGGAAACCAACAATGGGTTACGAGACACCTGGGCTAGCAACTGCAAGTCCAAGAGCCACCACCTCCCGTAGGCTAAAAGAGGCAAAGAGGGAGACCAGAACTCAAGAAAGAACGGTGGCTGTGGCTTTAACACTAGGGACCCCCTCCTGCTACCACCACCACACACCACTGGAGCTGGAGCTTCTGGTAGAGAAGCCTGCAGCTGGGTTGAAATGGAGGCAAGAGAGTAAATATCCCAGCTATTTTTCTCTCCTGCATTCTGACATCTTTCTCATGCCTCCCAATGGCCAAACCCATCCAGAAGGAAGAAGGCTCAGCTGAGGCAGTAGGTGGAGGTCAGCCTTCCAGGTCGGAGAAGGACGAGAAAGGTGGTGAGTGAGTCCAGAAAGGCAGGTGGAGGATACCCAGCACACGTGGTTAAGGAGTTGATATTTTATCCTATCCGTGTCCAGGCTCCATTGAGGGGTTTTAGGTATGGAGGCAACATGGTCAGATATGGATTTTAATAAAGACCTCTCTGGCAGCAATTCAGTAGACAGAGCTGTGGGCCATGAGGGATGAGCCTGGGAGACCAACTGAACCACGGAAATAAGGGCCAAGGTGGGAGATGGTAAGGCTGAAAAGGGCATAAGGTGGAAGGAGATAGAACTTACCCAGGTGAGAGATGAGAAGGAGCTGAAAAGGAAGTAACAGAAAGGACACAAATTAGATTCAACTTTGATTTTTTTGAAAAATTGAGAGGTCATAGTGAAGACAAAAGCCAGGCTTCATATTTGGATAATCAACTGAATTTTAGTGCCAATAACTGAGATTAAAAATAAAAATACAGGGCCGAGCGTGGTGGCTTATGCCTGTAATTCCAGCACTTTGGAAAGCCAAGGCAGGCAGATCTCTTCAGCTCACAAGTTTGAGACCAGCCTGGGCAACTTGGTGAAACCATGTCTCTACAAAAACAAACAAACAAACAAACAAACAAACAAACAAAATATATATACACACACACACACACACACACAGAAATTAGCCAGGGTTGGTGGCACATGCCAGTAGTCCCAGCTACTTGCAAAGCTGAGGTGGAAGGATGGCTTGAGCCCGGGAGGCAGAGGTTGCAGTCAGTCAAGATCATGTCACTGCACTCCAGAGCCTGGGCATCAGAGCCAGAGCTTGTCTCAAGATAAATAAATAAAAATAAAAATAAAATTTAAAAACTAAAATAAAAATACAAAAGTAGCAAAAAAACAGGTTTAAAGAATGGTGACTGATGAGTTTTGTTTGGGACAAGTTGGGTTTAAGTTGCTTATAGAACATCCAAGTGTAAATGTCTAGCAGGCATTCAATTTGAGTTCAAATATTGAGTGTTCTCTGTCTGGAGATTTGGATATTAAAGGCACCAGTAGGCCGGGCGCAGTGGCTCACTCCTGTAATCCCAGCACTTTAGGAGGCTGAGGCAGGCGGATCACCTGAGGTCAGGAGTTCCAGACTAGCCTGGCCAACATGATGAAACCCCGTCTCTACTAAAAATACAAACATTAGCTGGGCGAAGTGGCACATGCCTGTAATCCCAGCTACTCAGGAGGCTGAGGCAGTAGAATCGCTTGAACCTGGGAGGCAGAGGTTGCAGTAAGCCAAGATTGCACCATTGCACTCCAGCTTGGGTGACAAGAGTGAACCTCTGTCTCAAAAATAAATAAATAAAGCTACCAGTAGGTAAATTCTAGTTAAAACCCTGAGAGTAAATGAGATGTCCCAGGGAGAAGGAGCATCTAGAAAAGTGGGCGGGTTGTTTGGGGAGCACCAGCACTGAGAAGTGAAAGGAAGAAGAATCTACAAAGCTATAGACAAGGAATGAAAGATCTGAGAAGACAAGAAGAAAGAAGCTTCCTGGGAGCAGAGGCTGGAGTGATCAGTAGCATTAAATATGGTGGTAAATAAGAGACAAAGAGTATCTGCTTCTTAGGACTGTGAAAGGAAAATATCTTGGGCTCCCAAAAACACTAAGCTAAAAGGAAAATTCAAGCTGGAAACTGCTCCAGTCAAACCTGCCTCCCGTTCTATTCAAACTCATCCCTCTGCTCATTGAGATAGATGCATATTCTGATGGCCTCCTTTGGAAAGGCTTATCAGAAACCCAAAAGAAGGCAACCATTTGTCTGTCACCTACCTGTGACCTGGAAGCCCCCTCCCTGCTTTGAGTTGTCCCCGCCTTTCTGGACAGAACCAATGTACTTCTTACATATACTGATTGATGTCTCAAATCTCCCTAAAATGTATAAAACCAAGCTGTGCCCTGACCACCTTGGGTTCACGTCATCAGGACTTTCTGAGGCTGTGACATGGGTATGCATCCTCAAAGTTGCCAAAATGAACTTTCTAAATTAACTGAGACCTGTGTCAAATTTTGGGGGTTCACAGAACTTAGGAGGTTGTAGGTGACTTTAGAAAGAGCAGTTATGACTCTCTTGGTGGATGGATTGCTGTGGGGACTCTCTTGGTGGATGGATTACTGGGGGTTGAGGTGTGAAGTGAAGGTAAGGTAGGCATTGAGGATGTAGATTACTCTGTTTAGAAGTCTGGATGAGGAAGGAGAAAAGTAGGATGATACCTAGGAGGGACCGCCAGGCCAGTGGATGAGTTTTATGGTATTAGGGGAAGGTAGAGAGGGAGAAGCTGAGGATGCTGCAGAAGAGGGGAGATTGTTAATGAAGCCCAGACCTGGAGGGGCCAAGAGGGCACAGATCCAGGCTCTCTCTGTGCTCTTATTGCCTGATCACTTGTCCATCCTCTACATCCCTCTACTAGTCAGGGAGCTCCATATATGCTGTGCTGAGAGTGTTGCCTGGCACACAGCCATGGCATACTTGCTGAGTGAATGGATAAGTGATTCATACTTGCTGAGTGAATGGATAAGTGATTCATACTTGCTGAGTGAATGGATAAGTGATGGTTGAGTGGATGGTCAGGGATATAAACCCGGATAGAAGCAAAGTGTCTTTGGCAAAACTTCTGTAACTTGCACAAGATGGCCAAGGTCTAAAACATGACATCTCCAGCCAGATAATTGTCTGTAGTAAGGAAATCGTCAAGATTTACCTTACAGATACACACCCAATAAGCAAAACCTCCAAACACAGCAGGCTGAATGAAGACCTCTATGGTGAGGGTTGTTGGATTAGAATCAGTGATGCTGGAAACTGACAATCTTCATGTTTAAATCAATTGGGCACTTGAACAGGCCTGATTTTTATTAGCTCATTTAATTTGACTTAAAAGGTTGCTATAGTTGTGCTATCTTGCTTTTTATCTGGGGCAGGGGATGGAGTTAGATTCTGTCTTGGGACTTTTTCAAGTTTTCAGTTTACTTTTCTTCCCAGAGTGACTAAGGGTTTAGCCACTTGCAAAGAAAGTGGAGGAAGGGGTTTTTGCTTTACTTGATCAAGGTCTCTGAGGACTGGAGTCTCCATTACTCATCCCTCCTATCTGGCAACAGGAATATTTGGGTCCGCAGTAGGCTGGATCAACAGGGAAGTCAATGCATGGCAGCTGAGTGAGAAGCTGCTGGAAGCAAAACCGGGAACATAGTAACTTAGGGAAGGGAGTGAGGGTAAATGAGGAAAGCAAAGAATTAGTATTTCTTTTACCAACCAAGTTACCAGTAACTTGAAGGAGCAAAATGCACTCACACCTTGGGTCCCAGCCTCACATTTCCCATGCATTTGGGCAAACCTCCATGAACCTTATTTGTGAAATGGGAACATGTTACCAGCGTAAAGTATCCCATGGAAGGTACCGGGTGGTGAATCCGTATGGGTCTGCAACAACCTCAATTCTTGCCTCTTCAGGAGAAAGAATTTGACAGAGGGGCATAAGGCAGAAAAGGAGCCCAAGGCAAGTTTCAGAGCAGGAGTAAAAGTTTCTTTAAATGCTTTAGAACAGGAAAGAAAGGAAAGGAAAGTACACTTGGAAGAGACCCAAGTGGGCACCGAGGACAAGTGCGATGATCCTAGGACTTTATAGGCTGGCCCTTTTCCCATGATTCTTCCCTTGGGGTGGGCTGCCCGCACCCACCGCGCCTTCCTTACCCTCCGGAGGTGAGCATGCGCAATGTGTTTAGGAAGTGGTGCACATGCCCATCATCGCTTTTCCAGCAGAGTGCCCCGAAGGTCCGAAGGTCAGACTCTGCCATTTTGTCTCTTTTCTTTTCTTTCTTTCTTTTCTTTTTTTCTTTTTTTTGAGACGGAGTCTCGCTCTGTCACCCTGGTTGGAGGGCAGTGGCGCGATCTCTGCTCACTGCAACCTCCACCTTCTGGGTTCAAGCGATTCTTCTGCCTCAGTCTCCCCCGGCACCTGCATTCAATTAACACTTTGGTGCAAAAGGTGTGGATCATCAGGAAATGATCTCTGTCTCTGGTGTTGGCTGCGAGTTTATAAATTTTAGAGAGGGAATGTGATCATTACCAAACCATCACCCAACATTCCTAGTGGATGGTGGGAGAGCCCTCTCCTGCGCGGCTTGTGCCTGTCTAACTGCCTGTAACAAAGTCATTCAATTAAAATTTAGTTACCCTCTGTAATGTGCCACACACTGCCCCAGGCACTTGGAGAATATCAGTGAAGGATAATTCCCCTTCTTCAGGATGTTTTGAGGAATAAATGAGGTAGTGCATGTAGAATTACCTGGTGATGATCTGTAAAAGGTGCTGAATTGGAGGTAACTGCCATGATGATGGTGGTTCTCATACATATAAAACAATGATATGAGGGTGGTAGTGGACTGATGGTTGATGGTCTCACTTGTCATCTTGGCTGTGAGCTCTCTGAAGCAAGCTGGGGACCATTTTGGAGTCCTGGTAAGTAAGCAGTCACTAGGAAGGGGCCCCAGGTAGGGCAGGGCCCCACGTGGGGAAGAAAAATGAACAATTGTTATTTGAGAGATGGCTAATCACAAACAACCCACCGAAATTAGCTCCCTCCAGCCCCTGCCTCTTTACACACAGCCCCTTCTCTGCTGTTGCTGCCTGTTGCAACCTTGCAACATATTTTCATACTTTGTCTAATAAATCTGCCTTTCTTTACCTATAACTGTCTTGGTAAATTTTTTTACCACCTGCGAAGTCGGCCCCAACCATTTGTACCTATGATAGCCATGTCTGCCTTATATATCTCTCTGAATTCCCGGCACAGTGCATGGCGTAAAAAATATGTGATCATCAGTAAGAAATCATTCTCAACCAATTATTGCCAATTAAGTTATGTATCCCTTTAAAGTTCACATTCTTAAGCTATAAACACACAATGTCCTAGGGCCTTTCTGACAACTAGAGAAGTTCCAAGGTACTGGGTGCAATGTCTGGTCCATAGGGGTTACTGGAAAACCCAACCAGTTCCTGCTGGTCACTTCCTATTGTAGACTCAGCCCAGTTTCACTTACTCACCTAATGTTCACAAGAGGGAGTCTCCAGAGCTCCTCCAGTGGTCCCCACCGTGTACAGGAGAGGGATTAGGCACAGTGATGGGAAGGGGCAAGTGCCCAGAGCCACTCACCAAGAAGAGACAGAGCTGTGGCTGGGCCAAGCTGACGGACGGATGCAGGAGGCTGGTCAGTGCCCTCAAGGAATATCTAGTGTAATGTGGGAGATAAGCCACTCACAAGTGAAACACTTAAATCCACTGTGGCTGATTAAATGCCAAGTGCTGGCAGAGTCCCAAGTGCGGAAAGAAGAACAGGTATAAGGGAGGAGTCTGCATGGAAATGCTGAAATCTCAGCTGGGTTTTGAGTGAGATAAGAGGAGGAGACAGGGAGGGATTTATAACCAGAGAGAACAGCATGAGCAAGGGCTCAGAGGTGAGAGCAGGTGTGGCCAATCCAGGGGGCAAAAAGGAGAGCCAGACTGTGGGAAAGAACCAAGGTTACCTGACCAAGTCTCTGTTGCATGCCTGCCAGGGCTTTCTATCCTAGTTCATTTCATTTCACCCCTCCCAGAAACTTGTGAGACAGATTTTGTTGTTGTTGCCATTTTAAAGACAGGAAAACTAGGACTCCTTGGGATATGGCAAAGCTGGAATTTGATCCAGGTCTAACAGCAAAACTCTTGAGCTTTTCACTCTGCCTAGGTATATTCCTGCACGGTGCAAAAGGGGCTTCATCGGTGACGAGATCTCCCACTGGAACTTGGGAGATCCTGGTTCTACTTCTGAATAGGCGAGAACCTGGGCAAGTGATTTAGCCACTCTCACCCTCCTTCCCTCCTCTGTAATATGGGACATTAATAATTCCTATTATGCAATGGGAACAGCAGTTCCTGCTACAGTTGACCCTTGAATAATGCAGGGCTTAGCGGAACAAACAAACCCCAGTGCAGTCAAACTTTTGACTTTCCCAAAACTTAATAACCTACTGTTGACCAGAAGCTTTACCAATAACCTAAACAGTCAATTAACACGTTTTGTAGTCGTATGTATTATACACTGTATTCTGAAAATAAAGTTAGCAAGAGAAAAGAAAATGTTATAAGAAAATCATAAGGAAAAGAAAATACATTTACAGTACTGTACTGTATTTATTGATTCTGTAAGTTTACAAGATGAACAGTCAATCTAAAATGGCAGCAACTGCAACTGCAGACCTCAATTGATGGTCCATATCTAGCAATTCGACGTTTTCTTGTATGTCAGCTTGTGACTTTTCTTCTTGGGAGGCCTTCTACCATCACTAAATGGCACTGCCTTTGTATGGGATCCCCTGGTGTTATTCAAGATTTAGGGTATTGCACTTAACATGATGTAAAATACTTGAGAACCACACACTATCACTATTTACTGCAATAAGCAAAATGCTGGAGAAATGAGCTGTTCATGTGGAGTTGATTAGCGTCACAAGGCATTTAGAGTGGATACTCACAACAATTGAGCTCACTGTAATAGCAGCCAGCAGTGGCTACAAAATTATTACAGTAGTACATATAGTATGTGCTACAGTTAATTTTATGCAGTTATGATCTAATACTGCATCCTTACATTTATCTACATTTCTCTTGACTGTGAATGGCGCCATGTATGGTCTGTAAGTGTTTGTGTAAGTTTTGATAAATTTTAAATTTTTATTATAGGTTTGTGTATATTTTCTGGTAATAAATGATAAAATAGACTAGTATCTACATGTATTCTATACATTCACAACATACTTAACTTTTTCTAAATTTTCTATATTTTTGGGATACGTGGTTCATCTGCAAGTTTTTTCAAATTGTCACAAATCTACAAAAAATATATTTATTGAAAAAAATCCACATGTAAGTGGACCTGGATGGTTCAAACCTGTGTAGTTCAAGGGCCAGCTGTATATGCCTGTCTCAGATCAGTCCTGTTTCAGATCAGCCTTGTCTCAGATTAGCCCTGTCTCAGATCAGCCTGGGGGGAAGGGGGTGTTCCTCTGTGGGGTTCTCACACCAGGACCTGGGCAGATGGAATGCTGTGGTCACTTTACCTGTGGAAAAGAAGGAGCATGGCAAATCAACATGGCTTCTGAAGCTTCCACCCAGTGACATGCTCATTTTGACTTCTTTGGCCAATGCCAAGCCAGTGGCTACACTCAAGCTTAAGGGTGTTGACAAGTTCCAATTACTATGTGTTGGGAACAGGCCCCCAAAATTCTGGCCATAAACTGGCCCCAAAACTGGCCATAAACAAAATCTCTGCAGCACTGTGACATGCTCATGATGGCCATAACGCCCACGCTGGAAGGTTGTGGGTTTACCGGAATGAGGGCAAGGAACACCTGGCCCGCCCAGGGCGGAAAACCACTTGAAGCCATTCTTAAACCACAAACAATAGCATGAGCGATTTATGCCTTAAGGGCATGTTCCTTTTGCAGATAACTAGCCAGACCCACCCCTTTATTTCGGCCCATCCCTTCGTTTCCCATAAGGGATACTTTTAGTTAATCGAATATCTATAGAAACAATGCTAATGACTGGCTTGCTGTTAATAAATATGTGGGTAAATCTCTGTTTGGGGCTCTCAGCTCTGAAGGCTGTGAGACCCCTGATTTCCCACTTTACGCCTCTGTATTTCTGTGTATGTGTCTTTAATTCCTCTAGCGCCACTGGGTTAGAGTCTCCCCGACCAAGCTGGTCTCAGCAACTATGTATCTGGATGGGAGAAAACTGAAAATATTAATGATCACATGTATTATTCTGAATGTTTTGCAAGAGCTTTTTACATACCCGAGTTCTTTTTCATCTTTAGAACTCCCCGTGAAATTTCAAATCTCAGGATGAAGAAATTAGATGTGATTCTAATCAATGGGGGAGTTCTTTAAGGTTTCTGAGGAAGGAAAGATAGAAGTGCTGAAGTTCAATAAGTCAGTGAAAGCTATAATCAAAGAGATGTTGAAGATAAATGATAATGGTGAAAGAATGCAGAATGCATTTGCAATGGGAGAATCTGAAAACATGGGAGCTGTGGAAAAGATAATGCAATTGAGGCAGGAGAATAAGGAATTAGGGAAACCAAGGATTAAGGCATAAGCAAAAGAACAGCAGGTGCAGCCAGTTCTAGGCAAAATTGGGCAGCATACAGGCCCCATCCTTACTCCTGTGATAATGAGACAGAAGCTTCCACTTCAGCCTCTGATTGGTCACAGGCCAATCCTTCATAGGGTGTAGCCAACTGGAGGCCTCTAAAGGGCACTTAGGGGTGTTGCCAAATTTTTTTTAGCTTAATAAAAGCCCTAAAGAACATTGTAATCATGGCTCTTAAGCCTCTTACTAGAGCCTCCTCCCACTCCATGGAGTGTACTTTTGCTTCAATAAATCTGTGCTTTCCTTGCTACTTTCAGTGCTTCATTCTTTTGTTGGTTTGTTTGTGCGTTTTGTCCAATTCTTTGTTCAATGCACCAAGAACCTGGATGACTCACAGTGAAGACTTTCCATCTAGTAGCAGAATGATCCAGGTACAACCTCGACTTAGGATGCTAGTGATGGAAAGAAATGGCACATTCTGCAGAGACAATTTCATGCAATAAACACTAATTTTGAGAACCCACTTTCTGCCAAGCACTGTTTGGAGATAGATAAGAACAATCTTAATGCCAAGGCACCACTGGTTCTTGTGGATGAGACAGATGTGAACTCAATGTGTCTCACCTCCCTTGGGCAGCCTCTGTCCCCATTCTGTGCCCACCTCAGAGAAAGAACCAGCACTGAGCTGCATCCTCAACAACATCCCGTTAATGAGTGGTCTATATTTTCCTGAAGATGTGGAGAGACTGAGAATGCTATATGGCACACTGCACAGCAAAATGCGTTACCAGTTCCTGTCCCTTCACTGTGGATAGCTCAGAACAACTCAGAAATGACTCAACTAACCAACCCAAAACTTGCTTACCCCACCTTGACCATTTCTTCCTGCAGAAACCAAAGGCTGCTGCCACATTTTCCTCCTGCTCCCCCTGCCTCCTGGTGCTTCCCCATGTGGCCCTGAGCAGTGTAGCACACCCCTTCTCCTGGTGCTTGCCCACCCTGAGTGGTGTGGCATGCTCCCTCCTGCAGGGAACTATGAGTAACAAACTATTTTTTCAATGGCAGCCATCTCCTGGTCTGTTGGCCTCACCACACCTGAAGAATACAATAAAACCTACATTTTAAAACACCCACTTTGTGCAGAGGGCCCAAAACAGTGTATGCAATATCTGAATGCTGCTTAGTTTTGCCTTGGATGCGAAGGAGGGGTCTCTGACTTGTCTCGATCTTTTGATGTCCTGAAACTTCACTGTGATTAACAGAATTAAGGTAAGATCTGGGACAGAGAGGTGAGTCATTGACAATTTGACAGGTCCTAAAACAGAATTAACATTGGTACAGGTTTCCCATGTGCTGTGGTTTTGTGGTGAAGTTTGTCAGTATCCTAAGCCTGTGAACACTTTTTCCACAAAATCCCACAGCCTTCCTAAAGCAAGATATCTATTATACAAGATGAGGAGCATAAACACTTAACCTATGAAATTTGGGCCCTTTTAAGAATTTTATTTGAAAATTGATTACACGTCTCTACTTTCTTATGTGACGTTCATTCAAAAGGGACATGTATTGTCCATAGACTGGCAACCAAAAGAAGATTTACAGTCATTGTGAAGGCCCAACATACACAATCATCTTTCAGCAGAATGTATGAATTTTAGTGTCCAACTAACTATTTCAATGGTTTAAAAGACATTTGTCTTATTTCTTTCTAGCTTTTTGGAAAGTTGTAGCGATACTAATTTTTATTAGTATAATTAACAGTCAGATACCTTGACTGATTATTTACTATCCTCATTGACAGATGAGGCAAAGAAAGATTAGAGAAACTAAGCACCCCAAGATTTATGGCTAGAAAATAATGGAGCTGCGATTTGAAGCCAGATCTCTATGGTCTGATTTCTAAACCTCATGTCTATGCCAAACAGCTAACATTATCAGGTTAGTAACTTGTGGATGACTGGCGTGCTACTGAGTTTCACCTACAGCAAGACTCATTTGTAATGCTGTTGGAATGAAGTGGAATGCCACTAAAACTGATAGAATAGTACAGAGTCAAGCTCCAGCTGGTAGTTTCTATGACACACTTCCTGATGCAACAAAACACCGTATCATTGCTCATTTAGGGAGAGTTTACCCATAGGCTATTTCCCTGCAGGTTTCCCAATCTGAGAGTGTTTTATTCAGCTTTTTGTTGCTTTGTTTGTATTTACCCAAATGTCATGAATATCAGCTTTTCACCAGAATCGCCTGATTAAGAGCTTGTCCCTTATCTAGTACCAGCTGTGTTGCAGTTTTGAAGTCTAGTGACCTGGAGCCATGTGCATCTTTGCCTCAGAAATATCTTCCACAAAGTACTCTTGAGAAATTAATTTGAGACACAGTTCTACACTCCACCGTGGCAAATTTGGTGCAGTATTCACATAACTATAAGTCCTCCTTGCTTTCTAGTATAATGAGCCTTTGTTATCAAGCCAGGAGTGTGTGTCTTATTCTCAGCCTTTCTGCAAACAAGATGTCACCAAGGGCAAGTCATTTAATTTTTATGGACCTTAATTTCAGTCAGCTCACTTAGAAACCATTCACTGAGGTCCTACTAAACGCCAGGCCCCAGGTTAGGTCACGCATCATAGGTGTTAAGAATGCAGATTTTGAAGCGAGACAGACCTTAGTTCACATTCCAGCCAATGACCTCATGAATCCTGTGAACGTGGGCCAGCCGCATCCCTTCTCTAACCCTCTGTTGATGAAATCAGTGTTGCTGAATGGATTAGAGAAGGAATGGTACAAAGAAAATGCAGAAAGTTCCAATTTCCTTCTCCTGCTTCCTCTTACAAAGGCTCTGCTGAGGCCATTGCTATACTTAAATACGTTTGCTCAATGGCACAGAATTCAAAGAAGGGAATTCCTGATAGAGTGACCGATTGTCCCTGTTTGCCCAGGACTGGAGGTCAGAATGTCCAGAGCACAGGACTTTCAGCGCTAAAACTGGTTAAGTCCTGTGCAAGCCAGAATAAAGTGGTCACCCTAACTTCTGGGTTGCTGAAAATGCTCAAGCTGTAAAAATCCCACAAGGCACGGTCACAAAGGGGTTAGCTTGCTAAATCTCTTTCCCTGTGAGAGGAAACAGTTAACCTGCTTTTCAACTTATTTATCTCACAGATATCTCAGGATCCTTTGAAACTATAGGCTCCTTGACTTATTAGGGTGCGGAACTGCACAACTATAACTTTTATTCCTTGCCAAGTGTTGGTTTAATTTATTTGAAGTTGTCATAGTTTCCGATTCCTCCTTGTCCTTCCTGTGAAACCTAAACAACACCCAACAGTCTCTAGGGAAAGAAGCAAAGAGACACTCAATGTTTTGTTCACTCAATGTGTCATCTCTAACACATACAAAATTGTGTTCGCACCCCTGGTGGCTTGTGGCCAACGAGAGTTTGTGGTAAAAGCATCTTCACCGAGGACCAGAGCTCCTTGGGAACTTGAGCTTGGACAGAGCACATCCTTCCTCGGGAGAGGTCGAGTCATCCAGCCTCTGAAACTGCTCTTCTGCTCCTCTTCTTGGCTTGTGGATGGCCATCTTTTCCTGGGTCCTCCCATGTCATCCTACTGTGTTTATCAGTGTCCCAATCTCCCCTTCTTAGAAAGCCATCAGTCACATTGGATTAAGGCCCATCCTAATGCCTCATTTTAACAAATGAATTCTTGAAAGGCCACATCTCTGAATACAATTACATCCCGACGACTTCAGGATAGGAAATACTGGGAAGCACAATTCATGGTTCGACAATTCCAGCAGAGCAAAAGATACAACATGAAAATGGAAGCAGTTTTCCTCTTTCCCATGGCTCTCCACACAGGGAACCACTGCTAACAGTTTCTTAGAAATCTTCCCCTGCCCCCTCCCCACTTAATTTATATGCATAGAGTAGCATAGACACTCCCCTGTCCCCCACCATGAAAATCATGTTGGGAAATGGGATTGTAATTTTTACAGAGTTTTGTATCTTGCTTTGTCCACTTAACAATATATCTTGGTTATCTTTCCACATCGACATACAAATCTGTCTCACTCTGTATGAGCTGCAGAGCCTTCAAGCACAGAGAAGTACCTACTTCTTTTAATTTGGCCCCTGTGGATGAAAACTTGGATCACTTTCTATATTTTTACTATCACATACAAGGGTACAGTGAACATCATCGCATGTTTATCTGGGCAGACTTTTAAGAGTAAATCAATGGAATAAGCTCCTCTTGGGTGGACTGCTGGATCAAGAGATCATGCAGCCTTCATTTTGGAGGTTTGTGTCAAATCTCCCCCTTGTTTATGTTCCTACCAAGAGTGGATGAGGGAGCTCATTTCCTGAGACTAATATCTATGTTGTGTATAATAAATTTCTCCCCTAATCTGATGGGTGTTAATTCATCTAACATCATCATTGCATGCCCTTTGGGATAACTTTGTGCCTCCTGTCCCTCCAGGTGTTTGGGCAGTCACTTCCTTCTGAGTCCCCAACTGCTCTTCTGCCTTTTTTACAGCTGCCACAGTTCCCTGCATGCATTGATTTAGCTGTGAGCTCCTGAAGGGCATAGAAATGTCTGCTTTACCTCCATATACCTAATGCCTGGATCTTAGTAAGTGCTCCTTAAAGTTTAGTGAATTGCAGATTGACTGCTGGGGTCCCTTGTTAATCTTACAATCCTGTGAGTCTGTGTTGGAGATGGTGTTTTATTCACCTGTGTTTCCCTAAGCCTGAACACAGCACCTGACACAGATGAGATATTTAAGAAAAGGTTCCAGAATGGAGCATGTTCTCAGATGATGAACTGACTCTGCTTGTTTTGTCCCCTCTGCTGAGGGCAGGGGCACTGAAGTTGCAGAGAAGGCAGGTAAGATGTGAAAGCATGGTCCGATGGCAGAGGCACTTTTTGCTCTGCGGAAGCTGTACCCAGAGGGTCTTCAGACCAGGTACCCGAGGAGCAGAGGACCTTATGCTGAACGAGACATGCAAGCCAAGTCCCAAGGCATCTTGGGGTAGGTCTGAACCTGCCAGTCAGAGGTGGTGATAGAGTCCATATGGCCTGTCAACTGAAGAATGTGAAGGTTCATAAATCTGGAAAGGAGAGCTTTATTTCTCATAAACCACTGCCGCCTGCAGGGTGACCATTCTGATAGGCTAGGAAGCAGAGTCTGGCCAAAAGCCAACAACAAAAACCTTAGGGGAGAGGCAAGGGGAACAGGAATTTATGCTGAGCATGGTAGCTGAATATATATATTCTATAAGCTATAGGAGGAGTCATGAATATTTACAAAAGGAGAAATATACACGATTGAACTTCATGCCACTTCTGGAGTCCCATGCACAAAAAAATGGCAGTGTTAGCATGATCTGAGGGTGGAGTTTTGGGCCATCTGATGCCCAAAGGTGAAGCAGAGGACACACAAACCCTTAATAGGCATTCTCCCATTAGACTGGTTGGAACCACTCCCTGGTCAGTAGTCTCTTATTAGGCAAAAAAGGAGGAGCAGCATCAGGCAGTTAGTTGACAGTAGTGGTGAGGTCTTTTGAAAGGGCTGGTTTCTGTTTAGCCCTTAGGGAAGAAAGGCTCATGGTGGCTTATGAGGAAGGAGGTATAAGGTGGTGTGTTCAACCTCCTATACTGTCATACCTGAGAACTCAGTTTTCAAGGTTGGGGTCTCCTTGCCCAAGAGATGGTTCATTCAGTCAGTTGTGGGGGCTTAGAATTTAATTTTTATTTCTTAGGCTTCATTGTGACAGGCAGGTCTCCTTGACTGGGACCTCCGGGTGGGGAGGTGCTACCTCTCTGATGTCTCAGTGTCCATCAAAGTAGAGATGGCTCCCCTCACTTGGCAAGCCAGGACTTTGATTTTTTTTTTCATTGTAAAGCTTTAGAAACTCACTTTAGGAGGCTGAGTCAGGTAGAATGCTTGAGTGCAGAAGTTTGAGACCAGCCTTGGCAACATGGCAAAATCCTGTATATACAAAAATCACAAAAAATTAGCTGGGTGTGGTGGCCTATGCCTGTAGTTCCAGCTACTTGGGAGGCTAAGACGAGAGGATCACCTGAGGTCACGCTGAGGCTGCAGTGAGCGAAGATCATGCCACTGTGTTCCAGCCTAGGTGACCTAGTGACACCCTCTCTAAAAAAAAATTTTTTTTAAATTAAAAAATAAACTTCAGAAATTTCAGGATACCTAAGCAGACACCTAGCGTGCCTTTCTTGCCCATCAAATACATTGCCAAGTAATGTTCAACTCTTACCTGCACTGCTTCGAGCCTTCCACTGAGAGTGGTGTTCTTGGAAGTTTGGAAAAGTCCTGGGCCCCGAGCTATCAGGAAGTCATATTTTGTGTATGGTCCATGGCCAAGCTCTGTGGGATCAACCAGGTAACTATTTCATGTGGTGACAATCAGGAAGAAAGTGGATTGTCCTGTTATTTCTTTCCCCAGGCAGAACATGTCTGTCCACAATATAACACAATCATTATTCTCTTATTTCACTTAAGACATCGAGGGTCTCTGCCCAAATCTCATATTGAAATGTAATCCCCAGTGTTGGAGGTGGGGCCTGGTGGGAGGTGATTGGATGATGGGGCGGATTTCTTATGAATGACTTAGCACCACCGCCTTGGTATTGTCCTCGAGATAGTGAGTGAGTGCTTGTGAGATCTGGTTGTTTAAAAGTGTGTCACCTCCTCCCTCACTCTTTTGCTCCTGCTCTGGTCTTGTGACATGCCTGCTCACTCTTTATCTTCTGCCATAATTGTAAGTTTCCTGAGGTCTCCCCAGAAGCCACACAGATGCCAGCATCATGTTTCCTGTACAGCCTGAGGAACTGTGAGTCAATTAAACATCTTTTATTTATAAATTACCCAGTCTCAGGTATTTCTTTATAGCCATAGGAGAACAGACTAATACACTTCATAAGAAAGCAAGCCAGCACTCTCCAAACAGGTTTTGAGCAAGAGCTTCCGACGTGTCAATGTACACTTTCCTCTTCCTAGGTATAGGGTAATGGGTATCGTCTGGGGATACCCAGACCTTGATGTAGCCTTGTTTAAGGACAATAGACAGGGGTCTCAGCTCATTGATTAGAGAGGCTGTATACTTGAACTCCTCATTTCCGTTAGCCCCCCTGGACTTCTCTGTTGGCCTGCCCTGCACAGCCTGGGACACCCCAAATTCTAGTGGAGGAAAGAGAAGGCAGAAGCAGTGTGTTAGTTTCCTATGGCTGATGTAACAAATTAACTCAAACGTAATGGCTTAAAACAACAGAAATGTATTATCTTACAGTTCTGGAAGTCAGAAGGCCAACAAGTTCTCACGGGGCTAAAATCAAGGTGTTGGCAAGGTGCATTCCTTTCTGGAGGCTCCAGGGAACAATCCACTAATTCGCCTGATGCATCTTCTAGAGGGCATTCACATTCCTTGGCTTGTGGTTCCTTCTTGAATCCCCAAAGCCAGCATCATTGCATCTCTCTGACCACCCTTCCTTCCATAGTCATATTTCCCTCTGACCACAGGTGAGAAAGGGTCTCCTTTCTTTTAATGATAAACATGACTATTACTGGGCCCACCTGGATAACCCAGGATGCTCACTCCATTTTAAGATTCTTAATGTTGACATAACTACTAATTCCCTTTTGCTGTGTAAGGCAACATATTCACAGGTTCCAGAAATTCAGATGTGAGCATCTTGGAGGCAGGGGAATTTTTCTGCCTACCATAGGCAGGGACTCTCTTGCCCTGGTATATTGTCAGTTTCATATACTCACATTGGTACTGATGAGTGTCTTTGGGTATACAAGCTCATAGGTATTCACAATTTTCTGATTTTATTGTAGTTAGGAAGATACTGAATTGAAATAAGAAGAAAATATTTTTCAAATGGCTCCATTTTATTTGGTTTAGGGAGTTACCTATTTTACTGTTTGATGTCCAGGACCCTTACAAGCTTTATTTAGATGAGTGAGCACAAAGCAGTAATGTTTGGCAGAATATGAATTGGAAATGAAAATCAAGCAGTCCAAGACTTGGTCTGGAGACTTCCCAAAAGTCTCAGACCCTTACAGGGGTTTCTAAAGTCACAACTATTGTCCTAATATACTAAGATATTATTTGCCTCTTTCACGCTCTCTCCCTCCAGGGCCACTAGTGGAGTTTTCCAGAAGCTACAGTGGTATCATGACAGATTGGATGCAGAAGCAGAAAAAGCCAGCTGGCTTTCATTAAAGCAGACACTAAAGAGATTTGCAAAAATGTGAACCAATGTCACTATTCTAGTTATGTTTGGTTTTGGAAAATACAGTTATTTTTTATAAAACTGTTTCTGTGAACATGTCATGGGTTTACTATTGTTTTAAAATAATGGTTTTTTATTTTCTCAGTTTTAATTTCTAATACAGTAACTATTAACAGCCATAACTCACAGAAACAGAAGCTTTTTGGAGTTCTCAATAATTTTTCAGATCATAAAGGGGTCCTGAGGGCAAAATTTTTGAGACCTCTGAGGCAGGCAGTCAAGATGCAGGGTCACCTCCTATATCCAGAACAATCTGGAGGGGACTAGGCTGGCCTGGCCTGGTTGGAGCTACAGGCAGGAAGAGCCTACACTTCCTAGGCTGCCAGGAGAACAGTCCAGAGGCAGTGGGCAGTTTGGACCCCTTTCTAAATTTCTGATTCAGTGATTCAGTGACATTAGAAATTCAAGGCCAAGCGCCGTGGCTCATGCCTGTAATCCCAGCACATTAGAAGGCCCAGGCAGGAGGATTGCTTGAGCTCAGGAGTTCAAGATCAGCCTGGGCAACGTAATGAGACTTCATCTCTACAAATAATTAAAAAATTAGCCAGGTGTGGTGGCATGCACCTATAGACCCAGCTCCTCAGGAGGCTGAGGTAGAAGGATCACTTGAGCTGGGGTGATAGAGGCTACAGTGAGCTATAATGGCGCCCCTGCATTCCAGCCTGGGCAACAGAGTGACCTTTGTCTCAAAACATTAAATAAAATAATGAAATAAAATAAAAACAAATAAGAAATCCAAGACAAACAGGTTTGAAGGGCAGAATTGGGAGCATCATTTTCAGGCTGGTGGAAGTTGAGGTCTGTGTGGGCTCCTTGTCACCACCTATAATGCGAAATATTAGTTTTAAGTCCCCAAGAAAATCTGGGATAAATAAGAAGATGCTTATTCATGGCAACTTACATTCCTTTAAAAAAAGAAAAAAGAGGATGGGATTGGTTCAGTCCTTTTCAAGGCAAGGGGCTGAGGCTGGAAGCCTGACTGCAGCAAGGGGACAGTTCTTATCTCTCTGCGCCCCCCTTCTCCTTACCTATAAAGTAGGAATTTAAAGCAGCCTCTACTGTCGGGCTTGCTGAGAGGGTGCAATGAGCCAGAGCGCATAAGCACGCCACACAGTGCCCGGTACTTAGCAGATGGGTCAATACATGGCCCTTTGTATGGAGGGGAAGCGGAAGCTCCTTTGAAAGTGGCCATCTCTGCGTCAGGAAACCTTTCTCATTCTTTCCAAATTCACTTTCTCACCCCACCCACCTGGCAGAGTGAGTCACCCACTTGGCAGCCAGCAGCTGGGTGCTCGCAAGCTTGCCTAATCACACCTGGAGAAAAAGGGAACTCGGGCAGGGGCAGGACGCACCCAGCAGAGCAGTGGCGCCCCAGGCCAGAGGCCAGCCCCGCCCGGGCCCGCCCGCCGCCTGATGTCGCCCCATACGCGCGAGGCCAATCCGCGGGGCCGCCGCCCTCGGCAGGCACCCGGCTTGCACTTGCCCCAGCGAGCTGGCGGGCTCGGGGCGCGCTCCCCGGCCCCACCTCCTCCCCTGCTCCAGCCCGCTCCGAGCTGGTTTTAAAAAACAAAACAAAAAAGCAAGAGCTGGGCTTAGACTAGCTTTTTAAAATTTTATTTATTTTCCCTAAGACCTAAACTGGCTTTTTCCGCGTCACTGGCAAAAGTCATCACATGGGATAGGAAATGAGGACTAGGCAAGATCAGCTGGTTCGATGTGAAGACAGTGGAAGGGGGGTGTCATGGTCCCAAAGGTGTGGCTGCCAGGCCACCCCCATCCAGTTACACCATGAGTGCCCTTAAAGCAAGAAGCTTCATCTGACTCGGAGTACCCCCTCCGGGATGCACATTCTAGAGGAAGATATAAAGCCTCCCTTAAATACTAATAATTTGTTAAGACCTATTAAGCGCTTATAAAATGGCAGGCATCCTGCTAAAATGCTTTTGAACCGTTATCTTGTTTAATCTTCTCTGGGAAGTTTGCATCATTGCCCCCAATTTGCAGATAAGAAAACTGAGGTCCAGGGAGGGTGGTTTACACAACGAGTAGGGGCAGCCGGAAAGCAAAGCCCTGGATGTGACTGCTCTGCATGTGTATCCCTCTTAATCCCTACGGGATCAGTTGGCATTCAACAGAGACTCAGACTAGAACACACCAGTTTCCTGGGCAGAGAACATGAAAACAGGATGAGGGAAAATATCTATTTAGTGGTGACTGTCCAACTCACTCTGTCTCCATAGCCCGCCATCAGAATATTCCATGATTCATTTACTCTTTCATTCAACAAACGTGGAGCCAGGCAGTGCAACAATCAGGCAAAAATCCTGGTGGAAAGCGGAAGACCGGCAATGAACAATAAATGTAAGAAAATCATTTAATTATATAGCAAAGTAAGTGCTATGAGAGAAAGCAGAGCATTATGGGGAATTGAGAATGGAGGGGAGGCGAAAGCAGATTGCCATTTTAAATAGGGTTTTCATGGTACAATTCATTGAGAAGACAGCCAGGGTGTGAGCTTGCTGATATCTTGGGAAAGAGTTTTCCCTGTGGAGGGAATGGCTAATGCCGTAATTCTGAGGCTGGAGCGTGTCTGGAGCAACAAGGAGGCTAATAGGGTTGGAGAGACAGGGAAGAGTGAGGGGGAAAGAATGGAAGGATCTAATGTTTGGGTGGGGGTCAGGGTCAGGTCATGACCCATAGGATCTTGTATGTCATTATGAAGACCGACTTTCACTCTGGGTGGCATGTGAGGCTATAGGAGGAGTGACATTATTGGACTTTTATCTCAAACAGGTTACTCTACTGGTATGCTGAGAATAGCATACAGGGTGTCATGGGTGAGATAGAAGACCAGGTAAGAGGTAGTCCCAGCAATCCAGCTGAGAGACCACTGTAGCATGGACCAAGGTGGGAGCAGTGAAGGTGGAGAGAAAACTTGGATTATGGATATATTTGAAGCTGGTTTCAATAGGATTTGGAGATGGACTGGCATGGGTTATGAATAAGAGCAGCCAAAAATTGTCTGAAGGTCTAACCAAATTCAAAGAATGGAGTTGGCATCACCTGAGACAGGAAATGTTGTAGAAGGAACGTTGGTGGTGGAGATTAGGAGTTCACTGTTGTTTCTCAGCAATTGGGCAAACAAGTGATAAGGCACGACCATATTTGGTGTGGGTTGTTTTAGTCCATTTTCATACAGCTATGAAGAAATGCCTGAGACTGGGTAATTTATAAAGAAAAAGAGGTTTAATGGACTCATACATCTGCATGACTGAGGAGGCTTCACAATCATGGCGGAAGGCGAAGGAGGAGGAACGGCACATTTTACATGGTGACAGTCAAGAGAACGTGTGCAGGGGAACTGCCCTTTATAAATCCATCAGGTCTAGTGAGACTTATTCACTATCATACAAACAGCATGGGAAAACCTGCCTCCTTGATTCAATAACCTCCCAGTGAGTCCCTCCCACAACACGTGGGGATTATGGGAGCTACAATTCAAGTTGAGATTTGGGTAGGGACACAGCCAAACCATATCAAGAGGCTTTCCCACACTCCAGCACCTTGTTTCATCATGTTGATTGGACTTGCACACCTCCATGCCCTGACTTCTGTGGCCCACTGTGACCACAGCTTCCTTTCTACCACCACTGCTGGGTCAATTTCCACTTATCTGTAAAATCTTAGAAAAATGACATCTTTCTGCGTGAATCCTCTGGTTACACCCAGGCCTCATTCCCATGAACAATCTCAGTCCCTATAGTGTATGCCATCCAACTGGACACTTGATTATCTGCAGTCATTTGTGGTTCACCAATTCCTTGAAGTTTGCCAGCTATCTTTCTTAAAAGATCAATTCTTACACTTCATCTTTGGCATCTCACAGGGCACTTAAACGTGGAGGTTGGCTCATAATGAGACATTGATTGAGCTTCTTTTATACATTGTGGTGATTGGCAATTGCCACATCAGATGGGAACCACAGATTTGGAATCATTCAGCATTTCTCTAGGTCAAAGCTCTTTTCATCAGATGAGAAACTGGAGTACCAGAGAGTGGAAATAACTTGCTCAGTCTTTTAGGGAATTAGAGAGCCATGACCAGGACATAGAAGCTCTGATTTTTAGACCAGTGCTCTTTCCCCTATACTCACAAAGCTTGAGCCCTGGACAAGGGGCACCTATAAAAACAGACTCCAGGCTGGGTGCTGTGGCTCACACCTATAATCCCAGCACTTTGGGAGGCCAAGGTGGGCAGATCACTTGAGATCAGGAGTTTGTGACCAGCCTGGCCAACGTGGTGAAACCCTATCTCTACTAAAAATACAGAAAAAAAAATTAGCCAGGTGTGGTGGTGCACACCTGTAATCCCAGCCACTTGGGAAGCTGAGGCAGGAAAATCACTTGAATGCAGGAGGCAGAGGTTGCAGTGAGCTGAGATTGCCACTGCATTCCAGCCTGGGTGACAAAAGAGATTCTGTCTCAAAAGAAAAAAAAAATAGCAACAGACTCCAGTTTGAGACTCTTATTGCTTAAGTGTGGGCACAAAAGAGGATGTTTTGAAACAGGCACTCTCCGACTCTGTTAGTAGTAGTATGATTACCACAATCTCTTTAGAAAGAAGTTTGGTAATATCTATTCAAACTTTTAAATAAGCCAACCCTTTAACTCAGAAGATCCATTTCTGGATATTGCCCTAAAATACATGTGGTAAGTGACATGTATGCAACATTAGTTATTGCAGTAGTGTTTGTAATAGCGAAAGCTGGAAACAACCTAAAAGAACATTAGTTGGGAAGTGGCAAGATAAATCGTAGATATCCATCTAAGGTTTGCAATTGTGAAAAGGGATGCAGAAGATATTTTGGGCTGATATAAAATCAGGCCCAAGGGGAAAAGGCAAAATACAGAACAGTGTGTGTGCAAGATGTTCTCAATTGTATAAGAAAAATATGGACATGTCTATATAAGTATGTTTGTTATATACACAATATATTACTAGAAAGAAATATAACAGTAGCTGTTTAAAAGAGGATAACTGGGGGGAAAGTCTTTTTACTTTATACACATCTGCATTAAAAAATTTTAACGTTCATGTATTGCCGTTTTAATTTAAAAAATTGTTAACAAAATCTATCCATATAATTTAAATACTAAATATTGCCATAAAAGTTGGCAAATAGATGTTGCTACCCACCTTTTCCTTGCCTTTGACCAAGATGAGTAAATCCACCAACCCTGAGAAAGGAAATCTGTCAGTAACCACTTCCCTTAGAAAATTCATTCGCTTTGACTGTCATCTGTGCTTTCATTCTTGCTGATGACTTTTGACAAATTGGGAAAAGACTCCACCAGCGAGGTGTCCCTGAGAGGCCAACTTCAGAAGGGGATCAAGAAAATGAGCCTCCACCTGTTATCTCTCCCTAGTAGCTGGGACTACAGGTGCCTGGTTGTTCAGGGATGGGCTCCAGGCTTGTGCAGGTGTGAATCACCCACTTCTGGATGGCAAATATGGCAGCTGCCAGGCCTGACCTAATGAATTAGAATCTCTGTTATGAGGCTCTGACAGCTACATTTTTAAAATCCCCTCCCTGCCACTTTGAGGTAGTTCTGAGACCCACAGCTTGGTTAACTGCCTCCCTCTCCAATTTACACTTAAATGCCCTGAATTTGGCCTCACTAAAAGATGACAGTTTCCTAATGGACTTCTCAGCAAGATGACATAAAAAGTATCCCCTATGAAGCTGGAGGCAGAATACTGTTCAGTCCCCAACAAGGGTGTCCATGTTCTAATTCCTGGAACCTACATATATGTTATCTTCCACGACCAAAGAAAATTTCCATATCAAGGTAAGGGACTTGAGATGGGGATGGCATCTTGAATATCTAGTTGGGCTCAATCTAATTACATGAACCCCTAAAAGAGAAGACCCTTTCCTAGCTGTAGTCAGAGAGAAATGTGTATGGACAAAAAGAGATGATGGTGCTGGCTTTAAAGATGGAAGATGGGGCTACAGCCAAGGAATGTGGGTGGCCTTTAAAAGATAAAAAACTCAAGGAAACAGATTGTACCCTGAAACTCCTAGAAAAGAACATAGCCCTGCCGACATGTTGATTTTCGTCCGCTGAGACCTGTGTAGGGCTTCTAAGTACTCAGGAGGCTGAGGCAGGAAGATTGGCTTGACCCCAGGAGGTTAAGGCTGCAGCAAGCCATATTTCCAGTACTGTACTCCAGCCTGGGCGACAGGACAAAACCCTGTCTCTAAAAAAAGAAGAAGAAGCAGAAGCAGAAGAGAAGAAGAAGTGGAAGTGGAAGTGGAAATGGAAGAGGAAGCATTAGCAGCAGCAGAAGAAGGAGAAGGAGAAGGAGAGGAAGAAGAAGAGAAGAAGGAGGAGAAGAAGGAAGAAGCAGCAGACACTGCATGGCAGGATTGAGGACCCAATCAGAATAAATTTGTGTGAGATGATAAATTTGTCTTGTTCTGGGCCACTAAATTTGTGATACTATGTTACAGTGGTAATGGGAAGCTAATATATAAATATTTTGGGCAAAAGTGTTCAATGTGAATCTAAGATTACAAGAAATACAGCGACTAAAGGAATGATTTAAATGATATTAGAAAGAAATAACCAGGGCTAGGTATGGTGGCTCACACCTGTAATTCCAGCACTTTGGAATGCCAGTGTGGATGGATTGCTTGAGTCCGGGAGTTCAAGACCAGTCTGGGCAACATGGCGAAAGCCCATTGCTACAAAAAATATGGAAAATTAGCTGGGTGTGGTGGTGCATGCCTGTAATCCCAGCTACTCGGGAGGCTGAGGCAGGAAGATCTCTTGAGCCCAGGAAGTGGAGGTTGCAGTGAGCTGAGATCATGCCATTGCTCTCCAGCCTGGGCCACAGAAGAAAATCCTGTCTAAAAAAAAAAAAAAAAAAAGAAAAAGAAAGAGAAAAAGAGAAAAAAGAAGGAAGCAACCAGCAACCAGGCAAACTAAGATTTAGTATGTTATTGAATCAGCTAATTCTTAGTTTGGCTTTATAGATTGGCTAGATTATTCACAAGGCAATGTTAAGCATAAAAAATCCAAAAGGGACTGCTTTGGGTGAAAACAGACAAAGGAAACATAACCAAAAGTAATATATGATACTTGATTAGATCCTAATAAAGCAGCCTATAAAATACATTCTTGAGGCAAATGGAGAAATTTGAATATAGTCCTTATAGTAGATTATATCATAGAATTATTATTAATATTCTTAGTTATGATAATGTGGTTAGTAGAAGAATATTATTATTCCTGGGAAATACTTGCTGGAACAGTTAGGGGCAAGGTATCATAGTGTCTGCAGCTTACTGGAAAAAAAGAAGGAAGGGAAGAAGGAAGAAAATGAATGAAGAAGGAGAAATAGACAGTAAAGAAAGAGAAAGAAATAAGTATAGATGGCAAAATGTTGACTCCTGTGTAACTGGACTGAAGGGTTTCTGGGAGTTCATTGTACAATCTTTCTATTTTGCTTATATTTTAAGACATTCATAGCAAGACTTGGAGACCTGAGCTAGTGGAGAGTTTGAAGACAGAAGAATGGACCCTGAATCATCTGTCTTGGAGATACTATAGATGGGTTGATCCTTGTGTGTTGGATTTTGCTATGGCTTTCATTCATGTCTTCATTCATTTATGTATCCTTCTAGGCACATACTTGTCAAATACACATTAAGTATCTCTTCTAATCTGGTTCAACTTTTATGTAACAAAGTTGTGAATTGTTTTTCAGTTGCCATGGCCCCCCGGCTTAAATGTCAGATAACCTGAGCATGCCCAGATCAACCAAGTGTGCAAACATGCTGGTACCTGTTCTCAGACTGAGAGCAAAGACTGAATTAAGAAGTGGACACTGGGAAGATGCAATGGCTCACTACTGGAATCCCAACACTTTGGGAGGTTGAGGCAGGAGAATCACTAGAGCCTGGGAATTTGAGACCAGCCTGGGCAACAGAGCAAGACCTAGTCTCTACAAAATAAAAAATAAAAACTTAACTGGTTGTGGTGGCACACAACTATGGCCCCAGCTACTCAAGAGGCTGAGGCAAGAGCATCATTTGAGCCCAGGAGGTCAAGGCTGCTGTGAGCCATGGTCATGCCATGTGCTCCAACCTGGGCAACAGAGCACCACCCTGTCTCAAAAGAAAAAGGAGGAGAAGGAGAGGGAGAAGAAGAAACAGAGGATCCAATCAGATCAATCCCTGGCATTTCCCCATGGCAGGACCCAGTCAGATCATCACCTCACTGAAAGATCCAATCAGATCACACCTCATTACCTTATGCTTATAAAACCTGACCCAACCCCAAACTCAGAGAGACAGATTTGAGCACTTCCTCTTGTCTTCTTGCTAGTTGACTTGCAATAAATCTTTCCTTTTCTCAAAAGCCAGTGGCATGATGTTGGCTTCTATGTGCCTTGGGCAGTGAGCCCATTGATTGCTCATTAATAATGTATCCTCAAAGAGATCACAGGGAAAGGACTCCTCCCAGAGGAATTGAATGATCAGGTTGATACTTCCTGCCAACCCCTGGGCAGTTGGCTAACCTCAAGTGAGGAAGAACCACTTCAAGTGAGAGCAGGTCAGGCCGGAAGAGATCTTTGCAGCATTGCCTTTTCTGGGGGTCATTGAGTGGCAAGAGGGAAAGGAAGGGAATGGGAAAGACCTCCTCACCCTCTCCCCAGTTACTCTGAAATCCAAGTTTGAGAAGTTGTGTTTTGCCTCAATCCCAGGATACATCAAGCAGGACACTTGACCCAAACCCCATTCATCTTTTAGAGCAGAACCAAATCATTCCTTCTTCCATTAAACCAATATTTGTTGAACTCCTATCATGTGTCAGGAGCTGATCTTGATTCTCATAGTGGAGAAAACAAAGCTTCTACCCTCATGGAGTTTATATTATTTTTGAGGATGGAGATGAAAAAAAAAGCTAACCTAATAATGTCAGGCAGTCATAATTACTACAAAAACAGACAAAGAAGAATGGGGTGTAGAGAGCCCAGGGGATCTTTTGGATAGAGTAGTTGGCAGTGGCTTCCTGAGGAGCTGACCTTTCAGCAGAGACCAGAGTGAAGTGAGAAAACGTGCCTTGGGGGACAGATGTCTTGGGAAGGGAAACAGCATAAATGGAGTTCCTTGTGGAGAATGTTTTTCATGTATTCAAGCAAGGAGACAGAGTGGTAGGAGAGGGAGCAGGAGAAGAGGAAAAGAGGTTGTAACATAATAATTATATTTCTTAAAATAGCCCTTGTCTAGGGTTTCTGGCACAGAGCTCCCAAAGCCTTTAGAATTTCCTGAGTAACAGAGGTGAGAGGAATGTCTTTTGCTGTTCTTAAGGAGCCCCTTTCACCCATATCTCAGTTTATGCTAATAAGACTACTCTTGGAGGACCCCTGGATAGCTTCAAGATGGGGGCTGGTCACCAGAAAGACTAAGCCTTTGTTATAAGCTTGGAGTTTTCAACTAACCTCGGGGAGGGGAGAGATGTTGGAGATTGAGTCCAATCTCCAATGGCCAATAATTTACTCAATCATGTCTACATAATGAAATCTCCATAAAAACCCCTAAACAATGAGTTGAGAGGCTTCCAAGTTTGCAAACACTTCCATGTGCCAAGAGGATGGTGCACCTCAACCCCGTGGAAACAGAGATTCCTGCACTTGGGACCTCACCCTATGTACCTCTTCATCTGACTGTTCATTTGCGTCCTTTATAATCAACTTTAATAGTAAATAGAATGTTTGCATGAGTTCTATGAGTCATTCTAGCAAATTATTGAACCTGAACCTGAGGCAGGGGGAGGGTGATGGAAATCCTCAACTTTGTAGCCAAGTTGGAAGAAATGGAACTGGTCACTTGCAATTGGCATCTCAGATGAGGGCAGTCTTGGGAGACCAAGCCCTTAAACCTTTGGAGTCAGAGACTTACTCCAGGTAGTTAATGTCAAAATTGAATTGTAGGACACCCAGTTGGTGTCAGAGAATTGGTTGGTTAGAGATAAAAACCCTGTAAATGTCGAGGGTGCCCAAGAACCAGACTGTGAAAGACCTTACAGGCTATGAAGAGAAGTTTGGATTCTAGTCTAAGTAATTGCTTTTGTATCATTTGTATTTTTGGAATACAACTCAGTAACCATCTCTTTACATACACGAATTCCTTTATTTTCAACATTCACAATGACTCTTTGAGATCAGTATCATCATGCCCATTTTACAATTAAGATAAAAGTAAGGCTCAGAAATCATGGGTAGCTTACACACGGTATGCAAATTGGAATGGACATTTGAATTCAGTCCTGCCTGGCAATGACCTGACAAGGACAGTGGCAGGGATAAGGGCGGACATCTCCCCTGGCTGCACATGGCTTCTTTGAAAAGCAGCAATAAGAATGTGCACTGGTGAAGTTCACAACAGGAGGCCACTGCTCAGAGATTTCCCCTGGAGTCTCTCTGAATCTGCTGTGATTCTGGGGGCTGCCCAATTCGCAAATTGTTCATTGTTCAATTAAACTCCTTTAAATTTAATTTGGCTGAAGTGTTTTTTTTCTTTTTAAAAAACAGTTTTGAGTCTCAAAGTTGATTTTCTAGAGTCCCTAGGGAGACAGTAGTGTTGAATCCAAGGCTTTTCTTTTTTTTTCTTTTTTTTTTTTTTCAGGAGAAAAGGGTTTCTCTACATTGGAAAAGTTCCCCTTTACTTATCAAGAGCCAAGCCTAGCTGTGTAGGATCATAGCTACAACACAGGCCAGAGGGGAGACTCCCACCTCAGCCTCCCAAGTAGCTGGACTACAGGTGAGCAGCACCACATTCAGCTAATTTTTCTATTTTTAGTAGAGATGGGGGTCTCACTATGTTTCCTAGGCTGGTCTGGATCTCCTGGGCTCAAGCGATCCACTTGCCTTGGCCTCCCAAAGTGCTGGGATTATAGGTGTGAGCCACCATACCCAGCCTTAAATTTTTTAAAAGGAGGGTTTATTTTGTTTTTGATTTTATTTTATTTTTATGTTAAAATAAAAGCCAGTATAATTTTATATATCAGAAAATAAATACTCCCTGAAGAAATTTCAGTTCTTAAAGTCTAGCTAGAAACTGCTGCCTCATCTAGGCTCTGAGACTGAGTCCTGCTCCCTTTTTGAAGAAAGAAAGAAAGAAAGAGAGAGGAAGGGAGAGGGGCAACGAAGAAAAAAAGAAGGAAGAAAAGAAAAAAGAGAAAAGAAAAGAAAAATGAAGGGCATGGGGGAGAAAAGGAGACATAATAAAAGGAGAAAAAAAATTAAAGGAAATAGTTTTCTTAACCCAAGACTTGTTATTATGTTGTTTCTGGGAATTATCTAAAATCATTAAAAATGCCACCAAAAATTGTCTTTCATGGATATTTATTTTACTTCTTAGAAAGCATAAACTCCTAAGAGGGAGGCTCTGCTTTCAAACAGAGGGAATTCAGTGTGTAAAGCTAAGAAAGAGAGAGAGAGAGAGAGAGAGAGAGAGAGAGAGAGAGAGAGAGAGTACATGTTTGGTGGATATTTGGGGAATGAAATGCTGCATGCACTGTAAACTATTTTCTCTCTTTTCCCTAAAAACCTATCAGTAAAATCTACTTGGGATGCTAAGCAATTAGTTCCTTCAGAATGTAAAAAAAGCACTGAATTGTGCTTCAAAGTTGCTACTTGGCAAAAACAAAATCAGTCAGCCAGCCAACACATGGGCATAAATGCTATTTCACTCAACAAGCAGGGATTGGACATCTGTTAAGTCCAGGCTCTGGCCCCGGCACCGGGAGAGTGTGGAAATGGAGAAGACCTGCTCCCTCCTCTTGTGGTGCTCACAGTAATTAGATGGATGTAGTGGGGGTGAGTTGTCTTCCAAGAACAAATGAGCTTTCACAGGGTTATATGTTGAATTCTCTATTTTTTTTTTTTTTTTTACATTTTAGAGTAAGAAAAGAATGTTTAAAGACCATTGTGGTTTTAAAACAACTGTAATAAATGAGTTTCACTAGCCGGTGATTTTTGTCTCAACCAATCCTGACTAAAGTTGGAGAAATCAAGCTGGTAGCCCCATTGGGGTTACAAATTCAAGATTTCCTCTTCCTGTTTTAATCTGCTATCAGTGGCATACATTGGTAACTGCTTCAGAATGTTGCTTCTTAAGTCTGGCCAACAGATTCATCCATCAGTACTCTTGGGTTTGGAGCCAACCAAGTACTATTGTTCAATAAGAATCACGGTGTTCTGACATTTAAAGATGAATCAGATGTCCCACTGGTAACTTATTGCTCTATAGATGATTCTTGGATTATAAGAGCTTCCCTGTGGAGGAAATCTAGAGGGAAATACCAAGCAATAGAACTTGTATTGAACATGTTTGAGCCTAAAGATAGTGAAAAGGACATCAAACCTCTCTGCCCACCAGGCTGTCAGGACAGGGTTCAAAAAAGATTCTCATTGAGACCAGTAGTGAGTCACCTGCTTTAATCAGTTTCTTCATGTCCCACTGAGTAAGTGTTAGGATTAAAGGAAGTGAACCTTGCATAAGCCTGGAGCATCTCTTAAAATTCTTTCAATACTGGAATTGAACAGAAAAAGAACTAACCCTTTGCTTAAGCCAGTTAAGCAAAAGGAAACATAGAATATTTTATCATTATCATTATTATTACTAAAAATCCCTCTTAGATAAGTCTTTACATTTGCTCTTATTTCCAAATATTCCATATTAATGCATTTATTTGTTCACTGTCATTCATTAAACAAACATTTGCTGTTCATATCTTATGACAACCACATAAATTGCCTTTTCCCTTGAAGAACGGATGGATGTAAATAAGCAAATTGGCCATTTTGGCATATTATCAGCAGCTAAGCCAGGACAGTCAGGAGAGGCTTCCTGGTGTTGGAGAATGGGATTCTAGAGAGAACAGCACAAAGGAAGGACTAAATCTGGGAAAAGAATGAGAACAGCAGATGCTCAGTGTGACTGAAGTGATGGCACCTGGGGGTGATGGTGGGAGAAAAGTTTATAGAGTTTTAGCCCAATCACAAAAGTAGTGGAGAGCTATTTAAGAAATTTAAATTAACTTGGCCCCTTCAGTACCATGTAGATGAAGTAGTAGTAGTACCACTGACAGTAAGGGCCATCTCACACCAATTTTTTAAAAAAGTACATCTAAAACCACAACACAGTGTCTTCTCACCCCCACCAGACTGGCTAAAATGGAAAAAAAATAAACACCAAGTGTT
The DNA here is from genome assembly GCF_000001405.40 of Homo sapiens. Classification (NCBI taxonomy): domain Eukaryota; kingdom Metazoa; phylum Chordata; class Mammalia; order Primates; family Hominidae; genus Homo; species Homo sapiens. The sequence continues at coordinate 15,894,241 of NC_000004.12, read as the reverse complement.
GGCAAGGCTGCGGAGTGACCAGAAGTCTCATACCTTGGGAGACTGTCTGTTTTGACAATCACTGTGGAAATTTTTGTTGGTAGCAACTACTAATGCTGAGCACATGCGTAACCTATGACTCAGCCATCCACTCCTTAAACATACCTAAGAGAAATGTGCACACAGATTCGCCAAGAGGCATGTACAAGAATGTAGCAGCGTTACTCTTATTAATCCCAAACTGGAAAGTACCCAAATGCCTATTAAGAGTAGATAAAGAAACAAATTATGATATATTCACACAACAAAACACTGGGTAGCAATAAGAATGAGAAAATTATAGCACACAACAGGAATGAATCTTGCAAACACAATGTTGATCTGAAAAAGCCAAATACAAAAAAGTTAATGAAGTGTGGTTCCATTTATATATATTAAGTACATGTCATTGGAGACCATAGAGGGAAGAATTCTGAATTAATTCAGGTCCTGAAATAAATGCTATTCAAAAATATGTGGTACACATAAAACTTTGTGGCACACAAAGTTCAAAAGAGGCAAAAAACCACTCTGTGGTGTTAGAAACCAGGATGTAGTTATCCTTGCGGGGCAGTTACAGGAAAAGGTACAAGGGACGTTTTACAGTGGTGCAAATGTTCTTTCTTGACCTGGGTGCTTGTTACACGGTGTGTTCATGGGTGTTCATTGTCCATGTGTGGTGAGAGAGACAGCAAGCTCTCCGGGACCTCTTCTTATAAGGACATGAACCCTGTCAGGTCAGGGTCCCATCCTCATGACCTCCTGTAACCTTAATTACATGGTTAGAGGCCCCGTCTTCAAATACAGCCACATTGGGGGCCAAGGCTTCAACATACGAAGTTGGCAGGGAGTGGGAGCCACAGACATTCAGCTCATAACAGGAGCCGCAAACACTTCATATCCATTTTTAATTTGCCACACAGGAAGTGTTCAAGGTACTCAAGGGCAAGAAATGGAGCAGGAGCTAACAGGAAGTGGAGCTGGACACTGGGAATCCCTGGAAGCTGAGGGTGCCTCTCACTCCTTGTTCTCCCTCAGTGCAAGTGCTCCATTCTCTTCTCTCTATACCGATTCCTGGGTCTATTGCTTGTGGGGTATCCCTGACCCTAGACCTTGAACTCCCAGTTTCTATGGTCATCGTCAGATGCCATCATTCTCTGGCCTCCTGTTTCAAATTATAGACACATAGAGAGAAATCTGATTGGCTCAGCACAGGCAATACTCTGCCCTAACCCTGACACACACCTCTTGAGTCAGGTTTCCATGAGCTGTTTCAAGGACTATATTATGTGATGTCTTGTGATGTCTAGGGCTGCCCTTTCCAGAAGCAGAGGACTTAGCAGAAATGTTTCCAATATAAGTCCTTATGGGTCTTAAGTAGTTATTGTGGAAAAGTTTAAAAATCCAAATCTTCTAGTCTATAATTTGAGGTTTCCCAAACCAACCCACCTGTACCCATTAAGAATGCCTTCAATCACAAGTAACAGAAAATGAGGGTCTAGATTTATATTTAACACATTATAAGATGTTTAGAGCTGGGTAATTCCTGCCTTTAGTTCAGTGGTTTGATGTGCCAAGGCCAAAGTCTCTGATATTTTCTAGGCCTTACCTTCATGCTTATCACCACATCGTCTCAAGGTGGCTGCTACACCTCCAGACATCACATCCACTAGCAGTATGTGTCTGCCTTTTCCAGAAAAAAAAACAAAAAAAACAACCTTAACCAGAGCTCCCAGAAAACTTCCGCAGAGACATATCATTGGCTAGAATTATGTCAAACGACAACCCCAAGCTTTAAAAGAGTCTGGACAGATATTCATATATATATACACACATATATATATATATATATATGTGTGTATATATATGTATATATATGTGTGTGTGTGTATATATATATATATATATATATTTTTTTTTTTTTTTAACTTTTCTAGACCTTAAAGTAAAAGGTGGCAAGACAGAATAGAGCTGAAAATGGCAGTTGGGATAGCCAAGCAGAAATATGTACCACATTCTTTTGAATAGTATTTCAGGACCTGAATTAACTCAGGATTCTTCCCTCTGGGGTCTCCAGTGACATTTATCACATACAAAAAATAGAAATGTTAGAAAACAAAGAAACAGACACATGAAAAAATGATGATCTTTTTATTTCCCATCAAATGCAGCCCCAAAGTGTTATCCGGATATCACGCACGTTGCCCCATCCTCTGCCTGGTGGGGCGTTGAGCCATCCAGCAACCCAGAACTGGCTCCTCTGGCACCTCAGAGAAGGGAGTGTCCACATCCTGTAGCAGGTCTCTGCCAGCATGATTCGGCAGCCATCACAAAAAAACAGAAATAGAGAATCCATCCCAAAGAACAGAAGTTGAGAACAGGAGCCAGGGAGACCTACATGTTACCTTGTTTGGGGAATGCTCAATTGAGCCATCCAAACAAGGCTCAGTTTGAAAAACTGAAGGACAGATTAGTTTTCCTCTTCTTGAATAAAAACATTTAAAACCAGAAAGCAAAAATTTTAGACAAGAAGGACTTTGTTGGGGGGAATATGCAAACTCTACGTGTTTTCTTCCTGTTTCTGTCTTCTGGAAAGGGACTCATAAATCTTTGCAATAATTTGCTTAAGAATAATCACCAATTGTCTCACTTCGCTATTTACATTTTGGAAAGGAAGATCATTACCCAGTAATGCCACAGGGGCTCAGAGGGACCCAGGGGATTTTCCAAACAGATGTTTCAGTTCAACCAGATTGACTTCATTAGCCACACCGTGATTATTTGTGCTGGCAAAACTTTGCTTAAACCCTTCCCCTCACTTAGAATACCTTTGCTCCTCCACCCCGTCTACTAAAGTCATCTCCTTCCTTAAAGACCATTGCAGTTAGAATTACCTTTTGCTGCAAGAAAACAGTAACTTACATAAGTTTTATGCTCCTCATATAACAAAAAACCTAGAAGCAGAAAGCCAGGGCTGGTGCATCAGCTCCTCAGTACTATTAGGGATCCTAGCTTCATTCGTCTTTCTGCTCAGCTACCCTTATTGTTGTGGTTTGAGTGTTTTTGTTCCCTCCAAATTCTTGTGTTGGGAGCTGAATCCCCCATGCAACAGCACTGGGAGATGGTGCCTAATGAGAGGTGTTTAGATCTTGAGGTGGTGCCTAATGGGAGGTGTTAGGTCTGCCCTCATGAATGAAATAATGCCTTATGAATGGATTCATGCTGGAATAAAGCTCTTCACTATAAAAGTGGCCTATGAGAGAGGGTTTGCTTTCCTGCTGTTCTGTCACATGAAGAAGTTTCCCTCTCCCCTGGTGGATGCAGCATTCAAAGTGTTGATGGCTGCTGTGATACCTCAGATCTTGTCTTCTTGGTTTAAAAGAATTTAAACAAAAGACACACAGCAAAGGAAGTGCAGCATAGAGCAATTTATGGCAAAAGAAAAATAATACAGAATAGACAGTACACCCTGAGAGGGAGATTTCAGGGCACGCTGCTTGTAAGGGTGAGACAGCAAAGACTGGCACTAGGGAGACTCCCTTTATATGGGAGCCTTACATGGTTATTCATAAGGAGGTATAAAGAGGTGTTACTAGCAAGCATGTTCTAGGTAGTCCTCTGGGTACACATGGGCAGTAGCTGTACATGCTTGTTCATTTATCACATTCTCATTAGCATCTTAAATCTCCACCCAGGGGTGTGGTTTTTACTATTATAATGAGCAAGGGGTAAGTTTGAGGACAGGTAAAATCAAAGTGTGTAGGCTCTCTAGAGGGGAAAGTCCCTATTGAAGATAGTTTTGCTTGAATGAGCTCAATTATAATGCGAATGCTAAGGCTTATTGTGTTGGCTGTATGGTCACCACGACTGCTACATTCTGAGAACATGGTCATTTCCTTGACTACCTATCCTGCCTCAAAGGCACCATCTTGGAGGAGGAGACGCAGCCCCTCACCAGACAACAAACCTGCCAGCACCTTGACCTTGGATTTCCCAGTCTCCAGAACTGTGAGAAATACATTTCTGTTCTTTATAAATGAACCATTCTCAGGCGTTTTATCATAGCAGCACAGCATGGACTGATAAGCTGATGGTGTCCATCATGATGCTTGTTGTTTTGTGATTTTCAATTGGCTACTCCACCTCCGGCCTCTTATCCACATTGCAGATAGGAAGACAGGGAAGGACGAAGGACCAAACGAAGACTTGGGTCAGTTCATCTGTCCTTTGTCAAGAGCTTTCCTGGAAGATTCTCATGGAAATGGGTTTATGCCTCAGTCCTAGACTTAAAGTGAGGCTGTGATGGGATGTATGGCTTTTTTGCTGGTTTGTTTTCAGTGTTTTTTGTTTGTTTGTTTTTTGAGACAGAGTTTTGCTCCTGTTACCCAGGCTGGAGTGCAATGGCGCAATCTCAGCTCCAGCAACCTCCGCCTCCTGGGTTCAAGCAATTCTCCTGACTCAGCCTCTCGAGTAGCTGGGATTACAAGCATGTGCCACCACGCCTGGCTAATTTTGTATTTTTAGTAGAGACAGGGTTTCTCCATGTTGGTCAGGCTGGTCTCGAACTCCCAACCTCAGGTGTTCCACCTGCCTCGGCCTCCCAAAGTGCTGGGATTACAGGCGTGAGCCACCACGCCCAGCCTTGTTTTGGTTTTTTATTAACATAAATGATCACACTGCAGCCCTGAACAAAAATCTATGCTATGCTTAGAGAAAAAAGGAGAAATTGATATTGAGTAGGTAACCAGCAGTATTCGCCACAGAACCCATCTCAAATTCTGTCTCCTTAATGAAGGCTTAGCTGACATTCTCAGCCACAGTGGTCCCTGCTTCCAGAGCTCCCATAGCACTTTATGTCTGCATTGTGCATTCTTAGTAAGGTTTTCATGCCTGTCTACCTAGGACGTTCTTTGAGAGCTATAAATCTTTTGTGCATCCAGACAATGCAGTGCATTTCCTTGAACAGAGCAGATATAGTGATTAAATAGTTCAAAGGATAACAAATATATAGGTCCTCATAACTTTTCTGTGGACAACACAAATCAGCTTTTTTTGTCTTTTTGTTTGTTTTTTTACTAAAGTGTTTTTAATTTAAATTCCCATGTGTTTTATAAAGACAAATTCAACTTCAATGTTTATCCGCCTAGTATGATTTGATGTTCTGATCTGACAAAACTTTTGCAAGTGGATTTGCCTCCCAGCAGGGTTTATTCCTGAGTCCTAAAAGTTTCATTCCACTTGACATGTCTAAATTCTTAATAAAATATTATTAAAATTATGTTAATATAATTTTAGAAATTATCCTATAACATCTTTCTATCAAGGTTTTGATTTGATTTCACCACCTCCTTTCAGCTTCCATTGCAATGCTGAAGAGCTGATTTTTCAAAGCCCTGTTGTATTAGTCAGTTCTCGCATTGCGATAAAGAAATACCCAAGACTGGGTGATTTATAAAGAAAAGAAGTTTAATTGGCTCACGGTTCCACAGGCTGTACAGGAAGCTGATGGCGTCATCTGCGTGGCTTCTGGGGAGGCCTCTGGAAACTCACAAACACGGCAGAAGGTGAAGGGGAAGCTGGTGCTTCACATGGCTAGAGCAGGAGGGAGTGGGTGGGAGAGGCGCTACACAGTTTTAAACAACCAGATCTCACGATAACTCACTCACTCACTGTCACAGGAACAACACCAAGGGGATGGTGGGAAACCGTTCATGAGAAACTGCCGCCATGATCCAATCACCCTCCCACTAGGCCCCATCTCCAACAATGGGAATTATAACTGAACATGAGATTTGCATGGGGACACAGATCCAAACCATACCACCTGTCAACGCTACCTGTAGAGCTGGAATGAGGGTGGCACTTTGCATTTTTACAATACAGTCTTGATGATCAGAAATTTTGTGTGCAAAAGTTTTCACTTTATGCTTCTTGGTCATTCTCATGAGATTCTTCAGACCTCTTCAAAATAGGAGTAAATTCAGTTTGCAGGCCGGGCGCGATGGCTCACGCCTGTAATCCCAGCACTTTGGGAGGCCGAGGCGGGTGGATCACGAGGTCAAGAGATCGAGACCATCCTGGCCAACATGGTGAAACCCCGTCTCTACTAAAAATACAAAAAATTAGCCTGGTGTGGTGGCAGGCGCCTGTAGTCCCAGCTACTCGGGAGGCTGAGGCAGGAGAATCACTGGAACCCGGGAGGCAGAGCTTGCAGTGAGCCAAGATCACGCCACTGCACTCCAGCCTGGGTGACAGAGTGAGACTCCATCTCAAACAAAACAAAACAAAACAAAACAAAACAAAACAAAACAAAACAAAACAAAACAAAACAAAACTCAGTTTGGGGAAGAGTTTGATGAAGAAATGCGAATTTGTGAAAAGCTACTCTTCACTGTGCTGACCTCAATGGATTGACTGCTAGCATTCTGTTTTGAACATATTGTTTTTCCTGGTTCCTAAAGATTACAGTGCTTTCAGATGACTCAGTTTACTATTCAAATTGCTATTGTTTATTTAATATGTTTATCGTATATGCATTACATGGTAACAGGCACTATGCTAGCCATTTTATATATGTTTTCTTATTCAATCTATACAACAACAATATGTATCAGAAATTTTATTCTGACTTTGCAGATGGGAAAACAGGCTCTGAGTGGCTAAATATGCCCAATGTCACATAACTAAGGAACAGAGAAGGCAGGACTTAAACCTGGGCCTGTCACCTGCAAAGTCCACCCTCTAAACCATATGCTGCCTTATTCCATCCTGCAACCAGGGTTTCAGGATCCCTTCCAGCAGAAGAAGGTAAAGGTTTTTCAGCAATAATGAGTGTCTTTCCGTGGACTCCTGGTACCCTGATATTTAAACTATGGAGGACAAAACCAAGATTGAAGGACCCAACAGTCTCATTGTAGATGCTGATGAAATTTATTAGCAGAATACAAATAAATCTCATATGGGACCCTCCCACACCAATGATATGAGTTAAAGTAAGACTGGGCATTTGCTCCTCATACCTGAAACTTTTTTTTTCTTTGAGACAAAGTTTTGCTCTCATGGCCCAGGCTGGAGTGCAATGGCATGATCTTGGCTCACTGCAACCTCCACCTCCCAGGTTCAAGTGATTCTCCTGCCTCAGCCTTCTTAGTAGCTGGGATTACAGGCATGCGCCACCAGGCCCGGCTAATTTTGTATTTTTAGTAGAGATTGCATTTCTCCATGTTGATCAGACTGGTCTCCCAACCTCAGGTCATCCACCTGCCCACCTCGGCCTCCCAAAGTGCTGGGATTATAGGCATGAGCCACCTCACCTGGTGAAACTTTCTTACAGATGATTTTCCTGCATTAAAAAAGCTCTATATCCTAGAAAAGGAAAGTATAATTTTTTTGATAATTGAAATGTTATTAGTTCCAATAAATGGATAGTAGGACAGTTTTCTGTCATATGAAAAGAATCTTACATGTAAAATGGTATGAATATGAATATGAATTTAATGTCCCAAGAAAAATTTAAATACCAGCTCTTCTACTTGTTAGTTGAGTGGGGCTGGGTGAGTCTTTCCACGTCCTTGAGATTTGGTCTGATCATCTGTAAAATCAAGTCTTATCACACCTGCTTTACCCACTTTATAGGATCACAGTGCTTCAGAGATTGTCTGTGCTCAAATTCCAAGTCTACTGTTTACTATTCGTGAGGCCGGGTGCAAGTTATTTAATGCCATGATGGCTTCAGTTTTCTCAACTGAAGTGAAAAATAGTAACTCTATTTTCCTCATAGAATAATTCTGAGGATTAAATGAATTTATACAAATAAAGCTCTTAAAGCAGTGCTTGGCATAAGGTGTGCCCTAGAGGGATATTTACTATTATTCTCAATAGTGGTGTGTGTCTGTCTGTGCTTGAAAACAAGCACCACACAGGGTTTGTGGTTGCTATTATCAGAGGACATACTCACATCAGAGAGGGTCTTCTCGATCTGCATACAATGACATCAAGGGTATCTGTGTAACAGGTGAATTGGTGGACACAGTCAAAAGCAGTGCCAGTCTGGATAACAAGATCCAACACAAAGATTTTGAGAACTGGAGGGATTAATTTAGAAGAATCCAAACCTCAGTGTGGTTGAGCCATCCACATTTAACTAACAGTTAATTAGCCATAAAAAATAACTAATTATACTAGATGGATTATTCATGTTACATCATCTGCCTGGTTGCATTTTGTTGTCTGCAACTAACTTCTCATCATCTCCATATCCTTCGTACAATCAAAGTTCTTCCTTGACTTTACTTAAAAATGCTTTCTAAAGTGATTTATCTTTTTTTTAATCTCGTGTGAGTTTATTTAGAAAGAAATCCTCATTTACTCATTAAATGCTAATACAAAATGATACCATCTGTGTAGAGAGGAAATTATTCATGCATTTACCCTTTGTTCCAACAACTGAGGTCCTAGGAACTCATCCTGCAGTAGACTGCATAGGTAAGAAACACCGCGAATGCCAGGTAATTCACTGTGGACGTGACTGAAAAGTCAAGATTGGAAACAACCCGAATATGTAGCAATAGGGACTGGTTGAATAAGCTGTGGAACAGCCACACAATGAAGTATTGTGCAACCATTAAAAAATAATGATAACTATCTGTTCGTATTGATATGGAGACATATCCAGAATGAATATATTGTTCAGTCAAAAAAAGCAAAGTCTTTAACCACATACAGTACGTTGTCTTTTGTATAAAAAGAGAGAGGATCACTATATATCTATAATATGTATATGTGTTTAGATGTGCACGTGCATGTGTATTCATGTATATATATGAATAAACCAGAGACTAATAAAAATGCTTTACCTGTAGAGGGCAGGAAGGAAGAAGATGGGAGACACAGAACAGAAGGGCTTTTCAGTTGATCTTTCTAAATAGTTTTGACTTTTGAATCATGTAAATGCCTTGCCTATTCCAAGGGGAGAATCCCATCACCCAACAATGAAATAAATTTTAAAAAATTTAAAAGAAGCCCTATTACTATCATAAATGGAAATGCCACTTGCCATAAATACATAGCAACCATAAAAATAAATCATTACTAAAATCTCTCTCTGCTCTCTGTTTCTCTCTCTGTCTCTCTCTCTCTCTCTCACACACACACACACACACACACACACACACACACATGCATTTGTATCTGCCCCTCTCTGGGTACCACCCTTTGGAAAACATTCTTTTAAACACTGCCTTAGAGGTTGCCCAGTCTAGGAAGCTCATTTGAACCTATTCCCAGGATGGGTTAGGTTCCCCTGCTGTGGGCTCAGTCACTGCATGTGTCACACTCTATTCTAATGATTTATTTGGGATTCTATCTTCTCTGCTGGACTTGAATTCTCTGACGGCAGGAAATGTCTTTTTCGTCATTATAACCCCAGAGTCTAATTATTTGTAAGTGAATAAGTAAATTCATACATAAATAAAGAATGAGTTACTGAGTGCGTTTTTATTTAACCAGTGCTCTCTATGGACTGCAGTTGTCTTTTAACAACAGTAGTCTGGGAGAGGCTATGGTCCCGAATATGCCCCATGTGTGCCTCTCTGGTCTCATAGCCTTCTGCTATTATTTGTGTGTCTCCAGAAGCAATTGGCTCAGGAGTTCCTTAACCTCTGCCTGCATACACTTGAATGTAGTTGACTTCCCAGCAGTTGCATGTCCTGCAGCCAAAGAAAATGCTCTGGTTTCATCCCATTTGCTCTTGGAATGCCATTGCCTCCCCCGACAGTTCCAAGGGTGCCTAGGTAATGCTGATGTTATTCTGTTCAACTCTCACTCTAGATTTCTTCTCTTGCTGAATTGATATCTCTGCTTGCCTGTTTGCTTGTCTCCTTGCTGTATGGCTAGGCCATATTGCAGATGAAGGTTTGGGGGTAAGGGCAGGGGGACTTTTCATAGTGTTGAGAAATAAAAATAAAATTCTAAGCCCCCCAACCAACTGAATGAACCTCTGCTTGGCCAGGGGGCCCCAGAAAAACCTTGAAAACTGAGTTCCCAACCATGACAGGATGGGACATCAGACACACCTCGTTACAGCCCCTCCTTTGATAATCACCATTAAGCTTTCTTCCCTAAGTGTTAAACAGAAACCAGCCCTTTCGAAGACTTGCTCTGCCACTGGTTTCAACCAACCGCCTGCTGCTACTCCTCCCTTTTTGTGGGCTTAACACAGAAACTGACCAGCATTCTCTTCTGGTAAGAAATCCTGGACCATGAAGTGGTTCTGGCCAGTTGATGGAGCCTGCGTGCTGAGTGCTTTCATGTCCTTTGCTTCACCTTTTGACATATAAAGTCTAATTGTAGTACATCTAAATGTGAAGCCTCCACCCAAAGCAAACATATAACATAATGTTAGCTTACTGCACATGTGCATGCCTCCCCTTCATGAATATTCAGAGCTCCTCCTACAATCTGTTGAATATGTCTACTTAGCCAACCTGTTCAGCATCAATTCCTGCCTCATCCTTCCCTCTCTCAAAATGCCTGCTTCCAGCTCTTGCCAGAGGCTACATTTCCAAGCCTGCAGAATGGCCAGCCTGCTGGAGGTAGCTCTTTATAAGAAACAAAGGTCTCCTTTCCAAATTTATTGATTCTTCAGTTGACAGTGGGGAACATGAAACCACTTAAAACTGATAATGAGACATCACTGTTCAAAAGTCCCCAAACGACCCTCCAACAGTGACTGGCTCCTGGGCTGTCTCAGTCCTTGCTCTCCATCCTGCCCCCACGTTGTTGGGGCAAATGTCTCCTGAGAACCTCTCCCAGCTCCCCCTTCCCTAAGTTCCAAGACCCTCACTCTCACTCTCCTGGGCATCTCCAAAAACTGAAATTCCTGTTGGCATATTTTATAGAACTCCTTAATGCTTTGATTGTCATTTTCCTCTTCTAGGCCCTGTTCAAAGAACCTCATTCATCTCAAAGGTAAAGTCCTTTCCAAGATTTTGCCTGAACCAGGGTGCCATGAAACCAGGTCTTGCTTTGAGCTCAAGCTATGATGGCATTTTGTCCTACATCCAGTTCTTAGGGTCCCTCCTGGATAATAGCTCCTGTATGTAAAAAAGAAATAGAAAATGGATTCCTTCCCATGCAGCTGGAGTAAAGCCCAGAGGTTGTAGGGTGGGATGAGATGGTTCCTCCTGCTCCAGGGATTTCTATGAAACGTCACTTCAACTTGATTATCACTGCTGCTGCCCTTGCTTCTGCTCCTCCTCTCTGTCACCAGGTGTATAGTTTCCTGTGGCTGCTGTAACAAGTCACCACAAACTTGGTGGCTTAAAACATCACACATTTATTCTCACAGTTGTAGAGGCCACAAGTCCAAAATTAGCTTCACTGGACTGAAATCAAGGTGTTGGCAGCACACATGCTCCCTCTGGTGGCTGAAGAGCAGAATCTCTTGCTGTCCTCTTCCAGCCTCTAAGAGCTGCAGTCCTTACACTGCTTGCAGGTGGCTTCCACCACTATTTTAGAAGGCATCAGAGTAGCATCTTGCCCTAGTGGTCACATTGCCTTCTTTGTCAGACCTCTCCCTGCCTCCTTCTTATAAGGACACTTGTGATTATATTTAGGGCCCACCTGGATGATCCAGGATACTCTCCCATCTCAAAATCCTTAATTTAAGCACTTGTGCCAAGCTTATTTTGCCAAACAAAGTTATCATTCATACATTCCAGGGATTAGGGCCTGGATCTCCTGTGGGGCATGATTCAGCTACCACACACCTGTCCTGCTGTGCTATTCCAATGGAGCATCCTGCTGCCTGGTACGGGATGCCTCTCTCAGTCCTCATCATAACGGCCCCTTGCGTTTCTGCTGACCTTCCATCCTACATGATTCTCCAGTCTCTCTGGCAGCATTCGGGGAGGAAGGATCGATCTGGTGTCCGCTCACTGGGCTGAGAAGAAACAGCTACCAGATGCGATTCCACCCTTGGGGCCATTATCCTGGAAACAACAGACATTTTACCTTTTATTATTTTTTTTCTATATGCTTTTCCCAAAACTTTTTGCTCTCTGGGCAAAAACCAGGACACATAATAAAATGGTAGAAAATGTAGCAGAATCTCAAACTGCAGGTGTTCCTACCAAGAGGTCAGCATAAATCCATCAACTGTTTGCTGAGCCTCTGCATGTGGGTTACACCCGTGTTTCATAAACAACTGTAGACATCATCAGGGTTACTTCCCACACTTTATTAAATTGGAAATGGCAACAGGAAACGGGAAAACAGGAGAGGGACTATATTGCTATTTAGTTCCTCGGCACATAAGAAAGTGATTTAGAGGGAACTGGGAGGATTTCTGACCCTGCTAATTTGCATTCTGGGATCTGCCAACTTTTTGCCCATGTCATCACTGATAGTGGGTCAGTGTTCTAAAATACTAAGAGGGAAGATTCATGAGTCAAATTGCCTGAGTACATACAAGTCATGGTGCAGCCACTCACTAGCTATGCGCCTTGGGCAAATGATGAACTTTTCTACTGTGCCTCAGTTTCCTCGTCTAGAATATTAGTATCTGTCCTGTAGAATTATTTTTGGAATCAAGTGAGCTAGTACATAGAAAGCACTTTTAATACTCCCTGGGCCTTAGCAAGCTGAACTATGGTGCTATAATAAAGGGAAAGGTATGAATACATTGAAGATGAGTAGACTAGGACTCAAATCTGAACTCCCATACTTACTACTGGGAGTACAACTTGCAGTAGATGAGGAGAGATCTAGCAATTAGACGATTTTTGGGGTCATCAGTATATGGATGGTATATAAAGCAATGAGATTAGAGGCAAGAAAGGAAGTGAATGGGGCTGGGCACAGTGGCTCATGCCTGTAATCCCAGCATTTTGGGAGGCCGAAGTGGGTGGATCACCTGAGGCCAGGGATTCGAGACCAGCCTGACTAATATGGTAAAACCTTGTCTCTACTAAAAATACAAAAATTAGTTGGGTGTGGTGGCGGGTGCCTGTAATCACAGCTACTTGGGAGGCTGAAGCAGGAGAATCGCTTGAACGTGGAAGGAGGAGGTTGCAGTGAGCCGAGATCGCACCCTCGCATTCCAGCCTGGGTGATAGAGCGAGACTCCATCTCAAAAAAAAAAAAAAAAAATGAAAGGGAGTGAGTGTACATGGAGTTCAAGGACTGAGATCTGGGTCTACAACATGAGACCTGGGTGAAAAACAGGAAGCAGCAAAAAGGGGACAAAGAAGGAGTGGGCCATAATACAGGGCATCAACCGAGACAACATGGCATCCTGGAAGACAAGTGAGGAATTGCCAGGGATGCAGTGACCAACTACACAAATACCAAAGTGAGCATTGATGAAGGACCAGTGGACTTAGCAACATGGAGATCATTATGACTTTGGCAAAAGCTCTCTTGTTAGAGTAGTGGACCAGAAGGAAGACAGAATGAGTTCAAGAGAGAATGGGAAGCGAAAAAGTAGGAGTCAGTAAGTTTAGTCAACTCTTCCATAAAATTTTACTATGACAGGGAGCTAATAAACGAGTCTCCAAATGCAGGGGTCCAGAAAAACTGATTTTCTATTTGTATGCCTATTTTTGGCTAAATGTGAGAATTAACTGCATGTTTGTAGGCTGACGAGACTAACCCAACAAAAAGGAAAAAATATATAGAGAACAGAGGGGAATTTCTGGAAAGTGTTCTTTAAAAGACAACAGGAGTGAGATCTAGTCCACAAAGTGATTGGCTTTATATATCGTCTATGCTGGTAGCTGAGAACAAAGAGTATATGGGTACAGATGCTGGTTTATGGAAAACCTCTCTGATTCTGTTTTCTTATCCCTAACTGCAGCTTATAATGCTAATCTCATATAGGTTATATGGGGACTAAATGAGTTAACATAGATGAGTGTCTGGTTTCAAGCAGCACTCAAACAAATGGCAATCCCTGACTTGTCACATTGTCCCTAAGTCACAATTTTCCAGACCTGGGAACCTCTCCACTGAAAGGTTGTGCATATATTAGATAATTGCAGAAGCTAGTGAGTCTGGATTTATCCATAAATAACTCATCAGACTTTTAAAACACTCCACTTTTAATAAAATGCCTCAGGACACTACATAAAATGCATCTTATTAAAATATTAAATCAAAGGCAATGACAAAATCTGACAGCATATCATATTTCATATCTTTAGTGTCCTGTCTGGATAAGCTAGTTAAAACTTAAGATTTGTGTAAATGTTCCATATCCTTTATGACAAAATTAAAGTACAATATCTGCTCCGGGCTATAGGTCAGAATCTGTAAGAAACTACCTCCTACCATACTAGGTTTCATAGAACAAATTAGCCAAATGCATGAGCCAAAAGTTTGAAGTCAGCCAAATTGTACCAGGCTTAGCTCAAGGCTGAGTTCTAGCCTTGAGGTTGACTTGTCCTAATGGACCTAACCACTGGAAAGATATTTAACTTTCTGGACCTGTTTCCTAATCTGTAAAACAAAAAGCTTGCACCTGATGACCACACTTCTCCTCTCAGAGTCTATGATTCTGAGAGTTTAAGATTCAGTAACAATTTAAGGGCAGTGGAAAATGGATTGGAGGCCACCACTATCCTTCTGTGGAATGTGGCCAGATTGTTCAACATTTTTGAGCCTTAGTTTTCTGAAGGGGTGGCCAGACCCTCTACACCTGTGGGTATATCTCATCAGGTGGGATGAGAGACTGAGAAAAGAAATAAGACACAGAGACAAAGTATAGAGAAAGAAAAGTGGGCCCAGGGGACCGGCACTCAGCATACCAAGGACCTTCACCTGCACCGGTCTCTGACTTACCTCAGTTTTTATTGATTATTATTTTCACTATCTCAGCAAGAAGAATGCGGTAGGAGAGCAGGGTGATAATAGGGAGAAGGTCAGCAAGAAAACATGTGAGCAAAAGAATCTGTCATAATTAAGTTCAAGGGGAGGTACTACGCCTGGATGTGCATGTAGGCCAGATTTATGTTTCTCTCCGCCCAAACATCTCAGTGGAGTAAAGAATAACAAGGCAGCTTTGCTGCCAACATGTCTCGCCTCCCGCCATAAGGCGGTTTTTCTCCCATCTCAGAATTGAACAAATGTACAATTGGGTTTTATACCGAGACATTCAGTTCCCAGGGGCAGGCAGGAGACAGTGGCCTTCCTCTATCTCAACTGCAAGAGGCTTTCCTCTTTTACTAATCCACCTTAGCACAGACCCTTTACGGGTGTCAGGCTGGGAGACGGTCAGGTCTTTCTCATCCAACGAGGCCATATTTCAGACTATCACATGGGGAGAAACCTTGGACAATACCCAGCTTTTCAGGGCGGAGGTCCCTGTGGCTTTTCGCAGTGCACTGTGTCCCTGGTTTATTGAGACTAGAGAATGACGATGACTTTTACCAAACATACTGCTTGTAAACATTTTGGTAACAAGGCACGTCCTACACAGCCTTAGATCCCTTAAACCTTGATTCCATATAACACATGTTTTTGTGAGCTCAAGGTTGGGGCAAAGTGGCTGGGGCAAAGTTACAAATTAACAACATCTCAGCAAAGCAATTGTTTAAGGTACAGGTCAAAATGGAATCTCTTATGTCTTCCCTTTCTATGTAGACACAGTAACAGTCTGATCTCTCTTTCTCTTCCCTACAGTTTCCTATCTTTCATCTGTGTTGTGAGAACCAAATACACTCCTTCGAGAAATCCCTTTATTAGGAGTACCCTCCTATTCCATCTAGCTGCTAAAGCAGCCGCTGTCAACAAGGAGAGGGCAGAAAGTATCAGAATCAACCTGTGGAGTGTTTTCAAAACATTTATTCTCCCACACCTCAGAAGCTGAGTCAGGGGATAAATAGGTTTCTTCTCTCTTACAAACTATTAGATTGGTGTATTGGTCTGTTCTTGTATTGCTATTTTAAAAATCTGAAGCTGGGTAATTTATTAGGAAAAGATGTTTAATTGGCTCACAGTTCTGCAGGCTGTACAGGAAGCATGGCGCTGGCATCTGCTTGGCTTCTAGGACACCCTCAGGGAGCTTTTACTCGTGGCAGGTGAAGTGGGAGCAGGCATGTCACATGGCCAGAGAGGGAGCAAGAGAGCAAGGGGGAGGAATGAACTCATTACCATAGGGAAAGTACTAAGCCATTCATGAGGGATCTGCCCCCACGACCCAAACACCTCCTACCAGGCCCCACCTCCAACCCTGGAGGTCACATTTCCGTATGAGATTGGGAGTGGACAAACATCCAAACCATATCAATTGGTAATGGTTGCCTAGACCCTTTTATGGAGAAGACTGCTAAGGACATGAATGGACTTAATTAAACAGTTTTGTGGTTGATGAATGCTGTCTACAAGGGATATAGGATTAGGGAGAGGTAGCTGTGGCTGTGTGTTTGCAACCCTAGGTTTGAAAGTTACAAGTCTGCCAGGATTATTTCTCACTTCCATTTCATTCTTTTTTTTCTTTGTTAACCAATTTTTCTCACTTCAAGACCCTGTTACTTCCCTAGATAAGACTTGAGTGCTATTGGCATTTCAGCTGAAACTGAGAGAAGACAAGTTGGTAAAAGAAGGTGAAAATGACTTTCTTCACTGGATTCTGTTAGACTCTCTGTGAAGACGGTCACTGTGCCTCTACTCCCATTGGGAGGAGAGCCTTGTGAGACCACAAGGGTGATCTGTTCTAGCTGGACCCTGCTCAGATTCCCAGCCCACAGAACCATGCACAACAAAATGGTTATTTTTCTAAGCCACTACATTTTGAGGTGATTTGTGATGCAGCAACAGATGGTGGAAACAGTTTCCAGCAGGGCTTTTAGTTTATTTGAGCACAGAAACGTGTAAGTAAAGAAGAACATTTAAATGTTCAAGCTACAAGTGTCTTATAAACCATGCAGCTCAAAAAGTTCATTTCACTCATGAGAAAATCAAGACTCAAATAAGTTATTTTACCCAAAGTCACAAAAAGAGTGAATTTCCTCTATGCTCTCCATTTTGTTAGCATATAGTTGTTCATAATAGTCTCTGATGACTTTTGTATTTCTGTCGTATTTGTTGTAATGCCTCTTGTTTCTTTTCTGATTTTGTTTCTATGGGCCTTCCCTCATCTTTTTTTGGTCTATCTAGTAGTTTATCAATTTTGCTTATCTTTTTAAAGAATCAACTTTTTCTTTTATTGACCCTTTGTATTTTTTGGTCTGTATTTCATTTAATTCTTCTCTGATGTTTATTATTTCTTTTCTTTCTGATAATTTGAGGTTTTGTTCATTTTTGCCTTTCCAGTTCCTTAGGATGCATCATTAGATTGTTTATTTGAAATCTTTCTACTTTATTTTCTGTTTTCTGATTAAATCTTGATGATATAACTGACATGGCAAATAACCCAAGAGGGTAAAGTGGAACTCTCAATGGAGATATTTAGATAGAATAGATTTAAGAGACCAAAGGGAATTGTGAGTCAGATGCCACAATCCTAAGAATATGCAAAAGATGAGGAAACAAAGAATTACTGTAAACTCTTTGCACCCCTTGAAGATTGAACTCTACAGCCTGCATGCTCCAGGCTTCAATGCACTCTGCCTTTTGGTTGGGTTCAGCCAATAGGAAGCATTAGCAGGAGCTAGGGGTGCAGTAGGAGAAAAGAGAGAGTGCTTATGTGAGTCCCTTGAAACACAATCATGGTGCCAGTATGGTGAGGTCAGGTGGGAGTTCTAATCTTAGCCACACACCAGCCAGAATAAGCCTTTTTATCATTTCATTTCCTTTCTTCCAGGCTGGGGTGGCTGCTTTCCTCACTTAGGGCCACTCGGCAGGTGGCTGATCTCCAATATCCAAAACTATCAACAGGTTCCAGGTACACTCATACCAGGGGGTGGTAACAGCTCCCCAGTGTTGCTACTTCTGTATGCTTCACCATCCCTGGCTGGTCTCATTAACCCTCCCACATATTTGGTAAATGACTCCTCTTTAAGTTCTCTTCAATTACCCTTCTGAGTGTGCCTCTGTTTTCTGTAGATACATGCCCTCATACAGACAGCATACAGGGGCAGAGAGCTGGGATTGAAGGGAGGACCTGTGAAGGGGATTTCCTTTGAGAGAGCTATACTGTGAGCCCCCACCTGACCTCAGCATACTGGCACCATGATTGTGTTTCAAGAGACTCATGAAAAAAGAAGGAAGGCATTCTCCCCACCTCACTTCAAGTCAAGAGGGGAGTTTTCACAAAGCCACTCAGAAAGCTCGACCTTTCCCTGGTGTGCAGGGGGATAAAATATCCCGTCTGATTACTTCATGAGAAATCTAAAAGTTGAAAGGTCAGTGGAACAGTTGCTGGCAGCTGAGGCTAGAGGAGAAGTGTCTGTGAGGGAACTTGCTGGTGTTCTGGTGTTCACTGGAGCAAAGGATGCCTGAGTGTGTCACATGAACCAAATACGGGTGAAATCAGAGCAAATCAGCATAAGACTTCCCAGGTCCCATCCAAAAAGGTCTTTAGGGAAGCCAAAGGCAACGTTGTAGAACATTTGAAGCTCCAATTTCCCAGGAGTTAAGAAGGGTAAGCAGAGCTGGGCATGGTGGCTCACATCTGTAATCGCAGCACTTTGGGAGGCCGAGGTAGGCGGATCGCTTGAGCTCAGGAGTTTGGGGCCAGCCTGGGCAACATAGTGAAACTTGTTCTCTACAAAAAGTACAAAAATTAGCCAGGCATAGTGGTGCACACCTGTAGTCTCAGCTACTTGGGAGGCTGAGGCATGAGAATCGCTTGGACCCAGGAGGCAGAGGTTCCAGTGAGCTGAGATCACACCACTGTACTCCAGCCTGGGCAACAAAGCAAGACTCCATCTCAAAAAAAAAAAAAAAAAAATGTCATGGGCCTTGCCTGAATTCTCATCCAGGGGCAAGAAAACAACAGCCCTGTGCACACAAGTGAAGGGGCAGTGACAAGCCAGCATCAAGTTGCTTTGCAACCACTTCCCACAGGCTACGCTTATTCAAAATAGCTGTTACAGCAACGCATATTCCTTTCTTTCTGTTAAAAATAGAGATGGAGTCTTGCTATGTTGCCCAGGCTGGTCTTGAACTCCTGGGTTCAAGGGATCCTTCTCCTGTGGCCTCCCAAAGTGCTAGGATTACCTGCAGGAGCCACTGTGCCCAGCCAGCTATGAATATTTTTCAAGCATTAACTGGCAAAACTAAGTAACAGGATCAAATCCATTCCTTAAATTGGGGCAACAGATCACCGTGTTTCTCAGGGTAAGAAGGATAGAGGAAAGTGCACAGCACCAGCCAGCCAACACAGAAAGCCAGGGAAACGGGACTCTGCAGGAGCATAGAGCCCCACCCGGTTCTAGTCTCCAGGGATTGGGAATTCAGGAGGATGAACATTGCGTGTGCCTGGAGAAGATAATGAATTAGGTTTGAAACAAACACACTGAGTTTGTAGAGGTTGCTCTTTGTACTGAGAAACTATAAGGCCTTGGGTATGTTTTTTATTCTCTTTGGGCCTCAGTTCCCAAATTCATAAAACATGTTGTTTAAATCAGATGATATTTAATGTTTATTGGCCTAAAAATATCTGAATAACATGTACCTAACCAGAAAAAGAAAAAAGCACTAAAGTATCCCGTTAATTTAGAAGATTGCATTAATCCATGTTAATCCATGTTAGCCTGGCCTTTTTTCTACCTCAGACCATTAAGATTATGTAAAATGAATGTATTAACCTATTCTCACACTGCTATAAAGAAATACCTGAGACTGGGTAACTTATAAAGAAAAGAGGTTTAATTGGCTCGTGGTTCCACGGGCTGTACAGGAAACCTTATAACTTCTGCTTCTGGGGAGACCTCAGGAAGCTTCCAAACATGGCGGAAGGCAAAGGAGGAGTGGCACATCACATGGCAGGAGCAGGAGGAAGAGAGAGGGGAGGTGCTACACACTTTTTAACAACCAGATTTCACGAGAACTCACTCGTGATGACAGCACCAAGGAAGGATGGTGTTAAACCATGAGAAACCGCCCCCATGACCCAATCACCTCCCACCAGTCCCACCACTCCTCCACCAGCATTGAGGATTACTTCAACATGAAATTTAGGTGGGGACACAGATCCAAACCATATCAATGAATAACAACTTTTAAAATGTTCTGCGTAACTTCCATTGCAGGGTAGAGTGGTTTGTTGGTGTAAAAGGTGTTCCCGGAACATAAACAAAACTAATTAAAATATTGACAAGAAAAAGAGCCCTGGAGGTAGAGGAGGAGACTGCCTCTGTTCCTTTTATTCTCTCCTGTATTTGAGTGAAGTGGCTGCCTGGGCCTTGGACGTCTGCAACGATTAACAAAATGAAAGCACAATTCTCTCTGAGTTAAAAAAGAGATAAGATTTGAAAACTTGGATGTCCTTAAACAAAATAGTAAGAAGGTTATTTCCCTCCTGCTGTATTATCTTGTATTATTTTGCTTTGCTCTATTCCTTTTAGAAAGCTAATTCCATTCTTTTTTTTTTTTTTTTTTTTTTTTGACATGGTCTGGCTCTATTGTCCAATCTGGAGTGCAGTGGTGCCATCTTGGCTCAGCATAACCTGTGCCTCCTGGGTTCAAACCATCCTCTCACCTCAGCTTTCTGAGTAGCTGGTACTACAAGTATAAACCACCACACCCGGCTAATTTTTGTATTTTGTAGAGACGGGGTTTCGCCATGTTGCCCAGAGTGGTCTTGAACTCCTGAGCTTAAGTGATCTGCCCTTCTCGACTTCCCAGAGTGCTGGGATTACAGGCGTGGGCCATCATACCCAGCCCCATTCTAATTCTTGATTCCTTTTACGTGATATAACTGAAAAAATATTTTTTTTCTTTGGTCAAATTGTTCCCTGAACTCTAAAATTTCACAATGCCGTGCCCTGGCAAAATTCTATTTTCATCTCTGTTTTGGATACTTGGTGGCCTCTTCCTATTTTGAAATTCAGTCCTTCAGTTCAGAAAAATGCTCTGGATATTTTTAGCAGTGACTTCTTCCCTCACTATTTCTCTCTGTTCTTTCTTTCTGGAATTCTTATTATAGGATGCTGACCTTTTGGTCCGGTTCTCTCATTTTCTTCTCTGTCTTATTTTCCATCCCTTTTTCTTTCTTTCTTTTTTTTTTTTTTTTTTTTTTTTTTGAGACGGAGTTTCGCTCTGTCGCCCAGGCTGGAGTGCAGTGGCGCGATCTCGACTCACTGCAAGCTCCGCCTCCCGGGTTCACGCCATTCTCCTGCCTCAGCCTCCCTTGTAGCTGGGACTACAGGCGCGCGCCACCATGCCCGGCTAATTTTTGTATTTTTAGTAGAGACGGGGTTTCACCGTGTTAGCCAGGATGGTCTCGATCTCCTGACCTCGTGATCCGCCCGTCTCGGCCTCCCAAAGTGCTGGGATTACAGGCGTGAGCCACCGCGCCCGGCCCCCTTTTTCTTTCTATCCAAGTTTTTGGTAGCTCTCTTCAACATTATCTTCCAATCCTTTGACTACAATTTTCATTTGTTCTATAATATTTTTAAGTTCCAAAAACTGTTTTTTTCTCTAAATACTCCTCTTTTCTTTCTAAAAAATAGCATCTGTTATTTTTTGATTCTCATATCTCTGCCTATATTTATTACAGCTTGTTTTTAAAGTTTTCTTCTTCCATTTTAAATTTTCCTCCAGATTTCTTCCCTGTCATTTGAGTATCTAGTTTCTATACCAGAGTATTTTTTTTTTTAGATGTCTGGTGATCCTTAGTTACCTTTTTATCCATCAGAATAATTAGATCATGTTGCAGTCGCAAAGAGGGTAGAAATTTCAGTAGTGTAAAATAACCATGTTCATTTTTTGGTCATGGTATGTGTCCTTCATGAATTGGCCAGAGAATTGGTCTCATCACCTTCACTCTTCAAGCCCCAAGCTCCTGTCTATTTCATACTGTCTCATGTATGTTTGCTCAAAGAGGCAGGGAAAAGAGAGCATGCCCTGGCTTTTAAAGCTTCTTTCCAGAAGTGACACACAAGACTTCCCTTCACACCTAAATTAGCCACATCAGGTCACATGGCTGTGTCTGAGTCCATATGGTGGGGATTATACTCCTTTCTCAGGGAGGGACACAGAGTATTCGTGAATAATACCATAGTCTGCCACAACTGCTCATATTATACAATGAGGCATTGAAACACCAATTGGAAGTTGGCACAAAGGGCAAAAATGAGGGGGCTTATTGAATGTGGGCTTCATTATATGGTGATCTGACTGGACTATTTCATCAAGGGAACCTCTGATGTCTTGGGCTGGTTCAATTCACTAGAGACAATTCTTCAAATCTCTCCTGAAGATTTCAATATTCTGAAATCCATGCTTCAATATCCTGGAGACTGAGTGAAGAAAGAAGGCTGGGAGCAATGTCTCAGCATTCAGAATGTAAATTTTACTTGATTCTTTGTTTTGTTTTGGTCTTGCACCTTATTCTCTCATCTGACTGTTGCCCTGGTCGACAGATTCTTTCTACATTATCCTCAGAAGAAAATAAACCTCAACAATCTCTGGGGATGAAGAATCAGTGGGAACATCAATAGATTCTTAATCAGGCCTTTAAGGAGTCCTCTGGTCTAACACACCACTCTCCTTTTCCTTCCAGAGGTATTTGTTTTCATCAACTCCTTTTGAAGGATTGCAGTGTGCTAGTTTGCTAGGGCTGTCATATCAAAGTACCACAGACTGGGTGGCTAAAACAACAGAAACTTTGCTTACAATTCTGGAGGCCGGATGTCCAAGATCAAGATGTCCATAGGGTTGGCTTCATTCTGAGGCTTCTCTCCTTAGCTTGTAGACGGCGCCTTCTCCCTGTGTCTTCACGTGGTCTTTCCTCTGTTGGAGTCTGTCCTAATCTCCTCTTCTTCTAAGCACACCAGTAAAATTGAAATAGGGTCCACCTTAATGACCTCATTTTAATTTAATTACCTCTTTATAGTCACATTCTGAGGTACTGGGGTTAGGACATCAGGGTATAAATTTTGGGAAAATGCAACTCATCTCACAACAAGTAACATAAAACCAGGCTATTTTGGTCTTCTCAGTGCTAGCCTTAATTTAGCTTTCTAGATTTAAGTCCACTCAACCAGCACCTTCCACTTGCCAAAATGTAGCTCCATTAACTAACTCTTCTCATAAAGTCTTTATCCTGAAAGGTTTATATCTTTCTACATATGTCTTGATTATTCTTTTTTGTGTTGTTTTGGAAGTCAGCAAAAGTAGGTGAAAAAAATATTTTGCAGTAAGCAGCTAATTTATACAGAAGAAAAATGATTACTTATTTGTTTTGCTTTATTCTAATCAGCAAAAGTTAGAGTGCTGACTGCTGAAATAAAGAAGAAAAGAAAAGGAAAGAAGGAAGGAAGGAGAAAGAGAAAGAAAAGAAAGAGATAGAAAGAAAGGACTAACCTAATATTTTTTCCAAATTATTGGGAACTCTTCCTAAAGCTAATTTTTACTACTGTATAAGTGAACCTTCTAACAGAAGGCTATCATGTTCTATCGACATGACTTCCTCATCTGGGGTAAATACCCGGGGCTTCTTGTCTTGTGCCAATAAAATTTAGGACATGGAAACATACAAGGAGTTTAGGAGTGGAGGTTTAATAGGCAGAAGAAAGAGAAAGAACAGCTGAGAGGGGCTTCCTAAAGGAAAAGACCAGCCAGCAGCGGATGCGCCGGATTTTACAGGCAGGCTTGAGGAGGCAGTGTCTGATTTACCTATAGCCCACAGACTGCAGGTGTGATGTTTACATAGCATGCGGGGAAGGATGGCCATCCAATCCTAATCTTATTATGCAAATGAGCTTTCCACTCGACTAGCGCCATCTTGTCTGCTTCTTACTATACACGTGGCTGACAAACAGAAGGGAAGATGGAACCGCCATTTTGGACATGATTGGCACAAGTACTGGCATCCATGTCTGCAGCTCGATTTTACAGACTGCTCTTTATTAGAAAGGAAAGTTATTTGGGGCTGCTTTTCATTAAAAGGAAAACCTTGCCAAGGACTTCTGTACCCTCAATATCTGCGTAAGTAATTTCTCTTTAACTCCTATATCACCATTAATCTATTTGACCTATGGTAGTATTTCTAAGTTTTCAAAAAAAAGAAAAAAACACTACAGTAAGCATCTAGTCAAGAGTATATTTCTTGATAAATACCTTAATTCATCAAATCTGAAATATTATCTATTGTAAGACACAGAAAAAGGGTGGAAGATTGTTTCTGATGAGGAGGGAAGCTGGGTTTGTGACGTAAAGAGATTGATTTTTTTCGAAGTTTTTAAAAAACAATTTAATTCTGTGTACATCTATTAAATCTGATAAAAATAAAAACTGAGGGGAAAAAATGAAGCCCGAAAATTATGTATATGATATGTACTCAATTATTTAAGACTAATAAAATTCGTAGAAAAACTACTAAGGATCAACAAGCGTAAGTTTACAGGTGAGTTTTATTTTCATTATTATGTATTTCTAGATTTTTCACAATATTTTGTGGTAAGCAGCTAGTTTATACAAAAGAAAAAAGTTTACTTGTTTTGTTTGTTTTGCTTTATTCTAAAAAGAAAAATGATCAGAAAGAAACATAAACAATGGCACTTGGGTGGTGAAAGTATGGATGCTATTTCTTTTTTGGGCTTCTCTGAAGTTCCCCAACGTCTTCTAACGAGAATGTTTTAAGGGCTTTAGGTTGAGAAATAGACAAAGAAGTAAAGCAGATGGAGAATACAATATCACCTTTAAAATTAGTAAACACTTGGTTGGAGGACTTGCTTAAAAGCCAGATTTCTGTGTTGGCTAGTTAATTAATCAAATTAACTGGAAACCTACCAAATACACACTCTGCTTTGCGCTGTGAGAACCATCCAAATGTGCACTTGGACTCAGTTGCTGAGGTATGACACAGCCTTTGGGATCTTTTATCATCCTAAACATCCAGAGAATCACCAAGAAAATGTCAATTATTCCCATTAGTGTTATCAAAGGGTGGTTATTTTTCTGTTGCTAAGTGACAACTCACAATATTTAGCATGGGGACAACCAGGAATGGAAAATGGAAACTCTTGCTAAAGTGATTGATTAGTAAGTTTCATAAATATTTGTTAAAGTGCTACAGTGAGAACAAAATTAAGAAACAAAAATGTAAATGTGGGTAGGGGAAGCCTAGGTAGTTTCCAGGGCACACTCCAAGGGGAACTAGAATTTTCCCCGGGCGTCTAGAAATCATGTCTTTCTTGTCAGTCTGGTATTGTCTAATTGGCGAATGTATGCATCTTATCATTTGAAGATGAGCACTTTGATCTCATTTAAAAAAGACAACAAAGAGAAGGAGCCTCTGCTTGGAGCAAGGCCAAAGGAGAGGACTTTCAACCTAGAGCAGGCCTCTACCTTCTCAGTCATTCACTTCATGGTTACCAAACTGTTACAGGAAAGAGGTCCTGATCCAGACTCCAAGAGAGGGTCCTTGGATCTCGCACAAGAAAGAACTCAGGGCGAGTCTACAGTGCAAAGCAAAAGCAAATTTATTAAGAAAATAAAGTGGTGAAAGAACAGCTACTCCATAGACAGAGTAGGGTGTTCCCAAAAGTAAGAGGAGGATCCACAAGATTAGTATTATAAGAGGGACATGGATCCTCCTAAAATGTAGATGTAGCTAAATGATAACCAGACATTGTTCCCTGTCTTACCTTTTTTAATCTCTTGCTGCTCTGGAGTCATAAAGCCAGAGGGCACAAGATTTATGACTTCCCCAATTGCTTCTATAGATAACATCACTATTGTAGAACTTAAGATTGGTCTTTTGAGGTGTTTGTCAGACTTTTTCATTCTGGGCACCAACGGACTCCATCCAGACCCAGGATTCATGACTCAACCGGTCCTATGGCCCCACCCAGAGGCAGACTCAGTGCTTAAGAACTGTTTTCAACATTTTTTTTTTTTTTGAGAGTCTCGCTCTGTCACCAGGCTGGAGTACAGTGGTGTAGTCTCAGCACACTGCATCCTCACTGCACCAACCCTCCATGTATGTATGTATATTTTTATATATTATATCTTATATATATATTATATATAAATATAATATAATATATATTATATATAAATATAATATATATTATATATAAATATAATATAATATATATTATATATAAATATAATATAATATATATTATATATAAATATAATATATATTATATATAAATATAATATATATTATATATAAATATAATATAATATATATTATATATAAATATAATATATATTATATATAAATATAATATAATATATATTATATAAATATAATATAATATATATTATATAAATATAATATATATTATATATAAATATAATATAATATATATTATATATAAATATAATATAATATATATTATATATAAATATAATATAATATATATTATATTATGTTATATATGTATTATATAATATATAAATACAATATAAATATATTATATTATTATATTTATTAAATATATAAATCCAAGCCTCTTGTCACTGGAAAAATATGCCCTGTATGACCAGGAACCTTGGATAATATAGAAACAAAACTAGAGACCACCATAACATTTCTTTACATCTTATGTAGTGTTTTTCTAATTTCTCCTAATAATAATGACTATTTATTGCATCCTTCCCCCATGTCAGATATTGCATTAATTGCAATAAGTATACCAGGCCATTTAATATCCACAACATCTCTATGAAGTAAATGTCATTATTAATTCCATTTTACATGTGAGCTCTCGGAGGTGTAGACACAATGTAACTTCTGTGTGGTTCTTGATCATAAACACAAGAGCTGGGATTTGAAGCTAGGTCTACAGTCCTCACCATGTTTTCTCAGCACCCCGGACTGTGGGAAGCAGTAGGATATCAGAATTTAGAATAACATATTTCCTCTACTGTAAGTGACCTTTCATTGCCAGATGTGTCATCAATAAAAGTTTTTCAGAAGAAAAAAAAACAGAAAATAATCACATCAATTTTAAGACACTCCCAGTTTTTGAAATGGGATCATATAAAATGAATGGGCTTCTTGGATTTGAAGAAATCAGATAAGAGCTTGCCTTTGTGTGGCATTCATAACTTTCCAGAATGCTCTTATATCCAAACCCCATTCACTTGGCTCACTTGCTCAGCAATACTTGCTGCCTCCTGCTGCCTGGCTTTTGCTGAAAAATAATCATTAGTCTTCAGCAAAGAAATGAAATTTTAAAACACCATGCAGAAAAACTGACCAATTGCCCTTCCATATCAATCTGTAATATTTGCAGGACATCTAGTAACGAGCTTCCAGGTTATATGTCTTTCATGAGCCCAGGTCAGTGCTTTAATAACACAGAAAATGGAAAAGCCTAGATCCCTTTTTCAAGTTGAAACTTGGCCTTTGCTTCTCCTGATTTTCAAGGAAATCAGGTGACACCCATGTTATAACTCAAAAACATGGTTTTCTGCAAATGAAATTAAACATTAATGATTTGTCTTATAAATCTCCCTGATATGACATTGAATACTTCGAAAACTCAAAGATATACTACAGCCTTGAAACCAAACACAAGATACATTTACCAGCATAATCAGATGTCAGGGCTCAGCTTGGGTCATAGCTTAATCTACCAAGGCTCAGAATTTTCTTTTGTTAATTAAGGAAAATGCGTCCTTGAGTTAGCAAATATCTGAGGGGTGGAGGATCCCATTTCACTGAGTAGCAGACCATTACAGTCACTGGGAGGGATTATTGCCTTGATACTAGAAGCCAATAATAAATGTAAATTTAACCATGAGTTCTTGAGCTCCTCCTGAGTCCCAGGCACCATTTTCACCTGAGATCTCCACCATAGGCCTGGGACAGAGGTGCCACTTTTTCTATTTTATGCATGAGGAAACAAACTCTGAGAAACGAAGTGATGTGCTCAAAATCCCACAACTAGGTTATGGCTCTGACTCCAAGTAAGGATGACAAGTCATCTCACTTGCCTGAAACCGTGAGGGTTTCCCAGATGTGAGACTTTCAGTGCTAAAACTGGGACAGTTCTGGGGGCTCAAACTGGGACAAGTAGGCCATTGTCTATTCAAGGCCAGTGCTCCTTCCACCAGACAACTCTAGTCAAGGGGTTACATGGGCTGCTGTGAGATGGTCTGGTCATCCAACCAGTGTTTAAAACATGGGAATTTCAAACACCTAGTTTAAGGTACCCTTTCATGCTCCTCCTTTTAGCCAGTTTTATCATGGTGGCCCACAGCTCCACATCATGGTTATGACCTAGATTGGTTTTCTTTTTTTTTTTTTAAGACAGGTGTCACTCTATTGACCAGGCTGGAGTGTAGTGGCACGATCTCGGCTCATTGCAACCTCTGCCTCCTGGGTTCAAGCAATTCTCCTGCCTCAACCTCCTGAGTAGCTGGGATTACAGGTGCCCACCACCACACCTGGCTAATTTTTGTATTTTTAGTAGAGACAGGGTTTCACCATGTTGGCCAGGATGGTTTTGAACTCCTGACCTTGGGTGATCCTCCCACCTCAGCCTCCCAAGTGCTAGGATTACAGGCATGAGCCACCACACCCAGCTGGTTTTCTATATCTAATCATTATTTTGAGGATTTAGAAAAGATATTTATTCCTCATGGATTAATCACAGATGGGACAAAATGGCTTGTTCTTGAAATTCTGTGGAGGTAGGAGGCAATCAGATTGCAGCCCTCTGCACATGCCAAGAGACCATAAATTCTTTGCTGATTTGCTGAATAGCAAAGCACTTAGCAGAAATAAGGACATATCCATTCTATGACTGCAGATTTTATCAGATCAAACAGTTACTGTAATGGCCAGTCAATTCGGGCAGAAAAGTAATTTAGGAAGATGATTTTACAACTTTAACTGGAAAGAATATCTTTTTTAAAAAATTACTTTATTTTCACTATCCTCAATCTCGATGGGAATGAGAAGAATGTCTTGATTGAAAAAGATACAATTTACCCTGACAAAACAATGCAAACCTGGCCTTCCTTGACCAAGCAGTATAATCCAAAGATGATCAACATTGCCAGATGGATATGCACCAGAACTTTTGGGTACAGACCAGACAGAGATGGATGTGAAATTCCAGACCAATTTGTTGTAGGATATGTCCTTGACTATAATTAATACTTTAAGGATTTGAATCATGTTTGTGTCATTAGTAAAATTGGAAAAGCAAAATACAAAGGCAAAAATGAGGGTCAAGTAGAGTAGCAGAGTTTGGGAACATCTGGAGTCTCATTGACATTGCCAGTAAAAGTGTCAAATGTTGCATTTCTGTGGTCATCTGCATAGTAGAGCTTTTTGCATGGATCTTTGGGAATTTTATCTGTTGCATATTTTAGATATAACAGTTGCTGCCATCCTAAACTCATTGTTAGCACTAAGAACCAATAGATCATCAGTTCCCTTTGGATAGGTTGTTGTTCCACTTGTGAATAAAAAACCTCTCAGAAAAAAACAAAACAAATAAAAATCTCTTTAAGAAACATTGAAAGAGAAGATATATTCATTTATTATTTGGTATATTAATATTTATTTAGTCATGAATTTATGAAAAGAACAGAATTAAATACAGTTAATTATTACACCACTTTAAAAACCAAAAAACAGTCAGTTTTCTTATCCTACAGCATATAAGACGTTTTATTCTATTGTATAAACCACGTTTCCTGGAATCATCTTAGTAGTGTTTCAATAGTATTAACTGAATTTTCCCATTTCTTGAGATTATTTCTGATGAGTCAGTCACTTTCTATGGTTTCTTTAAATATAAATTAGTGTGTTTTAAAAACTTTTACACATTTGGAATTCTTCAATAAAAAATCCTTAAAGACTGCCTGTTTTTTTTTCTTTTTTTTTTTTTTTTTTGGAGTTTCGCTTTTGTTGCCCAGGCTGGATCTCAGTGGTGCGATCTCGGCTCACTGCAACCTCCGCCTCCTGGGTTCAAGCGATTCTCCTGCCCCAGCCTCCCAAGTAGCTGGGATTACAGGCATGCACCACCACACCCAGCTAATTTTGTATTTTTAGTAGAGACGGGGTTTCTCCATATTGGTCAGGCTGGTCTCGAACTCCTGACCTCAGGTGATCCACCCACCTTGGCCTCCCAAAGTGCTGGGATTACAGGCGTGAGCCACCGCGCCCGGCCGGCTCTGAAGTTTCATATTCCCTTTGAAGTTTCTGATTCAAAACGTACACGCACACTCCCAATTTGGTGATAGTTCCTGAACAGAATGTCTTACTTGAGTTAAGAGGAAAATCCCATTTTCAAACACTCTATTATTTATGCAGCTTTCCATTTCATTCTACCAACTTTTTTTTCTTTCATACGTAATTTATTCAGGTAAAATATCTTCCCTTCAGGTATTTTTTTAAACTATGTACTGATCTTTCTATTCAATTAGGAGACTAGACTGTATTTTAAACCAAAAAGACCACAAATATTTCCATCCCAAAGCATTTTAAAGAGTGTATGTCTTAATTTACAGAAATAACAATTTTATCTATCTTCTTCAGATAATTTTTAAACACATGGGAGAAGCCTTAGGAGGGATGTCCTGGAGAATACACCTAGCCTTTCAAACACAATAATTGTGGACCCAAACAGTGAAATCCCAGGAACTTTAGAGCTGAGAGACTTTCTTCTGAGGAAGCCACATGGTCTTCATATGAGCAAGTGTGTGTAGATGGATAATGATGATAATGATGATGGTAATGGACGTTGGTTATACACTTACTGTGTGCCAAGGACTAAATGGTAAACGTGTCTCAGCAAAGTAGCTGTCTCTCCAGCACTCATTCTTACCTTCATCTAAAGGAATAGCATTTTTAGGTGGTTCATGGCTGGACAGAATAAAACTTTCATTTTCTTACCTCTTCTCTGACTGATAAAGTCACATGACTAATTTCTAGTCAATGAGGTATTACTACAGGTGTCCTATGGCTGCTTTCTGGAAACTTCCTTAAAAGACAGTGCAAAGTTAGTTACTCTTCAGTTCTTTGTCATGCTTTTCCTCCCTTCCATTACTTGGAGCATTGGTTAGATGACTGGAGAGCCATCTTGGACCACGAAAATTAAAGGATGATTTTTAGTGATAAGGAAGGCAGCCAGGACTCTGAGGATCCTACAGAGCAGAGCTGTCCTACAGGCCCCAGACAATTGGCCTTTGGGCTTTTACATGAAAGAGATGTAAACATCTATCAGATTTAACTAACTGTGATTGCAGATTTCCTGCCCCTTGGAGATAAGCCTAGGTTTTACTAATTCTTATTCAGCCCTCACAGCAACCCAGCAAAGGAAGTTACTGCTGTAATTCCCATTTTACAGATGAGAAAAGTGAAGCACAAAAAAGCTTACAGCCAAAGGGAGAAAGAGCTGGAATCCTCACAGTCTAGTCCAGAACAGGAGCTCCATGAAGGCCCTGTTCTCATTCTTACTCGTTGTGTCTCAAATTGGAACTCCACAAGGCAGTACAAGCTTTAGAAAGTAATAATACTGATAGCAGCTAATTACTGAATCCTTATGGCAAGCTAGGCACTTACTATTTTATGCTTAGGAAAGCTGAGGACTGGAGATGTTAAGCACACTGGCCTAGGTCACACAACTCACAAGAGTCGCAATAGAATTCAAGGTCAGTAATTCAGCCCAGAGCCTCATTCAACCACTAAATTTTACTGCCAGACAAGAGTGTGCCAGCCAGAAAGCAGTGTGTGCTGAGGGTGGTGGAAGAGCAGGCATGGAGGAAGCTGCGGCTGAGGGCAAGAGGGAAAGATGGTTTGAGAGTGGAAGGATGAGCAGGGCTACACCTTTCCCTGAGTAGTCACCACTGATCCTATTCATTACCTTTCTACTCACTGCTCAAGGATAAAAACAGGGAATTTCTTACTGGAAAATGCTCCCTGGGTGAGACATGTTCTTTCATCAGGTTCCCTCATCTGCAGTGGAGTCTGTTTGTCCACCCTGTTCTGGTCACCTGCACGTGAAAGCACACAGCCACTGTGGGGATTTGCAATACTAACCTTCCTCAGTCGAGGGGAACCACAAGCAGCCTTGCACCTCTGGAGTCTTTCTATGTAGATTTAGCACATTCTGGAATCCTTTAATTCATTAAACTTCTAAATTCCTCAACCACCCCCAACTCTCAGAGTATTCCAGAAGGGATGTCATTAACCTCCCTGTTGCCAATTTCAAGAGCTACCTTTCTGCCCAAGGTTTTCTTTATAATTTCTGACATTTCAATCATCTATGAACCTTTCCCCTCCCCTCACTTTTCATAAGTGGCTTTCCTTCTACCCCTCTGGCTGTTACCTTTCAGATTCTTACTCACACATTTTCCTTGGACTCCCACTGCCTGGGAGGGTTGTGGAAAGAGCTTCTTCACAGCCTCTCTGTGTCCAGTGAAGCTACTTTCCCATTAATTCTGTATAGAATCACCAGGGTACTGTTTCTATAATGCAGATCTGATCACGT
Source organism: Homo sapiens (assembly GCF_000001405.40). Taxonomy (NCBI): domain Eukaryota; kingdom Metazoa; phylum Chordata; class Mammalia; order Primates; family Hominidae; genus Homo; species Homo sapiens. The sequence goes on along the minus strand of NC_000004.12, from coordinate 15,861,653 downwards.
CTCTTCCATGTTTAAAATCTTCCCAAGTGTTGTTGATTGTAAAAACAGTTTCCACAAATTCCATGTTGTATTAGTCTGTTCTCACGCTGCTGAGAAAGACTTACCCGAGACTGGGAGATTTATAAAGGAAAGAGGTTTAATTGACTCACAGTTCCGCATAGCTGTGGAGGCTTAAGGAAACTTACAATCATGGCAGAAGGAGAAGCAAACACATCCTTCTTCACAGGGCATCAAAAAGGAGAAGTGCCGAGCAAAGAGGGAAAAGCCCCTTATAAAACCATCAGATCTTGTGAGAACTCACTTTCATGAGAAGAGCATAAGGGTAACCACCCCCATGATTCAATTACCTTCCATCAGGTTCCTCCTACCACATGTGGGGATTATGGGAACTACAATTCAAGATGAGTTTTGGGTGGGGACACAGCAAACCATATCACATCTGTTCTTATGTATACACATTCCTTTGCAATGTTAATTGGTAGTTTCCCAATCACAAGGTAAAGTTTATTTCTCTACCTCTTGAATATGAGGTTGGCCATGTGACTTGTGACTTGTTGGACTTGCATTGTTTATAATGGCTTGTTTTTCTTTTTAATAAATTTATTTTTTCGAGTAGTTTTAGATTCACAAAAAACTGAGTAGAAAGTACAGTCTTCATATAATCCCTGCACCCACACGTGCACAGCCATCCCAACCATGGTTTTTATAAAAAATGAAAATAAAATACTTGTACCAAATTAGGGGATGAATAAATTATGGTACAACAATATTCTTTGCCAATGAAAAATAACAACGCAGAGCTCTATTTATTGACTTAGAAAGATATTCACAACATATTAGTTTGAAAAAAGCTAGTCACTGTAGGGTGAGATAGCATTTCTCTAAACATATGATCTCATTTCTCTAAACATATACCTATTTCATTAGATCTAAGATGTCATCAAGTATAAGATAGACTATTAATTATTCATTACTAAGAAAAAGGATGCTTCCACTTAAACTGTCATATGTTGTTTTGTAAATACATTGATTCTAAGATACAGCCTGATGTCAGAAATTCTAAAATCTTTTTAAAAATGTTTCTTAGCTTGTGCATATGTGGTTGATATAAAAATGTAATTTTTAAATTTATTGATACATAATATTTGTACACATTTATGAGATACATGTGATATTTTGTTATGTGCATTGAATGTATAATTATCAAGTCAGAGTTCTTAGGGTATCCATTGCCTCGAGTATTTATCATTTATATGTGTTGGGAACATTTCAAGTTCTCTCTTCTAGTTATTTTGAAAGATACAATACGTTGTTGTTACTTATAGCTACCCTACTCTGTTATGAAATATTAGAACTGATTCCTTCTATGTAACTGTATGTTTGTACCCATTCAGCAACCTCTCTTCATCCCCTCCACCACACACACACACACACACACACACACACACACACACACACACACCCTTAGCCTTTGGTCTCATTCTACTCTCCACCTCCATGACATCAACTTTTTAAGCTCCCATATATGAGGGAGAATATACAATATTTGTCTTTCTATGTCTGGCTTATCTCACTTAGCATGATGACCTCCAGTTTCATTCATGTTCTGAAAGTGACATGATTTCTTTCTTTTCCATGACCAAATAGTACTCCATTGTGTATATACACCACATTTTCTTCATCCATTTATTAATGGATAATTTGTTAATTCATATCTTTGCTATTGTGAACAGCACTACAATAAACATAGGGGTGCAAGTGTCTTTTGATATACTGATTTATTTTCCTTTGGATAAATATGCAGTTGTGGGATTGCCGGGTCATATGATAGTTCCATTTTTAGCTTTTTGAAAACTCTCCATACTGTTTTCTATAGTGACTGTACTAATTTACATTCCCACCAACAGTGTATAAGAGTTTCCTCTTCTCCACATCCTCATCAGCATCTGTTAATGTTTGTCTTTTTAATAATACCCATTCTGAGGTAAGATAATACCTCATTGTGGTTTTGATTTGCATTTTGATAATTAGTGATGAACATGTTTTCAAATACCTGTTGGCCATTTGTATGTATTTTTTTGAGAAATGTCTCTTCCTGTCCTTTACCCACTTTTAAATGGGATTAATTGTGGGTTGGTTTGTTTGTTTACTGTTGAGTTGTGAGTGCCTCGTATATTCTGAATATTAGTCCCTTGTCAGATGAATAGTTCACAAGTATTTTCTCCCATTTGACAGGTTGTCTCTTTACTCTGTTGATTATTTTCTGTGCTGAAGCTTTGTATTCTAATATAGTCCCGTTTGTCCATTTTTGCTTTTGTTGCCTATGCTTTTGAGGTCTTAGCCATAAAATCTTTGCCTAGATCAATGTCTTGAAGTGTTTTCCCTATGTTTTCTTCAAGTAGTTTTATAGCTTAGGGTTTTGTGTTTAAGTATTAATGCATCTTGAGTGGATTTTTTGTATATGATGAGAGATGGAAGTACAGTTTTATTTTTCTGCATATGAATGTCCAATTTTCCCAGCACCATTTATGGAAGAGGGTGTCCTTTCTCCAATGTATGTTCTTGGAGCTTTTGGTGAAAATCAGTTGGCTATAAATATGTGTATTACTTTCTGGGTTATCTATTCTGTTCTATTGGTCTATGTGTTGGTTTTTTGTTTCTGTTTTTGTTTTTGAGAGAGAGTCTTGCTCTGTCACCAGGCTGGAGTGCAGTGGTGCCGTCTCGGCTCACTGCAACCTCTGCCTCTCAGGTTTGAGTGATTCTCCTGCCTCAGCCTCCCAAGTAGCTGGGACTACAGGCCTGCACTGCCACACCCAGCTAATTTTTGTATGTTTAGTAGAGATGGGGTTTCACCATGTTGGCAAGGATGGTCTTGATATCTTCACCTCATGATCCACCTACCTCGGCCTCCCAAAGTGATGGGATTACAGGCGTGAGCCATACCACCATGTTGTTTTGGTTACTATAAGCCTTGTAATATATTTTGAAGTGAAGTAGTGTGATGCCTCCAGCTTTGTTCTTTTTGCTCAGGATTGCTTTGGCTATTTAGTTCTCTTTTTTTGTTCCATATGAATTTTAGGATTGTTTTTCTATGAAAAATATGATTTATATGAAAAGTGTACAATATATACATAAGATGTTATCAGTGGTAACCACTGGTAACCTGGGTGGTAAGATTATCAATGAGTAGAAAGTATAGCACTGATATATTTCAATGATTTTGTCTTTATTTTTTATTATCTGTATTGCTTACATCAAAGAAATGGTAACTTGGTTAAAAATAAAAACATTTTAAAGGAAAACTCTCAATCTCCCCTGTTTGGGGAAGCTTTCATCATCCCTCTCACATCACCCCAAATTGTACTTTGTGCTCATGGGGCATGTTTGTGTCATTGACAGTCCTAACCATCTCATTCTCAGTCCTCCTAAAAGACCAGAGTTTTCCAGACAACACAGTGGGCAGCTGGAAAGGGGTATGGGGGAAATGACTTTTACCAAGTTCAGGCTGAAGTAGAGATTCCCCCTTGAATACACAGGGAGTGGGCCATCTGCTCCACGGCAGTAGCCCATGCCTGTTTCTGTCAATACTCTGTCACCAGCACCTTGCACCTAGAAAAGGATCAGCTAATACTGGTGATCAAATAATCAGTAGGTCAATTATTTAATAGTGAGGCTAAAGTGGCCAGCAAAGCCAAGTCTGGACAAAGAAACTGAGCTACAGCGGTGAGGATTAAAGAAGGCATTATGGAGACAAAAGCCCTGAGAGCAAATACTGACTGAGTTTCTGCTCTGTGTCTGGGATTGAGGATAAAGCAATGAAGAAAAAGACCAGGTCTAGCCATCATGGAAATGAGATTCTGGGTGAAACTAGATCAGAGGAAGAGAGGAAGAGAGAAGTATCTTTTTCTAGAGTTTGGTACCCTCTGCTTATGGCTTCCATTTTCTAAGTCCAAGGCTGCTGCTGAAATTTCATTGTTTTTCAGCAAAGTAAAGGAGATAAAAGTGAAAATTTAGTCCATTGATGATAGACTGGATCAAGAAAATGTGGCACATATACACCATGGAATACTGTGCAGCCATAAAAAAGGACGAGTTCATGTCCTTTGTAGGGACATGGATGAAGCTGGAAACCATCATTCTGAGCAAACTATCACAAGGACAGAAAACCAAAAACCACATGTTCTCACTTATAGGTGGGAATCGAACAATGAGAACACATGGACACAGGGTGGGGAACATCACACAATGGGGCCTGTCGTGGGGTCGGGGGAGGGAGGGAGGGAGGGATAGCATTAGGAGAAATACCTAATGTAAATGACGAGTTAATGGGTGCAGCATATCAACATGGCACATGTATACATATGTAACAAACCTGCACGTTACGCACATGTACCCTAGAACTTAAAGTATAATTTAAAAAAATGAAAATTTAGAGCAAGTGGCTGTTTCTAAGGTGACTAGGCAATTGCATTAATCATCTCCATTCATACCCTATTGGCCAGAGCCAGCTGCAGAGCTGGGATCTGTTCTCTAGCCGTGAAGTCATGCCCTGATTAAAAATGGCAGATGGGGAAATACTGTTTATTTTTTTTAAAAAAAGAAGAAAAGAACACATACTAGGCAACAGTTAGCAATCTCCACCACACCTGTTTGTGGATTCTTAGGCTTTTTGATAGGAAAGAAAGACATGGAAGGAGAAAACCTTGACTCCTAAACTATTGCTCACAACTCCACACACCTTCCACAACCCCAGAAGGACTTAGTATCTTCACTTGTCAAGTAAAGGAGATGAGCCACTGATGTGCCATCATTGTGTTCCATGGTTCTTTCATGATTCTGTAATAAATTATTACAGAAATGTCTATTTTGTTACTTTTACTGTGGAAGTATTTGACATGTTCATGGTAATGAGTGACACTTAGAAAACAACAGGCCGGGCGCAGTGGCTCACGCCTGTAATCCCAGTATTTTGGGAGGCCGAGGGGGGCGGATCACAAGGTCAGGAGATGGAGACCATCCTGGCCAACATGGTGAAACCTTGTCTCTACTAAAAATACAAAAATTAGCTGGACATGGTGGTGCGTGCCTGTAGTCCTAGCTACTCAGGAGGCTGAGGCAGGAGAATCGCTGGAACCTGGGAGGCGGAGGTTGCAGTGAGCCGAGATCACGCCACTGCCCTCCAGCCTGGCTACAGAGTGAGACTCCGTCTCAAAACAAAAACAAAAACAAAAAAATACATTTTAAAAATAATCCCATCTGATAGCACAGAGTCACCCGTGTTCTAAAAGGCTGACAGCAGGAAGGACACCTGATGAGATCCCAGCTTGCTTCCTTCCTCTCACATCACCAGGCCAAACAAGCTGTGCCTGGAGAAGCTCATGACTTCTGTGGCCCAGCGCCAAAGTCATCAAATTCTGAGCGTCTAAGAAGAATCTGGGACTTAGCAGCAGCTCCCACAGGGCATCTTTCCCTCCAACTTGTATCTGATTATTCTACCAGTGCAGGAAAATTCCCTGGAAGGCAAGGCTGGGAAAACTGAACCAATTATTAAATATTATTCACAACGGGAGATTTGTTCTTGTGCAGAAGGTCAGAGATAGCTGTCCCATTTCTTCTTAGCTCTCCTGCTTTCTCAATGTTCTTTCAGCTCACTGATTCCACAGGGAGAAGATTTCTACTCCCAGCACATCTTGTCTTCTGGCTTCGTTGCACCAAGGAAGGCTGCGTGCCTTAACCATCATCAGAGCAGTAAGTACCTGGTCAGGAGAGCAGGGGCTTGAACTGGCAATGCTAAGGGAGGCTGTTGAACTCTTGATCAGCTTGAAGGATGAAATTTATACATTTGAACTTCTTAGATTTGGGAGCAGTGGAGTCTATTGCTGCATTTTTGTCAACCTCCAGCTTGGGATGGGCCAGCTCTTAGTGAAAGGTATCTGGCCCATTTCTCTCTTAGGTGGGAAAGTTCTAATCATCTAGAATGATTCAAAGCTTGTGAGAGACTATAGCTGATCCTGTTGGTTGGCAAGAGAGCCATTCTCTACCCTCTTCTCCATTGTCCCCTAGGTCTCAGGGTCTCAGCATCTAAACTAGGTAGGCTTGTCAAGGAATTTCCTCCGGAATAAAAACAGTCTCAAAAATAAAATAAAATAAAAATAAAAAAATAAAAATCCTAACATTGATACAGTTCTTCATATGTATTAAGCATTATCCTAAAAATTTTGCACATATCACCTTACTTAATGCTCAAAACAACCCAAAATGATAGACACTCTTATCACTCCCATTTTACAGACAGAGAAACTGAGCTCTGTCCTAAGCATTTTACCTGTATCAGGCCCTACACACTGAATGTATCTGTGCAACCGTGAATCTGTGGCTGGTGAGGAAGGAAAGCAGGTGCCATGCACCATCCACCATTCTCTTTCATTACTTCTGTTCCCAGAAATAGCCATGTCTGTGTTCTGGCAGTGATAGAGCGACAGCCAAGTGTCCATAGGGCAAGCGGCAACTTTTCTACCTGACAAGCCAGTAGAGTAATCTGGAGTGTTGTTCTTGGCTAAGTGGCTTCCAAACTATTTTCTCGCCCTCCCAGACAATCTATAAGCTCTTGATAGTTTTTAGAAAATTCACTTTCAGCCTGTGATGGTTGAGTGTCAACTTGATTGGACTGAAGGATGCAAAGTATTGTTCCTGGGTGTGTTTGTGAGGGTGTTGCCAAGGGAGATTAACATTTGAGTCAGTGGACTCGGAGAGGCAGACCCACAGTCAATCTAGGTGAGCACCATCTAATCAGCTATCAGTGCAGCTAGGATAAAAGCAGGCAGAAGAACGTGGGAGGACTAGACTGGCTGAGTCTTCTGGCTTCCATCTTTCTCCCATGATGGATGCTTCCTGCTCCCGAACATCGGATTCCAAGTTCTTCAGCTTTTGGACTCATGGACTTACACCAGTGGATTGTCAGGGGCTCTCAGGCCTTTGGCCACAGACTGAAGGCTGCACTGCTGGCTTCCCTACTTTTGAGATTTTGGGACTCGGACTGGTTTCCTTGCTCCTCAGCTTGCAGACGGCCTATTGTGGGACTTCACCTTGTGATCATGCAAGTCAATACACCTTAATAAACTCCCTTTCATATATCTATCTGTCTTTAGCTCTGTCCCTCTAGAGAACCCTAATACACAGCCAGAGTGGTGTTCTGTTGTTGCAGCTGAGAGCACAGGCTGATACAATGTGTGAAGTACCTTGTACAATAAACATTGGTTTTCTCTTTTCTGCAGGCTGGCATTTTGCATCAAGTTTTTTTGTTTTTTGTTTTGTTTGTTTGTTTGTTTTGAGACAGCAACTAAATTTCTATTGTCCAGGCTGGAGTGCAGTGGCACAATCTCAGCTCACTGTAGCCTTGATCTCCTGGGCTCAAGCAATCCTCTCACCTCAGCCTCTCAAGTAGTTGGGACTACAGGAACATGCCACCATGCCTGGTTAATTTTTGTTTAGTTTTTTTCAGAGATGAGATCTCATTATGTTGCCCAGGCTGGTCTCGAACTCCTGGGCTCAAGCAATCCTCCGTTCTCGACCTCCCAAAATGTTGGGATTACAGGCACGAGCCACCCTGCCAGGTCTTTTGCATCAAGTCTTTAAGTGTTGTTTCATGTTTATGTCACTTATTAAGAATCACACACAAGATCGTCCTTTGCAGGGACATGGATAGGGCTGAAGGCTGTTATCCTTAACAAACTAATGCAGGAACAGAAAACCAAATACCTCATGTTCTCACTTATATGTGGGCGTTAAATGATGAGAACACTTGGGACACAGTGAGAAACAACAAACATTGGGGCTTATTGGAGCATGGAGGGTGTGAGGAGGGGGAGGATCAGGAAAAATAACTAATGGGTACTAGGCTTAATACCTGGGTGATGAAATAATCTGTACAACAAACCCCCATGACACAAGTTTACCTGTGTAACAAGCCTGCACCTGTATGCCTGAACTTAAAAGTTTTTTTTAAAAAAATAATCACACATGTTGTTTTCATTATGTTAAATCCTGTGAGGTCTCAAGGTGAGTCTCCTTAATAGAGAATAAAAGATGCGTCATCACGTGATTCTCGAATGTGAGACTCCTACTGAAAAGCAAACAACATTCTTCTTCAATGTGTTGAAGAATAAAGAGGTGTGAGTAAGGATTTTCAGGTCTTTGTAGACAGTAGCACTGGACTCTTGTTGGCATCTATTCCCGCTTATTCCACCACTGAGACACACCAGGACAGTGACCCATCCTTTCCCCAGCTACCTAACTCACTCAATCGTGTAGTGCAGTAGGTAGGAAGTCCTGTTGTCTTCAGCAATGTGCCACCCACTGAACATGTCCCTTAGTTCTTTCAAGCCCAGAGACAACTCCTTTTAAAAGAATTATTCAGCACAGTTCTTTATTATACTTTTATTGTTTGTTTAATTCATTTTTGTCTGTTACAAATAAATTTCAAACTAGAGAGTCACAGATGTTAATAAACTCGCCCAATGCATCACCTGCCTCCGAATTCCATAGTTTCCACCGCCTTGCGCTACTTGCATTCTGATTAGAGAATGGTAATGTGTGCCTCTCTGAATCAAGTTCAAGAATAAATGCCCTATCCTGGCTAACACGGTGAAACCCCGTCTCTACTAAAAATACAAAAAATTAGCCGGGCGAGATGGCGGGCGCCTGCAGTCCCAGCTACTTGGGAGGCTGAGGCAGGAGAATGGCGTGAACCCCAGGGGGTGGAGCCTGCAGTGAGCCGAGATCGCGCCACTGCACTCTAGCCTGGGCGACAGCGAGACTCCGTCTCCCAAAAAAAAAAAAAAAAAAGAATAAATGCCCCGTTAGGGAATAGTTCAAAGCCTGTTGTGCTTTGTGTGGGTGAGCTAAGGCCAAGCTAATCACCACTTCTCTGGGCAGCACCTCTCAGCTGCCTACTGAGTTCTTGGTGGATTGCTTAAAATACATACTAAAATGATGACTCTTCATAGTAAAAGTAAATTAATTGCTCTGTTATTCAAAGAAAAACTGCGGGAAAATATCTGGATTAGCAATGTGTTGATAAAATGACTTAAAGTTATACAGTATTCTAGGTGTATTTTAATATTTTACTTTATACAATTTTTATGTCATACTTAAAAACTATCCAGCACATATAACAACTTGCCTTTTAAAAACCCACAAAAGCAGTTTTCTGTGCAGTATGGAATCTTCCTGAGAAACTTAAGTTACAGATTTAGGAATTGTTCTAAGGAGGAATAAGGCACCAAGAAGTAAGTCGATGTCGATGCTGTCCCCCTTGTATCACAGTGTGCAGACATGGGTTGAGCTTCTTCCAAACAAGAGCTACAAAAGGCACAGAAAGTTACCAAGGCAAAGCCAAAGAAACAATGTGTTTTGCCAAAATATTTGATAGCTCTGCCAGTTACATGAGAGACGTGGACATGGCACTAAACACGTTGACACAAATGGTGACTCAGGGCTAAAGTAAGACCTACTGGATGCTGCAATTACTGTGGATTGAGAGACACTGTTGTTGTAACAGGAAAGTATATATACAGTCATGTGTCGCATAACCACTTTTCAGCCAATGATGGCCCAAACAGTGGACCACATATATGATGACGGTCTCATAAGATTATAATACTGCATGTTTACTGTACCTTTTCTATGTTTAGATATGTTTAGATACACAAACATTTACCATCAGGTTAAAATTGCCCACAGCATTTAGTACAGACACACGCTGTACAGGCTTGTAGCCTAGGAGGAATAGGTGATACCATGTAGCCTGGGTGTGTAGTAGGTTAGACCATCTAGGTTAGTGTAAGTACACTCTATGATGTTCACACAATGACAAAATCATCTAATGATGCATTTCTCAGAACATATCCCCACTGTTGGCATATGATGTATGCAGGCTTGTGTGCGTGTGTTTGTGTATGTATCATATGACTGTATACAGGCACGTGTGTGTGTGTGGGTGTATGCAGTCATATGCACTTACGTATGTGTGTGTGTGTCCTTTCAAGTATTCAGTCTGAAATCAAAGGACTATATTTGAAAAGGTGCCTCAAACATTATAAGGTCAAGAACCATTACAATAGGAAAATGGTGAGCCTTAGGAATTTAGAAAAGGGGCATTAGGGCCCAGGTCATTCCCACAGCCTTTGGGTAAGCATGATGGTGGGTGAAAGTTGGGATGGTAAGAGAATTTTCTACAGCAAATGAGAATGGAGTAGGCAGACAGGGAGTAGTAGATTTACGAGTAAAATATGAGGTGTATGAGCAACCAGTAATCCAGTAGAGAAGTCACTTATAGGAAAAGTAATATATATTGTGAGGGGGTATTTATACATGTAGGTCAGAAAGTCCTTCGGGCCAGAGATGGCAAAGATACCCACGTTGGAACTACAGGGGGAAAGGAGGTAGAGATGAGGCATTGTGGTAATGAAGATAGACACACAAGGTCATGCACGGAGAAAAGAGCACCCAGCCCCTCACCACCTCTGTGGCTCCCTGGGACCCTCTAAAGCACTGTGCAAAATCCTTGTGACCACCCTCCCCTAAGGTCTCCACTGGCTCTGAACTTGAACACTCAAATGAGTCTTCCTAGGGGAAATTTCAAAAATTGATTTCTAATATTTTGATTTCTTGTTTGGAAGGGGATGTGGCCCAGGCAGCCACTTCAAGGGGTATCCTGTTGAGCAAGGACTCGATGAGTCCCGAAAGCAGCAACCAAAGTGGAAAGGATCTTAAGAGGAAAACAGCAGGTCACCCAGGAGACTGACCGGGCCCCGATTCTGAAGACATTCTGCAGGGGGAGCTAATGGCAACTTGGGGCAAGTCTGATTCTCACTCAGAACTGGTCCCAAACCCCCATCCTCATGTCGAGCCAAGACTAAACTCCCACAAGGATGTCTGCCAGGGGAGAAGGGGCTAGTGAAGAATCCCTGGACTGACCATGGTGGCTACAGCTACAAAGGCTCCTGTGGGAAACTGGATTGTCAAGCAGGGGAGGAAGAAAGGAACCAACTCTGTTGAGTGCTTGCTTATTTAGGAAGCTCTGTGCTGGACTCAATTTTTGCTGTCGTCTTTAGTACTTACCACATTTTAAGTTTTGTAATCCTTATTTGAGTGGCAAGGAAGTTGAAGTTCAGAAAGGTTAGGCATTTTGTTCAAGATGACAGCATGATGTCAAAATATGAATCCAGAAATGCCTGACTCCAACATTTAGGCTATTTTCAATAAATTGTGGTCATTCCCTGAAGGAGTCTCAAATTAATTTATTAATCCTTTGTTCAACACATATGGTTTATTTTCTTTATTTTTGCTTTTATTGAGACAGGGTCTCAATCTGTCACTCAGGCCAGAGTGCAGTGGTGTGATCACAGCTCCCTGCAGCCTCAACCTCCCAAGCTCAAACAATCCTCCCACCTCAGTCTCCAGAGTAGCTGGGACTACAGGTGCACAACACCATACCCAGGTAATTTTTTTGGAGATAATGTCTCACTGTTATTCCCAGGCTGGTGTAAAAACTCCTGAGCTCAGGCGATCCTCCCGTCTCGGCCTCCCAAAGTGCTGGGGATACAGGTGTGAGCCACCATGCCTGGCTTATGTTTTTTTCAAAACTAGAAAATCTCCAGATGTTAAAAACTAGGCACATATTTTTATATAACAATGAATTGAAAGATATTTTTAACTGAAGGATAATAAAGAGAGGCATATCAAAACATAAGAGCTGCAGCTAAAGCAGAACTCAAGGGAAAATATATCGTCCTAAAATCTATGTATACAAAAAAGAAAACAAGCTGAAGGATCAGTGATCTAAACTTCCATCTCAAGAAGCTGAATACGTAAATCTACCCAAAGAAATCAGAAAGCATTTCTATGTTTCCAATGCTAAAGAGAAGAGCAAAACCCAATTAAATAGAAAAAAATCAATGAAGCTAAAGCTTAGTTCTTTGAAAAAGTAATACAATTGTTAAAGCCCTCAAGCAAGGTTAATCCATGAAAAAAGAGAGAAAATATAAGCTGCCAGTACCAGCAACAAGTATATTTTAACTGTATACTACATATATAAAACACTGAGCATGAAGAGGAGGAGGAAGACGGGGGAAGAAAAACATGTGTTTTGGAGCCATCCAGAAGAACTATATTCCAGATTCCATTCTAGTCAATTTAATCCAATATGCATTTGTTGGAAGAGAATATAAACTACTATTAGTTTGGTATGAAAGGCCTAGAAGGAAAAAGCACATGAATTTTGGAGTTGGACAGAGTTGAGTTCAAATTCAGTCTCTAGCTTGATACTAAATGTAGGACTTACGGTAAATTATTAGGTTGGTTCAAAAATAATTGTGGTTTTGCCATTCCTTTCGGTGGCAAAACTTGCAATTACTTTTGCACCAACTTAAATATATAACCTCTCTGAGCTCCCATTTTCTCATCTAAAAAATGAAATAATACCAACCTCACAGCACTGTTGGAAGGGTTGGGGTAAAGCACCAAGTACGTGGGTAGCTTATATCCTACAGAATAATTTTCACCAACATGACCCATGACCATGAAGTTTATGGTTTGACTATCTGTAGGAAGGGTACAAAAATACATCATGCAACAAGGTCATTCATTTGGAAATGTAATGCTTTCTGAAAAACTTGAGCATTCACTTTTCTTCACTTGCCTGTTCTAATAAGAGAGGTTTGGTGTGGTGATTTTTCAATAGAAAGGATGTTACCAATATATAAATAACATAAAAGGATCACATGAGAATTAAAGTGAAGTAACTTAACATACAATTTTCATTCTAATCTTATACAATAATTTTTCTTGACTATTGATAGATCACAATAAAGGTATGCTGATGATATAAGTTATTTTAAGACTTTGGGGAAAAAGGCTTCCGTCTCTGGCATTGACCTTATTGTGGAGGACCCTCCAAAATCTTCAGCTCTGCACCAGCAGGTATGCTGAGTCATGTATGATGACATAAACCACAAGGAGTCAAGGAGCTAAAACAACCACAGCGACTGGCTCAGATCTCAGATGTGCAAGATGAATCCTCAGGATTTTTCACACACTGAAGAAACTTGTCAGGTCTATGACAAGAAAGCAAAAAAGGAAATCAAGAGACCGTAGGATACATCTGTCGTCCAATTCGCTAATGGAGGAAGCCCCTTTTTTAGCGACGACAAGGTGCACAGACCACTTAGCATCCATATAAACTCCTCTCCTGCAGTGACATGTCGGGAGGGGAGCTATCCATGCCACCTGCTGGTCAAAAAAACAGCAGGAGCAGCAACCAAGGCCACGGACCCCCACAGCTTCTGTGGCTAATTTGCTTTCCTCTCTTCCGAAGCTTCCTGAGGGAATGTTGAATCCAGGGTCAGAGGCAGAGTCTGGGAAAAAGCTGGAGACCCTCAGCAAGGGGACCAAACTTGCTTTGAAACAAACCTTAGATAAGTACCTAACAGGTGAATGACTATTATTTTCATAAAAATTAGCTAAAGCAACAGGATCCAATAGGAGTGGCTGGCACATGAATAGGGGGATGGTGGATAGCGAGGAATGGGGTTCTTTAAATTTGATTTTGCTAAATATGAGCCAAGGAAGAGAGAGATCCTCAGAAGCAGCTGCCAGCACCCCTGGGCTTCTGGAAGGAAGAGGTGTCAGAACCTGCCCTTGTGATGTGTCACCTGGTTCCCATTATGGGCCACTGTCTGTACAAGTCCAAATGGAAGCCATGCCCATATTTTCTTTCCAGATGGAGAATGAGTGAGCTCACTTGGAGCCTAAAGCAGACACAAATGAGGGGAGTTGACGAATTATAATATAAAGGTCTTCTGGTCATTTATGAGAAAAAGGTTAATGTTTCATAAGACAAAAAAGGTAAAAGAGTATTGGGGATAAGACCATCTTTATTTCCCAGTCTTTGTCTAGGTTTCTACTATTCTATTTTCTCCATGCAACATATCTTTGAACAGCTTAGACTCGTCAGATATCTGCAAGATTGCTTTTTTTTTTTTTTTTTTTTTTTTTTTTGCTTCTGAGAGTTGTTTTTTATTTTTTATTTTTTTTATTATACTCTAAGTTTTAGGGTACATGTGCACATTGTGCAGGTTAGTTACATATGTATACATGTGCCATGCTGGTGCGCTGCACCCACTAATGTGTCATCTAGCATTAGGTATATCTCCCAATGCTATCCCTCCCCCCTCCCCCGACCCCACCACAGTCCCCAGAGTGTGATATTCCCCTTCCTGTGTCCATGTGATCTCATTGTTCAATTCCCACCTATGAGTGAGAATATGCGGTGTTTGGTTTTTTGTTCTTGCGATAGTTTACTGAGAATGATGGTTTCCAATTTCATCCATGTCCCTACAAAGGATATGAACTCATCATTTTTTATGGCTGCATAGTATTCCATGGTGTATATGTGCCACATTTTCTTAATCCAGTCTATCATTGTTGGACATTTGGGTTGGTTCCAAGTCTTTGCTATTGTGAATAGTGCCGCAATAAACATACGTGTGCATGTGTCTTTATAGCAGCATGATTTATACTCATTTGGTTATATACCCAGTAATGGGATGGCTGGGTCAAATGGTATTTCTAGTTCTAGATCCCTGAGGAATCGCCACACTGACTTCCACAATGGTTGAACTAGTTTACAGTCCCACCAACAGTGTAAAAGTGTTCCTATTTCTCCGCATCCTCTCCAGCACCTGTTGTTTCCTGACTTTTTAATGATTGCCATTCTAACTGGTGTGAGATGATATCTCATAGTGGTTTTGATTTGCATTTCTCTGATGGCCAGTGATGATGAGCATTTCTTCATGTGTTTTTTGGCTGCATAAATGTCTTCTTTTGAGAAGTGTCTGTTCATGTCCTTCGCCCACTTTTTGATGGGGTTGTTTGTTTTTTTCTTGTAAATTTGTTTGAGTTCATTGTAGATTCTGGATATTAGCCCTTTGTCAGATGAGTAGGTTGCGAAAATTTTCTCCCATGTTGTAGGTTGCCTGTTCACTCTGATGGTAGTTTCTTTTGCTGTGCAGAAGCTCTTTAGTTTAATTAGATCCCATTTGTCAATTTTGTCTTTTGTTGCCATTGCTTTTGGTGTTTTGGACATGAAGTCCTTGCCCACGCCTATGTCCTGAATGGTAATGCCTAGGTTTTCTTCTAGGGTTTTTATGGTTTTAGGTTTAACGTTTAAATCTTTAATCCATCTTGAATTGATTTTTGTATAAGGTGTAAGGAAGGGATCCAGTTTCAGCTTTCTACATATGGCTAGCCAGTTTTCCCAGCACCATTTATTAAATAGGGAATCCTTTCCCCATTGCTTGTTTTTCTCAGGTTTGTCAAAGATCAGATAGTTGTAGATATGCGGCATTATTTCTGAGGGCTCTGTTCTGTTCCATTGATCTATATCTCTGTTTTGGTACCAGTACCATGCTGTTTTGGTTACTGGAGCCTTGTAGTATAGTTTGAAGTCAGGTAGTGTGATGCCTCCAGCTTTGTTCTTTTGGCTTAGGATTGACTTGGCAATGCGGGCTCTTTTTTGGTTCCATATGAACTTTAAAGTAGTTTTTTCCAATTCTGTGAAGAAAGTCATTGGTAGCTTGATGGGGATGGCATTGAATCTGTAAATTACCTTGGGCAGTATGGCCATTTTCACGATATTGATTCTTCCTACCCATGAGCAGTTCTTCCATTTGTTTGTGTCCTCTTTTATTTCCTTGAGCAGTGGTTTGTAGTTCTCCTTGAAGAGGTCCTTCACATCCCTTGTAAGTTGGATTCCTAGGTATTTTATTCTCTTTGAAGCAATTGTGAATGGGAGTTCACCCATGATTTGGCTCTCTGTTTGTCTGTTGTTGGTGTATAAGAATGCTTGTGATTTTTGTACATTGATTTTGTATCCTGAGACTTTGCTGAAGTTGCTTATCAGCTTAAGGAGATTTTGGGCTGAGACGATGGGGTTTTCTAGATAAACAATCATGTCGTCTGCAAACAGGGACAATTTGACTTCCTCTTTTCCTAATTGAATACCCTTTATTTCCTTCTCCTGCCTGATTGCCCTGGCCAGAACTTCCAACACTATGTTGAATAGGAGCGGTGAGAGAGGGCATCCCTGTCTTGTGCCAGTTTTCAAAGGGAATGCTTCCAGTTTTTGCCCATTCAGTATGATATTGGCTGTGGGTTTGTCATAGATAGCTCTTATTATTTTGAAATACGTCCCATCAATACCTAATTTATTGAGAGTTTTTAGCATGAAGCGTTGTTGAATTTTGTCAAAGGCTTTTTCTGCATCTATTGAGATAATCATGTGGTTTTTGTCTTTGGCTCTGTTTATATGCTGGATTACATTTATTGATTTGCGTATATTGAACCAGCCTTGCATCCCAGGGATGAAGCCCACTTGATCATGGTGGATAAGCTTTTTGATGTGCTGCTGGATTCGGTTTGCCAGTATTTTATTGAGGATTTTTGCATCAATGTTCATCAAGGATATTGGTCTAAAATTCTCTTTTTTGGTTGTGTCTCTGCCCGGCTTTGGTATCAGAATGATGCTGGCCTCATAAAATGAGTTAGGGAGGATTCCCTCTTTTTCTATTGATTGGAATAGTTTCAGAAGGAATGGTACCAGTTCCTCCTTGTACCTCTGGTAGAATTCGGCTGTGAATCCATCTGGTCCTGGACTCTTTTTGGTTGGTAAACTATTGATTATTGCCACAATTTCAGAGCCTGTTATTGGTCTATTCAGAGATTCAACTTCTTCCTGGTTTAGTCTTGGGAGAGTGTATGTGTCGAGGAATGTATCCATTTCTTCTAGATTTTCTAGTTTATTTGCGTAGAGGTGTTTGTAGTATTCTCTGATGGTAGTTTGTATTTCTGTGGGATCGGTGGTGATATCCCCTTTATCATTTTTTATTGTGTCTATTTGATTCATCTCTCTTTTTTTCTTTATTAGTCTTGCTAGCGGTCTATCAATTTTGTTGATCCTTTCAAAAAACCAGCTCCTGGATTCATTGATTTTTTGAAGGGTTTTTTGTGTCTCTATTTCCTTCAGTTCTGCTCTGATTTTAGTTATTTCTTGCCTTCTGCTAGCTTTTGAATGTGTTTGCTCTTGCTTTTCTAGTTCTTTTAATTGTGATGTTAGGGTGTCAATTTTGGATCTTTCCTGCTTTCTCTTGTAGGCATTTAGTGCTATAAATTTCCCTCTACACACTGCTTTGAATGCGTCCCAGAGATTCTGGTATGTGGTGTCTTTGTTCTCGTTGGTTTCAAAGAACATCTTTATTTCTGCCTTCATTTCGTTATGTACCCAGTAGTCATTCAGGAGCAGGTTGTTCAGTTTCCATGTAGTTGAGCGGCTTTGAGTGAGATTCTTAATCCTGAGTTCTAGTTTGATTGCACTGTGGTCTGAGAGATAGTTTGTTATAATTTCTGTTCTTTTACATTTGCTGAGGAGAGCTTTACTTCCAACTATGTGGTCAATTTTGGAATAGGTGTGGTGTGGTGCTGAAAAAAATGTATATTCTGTTGATTTGGGGTGGAGAGTTCTGTAGATGTCTATTAGGTCTGCTTGGTGCAGAGCTGAGTTCAATTCCTGGGTATCCTTGTTGACTTTCTGTCTCGTTGATCTGTCTAATGTTGACAGTGGGGTGTTAAAGTCTCCCATTATTAATGTGTGGGAGTCTAAGTCTCTTTGTAGGTCACTGAGGACTTGCTTTATGAATCTGGGTGCTCCTGTATTGGGTGCATAAATATTTAGGATAGTTAGCTCCTCTTGTTGAATTGATCCCTTTACCATTATGTAATGGCCTTCTTTGTCTCTTTTGATCTTTGTTGGTTTAAAGTCTGTTTTATCAGAGACTAGGATTGCAACCCCTGCCTTTTTTTGTTTTCCATTGGCTTGGTAGATCTTCCTCCATCCTTTTATTTTGAGCCTATGTGTGTCTCTGCACGTGAGATGGGTTTCCTGAATACAGCACACTGATGGGTCTTGACTCTTTATCCAACTTGCCAGTCTGTGTCTTTTAATTGCAGAATTTAGTCCATTTATATTTAAAGTTAATATTGTTATGTGTGAATTTGATCCTGTCATTATGATGTTAGCTGGTGATTTTGCTCATTAGTTGATGCAGTTTCTTCCTAGTCTCGATGGTCTTTACATTTTGGCATGATTTTGCAGCGGCTGGTACCGGTTGTTCCTTTCCATGTTTAGCTCTTCCTTCAGGAGCTCTTTTAGGGCAGGCCTGGTGGTGACAAAATCTCTCAGCATTTGCTTGTCTATAAAGTATTTTATTTCTCCTTCACTTATGAAGCTTAGTTTGGCTGGATATGAAATTTTGGGTTGAAAATTCTTTTCTTTAAGAATGTTGAATATTGGCCCCCACTCTCTTCTGGCTTGTAGGGTTTCTGCCGAGAGATCCGCTGTTAGTCTGATGGGCTTTCCTTTGAGGGTAACCTGACCTTTCTCTCTGGCTGCCCTTAACATTTTTTCCTTCATTTCAACTTTGGTGAATCTGACAATTATGTGTCTTGGAGTTGCTCTTCTCGAGGAGTATCTTTGTGGCGTTCTCTGTATTTCCTGAATCTGAACGTTGGCCTGCCTTGCTAGATTGGGGAAGTTCTCCTGGATAATATCCTGCAGAGTGTTTTCCAACTTGGTTCCATTCTCCACATCACTTTCAGGTACACCAATCAGACGTAGATTTGGTCTTTTCACATAGTCCCATATTTCTTGGAGGCTTTGCTCATTTCTTTTTATTCTTTTTTCTCTAAACTTCCCTTCTCGCTTCATTTCATTCATTTCATCTTCCATTGCTGATACCCTTTCTTCCAGTTGATCGCATCGGCTCCTGAGGCTTCTGCATTCTTCATGTAGTTCTCGAGCCTTGGTTTTCAGCTCCATCAGCTCCTTTAAGCACTTCTCTGTATTGGTTATTCTAGTTATACATTCTTCTAAATTTTTTTCAAAGTTTTCAACTTCTTTGCCTTTGGTTTGAATGTCCTCCCGTAGCTCAGAGTAATTTGATCGTCTGAAGCCTTCTTCTCTCAGCTCGTCAAAATCATTCTCCATCCAGCTTTGTTCTGTTGCTGGTGAGGAACTGCGTTCCTTTGGAGGAGGAGAGGCGCTCTGCGTTTTAGAGTTTCCAGTTTTTCTGTTCTGTTTTTTCCCCATCTTTGTGGTTTTATCTACTTTTGGTCTTTGATGATGGTGATGTACAGATGGGTTTTCGGTGTAGATGTCCTTTCTGGTTGTTAGTTTTCCTTCTAACAGACAGGACCCTCAGCTGCAGGTCTGTTGGAATACTCTGCCATGTGAGGTGTCAGTGTGCCCCTGCTGGGGGGTGCCTCCCAGTTAGGCTGCTCGGGGGTCAGGGGTCAGGGACCCACTTGAAGAGGCAGTCTGCCCGTTCTCAGATCTCCAGCTGCGTGCTGGGAGAACCACTGCTCTCTTCAAAGCTGTCAGACAGGGACACTTAAGTCTGCAGAGGTTACTGCTGTCTTTTTGTTTGTCTGTGCCCTGCCCCCAGAGGTGGAGCCTACAGAGGCAGGCAGGCCTCCTTGAGCTGTGGTGGGCTCCACCCAGTTCGAGCTTCCTGGCTGCTTTGTTTACCTAATCAAGCCTGGGCAATGGCGGGCGCCCCTCCCCCAGCCTCGTTGCCGCCTTGCAGTTTGATCTCAGACTGCTGTGCTAGCAATCAGCGAGATTCCGTGGGCGTAGGACCCTCTGAGCCAGGTGTGGGATATAGTCTCGCGGTGCGCCGTTTCTTAAGCCGGTCTGAAAAGCGCAATATTCGGGTGGGAGTGACCCGATTTTCCAGGTGCGTCCGTCACCCCTTTCTTTGACTCGGAAAGGGAACTCCCTGACCCCTTGCGCTTCCCAGGTGAGGCAATGCCTCGCCCTGCTTCGGCTCGCGCACGGTGTGCACACACACTGGCCTGCGCCCACTGTCTGGCACTCCCTAGTGAGATGAACCCGGTACCTCAGATGGAAATGCAGAAATCACCCGTCTTCTGCGTCGCTCACGCTGGGAGCTGTAGACCGGAGCTGTTCCTATTCGGCCATCTTGGCTCCTCCGCCGCAAGATTGCTTTTACAGTTGCTCCTTCATTCATTCTTTCTGTTTTCCTGTCTAACTGCTGTAGAATGCTCATGGCCTTTTCTGGCTGTTTCCAGATAGAAGCAAGGTGACTCATGGGGAATTCAGGTCATTTGGGAAACAAAAGCCATCAGTAGAGTCTCCAGAATCTATCCTTCTGCTTTTCTGATGTGGTTAGTGAGAGAAGGTAGTGACATGGAAACAGGAACAATATTCTAGCATCTCAGCTTCTACCTCCTTTGAACAGCTTTTCCTCTCTGCATCAATCTTGTTCCAAGCTATTATACGTGGAAAAATCTCCAAAGATGCTTCTACCAATGAGTACCTACCTACACCATTGGTCACAACTGCTTAAAAATGAGTGAGGGGTCTCAGTTTTGAAACTAGAATTATATGTGACTTTAAAAAATATATATCTATCTGTAATTTTAAACTGTTTTCTAATAAACACAAATTATCAGAAAAATTTTGTAAATACTTTTTTTTTTAATTTAAAAAATATAGATTTTGGTAGACTGCCGTGTGACGCCTTGTCATGTGTTAGGCATCTGTACTCAGATCCAACTAAGGAAGCTTCACTTGCAAAATGATGTCAAGTCACAAGGATTTTACAACTTGGGAGAAAGGGCTTAGCAAAACATTCCCTTGCTCCCCTGAAACCTAGTAGGCCAGTGAACCCTGGACTGGGCCACTCACACTGGGAATGAAAAAATATGCCATCAAAGGTTGTGTCAGCTTTAGAGGCAAGTCCTACTTGGGATCAATAGAGACGGATGAGGAAAGGCAGCCAAGTGAAGGCCACTAGCTTGGATACCTTCTGGACTCGGCTTGGAAGGAGGGACAGAGATCACCAGAGGTTGCCATCTGTGATCATCATCAAGGCCCAAGAAAGATTCACACAGCCCTCCAAGCTCAGAGGAGGCTAAGGAAAAAAGGAAATTCTACAGGTGACAAGACAGTCATTTTTTTCTTCAAGAAGAAATTAATTACCTGTAGATATTCTTGCAGGAAAATTGAATATTCCTTTTGCTTATAATCGATTCCAGCTCTTTTATGGTGGGATCCTGGCATAAGTCTCTGGGGAAGAAAGAAGAAAGTATTAAAATTACAAGATCTCACAAACATTTTTGGAGTCTCTTTGTTTTTGTAGCACGCCCTGGACAAGGCCCTTGGATAAAGAGGTAAAGTAGAGGTAAATCCTCTAAGAGCTCCTGGGTCAGCAGGAGAGCTGAAGTGTCAAGCAGTTAAATATCCTTTGTGGAGATAAAGTTAAGAGGCTGTTGGGATTCATGCACATTCATGTAGTTTCATTTCCTGAGTCAATTTGTTCCCAGTGCGTGCTTGTGACTGTGGATTCTTTTGTGGACTGATTCATAAAATAACACTTGGGTACAAAGTAGTAAGATATACCTGGAATCTTCTCTTCCACCATGTATCACCCAGGCCTCTAGTGTCTGAACCTTCTCTGGTTGCAAATTATGGACTTCCACACTCCCAAAAGTGCTAAAATAGAAGAAACAAAGAACCCCAAACATCAACCCCAAACGAAAGCATCCACACCCCCCTCAACAACCAGCAGGCAGAAAGGCACTGGCTAGGACCTATCCTTTAGAGTTGACACATCAAATTGCAAATCAGTCAATAACCTTTTCTTATTCAGCATGACCCTCGGTTAACAAGATTCTCAAAATAAAATTCTTAATTTGTGCATTAATGTTGATTCTTTAAATATTTGCTATTTGAAGAGTGGTCCTTAGACCAACCTAATGAACATCACCTGGGAACTCATTAGAAATGTAGAATTTCAGCCAGGCATGGTGGCTCATGCCTGTAATCCCAGCAATTTGGGAGGCCGAGGCAGGCAGATCATGATGCCAGGGGATCGAGACCATCCTGGCTAACACTATGAAACCCCGTCTCTACTAAAAATACAAAAAATTAGCTGGGCGTGGTGGTGGGTGCCTGTAGTCCCAGTTATTCAGGAGGCTGAGGGAGGAGAATGGCGTGAACCTGGGAGGCTGAGCTTGCAGTGAGCGGAGACCGTGTCACTGCACTCCAGCCTGGGCAACAGAGCGAGACGCCATCTCAAAAAAAAAAAAAAAAAAAAAAAAAAGAAATGTAGAATTTCAACCACTATAACCTGCTGAAATGATCTGCAGTTGAACAATCCCCACGTGATTCACATGCTCAGTGAAGTTTGAGAGGCAATGCTTTGAAAGACTATGGTTGCCTGCCCTAATCCCATTCCTAAACTCTTCCCTGTTAGTCTCTGACAACTGACACTCCTGTTTCAAGTGCTTGAACCATAATATTAGATCATAAAATTCTGAAATGTTAATGCTTTTACCCAAAAAAATTGGGATCAGAAGACGAAAGGACAAATGCTTCCTTGTAGAATTAAATATTAAAACAGGAGAGAAGAAAAATTAATTTGGGGCACCTAGAGTTTATAAGGCAAATTAATATATGCTTCCTCCTTTCAGTCAGCCTTATGTGGGATTAGAGAACAAAAATTAGAGAACAAAGGCCGAAAAGGTAATCAACATAGTAAAAACTGTAAATATAGAAGGAGATCAGCCAAGGAAGGCACAGGTGTGGCCAGATTCAGTGGCAAGGATCAGCAAATGAGAATAATAGCTGATTCTCATTGAGCACTTTCTCTGTTGTCAGGCACAGAGCTCAGCATTTTTCATCTGTTGTCTCAGTTAATCTTCCCATCACCATCAACTCTTTGGTACATATTCAGGGGCTCACAGAGGTTGACTGCCCTGCCTGAGGTCACACAGATGATATGTAATGACCGCCAGTACCTGCTTTCAACCACTACAGTACATTGTTGACAATGTCTGCAAAAAGATAGTGAAGGCCAAGAGCCCAGCACAGTTCCCGATGTTCCCGGTAGTAGTTTTACTACTGAATTGGGGTACACAATTTTCCTGGAGGAGAGGAGGGTCAAGGCAGGTCTTCATGGATGGTGAAGATTTAGACAGAAGGGAGCAGGGGAGCAGGGGAGGCAGGTCATATGGGGGAACGGTGTGAACAATGGTGAGCAATGGGTAGGGTGGAGGGTAACGGGAGAGAAAGCTGAGAAAATTACACCAGGCCTGCAAAAGTTAAGAGCAGGGGCTAGATACAGTGCAGTGGCCATTAGAACCTGGTAGACAATTTTTGGCAAAGGAGAAATCAGACAAACACATTGACAGGAGACAACTCTCTCCACGGAATTCAAAATTTTTACCTTTTTTGGCCCTAATCTTCAGAACTGACCTGAAACATGAAAAGCATATTCTTTCTAGAGATGAAATATTCACTGTGATATTTGCAACAGGATACTTGCAAACAGGATGCAAAATAAATGTGTACCTGTTTTTGTCAAAGATTTTACTGCGGGATCCATTGAGCATCACATGGACCACATCACAGGCAGCTTCTGCAAACTTAAAAAAAAAAATGCCCACCATTCATCATGCAAACTTAATCACCATCCTCCAGCAGTTTCATTCAAAACAATACTTAGCAATAGCTGGTTAAGGAAGGATATCCCATATGGTTTTAGCCCAGGAATGTCAGGTCTACACAATTTTTATTCCAAGCCACTGGACGGATTATGCTTCATATCAGAGTTCTTGAAGCAGTTGCTCCAATCTCTAAGTGAACAATGTTCAGTGTTATAGTTCATAGAGCTGGTGGTTCAGTGGTTCAGAAGTCAGAAGTCCAGAGGAGTAAGAGGAATGTCTAGAGGGGGAAGATGAAAGTGCTTTCTCAGTGTCATGCACTGTAAACATTATGCTTCATTTAGTGGGAACAGGTGGATGATTCAGGGATGAGGGAAATGGGAACACCATAAGAGGGGAACCTGAGGAGAGAACAGGGGACCCTTAGGCCTGGAAAAGCACAGAGAGAAAGGAGGACTGAATAAGTGAATGAATAAATATGCTTGAGCAAAGGGTCTTATTTCTCCATGCAAGAAACATTCAGCAGGAATCTTTGTTAGACTTTGGAAAAATGAAATGAACAAAATAGTGTTCTATATGCTCCCTCCAGGAGGCCTCCCCAACCCCTGGGACTAGCTCAAGTCCCCTTCTCTGACTCTGACAGCATCTTACATTCCCTCCACATTATCCAACTGTATTGTATTATAATGATGAGTTTAACCTACCCACAAAAATTAAAAATTAAAAAAAAACATGGCCTCTGTTATCAGAAAAAGAAAGGGACAAGTCTGAAAAAAGAAGTCCATCCACATACATCCATGAGTGATTGGCAAAATAAAGGTGCTGGTAGCTCACAAGGGCAGGACGCCTTCAATCACGTGCACCTCTGTATTCCTAGTGCCAGGGACTGAGTGGGGAACGCAAGGAGGTTCTTGATACATATAAAATGTGACTTGGCTTTAAAAGATTTTAGCAACAGCACTGTCCTAAAACATACCATAGAGTAGTGAAATGGAAACTATTCTCAGAAAAAGCAAACAAACAAAAACTATAAAGTGCCCATGAATGTTCACTGTCCATAGTAAGTACTCAATGAATTATTTTTGAAGTGGGTGGATTTTGGGTTATGTTATAGGATGGTGGTATCTCATTTAAACATTGCAGTAACCCTATGGAACAAGTATATTTTGATTTCCATTTGACAAATGAGGAATCAGAAGATCAGAATGAGTAAAGGAATCTGCCCAAGTTTAAACATGGTCTCCTTATGTCAACTTCCAGGCTGTTTTTCTGTTTCCATCGTACCAGGGTTTACATGAATCCCCCTAAGACAGAGATTTAGCTAGGTACCAACCTAGAGTTAAGATCAAACCTGTCATTTAAAAGACAGAACCAATAAGCAGATTCAAAGAACAAAATTGAAGAGCATGGCTTTGGAATCAGGGAGGCCTAGGTTAGGCTCTTAGGTCTGTAACTTATTAGCCCAGGGAACTTGGATGAGTCACTTAACTTCTGAGTCTTAGTTTCTTCACCTTTAATGTAGGGATTTGTCACACTACCTATGGGGATGACTCAATGGGAATGACAGAGGAACTACTTCAAGGCTTGTCACAGATATGCTGCTATGATTTGAATGTATGTGTTTCTTATGTTGATACCTAAGACCAATGTGATGGTAATAAGTAGTGAGTCCTTTAGGAGATAATTGGGCCCTAAGGGTTCTGCCCTCATGAATGGGATTAACACCCTTATGAAAGGGCTCCAGGGAACTAGCTAGGTTCCTTTAGCCCCTCTGCCTCTGCCATGTAAGGACACAGCAAGAAGGCACCATTTTGGAAGCAGACAGCAGCCCTCACCAGACATTGAATCTGCTGGCACCTTAATCCTGGATTTCCCAAGTATCCAGCACAATGAGAAAATAAAACTCCTGTTTTAAAAAAATTACCAAGTCTCAGGTAGTTTGTGATAGCAGCACAAATGGACTAAGACATATGCACTTAACAAATACATTTCCACCTGCCCCAGTTCCTCAGATGTCTAAGTTTAATTTTGAAAGTTATAATTAGTGTATTGTTACTCACACCTTTTTCTTTCATTTCTTTCTTCCTTCCTTTCTCTTTTTTTCCCTAACACACTTGAAAAGAAATGTTTCCTTGTCCACTTAACACTGAAGCAACTTACAAGATAAATAAATATACACAGGTAGCTTTGAGTAAAGTTAGAAATAGATGGGGGTATATGTGCACAATGGAATTGTATTCAGGAATTAAAAAATGTATTCCTGGCCAGGTGCAGTGGCTCACCCCTGTAATCCCAGAACTTTGGGAGGCCAAGGTGGGTAGATCACCTGAGGTTAGGAGCTTGAGACAGCCTGGCCAACATAGTGAAACCCTGTCTCTACAGAAAATACAAAAATTAGCCGGGCATGGTGGCCCATGGCTGTAGTCTTAGCACCTTGGGAGGCCAAGGCTGGCGGATCACCTGAGGTCAGGAGTTTGAGACCAGCCTGGCCAACATGGTGAAACTCCGTCTCTACTGAAAATACAAAAATTAGCCGGGCATAGTGGCCCACACCTGCAGTCCCAGCTACTGGGGAGGCTGAGGTAGGAGAATCGCTTGAACTTAGGAGGTGGTGGTTGCAGGGAGCCGAGATCACACCATTGCACTCCAGCCTGGGTGACAGAGCAAGACTCCATCTCAAAAAAAAAAAAAAAAAAAAAAAAAAAAAAAAGTATTCCTGTCATTTGCAGCAACATGGAAGGAACTGGAGGGCATTATGTTAAGTGAAGTAAGCCAGAAACAGATGGTTAAATACTACATACTCTCACTCATATATGGAAGCTAAAATTAAGTTGATCTTATGGAAGTAAAAGGCAGAACAGAGGCCACCATAGGCTTAGAAAAGTAGGAGGAGGAGGAGATAGGTAGAGATTTGTTAAAAGATACAAAATTATAGTTAGATAGGAGGAATAAATTCTGGTGTTCAATAACACTGTAGGAGGACTACAGTTAATAATATGTAGTTTCAGCTAGCCAGAAGGGGGATATTCAATGCTCCCAACACAAAGAAATGATAAATGTTCGAGATGACAGATATGTTAATTACCCCGATTTCATCACTATACCTTATATGTATCACCACATCACTATATACCCCATAAATATGTAAAACTATTATGTATCAATTTTTTTAAAAAAAATAGGTAGAGGGTGGAGTGGTGAGTTTTTCCCAGCCTAGATTCTGAATCTGGAGTCAGACAGCTTGGGATAAACTCCCACATATGCCTCTTACTAATTCTGTACATTTAGTAGATTCCTTGTTTACTTGTACCTTCACGTTATGTGTTAAATGGTTACAATACTCATGGCACCTGCTTCACAGGGTTCTGGTGAAGATGCAAGTTACTAGTTCATGTAAAGATCTGAGGACCGTACCTGCCACATAGTAAGGGGTCTATACATGTAGATTGTTACGACTGTCCCAGGTATCTAAGATTGACTAATACCTGAATCAGAGGATTAAACCAAGCCCCAGGTTCCTGGTAGCCAAAGTCAGAGTGGGTACGTGCAAAGATTCTGCAACTGGAGCCCATGGACCCTCTAAGAATGTTCTAAAATTGGATGTGTAAATTTTCTGGCATGTGCATCTGAACCTTTTTCTCAGGAATGAATCCTATATTTTCATTCCTAAAAGTATTTGTAATCCAAAAGTGTTAAAACCAAGCACTGACTGAGTAACGTCTTAAGTTCTGTGGTCTCCAAAGCTCTAGAATTTCACTACTTGGTACTTACCCTGCGGGAAACCGTTTTCCAGAATACTGAAACAGGGTTGTTGCTGCAGTCCTTTCTCCAGTCTGGGCAAGATTGATAGTTTATTTCTAAAAGACATAGTTTGTAGAAAATAAAGTGGAAAACAGAGAGTATAAATAAGCTGTACTCTTCCCTGGCTGTTCAGTCATAGTGGAACCATTTTCCAATGTGTCACTGCCAAGACGGAGGCTGGAGAATGGACACATTTTGACCCAATTTAACTAAGTGTCCCCTGAATTCTTTCCAAGTTCTTACCTTATCTTCCAAATCCCAGATGGGAACACAGTGGCAAGTTTTGAGTCATGGTTCTGGGAAATGCTACCAAAAGTTCATCTGACAGAGACAAGCCCTCTAGGATTATCCCCAGTCCAGGAAGAATTAGAGGTAAAACCAGTCCTTCAGTGGTTGCTTTTGCCAACTGCTTTTCTGCTTCCTGACAACTCTCTCTTGCTGTGTTTCCTGCCCCACTTCTTAAGTCTTCACCACTTACTCTCAGATGGCCTCAGAGTCTTCCTACACTTGCCCTCATCAAGGCAGTCTTAACCCTGAGTGAAGTACAATGGACACAGAGCATGAATACATAGTTTCTGTGTCACTTCTCCCAAGGATATCTGCCTTAATGCACATTTATTGAGTTTTAGGTCTTAGAGGTAGAAAGATAAAATAGAAAAATTAGATGGGAACTTTGCCTTCAGAGAGCACATGATATAGTAATTCTAGGAGTCTTGTAATGATTAAATGCTTTAAAACCAAAACCACACAAATAAAAAAGAAACATTCCCATGTGTAGATATAAATAATTATTGTGGAGTCAAAAGGAATTATCTTCCCAACAGAGGTAAAAATGTTGATGGTGGAATGGACATACATTTCATAAGGTGCTTTAAAGTATATATGTTTTCATGAAAATAAACCTCTTTTATCTTCACAACGACATCTGGAGAGAATTCATCACCTACTAACTGAAGAGCCCTTGGGCCCTGAAAAACCAGAAGTGATACCCAATTAGTATGTCATGGGCCTTGGGTGAGACTCTGTGACTTGCTGGCTTCAGGTACAGCCACAGAGAGGTAGAGCACCAACTGGGCTTGGGGTCCCTGATTCCAGGATGTGGCTCTTGGATAGCATTTCTGGGCCTGCCCTGGGCCAGAGGGGAGCCCACTGCTTTGAAGGGTGAGTCCCAGGCCAGGCAGCATTAACCACAAGCTGACTGAAGAGTCCTTGGGCCTTGGAATATTAACAGTACACTGGCAGTACTCCCTGTGGGCCTGTGGTGGTGGTGGCCATGAGGTGAGGCTCCTTTGCCTTAGAAAAGGGGAAGACAGCATGGGAAGGACTGTGTCTTGTGGTTTGAATGCCAGCTTAGTCACAGTACAATGCAATACTAGGTAGACTTCTAAGGTTTTTTACTCTAGTCCCTGGCTTCTGGATGGCACCTCTGGACCAACCCAGGGCCTTGGGAAACTTGCCAACCTGAAGAGAAGAACACGGGTCTGGCTGGCTTTCTCACCTACTGATTGTAGAGCCCCAGAGCCTTGAGCAAATATAGATGGCAGCTAGGAAGTGGTTACTGCAGGCCCTGGGCAAGTGCTGTACTGGCTTCAAGTCTTACCCAGCAAAGTCCTAGTTGCGGTGGAGTGTGTCACCAGCTTTATGTGGGTCAGAACAGAAAGAGAGAGACTCTGGGAGAAAGTAAAGGGACTAGAAAAAGAATCTCTGCCTGGTAATCCAGAGAATCCTTCTAGATCTTGTCCAAGACCATCAAGGTGGTACCTCCATGAGTGTGTACAAGACCCACAGCATTACTAGGCTTGCAGGGCCCCCTACAGCAGATACAACGTAGATCACAACATCCGAGTCCTTCAAAATATCTGGAAAGCCTTTCCAAGGACAAGTACAAACAGGCCCAGGTTGTAAAGACTACAATAAATACAATGCCTAGATGCAGAAAAATATCTACAAGTATCAAGACCATCCAGGAATACATGACCTCACCAAATGAATTAAATAAGACATCAGAGATCAATCCTGAAGAAACAGAGATATGTGAGACAGAGAATTCAAAATAGCCATGTTGAGGAAACTGAAAGAAATTCAAGAATTCTATCAGATGAATTTAACAAAGAGATGGAAATAATTAAAAAGAATCAAGTAGAAATTCTGGAGCTGAAAAGTACAAATAACACACTGAAGAATGCATCAGAGTCTTTTTATAGCAGAACTGATCAAGCAGAAGAAAGAATTTGTGAGCTTGAAGACAGGCTATTTGAAAATACACAGTCAGAGGAGACAAAAGAAAAAAGAATAAAAAACAATGAAGCACACTGGCAGGATCTAGAAAATTGCCTTAAAAGGGCAAATCCAAGAGTTATTGGTGTCAAAGAGGAGGTAGAAAAAGAGATACAGGTAGAAAGTTTATTCAAAGCAATAATAACAGAGAACTTTGCAAACCTAGAGAAAGATATCAATATCCCAAGTACAAGAAGGTTATAGAACACCAAGCAGATTTAACCCAAGAATGCTGCCCCAAAGCATTTGATAATCAAACTCCCAAAGGTCCAAGATAAAGAAAGGATCCTAAAAGCAGCAAGAGAAAAGAAACAAATAGCATACAAGGGAGTTTCAGTACATCTGGCAGCAGACTTTTCAGTGGAAACCTTACAGGCCAGATGAGAGTGGCATGACATATTTGAAGTGCTGAAAGACAAAAAAAAAAGTTTTTACTCTAGAATAGTATATCTGGTGAAAATATCCTTCAAACTTGAAGGAGAAACACAGACTTTTCCAGACAAACAAAAGGTGAGGGATTTAATTAACACGAGACCTGTCCTAGAAGAAATGCTAAAGGGAGTACTTCAATTAGAAAGAAAAGGATATTAATGAGCAATTTAATCATCTGAAGGTACAAAACTCACTGGCAGTAGTAAGTACACAGAAAACCACAGAATGTTATAACACTGTAACTATGACGTGTAAACTACTCTTGTCTTAAGTAGAAAAACTAAATGATGAGCCAATCAGAAATAATAACTACAATAACTTTTCAAGACATATAAAGTACAATAAGACATAAATAGAAACAACAAAAAGTTTTAGAGTGGGAGAATGAAGTTAAGGTATAGAGTTTGTATTAGCTTTCTGTTTGCTGTCTTTGTTTCTTTATGCAAACTGTGTTAAGTTGTTATCAGCTTAAAATAATGGGATATAAGATACTATTTTTAAGCCTCATGGTAACTTCAAACTCAAAAACATATAACAGTTCCACAAAAAATAAAAAGCAGGAAACTGAAAAAATCACCTCCACTGAAAGGAAGACAGAAAGGAAAGAAAGAAGGAAGAGAAGACCACAAAACAAACAGAAAACAAGTAACAAAATGGCAGGAGTAAGTCCTTACTTAAAAATATAACATTTACGTCAAATGTAAATGGACTAAACTCTACAATCAGAAGGCACAGAGTGGCTCAATGGATAAAAATGAAACTAGACCCCTATCTCAAATCACATACAAAAATAAAATCAAAATAGATTAAAGATTTAAATCTAAGACCTCAAACTATGAAACTACTGCAAACTACTACAAGAAACCACTGGGGAAACTCTCCATGACATTTGTCTGGGCAAAAAAAATTATTGAGCAATACCCCATGAGCACAGGCAACGAAAGCAAAATGAACAAACAGGATCACATCAAGTTAAAAAGCTTCTGCATAGCAAAGGAAACAATCAACAAAGTGAAGAGAGAGCCCACAGAATGGGAGAAAATATTTGCAAACTACCCATTCAAGAAGGCATTAAAAACCAGAATAGATAAGTAATTCAAACAACTCTATAGGAAAGAAATCTAATAATCCAATTAAAAATGGGCAAAAGATTTGAATACATATTTCTCAAAAGAAGACATACAAATGGCAAACAGGCATATGAAAATGTGTTCAAATCATTGACCATCAGATAAATGCAAATCAAAACTATCATGAGATATCATCTCACCCCAGCTAAAATGGCTTTCATCCAAAAGTCAGGCAATAACAAATAATGATGAGGATGTGGAGAAAGGGGAACCCTTGTACACTGTTGGTGGGAATGTGAATTAGTACAACCACTATGGAGAACAGTTTTGAGGTTTCTCAAAAAAATAAAAATAGAGCTATTATATGATCCAGCAATGCCACTGCTGGATATATACCCAACAGAAAGAAAATCAGTCAATGGAAGAGATATCTGCACTCCCATGTTTATTGCAGCACTGTTCACAATAGCCAAGATATGGAAACAACCTAAATGTCCATCAATAGATAAATGGATAAAGAAAATGTGGTATTTATACACAATGGAGTACTATTCAGCCACAAAAAAGAATGTGTTCCTGTCATTTGCAACAACATGAATAGAACTGGAGGTCATTATGTTAAGTGAAATAAGCTAGACACAGAAAGATAAACATAGGATGTTCTCACTTATTTTAGCATCCAACAAATCAAAACAACTGATCTCATGGACATGGAGAATAGAAAAATGGTTACCAGACGCTGGGAAGTGTAGCAAGACATTGTGGGGAGGTGGGGATGGTTACCAAAAAATAGTTAGAATGAATAAGACCTATTATTTGATAGCACAGTATGGTGACTGTAGTCAATAACAATTTTGTTGTACATTTTAAAAAAAGCTTGTCCAACCCATGGCCCATGGGTCTCAAGCAGCCCATGACAGCTTTGAATGCAGCCCAACACATAAGTTCAATTCATAAACTTTCTTAGAAATTAGGAGATTTTTTGCGATTTTTTTTCAGCCCATCAGCTATCATTAGTATTAGTGTATTTTATGTGTGGCCCAAGACAATTCTTCCAATGTGGCCCAGGGAAGCCAAAAAATTGGACACCCCTGTTTTAAAATAACTAAAAGAATAAAATTGGATTGTTTGTAACACAAAAGATAAATGCTTATGGGGAAAGAGACATTTTTCATGATGTAATTATTATGCACTGTATATCTATATCAAAACATCTCATGTACACACATCCCATATATACACCTATTATGTATGCACAAAAATTAAAAATTAAAAAACAAACAAAAACAAAATACATAAGGAACTCAAACAACTCAAAAACAAGAAAAAAAATCAATTTAAAGGTGGGCAAAGGACCTGAATAGACATTTTTCAAAAGACATACAAATGGCCAACAAATATATTTTAAAATGCTCAAGCTTCCTAATTAATAGGGAAACAAAAATTAAAACCACAATGAGACATCATCTCACACCTGTCAGAAGGGTATAATCAAAAAGATGAAAGATAAATAACAAGTGTTGGCAAGAATGTGAAGAAAGGGGGTTATTTGTACACTATTGGGAAAGTAAATTAGTATACCCATTATGGAAAATGTGATGAAAGTTCCTCAACAAACTAAAAATAGAATACTACCATATGATCCAGCAATCCCACTTCTAGGTATTTACCCAAAAGATTTCAAATCAGTTTGTCAAAGAGATACCTGCTCCCCCATGTTCATTGCAGCACTATTTACAATAGCCAAGATATGGAATCAACCTGAGTCCATCAATAGACGAATGGATAAAGTGTGGTATATATACACAATGGAATACTATTCAGACTTTAAAAAGAAAGAAATTCTGTCATTTGTGACAATATAGATGGAACAAGAAAACAATATGCTAAGTAAAATAAGCCACCCACAGAAAGACAAATGCTGCATGTCCTAATACATATGGAATCTAAAACAATCAAGTTCATAGAAGCAGATAATAGAATGGTGGATACAGAGACCAGAAGTTGGAAGGAATGGGGAGATGATGGTCAAAGAGTACAAAATCTCAGTTAGAAAGGGTTTTTAAAAATATTTATTGCACAGCATGGTGATTGTAGTTAATAATAGTGTGCTGTACATTTCAACATTGCTAAGACAGTAAACTTCACATTTTCTCACTACAAAAAATAAGTATTTGAGGTCGGGCCTGGTGGCTCACACCTGTAATCCCAACACTTTGGGAGGCTGAAGAGGGTAGATCGCTTGAGCCCAGGAGTTCAAGACCAGCCTGGGCAACATGGTGAAACCCTGTCTCTAAAAAAAATACAAAAAATTAGCCAAGTGTGGTGGCAGGCACCTGTAGTCCCAGCTACCTGGGAGGCTAAGGTAGGAGGACCACCTGAGCCTGGTAGGTCAAGGTTGCAGTGAATTGTGATTGCACCACTGCACCTCAGCCTGGGTGACAGAGTGAGACCCTGTCTCAAAAACTAAAAAAAGTATTTGAGGCGGTGGATATGTTAATTAGTTTGATTTAATTATCCCACATTGTATTCATAAATTCATTTTTCACCCCACAAATACATACAATTATAAATTGTCAACTTAGAATAAAAAGTAAATAAATACATATACATCAGGAACTTGAAAGATAATCTATAAAATAAGAAGAAATTAAAAATTGAGGCCAAAGTATTAGAATGTAGATAAATAAAACTACATATACATAATTCAATTTAAAAGAAGGCAAAAATAAGGAACTCTGAACTGTAAATAAATCAGTTCTTAAAAATAAATTATTTCATTTTCTCTACTTTATTTCAAGAAAAATTGAACAAATTAAAAAATAAAACAAAAGGAGAGAAGTCTACTGTAAATACATTTAAAAGCTAAATGTTAAATGAATGACCAATAAAACAGTCATTGTTAAAAGGGAAATTTAAAAAGGAAAACATGGAACATGGGAAAAACTGTAAAATCTAAAAAAATTAATGGAAAAACATATTTATATTACCATATTCTAGGTGGGAAGACTCAGATCTAAATATGGAAAATATTTTAAACATTGTGAAAGTAAAAATAGTAGGTGAAAATACAGAAGAATGCTTCTCTAAGAAGATCTTTTTAAGGAAGATATGAAACACAGAAGCTATAAGGAAGAGAACAGACAGGTTTTCTGCATTTCTGGGTGGCAAAAGACAGACCATAAACACCGTGTAAAGTCCAAAATAAGAAAAATATATTCGCCAACTTGAGCCAGAAAGTGGGCAGAAAAACATGGCAGTTAAGAGCAAAGTTTCTCAAGTTAGTCTGAGAAACTTTGCTTCTTGCTTTGCCACTTACTGGCTGGCAAATTACTTAACTCCATGCCTCAGACTTCCTATCTCTAAAATGGGATCACCATATGACCTCATGGGGCTGTGGAGGATTAAATGAGTGACTACTTACGTAGCACATGGAACACTGGCACTTTGTAAGTACTTAATACATCGTAGCTCTTATTAATTTATAAAGAACTTCTACTAATTAGAAAATAATAGATACCGCATACAGATGGTCAAAATATATGAACTGCCAGCTTACAGAAGAAACAGAAAATCTACCATTTATGTATATATAGTAGCCTCACCATCAAAGAACTTCACACTAAATTGAGGTATTATTTTCTTCTGAAATGAGCCAAAAATTTTAAAGTAACAATACCTGGTGTTAGTGGGGATATAGGTAAATAAACTATCTCATATACATTCTTTTTTTTTCTTTTTTTAGTGTAAAATAGAGATGGGGTCTTACTATGTTGCCCAGGCCGTTCTTAAACTACTGGGCTCAAGTGATCCTCCCTCCTCCACCTCCCAAAGTGCTGGGATTGCAGGTATGAGCCACTGTGCCTGGCCTCATATATATACTCTTGATGAGGGTATAGTTACCATCTTTTAAATGACATGTTACCAGTTTCTATTACAATTTATCCTTTAACATTGAAGTTTCATTTATAAAAATTTATCGTTCAAGTATGCAGGTGTGTGTGTGTGTGTGTGTGTGTGTGTGTGTGTGTGTGCGCACAAAAGTGTTTCTTACAATAATGACATAATAGCAACCAAAACTAAAGCAACTTAATATCCATTAATAGGATTCTTAATGATAAAGCCTTTTAAAAGAGGATAGCTATCTTTATACCTACCAATTTTAAGTGAATAAAGCAAGTTGCACAACAGCGCGTGTACATTTTAAATATATATGTTTACATTAGCATAGGAAAAGTCTAGAAAGATCTATATCAAATTGCTGATAATAGTTACCCTTTGAGAAGTGATGCGGAGGTAGGAGGTGAAGGGAAAATTCAGAGTGACATTTGCTTTTTGCTTTTATGCATTTCTGTAATGTGCAAGTATTTTTTTTTCAAATAATCATGCTTTATTTTTGTAATTGAAAGTAATGCAAACCTGGGACAAAGAAGCTATAATAAGATAAGCTTTTAAAAACAAACAATGAAAAACAGTAAAAATAAGAATAAAACTATATAAAGTAAAAATATCCACCATATAAACAAAAAGAAAAAAAAAAGAAGTGAAAACTGCAGTAGGGTTTTGGTTGTAGGAAATCCCTTCCCCTGGTGAGGTGTTGAGTCTTTCTGGGCAGGATAAGGCTACATCTGAAAAATGATGGCAAAGCCAGTGCCTGAGATGGAAGAGTCCAGTCCATGGCTACTGTGATGATTCTGAAGAGCAAGAACCTTGGTCTAGGTCCCACTGAGACCTCATCCTGTTCTAGACTTCTTTGGACCTGAATGATGACCTTACAGAGAGCAAAATACCAAGAATTCGGAAGCAGGCTATGTGAGCACTCAAAAGAAGGGAATTAGGGAGCATGGGCAATCCCCAACTCTGAAGTCAATTTTTCAAGAAAACAGGGAATGCTACTTTATATCAGCCTGAGTTGCCATTAAGGGTAGTGCTATAGTTTGGATATTTAACTCTCCAAACCTTATGTTGAAATTCGACCCCCAGTGTTGGAGCTCGGGACTAGTAGGAGGTGTTTGGGTCATAGGGATGATCCTGCACGAATGGCATGGTGCTGTCCTTATAGTAATGAGTTCTTACTCTACTAGTTCCCAGGACAGCTGGTCATTACAAACAGCCTGGCACCTCCCCTGACCTCTCCTTGCTTTCCTCCCTCACCATGTGATCTCTGTAAATGCCAGCTCCCCTTCCCCTTCTCCATGAGTGGAAACAGCCTCAGGCCTTCACCCGAAGTGGATGCTGGTACCCTACTTCTTGTACAGCCTGCGTAACTGTGAGTCAAATAAACCTCTTTTCTTTATAAATTACGCAGCCTCAGGTATTCCTTAATAGCAACACAAATGGACTAATATAAGTATAGATGGCATCAGGATGGGTGCCTGTGGCTCTGTCCTCCACACTAATCATTCAGGGCCTCCAGCAGAAGTCACTCTGTTCACCCTCCACATCCCTGGGCAATCCCACAGGGCCCAGAGCCTCACTGGAAGTGTTGAATTCACCACACCATGTGAGGTCATCAGCAAGGTAGCCTAGCAGCGTGTCCTCCAGGGTGAACATGTCCCGCTGGACCTGTGTGAACTGATGGGCCAGATCTTTTATTCTGCTCCAAAGAAGAATCTAAGGAAGAATAAATACAATCTATTACTGAGATCAATTTAGCATGTCAAAAAAAATTAATCCACAGTTTTGTAAATGAAAAAAAAAACAGAGCATATCAAAGTAAATCACCCATAGTAAGAGTAAGAATTGTTGTAAGCATCAATGATTTCTGTGTGCAGGAGAGTGGCGGAGAGAGAGTGTGTGTGTGTGTGTGTGTTCTAGGTCACAATGTAAATGAATCTTTTATTCTAGGTTGCAGTCAAAAAAGTCTGAAAGCCACTGATCAAAATCTTATAATCAACATAGGATCACATATGGAGGTGGCATCAGAGAGTTACGATATTCCTAAGGTTATCTCCAAAAAAACTTTGTCTACGTGCTATTTTCAGGAAGATGTGCTATTTGATTCTTAAAGAACTATATAACCCCTTCCAAATTCCCTAAATATTCCCTACCCCTACTAAAAAAAAAATACAATAGATTTTTAAATTTAAGGGTCCCTCTTAAAGGTACAGGGAGTCAAAGTTCAGAATTATATTCTGTTTTATGAATCTATTATTTTTATTTTTATTTTAAATAAAATGTATATCCTGGGCATGTATATCCAGGGTATACATGCAGGATGTGCAGGTTTGTTACATAGGTAAATATGTGCCATGGGTTTGCTGCACCTATTAACCCATCACCTAGGTATTAAGCCAAGTATGCATTAGCTATTTGTCCTAATGTTCTCACTCCCCTCACCCCAACCCCAACAAGCTACAGTGTGTGTTTTTCCCCTCCTGGTGTCCATGTGTTCTCACTGTTCAGCTCCCACTTATAAGTGAGAACATGCAGCATTTGCATGTTCCTGTGTTAGTTTGCTGAAGATGTGGCTTCTGGCTCCATCTATGTCCCTACAAAGGACATGATCTTGTTCCTTTTTATGGCTGCATAATATTTCATGGTGTATACGTACCACATTTTCTTTATCCAGCCTATCACTGATGGGCATTTGAGTTGATTCCATGTCTTTGCTATTGTGAATGGCACTGCAATGAACATATGCATGCACATATCTTTATAATAGAATGATTTCTATTATACCCAGTAATGGGATTGCTGGGTCAAACGGTATTTCTAGTTCTAGATCTTTGAGGAATTGCCACACTATCTTCCACAATGGTTGAACTAATTTACATTCCCACCAACAGTGTAAAAGCATTTCTATCTCTCCACAATCTCACCAGCATCTGCTGTTTCTTGACTTTTTAATAATGCCATTCTGACTGGCATGAGATTGTGGTTTTGATTTGCATTTCTCTAATGACCAGTGATGTTGAGCTTTTTTTCATATGTTTGTTGGCCACATGGATGTCTTCTTTTGAGAAGTGTCTGTTCATGTTCTTTGCCCACTTTTTGATGGGGCTGTTTATTTTTTTCTTGTAAATTTGTTTAAGTTCTTTGTAAATTCTGGATATTAGACCTTTGTCAGAGGGATAGATTGCAAAAATCTTCTCCCATTCTGCAGGTTTTCTGTTCACTCTGATGATAGTTTCTTCTGCTGTGCAGAAGCACTTTAGTTTAATTAGATCCCATTTGTCAATTTTTGCTTTTGTTACAATTGCATTTGGCAATTTCATGAAATCTTTGCCTGTGCCTGTGTCCCAAATGATATTGCCTAGATTTTCTTCTAAGGTTTTTATAGTTTTGGGTTATACATTTAAGTCTCTAATTCATCTTAATTTTTGTATGAGTTGCAAGGAAGGGGTCCAGTTTCAATTGTCTGCATATGGCTAGGTAGTTCTCAAGCACCAGTTATTAAATGTGGATTCCTTTCCCCATTGCTTGTTTTTGTCAGGTTTGCCAAAGATTAGATGGCTGCAGATGTGTAGTTTTATTTCTGAGATCTCTACTCTGTTCTATTGGTCTATGTGTTTATTTTTGTACAAGTACCATGCTATTTTGGCATCTGTAGCCTTGTAGTGCAGTTTGGAGTTGGGTAGCACGATGCCTCCAGCTTTGTTCTTTTTGCTTAGGATCATCTTGGCTATATGAGCTTTTTTGGTTCCATATGAATTTTAAAATAGTTTCTTCTAATTCTATGAAGAATGTCAATAGTAGTTTAATGGGAATAGCACTGAATCTATAAATTACCTTGGGCAGTATGGCCATTTTCACGATATTGATTCTTCCTATCCATGAGGAAGGAATGTTTTTCTATTTGTTTGTGTCCTTTCTGATTTCCTTGAGCAGTGGATTATAGGTATCCATGAAGAGGTCCTTCACTTCCCTTGTTTGCTGTATTCCTAGGTATTTTATTCCCTTTGTGAATGGGAGTTCATTCATGATTTGGCTCTCTGCTTGCGTGTTGTTGGTGTACAGGAATGCTTGTGATTTTTGCACATTGATTTTGTATCCTGAGACTTTGCTGAAGTTGCTTATCAGCTTAAGAAGCTTTGGGGCTGAGATGATCCGGTTTTCTAGTTATAGGATCATGTCATCTGCAAACAAAGACAATTTTATTTCCTTTTTTCCATTTGAAAAGACTTTATTTCTTTCTCTTGCCTGATTGTCCCGGTCAGAACATCCAATACTATGTTGAATAGGAGTGGTGAGAGAGGACATCCTTGTCTTGTGCCGGTTTTCAAGGGGAATGCTTCCAGCTTTTGCCCACTCAGTATGATATTGCTTGTGGGTTTGTCATAAATGGTTCTTATTATTTTGAGGTATGTTCCTTTGATACCTAGCTTATTGAGAGTTTTTAACGTGAAGGGATGGTGAATTTTATCGAAGGCCTTTTCCGCATCTATTGAGATAATCATGTGGTTTTTGTCTTTAGTTCTCTTTATGTAATGAATTACATTTATTGATTCATGTACGTTGAACCTGCCTTGCATCCTGAGGATGAAGCCAACTTGATCATGGTGGATAAGCTTTTTGATGTGCTGCTGGATTCAGTTTGCCAGTATTTTGTTGAGAATTTTTGTATCGATGTTCTTCAGGATATTGGCCTGAAGTTTTCTTTCTTTCTTTTTTTTTTTAAATCTCTGCCAGTTTTTATTATCAGGATGGTGCTAGTCTCATAAAATGAGTTAGGGAGGAGTCCTTACTTTTCAATTTTTTGGAACAGTTTCAGAAGAAAGGGTATCAGCTCCTCTTTGTAAATCTGGTAAAATTCAGTTATAAATCTGTCTGATCCTGGGCTTTTTTTTTTTTTTTTTTGGTTGGTATTTATTACTGCCTCAATTATAGAACTTGTTATTGGTCTGTTCAGGAACTCAACTTCTTCCTGGTTCAGTCTTGGGAGGGTGTATGTATCCAGAAATTTATTCATTTCTTCTAGATGTTCTAGTTTATTTGCATAGAGGTATTTATAGTATTCTCTGATGGTTGTTTGTATTTCTGTGGTGATATCCCCTTTATCATTTTATTGTATCTATCTGATTCTTCTCTATTTTCTTTATTAGTCTAGCTAGCGATCCATCTATTCTATTAATTTTTTTTCAAAAAACCACCTCCTGCATTCATTTTTTTTTGGAAGGGATTTTTGTGTCTCTATCTCCTTCAGTTCTGCTCTGAGCTTGGTTATTTCTTGTCTTCTGCTAGCTTTGGGATTTGTTTTCTCTTGGTTCTCTAGTTCTTTTAGTTGTGATGTTAGGATGTCAATTTGATATCTTCCTAGCTTTTTGATGTGGGCATTTAGTGCTATAAATTTCCCTCTTAACACTGCTTTAGTTGCATCCCAGAGATTCTGATACATTGTCTCTTTTTTCCTATTAGTTTCAAAGAACTTCTTAATTTCTGGCTTAATTTTATTATTTACCCAGGAGTCATTCAGGAGCAGGTTGTTCAATTTCCATGTAATTGCATGGTTTTCAGTGAGTTTCTTAATCTTGAGTTCTAATTTGATTGTGCTGTGGTCTGTGAGATTGTTTGTTATGATTTTAGTTCTTCTGCATTTGCTGAGGAGTAATTTACTTCCAATTGTGTGATCAATTTTAGAGTAGATGCCATGTGGCACCAATAATAATGTATATTCTGTTGCTTTGGCATGGAGACTTCAGTAGATATCCATCAGGTCCA
The DNA here is from genome assembly GCF_000001405.40 of Homo sapiens. NCBI lineage: Eukaryota > Metazoa > Chordata > Mammalia > Primates > Hominidae > Homo > Homo sapiens. The sequence continues at coordinate 15,820,833 of NC_000004.12, read as the reverse complement.
CTTGATCCTGAGCTGAGTTCAGGTCGTGAATATCTTTGCTAATTTTCTGTCTTGATGATCTGTCTAATATTGACAGTGGGATGTTAAATTCTCCCACTATTATTGTGTGGGTATCTAAATCTCTTTGAAGGTCTCTAAGAACTTGTTTTATGAATCTCGGTGTTCCTGTATTGGGCACATATATATTTAAGATAGTTTGCTCTTCTTGTTGAATTTACCCCTTTATCCTTATGTAATACCCTTCTTTTTCTTTTTTGATCTTTGTTGGTTTAAAGTCTGTTTTGTCATAAACTAGGATTGCAACCCCTGCTCTTTTCTGTTTCCCATTTGCTTGGTAAATATTCCTCCATCCCTTATTTTGAGCCTATGTGTGTCTTTGCATGTGAGATGGGTCTCTTGTATACAGCACACCAATTGATCTTGACTATCCAGCTTGCCATTCCATGTCTTTTAGTTGGGACATTTAGCCCATTTACACTTAAGGTTAATTTGTTATGTGTGAATTTGATCCAGTTATCATGATGCTAGCTGGTTATTGTGAAGATTTGTTTACGTAGTTGCTTCATAGTGTCATTGGTCTGTGTACTTCGGTGTGTTTCTGTAGTGGCTGATAATGGTTTTTCCTTTCCATATTTAGTGCTTCCTTCAGGAGCTCTTGCAAGGCAGGCCTGGTGGTGACGAATTCCCTTAGCATTTGCTTGTCTGAAAAAGATTTTATTTCTCCTTCATTTATGAACTTAGTTTGGCTAGATATGAAATTCAAGGTTGGAAATTATTTTCTTTAAGAATGTTGAATATTGGCCCCCAATCTCTTCTGGCTTGTAGGTTTCTGCTGAGAGGTCTGCTGTTAGTCTAATTGGCTTCCCTTTATAGGTGACCTGGAGAATCTGATGATTATGTGTCTTGGGGTTGATCTTCTCATGGAGTATCTTACTGGGGTTCTCTGGATTTCCTGAATTTGAATGTTGGCCCATCTTGCTAGGTTGAAGAAGTTCTCCTGGATGATATCCTGAAGTGTGTTTTCCAACGTGGTTTCATTCTTCCTGTCTCTTTCAGGTACCCCAATCAGTCATAGGTTCTTTTTATGTAATCCCATAGTTCTCAGAGGTTTTGTTTGTTCCTTTTCATTCTTTTTTCTCTAATCTTGTCTGCCTGTCTTATTTCAGCAAGATACTCTTCAAGCTCTGATATCCTTTCTTCTGTTTGGTCTATTTGGTTATTGATACTTGTGTTTACATCTTGAAGTTCTCGTGTTGTGTTTTTCAGCTCCATCAGGTCATTTATGTTCCTCTCTAAACCAGTTATTCTGGTTAACAGCTCCTATGTTTTATCATGGTTCTTAGCTTCTTTGCAGTGGGTTAGAATATACTCCTTCAGCTCAGTGAATTTCATTATTATGCATCTTCTGAAGCCTACTTCTGTCAATTCATCCACCTCAGCCTCAGCCCAGTTCTTTTTTTTTTTTTAACATTGGGTAAATGTAGCTAGTATCTTTTGTTTTTTTATACTTTAAGTTCTGGGTTACATGTGCAGAATGTGCAGTTTTGTTACATAGGTATACACATGCCATGGTGGTTTGCTGCACCCATCAACCCGTCACCTACGTTAGGTATTTCTCCTAATGTTATCCTCCCCTAGCACCCACCCCTGACAGGCCCTGGTGTGTGATGTTCCCCTCCCTGTGTCCATGTGTTCTCACTGTTCAACTCCCACTTATGAGTGAGAACATGTGGTGTTTGGTTTTCTGATCTTGTGATAGTTTGCTGAGAATGATGGTTTCCAGCTTCATCCATATGCCTGCAAAGGACATGAACTCATCTCTTTTTAGGGGCCTCAGCCCAGTTCTATGCCCTTGTTGGAGATGTGTTAAGATCATCTGGAGGAGAAGAGGCACACTGGCTTTTTGAGTTTTCAGCATTTTTGTGCTGATTCTTTCTCATCTTCTTGCATTTATCTACCTTTGATCTTTGAGGCTACTGACCTTTGGATGGGTTTTTGTGGGGTCTTTTTCATTGATGTTGTTGCTTTCTGTTTTTTCTTTTAGCAGTCAGGCCCTTTCTTCCATAGGGCTGCTGCAGTGTGCAGGGGGTCCACTCCAGACCCTATTCACCTGGGTTCCTCCCGCACCTGAAGGTATCACGAGTGGAGGCTACAGAACAGCAAAGATGACAGCCTGCTCCTTCCTCTGGAAGCTTCATTCCAGAGGGGCACCGGCCTGATGCCAGCCGGAGCTCTCCTGTATGAGGTGTCTATCGACCCCTGTTGGGTGGTCTCTCTCAGTCAGGAGACACAGGGGTCAGGGACTCACTTGAGGAGGCAATCCGTCCTTTAGCAGAGTTGGTGTGCTGTGCTGGGAGAATCCCTCTTGTCAGGATCAGCTGCTGTCTTCAGAGCCAGCAGGCAGGAATGATTAAATCCACTGAAGCTGTGCCCACAGCTGCCCCTTCTGCCAGGTGCTCTGTCCCAGGGAGACGGAGGTTTTGTCTGTAAGCCCCTGACTGGGGTTGTTACCTTTCCTTCAGAGATGCCCTGCCCAGTGAGGAGGAATCTAGAGAAGCAGTCTGGCCACAACCACGTTGCCACACTCAGTCCAGACTTCCCAGCCCCCTTAGCACTGTCAGGGGAAAACCGCCTATTAAAGCCTCAGTAATGGCGGACGCCCCTCCCCCCACCCAGCTCCATCATCCCAGGTCAACTTCAGACTGCTGTGCTGGCAGCAAGAATTTCAAGCCAGTGGTTCTTAGCTTGCTGGTCTCCGTGGGAGTGAGACCCGCTGAGCGAGACCACTTGGCTCCCTGGCTTCAGCCCCCTTTCCAGGGGAGTGAACAGTTCTGTCTCACTGGGGTTTCAGGCGCCACTGGGGTACGAAAAAAACTCCTGCACCTAGCTTGGTGTCTGCCCAAACAGCGGCTCGGTTTTGTGCCTGAAACCCAGGGCCCTGGTGGTGTAGACACACGAGGAAACCTGATCTCAGATGGAAATGCAGAAATCACCCACCTTCTGCGTTGGTCTCACTGGGAGCTGCAGACTGGAGCTGTTCCTATTCAGCCATCTTGGCTCCTCCCCCTATTCATTCTTAATGGGAGTCAGTGAAGGATACTGGTTTAAAGTATGGGCCCTAAAATCCCAGCCCTTATTGAAGCCCAGCATCATCATCACTTATCAGGTGTTTCACCTTGAGCAACCAAAACATCACTAAGCCCCACTTTCTACACCTGTAAAATGGTAATGATAATGACTGAAATAAACTAATGGGGTGCTAGGGAAATTAACTGAGATAAATGCAAGTAAATTGCTTAGCATACTATCCATCGCATAGTCACTTATTTGACAAATGTCAGCCTGGGTTATTATTTGCCAAACACCTTCTCTGCATAGGGCATCACGCCTAGTGAATGGAGAAGTTTCACAATGACTCCAGCTCACTAACAATGGAATGAGAGGCTGTAATTTCTGGATGGATTTAAGGGCTTCACAAAGAAAATTTTAGGCACATGGAATTTTGCCTTAAACATTGGCTATAGAAAAGGTGCACTCTGATAGAGCTTTTCCAATATAACCAATGTATTAGAATCCAGGCCTCTGTGGCTCCAGGTCTCATACCATTTACATTTAAACTGGTCACTTTGAAGCCTGTCAAACTTGGGCAACACTGGTCACCTAAACACACCAACCCTCAGTTTTCTCACTGGTGAAATTGGGATGCTGACACCTGATGTGCCCATTCCAGAGAATGGCTATGAAGGCCTAAGAAAGTAAGGATTAGGAGAGTCTTTTGTAAGCAAGAAAAAGAAGAAGCAGTCTGCAAGTGTAACTTGGCATTGCTGTTATTACTACTACTACTACTATTATTATCATAGGTCAGGGGAAAGTTTTGTTATTATATAGGTCGTGTTAATTTGTTTGTTCGAGTTGGGTTTGGTGTTAGGTTTTTTCTGCCTAGTTTTTGGCCAAAGCCCCTTTCCTATCTCTGTATCCCTATTTCTCTCTCTTAGCTCCCTTCTCCAGATGTCCTAAATCTTAATTATATCATGGCCCCTCAATGGCCTGCAAATTCCATTCCTACCAACCACACTCACACTATAATGTCTGGATTTTTCCTCTTCCTTCATTCTAATAAAAATTTGGACCTATGAATTGTTACCATTGGCTTTTATCCCCAGTTTTAAAATCAATGGCATGCCCCCAATTACCTTGTTGCAAGGTACGGTCTGAGTTCCCAACTTCATTAGTGGCTGATAGTCTTCTTCAGTAATGTTGCAAGGATGTTTTGAAATAAATGCACCCTTGAAAGCATCCCATACACTTTGGCAGTCTACATGTCTGAGATAAAACACAGAAAATAAAACATAAATTATTTGATTTTAAAAATATTTTTGGAGCATAATTATTTTTTAGAATCTTATTTAGGAAGCATCTATTATATGCCAGGTAGTTCATACATATTATCTCGTCTAACATGCAGTCTACCAGGGGTACAAAGAGGAGCTGGTACCATTCCTTCTGACACTATTGCAAACAATAGAAAAAGAGGGACTCCTCCATAAGTCATTTTATGAGGCCAATATCATCCTAATACCGAAACCTGGCAGAGACACAATAAAAAAAGAAAATTTCAGTCCAATATCCCTGATGAACATCGATGCAAAAATCCTCACTAAAATACTGGCAAACTGAATCCAGCAGCACATCAAAAAGCTTATCCACCACGATCAAGTTGGCTTCATCTCTGGGATGCAAGGCTGGTTCAACATACACAAATCAATAAACATAATCCATCACATAATCAGAACCAATGAAAAAAATCACATGATTATCTCAATAGATGCAGAAAAGTCCTTCAATAAAATTCAACATCCCTTCATGCTAAAAACTCTCAATAAACTAGGTATCGATGGAACATATCTCAAAATAATAAGAGCTATTTCTGAAAAACCCATAGCCCATATCATACTAAATGGGCAAAAGCTGGAAGCATTCCTATCGAAAAGTGGCACGAGACAAGGATGTCCTCTCTCACCACTCCTGTTCAACATAGTATTGGAAGTTCTGGCCAGGGCAATCAGACATAAGAAATAAATAAAGTGTACTCATATAGGAAGAGAGAAAGTCAAATTGTCTCTGTGTGCAGATGACATGATTGTATATTTAGAAAACCCCAACGTCTCAGCCCAAAACCTCCTTAAGCTGATAAGCAACTTCAGCAAAGTCTCAGGATATAAAATCAGTGTGCAAAAATCACAAGCATTCCTATATACCAATAATAGACAAGCAGAGAGCCAAATCACGAGTGAACTCCCATTCAAAATTGCTACAAAGAGAATAAAATACCTAGGAATACAACTTACAAGAGACATAAGGACCTCTTCAAGGAGAACTACAAACCACTGCTCAAGGAAATAAAGGACACAAACAAATAGAAAAAATTCCATGCTCATAGATAGGAAGAATAAATATTGTGAAAATGGCCATATTGCCCAAAGTAATTGATAGATTCAATGCTATTCCCATCAAGATACCATTGACTTTCTTCATAGAATTAGAAAAAAACTACTTTAAATTTCATATGGAACCAAAAAAGAGCCCGTATAGCCAAGACAATCCTAAGCAAAAAGAACGAAGTTGGAGGCATCACGTTACCTGACTACAAAGTGTACTACAAGGCTACAGTAACTACAGTACTAGTACCAAAACAGATATATAGACCAATGAAAGAGAACGGAGACCTTGGCCGGGCACGGTGGCTCACGCCTGTAATCCCAGCACTTTGGGAGGCTGAGGCAGGCAGATCATGAGGTGATAAGTTCGAGACAAGCCTGACCAACATGGTGAAACCCCATCTCTACTAAAAATACAAAAATTAGCCAGGCGCGGTGATACATGCCTGTAATCCCAGCTACTCAGGAGGCTGAGGTAGGAGAATTGCTTGAACCAGGGAGGCGGAGGTTGCAGTGAGCCGAGATCGTGCCACTGCACTCCAGCCTGGGTAACAGAGCGAGATCTCATCTCAAAAAAAAAAAACAAAAAACAAAAAACAAAAAACAAAAACAGAACAGAGACCTCAGAAATAATACCACATGTCTACAACCACCTGATCTTCAACAAACCTGACAAAAGCAAGCAATGGAGAAAGGATTACCTATTTAATTAATAGTGCTGGGAAAACTGGCTAGCCATATACAGAAAACAAAAACTGGACCCCTTCTTTACACCTTATACAAAAATTAACTCAAGATGGATTAAACACTTAAATGTAAAACCTAAAACCATAAAAACCCTAGACGAAAATCTAGGCAATACCATTCAGGACATAGGCATGGGCAAAGACTTCATGACTAAAACACCAAAAGCAATGGCAACAAAAGCCAAAATTGACAAATGGGATCTAATTAAACTAAAGAGATACTGCACACCAAAAGAAACTACCATCAGAGTGAACAGGCAACCTACAGAATGGGAGAAATTTTTTGCAATCTATCCACCTGACAAAGATCTAATATCCTAAGTCTACAACTTAAACAAATTTACAAGAAAAAAACAACCCCATCAAAAAGTGGGCGAAGGGTATTAACAGATGCTTCTCAAAAGAAGACATTTATGTGCCCAGCAAACATATGAAAAAAAGCTTATCATCACTGGTCATTAGAGAAATGCAAATCAAAATCGCAATGGATACCATCTCACGCCAGTTAGAATGACGATCATTAAAAAGTCAGGAAACAACAGATGCTGGTGAGGCTGTGGAGAAATAGGAATGCTTTTACACTGTTGGTGGGAGTGTGAATTAGTTCAACCACTGTGGAAGATAGTGTGGCGATTCCTCAAGGATCTAGATCCAGAAATATCATTTGACCCAGCAATCCCATTACTGGGTATATACCCAAAGGAGTATAAATCATTGTACTATAAAGACACATCCACACATATGTTTATTGGAGCACTATTTACAATAGCAAAGACTTAGAGCCAACCCAAATGCCCATAAATGATGGACTGAATAAAGAAAATGTGGCACATATACACCATGGAATACTATGCAGTCATAAAAAAGAATGAGTTTATGTCCTTTGCAGGGACATGGATGAAGCTGGAAGCCATCATTCTCAGCTAAAAAACACAGGAACAGAAAACCAGACACCACGTCTTCTCACTCATAAGTGAGAGTTGAACAGTGAGAACACATGGACACAGGGAGGGGAACAACACACACCGGGGCCTGTCGGCGGGGGTGGGGAGCAAGGGGAGGGAGAGTATTAGGACAAATACCTAATGCATGTAGGGCTTAAAACCTAGATGATAGGTTGATAGGTGCAGCAAACCACCATGGCACATGTATACCTATGTAACAAACCTGCACGTTCTGCACATGTGTCCCAGAACTTAAAGTAAAATTTAAAAAAAAATTAACATGTAAAAATCCATCAATTTAATGTGCTGTATTTTGTAGAATGACAAAAACCATATGATCATCTCAATAGACACACAAAAATATTAACAAAATCCAACACTCTTGTGATGAAAAAAACACTGAGCAGATTAGAAATAAAATTTCCTCAACCTGATAAAATTCATCTATTAAACCCCACAGCTAACATTATACATAATGGCAAAAGACTGGATGCTCCCCCTTAAAATCAAGTACAGTCCAAAGATGTCTGATTTCATTACTTATATTCAACATTGTATTGGAGTTCTAGCCAAGGAATTTAGGTAAGAAAAATAAACTAAACTCATCCAGATTAGATAAGAAGAAGTAAACCTATCCCCTTCATGGATGACATGAAATACTGTATATAGAAAATTATAAGAAATCCACAAAAAGGAAACTGTTAGAACGAGTAAACATGGTCAGCAAGGTTTCAGGTTACAAAATCAGTGTACAAAAATCAATTGTATACTATCAATGAAAAATATACTATCAATGAAAAATATAAAATCAAAATTTAAACAATTCCACTTATAATAGCAGCAAAACAATTAATATTCTTAGGAGTAAATATAACAAAGAATTACAGGACTGGAACATTGAAAAATACACAACACTGTTACAAAGTAAAGAAGACCTGAACAAATGGAAAAACATTCTACATTCATGGATCAGGAGACTTAATATTGTTTTTGTTTTTGTTTTTTTGAGACAGAATCTCGCCCTGTTGCCCAGGCTAGAGTGCAATGGTGCGATCTCGGCTCACTGCAACCTCTGCCTCCAGGGTTCAAATGATTCTCCTGCCTCAGCCTCCTGAGTAGCTGGGATTACAGGCACATGCCACCATGCCCAGTTTTTTATTATTATTATTTTTAGTAGAGACGGGGTTTTACCAGGTTGGCCAGGCTGGTCTCGAACTTCTGAGCTCGTGATCCACCCGCCTCGGCCTCCCAAAGTGCTGGGATTACAGGCGTGAGCCACCGTGCCCGGCCAGAAGACTTAATATTGTTAAGATGACAGTATTCTCCAAGCTGATTTACAGCTTCAATGTAATCTCTATAAAAATCCCAGTTCCTTCTTTTGCAGATAGTGACAGTTTAACTTAAAATTCATATGGAAATGTAAGGAACACAGAAGAGCCAAAAATCCTGAAAAAGAAGACCAAAGTTGAAAGACACAAACTTCCTGATTTCAAAACTTACTACAATGCTACAGTAATCAAGATAATTGGTACTGGCATAATGATGTAATCACAGGACCAGTTCTAACTGGCCCTACTCTGATGATAATAGTATGTCAAGTTATTTAACAGGCACAAAGTCAAAAAGTTGTTAAGTCATGCAGCCGAAGCAATGCAGAAAAGAAGACCTCAACCTTGAATAACACCCAGAAGAAAAATTCCTCTCCTGCCCCACCACAGAAGAAAATGGTCAAGACATGACTGGAACCTGAGGGCCCAAACATTTTTAAAAGCAAGAAACCTGAGCCCAGGCATGTCCAGTGTTAAGACCCTTACCATACCTTACCATAAATGGTCTTGTTTAAAGTACTTCCAGTTGAAACCTGCCCTACCAGTGCTTCTGCATACCAGCTTGCCCTCCCTAACCCATAAAACTTGTCCCAGATCCCAGAAGGGGAGACAGATTTGAGCTTTGCATCCTGTTTCCTTGCAAGTCAACCTCACGATAAAGCTTTTGCTTTTCTCAAAAACCAGTTCCATAATATTGGCTTCCCTATCTGTCAGGCAGCAAGCACATTGCTCAGTAACAATGATAGAAATATAGATCAATGGAATAAAGAGTCCAGAAATAAAGTCTTACAGTTACCATCAATTAATTTTAGACAAGAGTGCCAAGGCCATTCAATGGGAAAAAAAAAACAACACTTTTCAACAAATGGTGCAGGGACAACAAGATATCCACATGCAAAAGAATAAATTAGGACCCATACTTTACACCATATACAAAAATTGACTCAAAATGAATGAAAGACCTAAATATAAAAGGTAAAATTAGAAAATTCTTAGAGGCAAACATAGAATAAAAAATTGTCATAACCTTGGATTAGGCAATTATTTCTTAAATATGATACCAAAAGCACAGCAACAAAAGAAAAAATACATAAATTACACTTTATCAAAATTAAAATCCTACGTTCTTCAAAGGACGCCATCAAGAAAGTGAAAATAAAATTCACAGAATGGATTAAAATATTTGTAAATATTATTTCTGTTTCAGGACTTGCATCCAGAGTAGTAAAGAGCTCTTATAATTCAATAATAAATGGATAACCCAATTAACAAATGGGCCAATAATTTTATACACATTTTTTCATAAGAGATATAAAAATGGCTAATAAACACACATAAAAATGCTCAACATCATTAGTCACTAGGGAAGTAGAAATCAAAACGAAGAGATACCACTCACCACTCACTAGGATTGGGCTAGGGGTTGAATTATGTCCCATTTGAAACTCACATAATGAAGTCCTCAGCCCAGTACCTTAAAATGTGACCATTTAAAAATAGAACAGTTGCAGGTGTAATTAATTAATGCAAGGGTGGCATCCAACAATCATGTTTTAATAAGCCCTCCAGGCAATTCTGATGCAAGTTTAGGTTTGAGAATCATTGGGTTATACATGAAAATGTGAAGAGTTCAACAGCGGTTTCTTTCCAATATCTGTGCACCATATTTCCACTTCATCCACACTTGCCTTTGAAAGCTATGCCAGGAAACCATTATCAACCTGGTTTTCTCCGTACATTATATATTTAAGGAAAAAAAAGCTTATTACATTATGTACTTCAATGTCAATGAAAATTTATGGGGCACCATTTTGGATAGTTTAGAGAAAAGAGATTTGGCAGCGATTTTCCTTTAGGGGATCTTGTTTCAATTCTATTAATGCAGTGGCCTTCTTGGGAACTTCCTGTTCCCATACTCCAACTCCCTTGTAAAACTCTTCTACATCTTTCCTTAGCAGCATCTTTGCAGACAAAGATGGAAGAATAAGATAATTTTCCACTACAAAAGATCTGGCAGGAAAGAGAAATTCATGTGCACTGAGCACCTACATGTACCAGATGCTTTCATAAGTGTGTTTATATATAATCACCAAAACTTTTATTGAGTCCCACAGAGAATTAAGACACCTCCAGAATTATTTTTATTCTTCTTGGGTATATATATCCTACTTCAAGAAACATTACCTCAGTATTCAAGAAAGTCCAGGTTACAAATTTAACAGAATTCCTTGTTTAGACGGAGCAGAGCTATAGAACGTTAGAGTTGAAACAGACCTAGGAAGAGTTTGTAACTTAACTCTCTGCCCTTTCTACATCTTATGAATCCGAGCTTTCAGTGTGCCCTACAAATTAGAGAAAATGAGTAGAGGCAATGAGAAATCTGGGGGCAGGTTTTATGAAACTATTTATTTTATCCTTAAAGCCAAACACCTCACCTTGGTTGTGCGAGTCAATTTTTTTGTTGGTTTGGATATATATGTTGAAATAAAAAGGGATTGGGACTGCAGTAGACAGGGATGGGGGCAGATCTTTCCAACTAAAGAAGGAGCAGAGAAGGAATGAATCATTTCTGGAAGTTCAATAATATTTTTTTCAAAGATTCTTCTGTTCCAAAATTGGAAGTCTTCATCAGGAGACGTCTAGGGGTGCCTGCAGTTGGGACAGGGAGACAGTGTCACGGCAATTACTAGCTCAGCAGCCGTTCCTGAGAGCTCATTCTGTGCCGGTGATTTGCTCCTTCCTAAACCAGAAGTGCTGTTGGAAGTCAGAGGTTCTCAGCCCTGGCCACACTTCAAGGTCACCTGAAGAGCTTTGGAAAAGCTGCAGTGCCTGCTTTCAGACCCACCAAGTGAGAATGGGGAAAATGGAAGACCCCAGAACCAAGAATTTCTAAAAAGGTCTCCCAAACGATTCTAATGGTCAACCAGGGGTGATGAGAAGTAACCTAACGAAACCCCTTCATTTCGCAAATGAGAAAAAGGAAGTTTATAAAGGAAATGTGACTAGCCCGAGGTCACACAGCTGTTAAATGTTAGACCAGCAGTTATTCAACTAGTTTTCCCCAGCACTTAAACTCAGGCAGAACCAGAACCTCCAAGTGTCTCCTGATTCCCTCCACCACCTCCCTCAGCTGCTACTGCCTTACTTTACTTTCATTTCTTACCGCCAGTTAGCCAACAATCAGCAATGACTAATCATTGTACTAATTATAACAACCACAACAATTAGCATTTACCAAGTGCTTTCTTCACGCAGCCATCTGGCTAAGTGTTTTACAGGCATCTCATTGGATCCTCATTCACACATACCTATTATCTCCAGTTTACCTATAAACTCAGAAGACCAAGTAACTTGCCCAACACTCCACAACTAGAATATCCCAGCCAGAATTTGCATCTTGTCCTGTCCAAGTCCAGACCACATACCCCTAGACACTTCACCAGACAGCCTCCCAAGAGGCCATCCCAAACGTTGCTTCCAAGAACAGAGGGCGAGCCCCCTACAATATTTTTAGAGAAAGAAAAGCTTTTCTTGAATAGCTCTTTTTCCAGAGCCACCTACTCAGCCACCATGATGGAACCAAATAGTTACCGTAGGGCCAGGCAAGGCTAATGCAATCAAGCAAACAAATCTGAAAGTAATTCATAACATCATTTTGAACTGTTCAACTATAATTCCTTCATCCTAAGACCTTAAAACCAGGGCATCTTCAATGCTTCTCTGTCCAAAAAACACTAGGAGAAATCACCCCACACTGATCAATCCATGTTGTAAGAATAGCTATCCCTGGACTAGTATAGAGTGGTTTTGTGACCTTCTATTCTCCTTCTTATAGTCTCAATTTTTCTGCGATAAGCATAAATTACAATGGGGGTCATAACAAAAATTTGATTTTCTTGTTAAATTGCCTGGGCAACTATACCAAATGTTGGAGAATCTTGGAGGGTCTTAGGAAATGGAAACATCTCAGGTCCAAGCACCCTTGGTGGTCACCTGTTATTTTTGTGCCTCTCCCAGGTCTCTTGGTCACAATGTATCCTTTCGCATCCCTCATCCAGATAAAGACCACACTGTGTAACAGGTAAGACAGTGTTGGTGCCCCAGACCCATGTGCTGAGGTCTAATGATGTGAAATGTGGGGTGGGGAGGGAGGCTAGGACTACAGACCTCTTCCAATAGAGCTTTCTCCCCAAACACTTCCTTGCATCCTTAAGCAAAATTGGATACCTAGTCACAAGAATCACAGAACACACCCAGAATCACACTACAAATAATGTCAGGGAGACAGGTAATAAAGAGTCTCAAGCAAAGCAAGGAGAGAATGGCACAACCTGCAAAGCCCCACTGGTCCTGCCTTCCTTCCTGCATGAGACATATGCTTTCAGGCCCAGAAGAATGAATAAAGTCACTAAGTGAGGTTTCGTGGGGTTCCTCACACAGTCAAAGGGATCTAAGGGATGAAGTCTCCAATTTATTCCATAGAGAATTGTACAGCTTACATGATCTTCCAGGGAATCATGCCTCACGGATTCTGGATTTAGTTTTCAGAAATAATCCTTTAATCAAGGACATCCTGCTAAGGGTATTCTAGAGATGGAGCTCTTTGTTTTAGCAAATATTTTCAGTCTATCTGCATAGAGCTCCAATAGAAAAGGAGATCAGACCAGCTCATCTGCCTTCCTCTGGTTCCCTCAAGAGCACTCCTCTCCTCAAATTGAGTAAAGTGATCCCAGTCTAGCTGCTTTAGCTCCTTCCTTCTGGGACCTCACATGCACAGGCTGTATTGTATGTGGAGATGTTGATAATGACAAAGCAGTGCAGCCCCCCCTGACACTCAGGAGCTGGCCTGGCCCCCACAGTTGGGCCTTAGTGTCCTTCAGCTGAGCATAATCAACTCCATGGGACACCAGCATCAGACAAGGCCACTGTGTACGTGGCCTATCACCATGATAGACCATGATGTGAACACAAGCAAAAATAGCATCCAAACCATAAAGTAATAGCCAAACATCCTTTTATCATAGCTGATAGGAGTGACTGCCACTTCTTTACTTATTACAGCTTCAGCCTTCTCATTCTTCCAGCCCAGTAGAGGAAATTTATTTAAACATCCTACCACAGACTTACTACCATCCCACTACTTCCTGGCAGCATCCAGGAAAAGCCAGTCTCCTTGAACCTTTCCCCCAAATCTCCTAAAACAAGCCCAAATCCTCAGTAAGTCCTTTCTAACGTCATCGGATAAAACCTGCCCCACCCTCATGAGTCTCTACGCTGAGTGTCCTCCCTTCTTGCAGAGAGCAACAAACCCACCTTTTTCAATTACAGTGTGTTCCTGGTGGTCTTAGGTTGTGGGGGCATTGACAATAACAAACAATCTTGAAGGTGATATTAAAGAATCAAAGGGATTATGACAATTGGACTGCCATAATCAGTGTTTATGCTTGGCCAAAGCTCCGTGATCAGCTTCTGAACAAGACAACTAACCCACTGATGAAAGTTTACCTAGAAGGCTGGAGAAGCCTCGATCTGTTAGCAGTTTTCTGCTCACCTCCGCAAACGGTGACCTGAGGCTCAACACAGCATAGGATGGGCACAAATGTCAAGATTCAAGGTCAATGGCATGTTTTCCCTTTCCTACCATTCTGCTCCTGCCAATAGATCCCAGACCTCTCACTCACCCTATCGCCCTGTACATCATTCCGTCGAGTTCACCTCCCACCACTTTCTTCTGCCTTCTCTGACCTACCCAAGGTGGATTGACTCCAGGTGCTCAGAGGGAGGAGGCAGCACTACCAGGAGAAAGGGATAGTCATGATCACCAAAGAGCATTCACCACCTGCCACTGTGCCAAGTACCTGCCATTTAAATCTCATACTAGTCCATGGGCGGGGTATTAGCATCTTCCCTGTTTTAGAAATAAAGAGACTAAAGCGTTATCACCTTGTCCAAGTGGCAGAGCTGCCTCACATGCCAAACTGTGTTCTTTTTGCAAAGCAATGCTGCCTCCCACAGGAAATTTACAACCATGGCCCTACCCACAGAATAGGATTGGTTCTAACAGAAATGAGGATCTGAGACCCCAAGAGGAGTTCTCATTTCCCTAGATGGTACAAAAGGGTCAGGACCAGAATAGGGCACAGTTATTCCCCAGTGCTGGGGTAAAGTGAGTCAGATAAGAGGGCACGGGGCAGGAAGACATGAAAACACAGATATATTTGGTGGTTAAATCCAATTTGTCTGCGGTCAGCCTACTTCAGGTGTCACAGCTCTGTGCTAGCACCTCTCTCTAAACCTATACCATTCTCACAAAGAGCAACTATGTTTCAAAGTCCCCATCAATTAAGCAATATCACCTTCATAATGTGTCCCTCTCCAGGAAAACTCTCACCCCCTAAATCCTCTTGCCTAAAAGCACTCAGATCTTGCAGGGTAATTACACTCGTCCTTTAAATTTTACAGCTGTCAGTTCCCATAGGGCAGGCTGTCTGGGCTCAAAGAAAACAAGCAGGTTAACTCAGCTATTAATTCTCAAATTTGAGGCTACCAGAACCTGTGTTGAAGGTAAAGACTGCCACCTTGTGGGAGAAGTGAGTGACTGGTGAGAGTCACTGAGACAATTAGGATTATCTAAGTAGAATCTTACAATCAGAAAACTCTTCAGGCTGAAGGAAAGCTTAGAAATCATTAATTCATCAACCTAGCAAATATTTATTGAGCAAATACTAGGTGCTAGAAACACTTGTGAGCACTTAGGGTACATCAGTGAACAAAACACAGGTCTCTGTTCTTCTAGGAGTTTACATTTTACTGGAACAAAGACGGACAATAAACAATAAACATAATGAATATGTAAGTTATAAAGCATGCTAGAAATTTATGAGTTCTATGAGAAAAAAATGTAAAATAGACTAGAATGAATGTCAAGAGTGAGGGGGGAGGAGGTGTTAGTGATATTAAATAGGGTGGCATTAAATACGGTGGACAGTTGACATTAAATAGGGTGGACATATTTGAGTAAAGAATTGAAGGAAGCGAGGACTTAGCTCCACAAACATCCCAGGAACATTCTAGGCAGAAGGAATAAGCGTCACAAGCCATATTAGAAAAAAGTTAACAAACTGGACCTTAACTAGATTTTTTTAAAACTTTGTTTTTTAAAAGTTTTTAAAAGTTTCCATTAAAGAAAATGGAAAGGTAAGTCATAAAATGAAAGAAAATATTTTTAGTACACATCTGAAAATGGACTTCTTTTCAGAATATATAAGCTTCCTACGAGTCAATAATAAGATCAAAAAAACTAATTTTTCTTATCACTTTTAAATGACATGTAATTGCACATATTTATGGGGTGAAGTGACATTTCAATACGTGCATACAATGCATAATGATCGAATCTGTGTAATTGGCATATCCATTATCTCAAAGGTTTATCATTTCTTTGTGCTGGTAATGTACAAAATTTTCTCCTCTCAGTACTTGAAAATATACAATAAGTTATTGTTCACTATAGTCACCCTACAATGCTATAGAACACTAAAACTAAAACTTATTTCCTCTATCCATATATATAATTTTGTATTCATTGATCAATCTCTGTCTCCCTACCCTTCTCAGCTTCTAGTAACCACTATTCTACTCTCTACTTCTCTGAGATCAACTTTTTTAGCTCCCACATGTAAGTGAGAATATATGAAACTTGTCTTTCTGTGCCTGGCTTATATCACTTAACATAATGTCCTCCAGGCTCATCCATGTTGCCACCAATGATAGGATTTCATTCTCTTTTATGGCTGCATTCCATTGTCTATATATCCCACATTTTCTTTATCTCTTCATCTGTTGATAGACACTTCGGTGGATTCCATATCTTCATTATTATAAATGAAACTACAGTAAAGATGGGAGTGCAGGTATCTCTTCGACATATGATTTTATTTTCTTTGGATATAGGTCCAGTAGCGAGATTACTGGATCATATGGTAGTTCTATTTTTAGCCTGTTAAGGAACTTCCACACTGCTTTCCATAATAGCTGTACTAATTTACATTCCTACCAACAATGTGTGAGAATTTTCTTTGTCGCTTATACACTGTTGGTGGGAATGTAAATTAGTTCAACCGCTGTGAATATCACTTTGGAGATTTCTTAAAGAACTATTAATAAAAACTGAATTACCATTCAACCCAGAAATCCCACTACTGGGTATATGGCCCACAGGAAAATAAATTGTTCTACCAAAAAAAAGACATGCACTTATATGTTCATTACAGCACTATTCACAGTAGCAAAGACATGGAATCAACCTAGATGCCCAATAATGGCAGATTGGATAAAGAAAATGTGGTGGTATGTATACACCATGGAATACCATGCAGCCACAAAAAGAAGAATGAAATCATGTATTTTGCAGCAACATGAATGCAGCTGGAGGCCATTATCCTAAACAAGTTAACGCAGAAACAGAAAACCAAATACTACATTTCTCACTTATAAGTGGGAGCTAAACATTGGGTACGCATGGACATAAAAATAGGAATGCTAGGCACTGGGGAGTATAAGAGGAGGGAGGGAAGGAGGAAGGAAGGGTTGCAAAACCACATATTGGGTACTATGCTCACCACCTGGGAGATGGGTTCAATCATATTCTGAAACCTCAACATCATGCAATACACCTGCACATGTAACCCCTGAATCTAAAGTAAAAGCTGAAATGTTTTAAGTTTCCTTTTATCTGCATTCTTGCTAGCTTTGTTATTTTTTCTTCTTTTTGATGATAGCCATTCTAGCTGGCGTGAGATAATATCTCACTGTGATTTTGATTTGCATTTCCCTAATCATTAGTCACATAGAGCACTGTTTCAAATACTTAGTGGCCATTTTATGTCTTCTTTTGAGAAACGTCTGTTCAGATCAATTGCCGATTTTAAAAATCAGATTATTTGGCTTTTTGCTGTTAAGTTCCTTGTATATTCTAGATATTAATTCCTTGTCAGAGAAACCGTTTGCAAATATTTTATCCCATTCTGTAGTTTGTCACATGACTCTGTTGATTGTTTACTTTGCTGCACAGAAATGTTTAGTTTGATGTAATCCCATTAGTCTATTTTTGCCTTTGTTGACTGTGTTTTGGAGGTCTTATCCATAAAATCTTTGCTCAGAACATTTTCCTTATGTTTTCTCTTAGTAGTTTCATAATTTGGGGTCTTACACTTAAGTCTTTGATTCGTTTTGAGTTACTTTTTTATATTATGATAGATGGGGCTCTAGTTTCATTCTTCTGCATATGAATATCCAGTTTCCCCAGCAATATTTATTGAAAAAGGTGTCCTTTCTTCAGTTTATGTTCTTAGTGCTGTTGCAGAAAATCAATAGGCCATAAATATGTGAATTTATTTCTGGGTTCTCTATTCTGTTCCATTGATTTATGTGTTGCTTTAATGCCAATACAATGCTGTTTTACTATAGTATTATATTTTAAAGTAAAGTAGTGTGATCCCTCCAGTTCTTTTTGCTCAGAATTGCTTTGGCTTGGCTAGGAGCAGAGGCTCATGCCTGTAATACCAGCACTTTGGGAGGCTGAGGCAGGTGGATCACTTGAGGTCAGGAGTTTGAGACCAGCCTGGCCAACATGGTGAAACCCTATCTCTACTAAAAATAGGGCATGGTAGTGCATGTCTGTAATTCTAGCTACTGAGGTGGCTGAAGCAGGAGAATTGCTTGAACCCAGGAGGGAGAGATTGCAGTGAGCTGAGATCATGCAACTGCACTCCAACCTGTGTGACAGAGGGAGACTGTCTCAAAAATAAAATGAAATGAAGTGAAATAAAATAAAATAAAATAAAATAAAATAAAATAAAATAAAATAAAATAAAATAAAATAAAACAAACAATTGCTTTGGCTATTTGGGGTCTTTTATGGTTCCTAACAAATTTAAGAATCTTTTTTTCCATTTCTGTGAAAAATGCCATTGAAAATTCGATAGAGATTGCACTGAATCTGTAGATTCCTTTGGGTAGTATGGAATCTTAACAATATTAATTTTTCCAATCCATGAACATGGGATATCTATCCAATTTTTTATGTCCTCTTCAATTTCTTTTATTAGTGTTCTGTAGTCTTTATTCTAGAGATCTTTCACCTCTTTGGTTAAATTTACTCCTAGGTGGAGGTTTTTTTTGGGGGGTAGCTATTGTAAGTGGGGTTCCTTTTACAGATAGTTTATTATTGGTGTATAGAAATGCTACTGATTTTTGTATGTTGATTTTGTATCTCACAACTTTACTGAATTTGTATATCAATTCTAAGAGTTTTTTGGTGGAGTCTTTAGATTTTTCTGTAGGTAAGAGGATGTCATCTGCAAACATGGTCAATTTGACTTATTCCTTCCAAATTTGGATGTCTTTTATTTCTTTCTGTTGCCTAATTGCTCTGGCTAGAACTTCCAGTACTATGTGGAATCAGAGTAGTGAGGGTAAGCATCCTTATCTTGTTCCAGTTTTTAGAGAAAAAACTTCCAACATTTCCCTGTTTGGTACAATATTAGCTGTGGATTTGTCATATATGGCCTTTATTAAGATGAAGTGTGTTCCTTCTTCTAAACCTAATTGTTTGAGAGTTTTTATCATGGAGGGATGTTGAATTTTATCAACTGTTTTTCTGCATCTATTGTGGTGATCATATGATTTTTGTCCTTCATTCCGTTGATGGGATGTATTATGTTTGTTGATTTGCATATGTTGAACCACTCTTGCATCCCTGGAATGAATCCCACCTGGTTTTAGTAAATAAACTTATTAATGTGCTGTTGGATTCAGTTTGCTAGTATTTTGTTGAGGAACTTTCCATTTATGTTCATCAGGGATACTGGCCTGCAAAATTCTTTTTTTGTTGTTGTATCCTTGTCTGGTTTTGTATCAGGTTAATTCTGGCCTTATAGAATGAGTTTGGAAGAATTCTCTTCCCTTCAATTTTTTGGAATAGTTTGAGAAGAATTGGTAGTTATTTTTCAAAGTTTGGTAGAATCCAGCAGTAAAGCCATCCAGTCCTGAGCTTTTTTTTTTAATTGGGAAACTTTTTATTGTTGTTTAATAAAAATTATTATTGAGGTTCCTCAATAATTGTTATTGGTCTATTCGGATTTTGTATCTCATCCTGGTTCAATCTTGGTAGGTTGTAGGTGCCCAGAAATTTATCCATCTCCTCTGGGCTTTCCAATTTATTGGTGTTCATAATAGTCTCTTACGATCCTTTATATTTTTGTGGTATCAATTGTAACATCTCCTTTTTCATTTATTTGGTTCTTCCCTCTTTTTTCTTAGTTAGTCTAGGTAATGCTTAGTCAATTTTTTTTAAAAAACAACTTTTCATTTTGTTGATCTTTTGTATTACTTTTCCAACCTATTTCATTTATTTCTGTTCTGATCTTTATTATTTACTTCCTTCTACTAATTTGGAGTTTGGGGGTTTTGTTGTTGTTGTTTTGCTTTTATAGTTTCCTGAGGTTCACTGTTAAGTTGTTTTAAATCTTTCTACTTTTTTGACGTAGGCAATCATTACTATGAACTTTCCTCCTAGTACTGCTTTTACTGTATTCCATAGATTTTGGTATGTTGTGTATCAATTTTTATTTGTTAGACATGTTTTCATCATTTTCAGTAAGTTTTTTTATTTTTCTTAATTTCTTCATTGACCCATTGGTCATTCTGGAGTATGTTGCTTAATTTCCAAGTATTTGTACAAAACAAAAACCCTAATTTTTAAAGATGGGCAAAAGATTTGAACACATACTTCAAAAAGCCTATGAGATGATCCTCAGCATCATTAGTCATGGGGGAAATGCAAACTATAACCACCATAAAATAACACTATAAATTTTTAGATGGCTAAAATTTAAAAGTCTGACAATACCAAATGTTAACAAGGACGTAGAACAACTAGAATATTCACACACTGATGCTACACATGTAAAACTATACAATTGCCTTATAAAACAGTTTGGTGGTTTCTCAAAAAGCTAATCAACTTATGTACCATATGGCTCTGCTATTCTATTTCTGGGTGTTCACTCAAGAGAAATAAAACAGTATGTGTAAGAATTAAAGAAAGAGGAAAAAAAACACGAAAGGTGGCTTGCCAGTTAAGACAGGTTTATTTTAGAGAAAACGAACCTGTGAGGAGCTTTTGGCTGAGCTAGGTCAACAGCACACTCTCTTACAGACTAAGAGTTTTTAAGGATTTAGGATAGGAGAGTTTATTAGAGGCTTGGACTGCTTTTGTGTTTTTTGTTGTGCTTATTTTGGAGGGAGAGTTGTGTGTCTGTTTTTATACATTTTTCTGCAGCTGCAGGCATACCCCCCGAGTCTGCTTTTAGCTTCCCTATTTTAGTGCACCTGAAGGGAAAATAATGTGTTTATTAACGCCCACTGTTTTACTGGGGCCCACTGTATGAGGGTGAAGTGTGGCAGTTACCCAAGAGACTTTTCTCCCTCCTCCCTCTGTGCCTGAGCTGTTTTATCTGTGGTTTACTGTTTGCTCTTTCTGGCTACTTGTAGTTAGAAGAGAAGTGATTTCCCTGAGATGCATGAGGCTAAAAATGGAGCTGGAACTTAAAGTGGCAGTGTTTGTCCAAGAGGACTGTGCTCCTGCTCTGTCAGTATGTCCATACAATAACTTGTACACTAATGTTCATAGAACCTCTATTCATTGTATCCAAAAAGTGACTACAAGCCAAATGTCTATCAATAGATAAATAAACAAATTGTGATATATACACACAATAGACCCAATAATAAAAAGGAACAAGCTATTAATACATACAACATGGATGAATCACAAAAACATCATGACAAAGACATACAACTCAGACACAAAAGAGTAAATGATATGTATTCCATTTATATAAACTTCTTAAAAATGTAAATTTATCTCCCGTAACAGAAAGCAGACATGTTCTATTGGATATCAAAGCATTAGTAATTTAAACAACGTGGCAGTGGTATAGCGACAAACAGACCATAAAACAGATTGGAGAGTCCAGAAATAAACTGACATACATAAAGAAACACAAGATGCAACAGAAGTGGCATCAGAAAACCCTCGATAAAGGATGGATTATTTGATAAACAGCACTTACACAACTGACTATCCATCTGGGGAAAAATGAAATGGGCTTCCTAATTTCACCACACACAAAGATAAATTCCAAGTGGATCAAAGATCTAACTATGAAAAGCAAAAGTTTAACATTTTTAGAATATTTATAACCCTTTTGTGATCTCACATTAAAGAAATCAGTTCTTAAATAAGATACAAAAGGCACAACCCTAAAAGAAAACATAAATTTGATCATATTTAAATCTTTAGTAAATAAGGGACGTGATAAATATAGTGTCAAGAGTTAAGCCATAGACTGGGAGACTTTATTTGCAATCCACATAACTGACAGAAGATTAGAATCCTGAATGTGTAGAGACAATTCAACATAAGAACAAGCAAAAGACAGAAATAGGCTTTTCACAGAAGAAACCTGAATGACAAATAAACACATAAAAAGATAATTACTTATGTTAATGATCAGGGAATTAAAAAAATAAAACAACAAGGAAATGGGCATTTTTTAAATTTGAGAATTCCGAATGATGACGAGGATGAATAGCAATGAGGACTTTACACCAATTTTGTGAAAATAAAGTGATACAACAAATTTGGTGACCATTTGGCCATATGCAACGTGGCAGACGCCGTTGGTTCCGTACTCTCCAGAAGATTTCTTTTACCCTTCTTTCCTATTGGCAAAGCATGTCTCCTATTATGATTCAAAATATCAAATTCTCACTTCTCAAGCCTCTTTTATACCTTTGGGTAACCGTGTGGCCCAATTCTGGCCAGTGAAATTTAAGGAGAAGCCTAGAGAGGGTTGAAAGAGGGCTGCTGGGAAATATGTTACTTTGGGATGAAAAGAGACTTGAAATGGGGGTGTGCTCTTGCCCCTCTCCCTGCCCTCTGTTCCAGGTATATGAGGACATAATGCAGCAATCTTGTGACAAGAAGCTGAAAGCCACTCAAGGGAGATGGAAGAGTGGAAGGAAAGAGCCTCGGCCATCACTGTGCTGCTGAACCGATCCTATGACCACCCCACTTCTGGATGTCTTGTTATGTGTGTCAACAACATTTTAAAGTGGCCAGGCTCTGTGGCTCATGCCTGTAATCCCAGCACTTTGGGAGGCCAAGGTGGAAGGATTGCTTGAGGCCAGGATTTTGAGACCAGCCTGGGCAACACAGTCAGAACTCATCTCTATAAAACATTTGTTTAAAATTTACAATATATTTTAAACCTTTTCAGTTGAATGTTCTGTTAGTTGCAGCCAAAAACATCTTAACTGGTATACCTGTTGTTATTGATTGAATTTTACCCCCCCAAACGATGTTGAAATCCTAACACCCAGTACCTCAGAAAATGACCTTATTTGGAAATAAGGTTTTACAGATGATCAAGTTAAGATGAGATCATTAGGGTAAGCCCTAATCCCATACGACTGGGTCCTTATGAAAAGGGGAAATTTGGGCATAGAGACAAACACAAACACAAACAGAGAGAAGACAATATGAAGACACTGGGACAACACCATCAACAAGACAAGGAACACCTGAGGTTACTAGAAGCTTGGAAGAGGGCACGAAGCAGATTCTCTCTCACACCTTCAGAAGGCACCGACCCTTCTGACACCTTGATTTTAGACTTCCAGCCTCCAGAACTGTGAGACAGTACAATGCTATTGTTGAAGCCACCCGGCTTGTAGTACTTTATCACGGCAGCTGCAGCACACTAGCATACCCAGTAAAGGTGAAGATGGCATACCTGCCACACCTCAGAACTTTAGTCATTCTACCTTAGTCATTCTATTAAACACACTGGGAAAAAATCATATGCGCAAGTAGACATGTATGCTTTAGCATTGTTTATGCCCACAAAAACTGACAAAAAAGATAACAGACTAATTAACAAGTAGATAATAATAAATAAATGAGTAGTATGGTCATTCAATAGGATACTATATAGCACTTAAAATTGCAGAACCAGAGTTTATATATTAGCATGGGTAAATCTCAAAAGTAATGTCATTAAAATCACAAAAATATATTGTTAGGTAGAAAAGTAAAATTCACTCTACAGGGCAAAAACACATAGTAAATGCAAATAAAGATTAAACTGAGGTAACGTTCCCTTATCAGACCAGCAAAAATCAGAAAATTTGAAGATACTCTGGGTAGTATGGGTATGGGGAAATAGGAGTTCTCATTACCTCAAGAAGATAATTGCCTTGTGAAGAGAAGTTCGACAATTTTTTCAAAATTAAGTAGCATATGCTTTAACTTAGCAATTCTACTTCCAGAATTATATCTTATACACACATCCACGTATGTATACATACAGAAGGATTTCATTGCAGCATTGTCTGTAATGTTGCCAAAGGTTTAAAACAATCGAAACGTTCATAGATACAAGTCCAAAGTATAGTAAATTTGTAAAGTGGAATCTATATAATTATTAGAATGAAACAAAGCTACACTGATCATCAAGATACATTGTAGAATGAAAAAAACTAAGACACGGAAGAGATACTATGTGTGGAAAAATATATGGATATATGCTTATATATGCAGAGAATATTTCTAAAAAGATACAAGAGAAGCAAGTAGCAGTATTTGCCTCTGAGACAGGAGAAAAGAAAATCGGCGGAAAGAGTATTTCGATTTTATTTGTAACATGTTATTTCTTTAAAAACTAGAAAAAAGATGTAAAACAAATATGGCAAATTTTTATTGTCTATTAACTCCATGTGGTGGGTAAATGGGTATTTGTACTACTATTCCATGAACATTTCAGTGTATTTAAAATGTTAATAATTTAATTTTTAATTTTTAAATGGAAAAATTGAGAGGAGATATTGACTGAGAAACATTGAAGGAGGATATGAGGATATTGAAGGAAGAAAAGGAGTTCCCTCAAGTAGGAAAAATGAAGAAAGCCAGACCTGGGAAACACAAAGTATACAGTTTTCAGAGATAAACAAATTAATATATTCAGATCCTGGGGTTCAAAACTACCTTTGAAAAAATTTTATCTGGAAGTATTAACACATAAAAGCAGGACCCCAAAACGTGAACAACTAACTAAATCTTACATTTTTTTTGTGGTTTTAAATCTCTCTCAGTTTCAGCAAGGTGTTTTCAGTCCTTCTTTGCCTTTATTAAGAATTCCCATGGAGATTTAATTACTGCCAACTTAGACAACGTTAGAGATAATTTAACTCATAAACTATCTCTTTTAGGAACCAAGATAATCAATGAAGCAGTTTTATTCAGAATTTCACAATATTTCATCTA
The DNA here is from genome assembly GCF_000001405.40 of Homo sapiens. NCBI lineage: Eukaryota > Metazoa > Chordata > Mammalia > Primates > Hominidae > Homo > Homo sapiens. The sequence goes on along the minus strand of NC_000004.12, from coordinate 15,795,987 downwards.
TGAAGTGCCAAATTCACAAATAACTTTATAATATTTGCTTGATAGTCATAAGATAAAATGAACATTTGGACAATATCAAGGCAAATATGGATCATGGCCAGAGAAAAATATGCCGTCGGAAATTTATAATGTCTCTTCAAATCAAACTTTGCTAATTGCTTCAAAACATCCAAAGACCAAAAATGTAGAATAACTGTCTACTATGTGGATGCAGCATGTTTGATACATTCTAGCAGGGAGTAGACAACTGAGCTTAGCAATTTTTTAAAACATCGTATAATAGAAAAAAAATTAATTGTAACTGTAAGACTACTTATGCTGAGGCCGTCCACTTAAGCAGGTATATATCTTCCTTTTGTGGATCTCCTTATTTATTTTTTTAAATCGTGGGTTTCTCCGCTATTTAGAATTCTACTTGGGGGCTTAAGCGATTTTACATTCTTTTCTATATTTTTGTATTCATCCAAATATTCTTCAATGGGCATGTTTTACTTTTATAATTTTTAAAAAAGAAGAGTTATTAGAGGGAACAAGAATGTTAGCATCTTGCTACATTTACTCTTTAAATTTCTGACCTCAGTTTTCACCTTTTTGGTCTTTAAATAGAAGATTCTTATCCTCTATTTCCAGAGTAGACATTTGCTGGTAATATTTTGCTGAAAAAAAGGTAATCTCCTATTCCCTATTAAGATCAACTACAAAAATCTGTGAATATAACCATTCCTCCCCTTTCAGCCCTTTTCTGTGAAATACACACACACACACACACGAAACTAATTCTTGATTTCATCTATTGTTGAGTTTCCTGTTTTTTCTCAGCATCTTACATCCATTTTTTCCCACCACCCCCTTATTCAAGAAAACTGTCTTTGTGGTTTTCTGACCTAATCTATTACTAAGAGTTTCCTTTAATGGAAGAATAATGCCTAGCCAATTCTAAATGTACTTATTGTCTCAAAAAATTCAACTGATACCTATTTAACTGACTCACTATACTAATCAACACTATTCATTCCCTCTATAAAAGCAAGTTTTCTGTCTTCTACACAGCTAATAAACTACTCTTTTGCACACCTGAGAATTTTTGTTTCTATCTACTTTGTTATTTATTTACCTATTTATAAACATGTTCGTGCTTGTGGTTTTTACTTATATAATGTAATGAAATTGTGCACAAAATTGAATAAGTAGAAAAAGAAAAACCATTTTTTTCCTATGAAAACTAAGTTTCATGTTTTGGAAAACATCCAGCCACTACTTCACTTGTATTTCTGTTCTCCTGGCCAGCAAAACCTCTTGCAAGAGTTGTCTGTGCACAACAATCTCTAATTCCTCTCTCTTCTGTTTTTTTCTTGAATTTGTTCCACATAAGCTTTCATCACTACCACTCCTCCCAAACTGACCTTGCCAAGTCACCGATCCATTGGTCAATTTCCAATCTTCATCTTACTTGGCCAATCAGAATCACTTGAACAAGCTGATTATACCCCCTCTTTCTGAAATGTTTTCTTTCCTTGTGTCTGTATACGCTGTTGATTTCCAAATTTATATCTCCAGCCCAGACCTCTCTCCAGGACCCCCATATTCATATGAACCAGTCTTCTGGTCAACATCTCCACTAAAACAGTAGTCTCCCTTATCTGCCAGGGTTATGTTCCAACCCCCTCAGTGATGCCTGAAACTGCAGATAGTACTAAACCCTATGTATATGTACTGCTTTTTCAATCTGATAACTGAGATGGACACTAAGCAAGTAGCCATCCACTTGCTTAGGCAAGTAACAGGCAGGTACAACATGCAGCATGGATATGCTGGACAAAGGGATGATTCACATCCAGGGCAGAAGACAGCAGGACATCATGAGATTTCATCACGCTACTCAGAAGAGTGCTCAATTTAAAACTTACGAGTTGTTTAATTCTGGAATATTCCATTTAATATTTTCAGACTGTGGCTGGCCATGGATAAGTGAAACTGCAGAAAGTGAAACCCTAGATAAGGGAGGGTTACTGAATGTGGAAAACTGAGCTGCTGTTTCCTTCCCAACTTGCTTTACCACAGTCTTTCTCTTTCTGATAAATGGAAATTCATTTTTTCAGTACCTCTGCCCCAAAATCTTGGAAGCATTGTTGTTTCTTCTTTTTCTCTCACATTCCATATATTAGCCCATGGCAAATCACATGGAACCTACTTTCAAAACATATCCAGAATCCACCCACTTCTCAACATCATCCATCACCATCCAAGCCAAAATCAAATCTTATCTGAATCACTAAAGAGCTTCCAGATGGCTTCCAGGCTGATGTCCTTGTCCTGCTACCATCTGTTCTCAATGCAGCAGCCAGAGAGATCCTTTAATTAAGGTATCAAACACTGGTACATAGTATTTTGACTACACATCACTAGTGGGATAAGTCCTGTGTCCCAAGGACCAAAAGAATCACAGAGAAAACTTACATCATTCAGTAGACGTTTCATTAGCAATAATATATATGCACATATGTATATATAAAACAATTATATACAACATATATATGGGAAGTAAATACATAATTATATTAATGTCATTGAGAACTAAGATTTTCAGTGTAAAAGAGAAACAAGCATAAAATTAACATGTTAAATAAAAACTTTGTTCCCTTTACTTTGAAATGAAATTATCAATATGAGCTCATACTTTGTCTCTTTCTCAAAATGGATATATTTTCTAGCATTGGATACTAAAAAAATCAGAAAGTTATGAAAAACACAGTAGCAAGCAGAAGTACTGGAGAGAGGTCTGGGTTGGAGATATAAATTTGGAAGCCAACAGTGTGTACAGACTCAAGGGAAGAAAACGTTTCAGAAAGAGGGGGTGTAATCAGCTCGTTCAAGTGATTCTGATTGGCCAAGCTGTCAGTCAACAGATAATAAAGGGAATAGAGGAGGATTTTAAATAACACCACAAGGATGTAATTGGCCAAACCCAGAAGGTGGGAAATTCTACAAGATGAATTGCCCAGTCTGTTTAATAAATTAATATGCACTCTTAAATGGGGGAGGGAAATGGTTGTAAATTAAAGGAAATTTAAGATACATATATTTTTAATGCAATGTGCAAATCTTGATTAGAACAAATCAATTATAAAACTACATTTTAAAGAAAATCATGGAAAATTAAACTTCTGATCGATATTGGATGATATGAAAAATTACTCAGTTGTGTCAGGTAGGATGATGGTATGATAGTTGTGTTTTTTAATGTTCTTTTTAGAGTTACAGACTGAAAGATTTAGAGATACAGACTGAAAGATTTACAGACAAAATTATACAAACTCTGGAATTCGCTTTAAAGTACACTTTTTTTTTAATGGGTAAATAGATGAAATAAGAACAGCAGAATGTTGATAGTTGTTGAAGTTGGGTAATGGGTAAGTAGGGGTTAATTGTATTATTAGCCCTAGTTTTACATATCTTTGAAATTTTCCATAAGAGAACATTCCAAACACACTGGCTGGCTTGCTGCTTTTCTTTTCTTTTCTTTTTTTTTCTTGATTCATTCCTTTTTTTTATTTTATTTTATTTTTATTGATCATTCTTGGGTGTTTCTCGCAGAGGGGGATTTGGCAGGGTCATAGGACAATAGTGGAGGGAAGGTCAGCAGATAAACAAGTGAACAAAGGTCTCTGGTTTTCCTAGGCAGAGGACCCTGCGGCCTTCCGCAGTGTTTGTGTCCCTGGGTACTTGAGATTAGGGAGTGGTGATGACTCTTAACGAGCATGCTGCCTTCAAGCATCTGTTTAACAAAGCACATCTTGCACCGCCCTTAATCCATTTAACCCTGAGTGGACACAGCACATGTTTCAGAGAGCACAGGGTTGGGGATAAGGTCACAGATCAACAGGATCCCAAGGCAGAAGAATTTTTCTTAGTACAGAACAAAATGAAAAGTCTCCCATGTCTACTTCTATCCACACAGACCCGGCAACCATCCGATTTCTCAATTTTTTCCCCACCCTTCCCGCCTTTCTATTCCACAAAACCGCCATTGTCATCATGGCCCATCCCCAATGAGCCGCTGGGCACACCTCCCAGACGGGGTCCTGGCCGGGCAGAGGGGCTCCTCACTTCCCAGTAGGGGCGGCCGGGCAGAGGCGCCCCTCACCTCCTGGATAGGGCGGCTGGCCGGGCGGGGGGCTGACCCTCCCACCTCCCTCCCGGACGGGGCGGCTGGCCGGGCAGAGGGATCCTCACTTCCCAGTAGGGGCGGCCGGGCAGAGGCGCCCCTCACCTCCCGGACGGGGCGGCTGGCCAGGCGGGGGGCTGATCCCCCCACCTCCCTCCCGGACGGGGCGGCTGGCCGGGCAGGGGGCTGACCCCCCCACCTCCCTCCCGGACGGGGCGGCTGGCCGGGCGGGGGGCTGACCCCCCCACCTCCCTCCCGGACGGGGCGGCTGGCCGGGCGGGGGGCTGATCCCCCCACCTCCCTCCCGGACTGGGCGGCTGGCCGGGCGGGGGGCTGACCCCCCCCCACCTCCCTCCCGGACGGGGCGGCTGGCCGGGCAGAGGGGTCCTCACTTCCCAGTACGGGCGGACGGGCAGAGGCGCCCCTCACCTCCCGGACGGGGCGGCCGGCCGGGCGGGGGGCTGACCCCCACCACCTCCCTCCCGGACGGGGCGGCTGGCCGGGCAGGGGGCTGACCCCCCCTCCCCCCTCCCGGACGGGGTGGCTGGCCGGGCAGAGGGGCTCCTCACTTCCCAGTACGGGCGGCCGGGCAGAGGCGCCCCTCACCTCCCGGACTGGGCGGCTGGCCGGGCGGGGGGCTGACCCCCCCACCTCCCTCCCGGACGGGGCGGCTGGCCGGGCAGAGGGGCTCCTCACTTCCCAGTAGGGGCGGCCGGGCAGAGGAGCCCCTCACCTCCCGGACGGGGCAGCTGGCCGGGCGGGGGGCTGACCCCCCCCCACCTCCCTCCCGGACGGGGTGGCTGCCGGGCGGAGACGCTCCTCACTTCCCAGACGGGGTGGCCGCCGGACGGAGGGGCTCCTCACTTCTCAGACGGGGCGGTTGCCAGGCAGAGGGTCTCCTCACCTCTCAGACGGGGCGGCCGGGCAGAGACACTCCTCACCTCCCAGACAGGGTTGCGGCCCAGCAGAGGCGCTCCTCACATCCCAGACAGGGCGGCGGGGCAGAGGTGCTCCCCACATCTCAGACGATGGGCGGCCGGGCAGAGACGCTCCTCACTTCCTAGATGGGATGGCGGCGGGGAAGAGGCGCTCCTCGCCTCCTAGATGGGATGGCGGCCGGGCAGAGACGCTCCTCACCCTCCAGACTGGGCAGCCAGGCAGAGAGGCTCCTCATATCCCAGACGATGGGGGGCCAGGCAGAGACGCTCCTCACTTCCCAGACGGGGTGGCGGCCGGGCAGAGGCTGCAATCTCGGCACTTTGGGGGGCCAAGGCAGGCGGCTGGGAGGTGGAGGTTGTAGCGAGCCGAGATCACGCCACTGCACTCCAGCCTGGGCACCACCGAGCACCGAGTGAACGAGACTCCGTCCGCAATCCCGGCACCTCGGGAGGCCGAGGCCGGCGGATCACTCGCGGTCAGGAGCTGGAGACCAGCCCGGCCAACACAGCAAAACCCCGTCTCCACCAAAAAAAAAAAACGAAAACCAGTCAGGCGTGGCGGCGTGCGCAGGCACTCGGCAGGCTGAGGCAGGAGAATCAGGCAGGGAGGTTGCAGTGAGCCGAGATGGCAGCAGTACCGTCCAGCTTTGGCTCGGCATCAGAGGGAGACCGTGGAAGGAGACCGTGGAGAGAGAGGGAGAGGGAGGGGGAGGGGGAGGGAGAGGGGGAGAGGGAGAGGGAGAGGGAGAGGGAGAGGGAGAGGGAGAGGGAGAGGGAGAGCGGCTTGCTGCTTTTCAAGGCCTTTGCACATGCTGTTCCTTTTACCTAGGATGTTCTCCCCAGATATTTCTATGTTTCACTCTCCCTCTTTCTTTAGGTCTTTGCTAAGAGGACACCTTCCAGTAAAGCCTCCTGTTTTAGTCATTTTCTGTTGCTTATAGCAGAATACCTGAAGCTGGGTAATTTATTTTAAAAATGAATTTATTCCTTAAAGTTATGGAGGCCAAAAAGTCCAAGGTTTAGGGGACACATCTGGTGACAGCCTTCTTGCTTACCAGAACTCCGCAGAGTCCTGAGGCAGGACAGGGCATCACACGGTGAGGAGGGTGAGCATGCTAGCTCAAGTCCCTTTTCCTCTCCTTGTAAAGCCTGCCATTTCATTCCAAGGATAACCCATTGATCCATTAACCCATTAGCGTATTAATCAGTAATCCATGAATGGATTAATCCATTCATGAGGGCAGATCTCTCATGACCCAGTCACCTCCTAAAGGGCCAATCTCTCATCCTGCCACTTCTGGGATTACATTTCAAACATGAGTTTTGGAGGGGACAAATGTGCAAACCATAGCATCTTCTTTACTTTAGGTTTCCATACCTAAAAAAGAAATCCCCAAAGTTTATGGCTTTTTATCGCCCTGAGAAACTAACCACTTTTAAATGTACTCGGTGCCTCAAGATGTTCTTTGAACTGAGTTTATCATCTTGCTGATTCCTTCATAAATGAGTAAGTTGTAAACACTACACAGCACTCTTTTTAATACTTTCCACCATCTGCCATACTATGTATTTTTCTGTTTCAATGTCTGTCTCCCCTACTAGAATATAAGTTCCATGTGAGCAAGAATTTCATCTGTTTTGTTTACTGCTATATCTCCAGGATCTAAAAGAGTTTCTGGGACATCATAGGAGCTCAATACATATTTATTGAATAGATATCTTACAAAAATACCTAAAACGTGGAAATAAGGCAAAAAGATGGGCAGCATGTCTTTTCAGAGTCACACTGGGGTACTGTTTGCCAGGTTTACCAAGAATTACTTAATTATCTGGTAAAACATATATTTGTCTTTTCTATTTACCATTCATTAATAACTCTATGAAGTTTTATTCGAACCTTATGAAGTTAGATGGTAACTTGGAGATCTTTTCTGTTAAGTATGCAAATAATTTCTGTCTGATAAAAAAGAAATCCCCAACGTTTATAGCTTTTTATTGCCCTGAGAAACATTAACCAGTTTTATATCTACTCAGAGCCTCAAAATATTCTCTGAACTAAGTTTGTCATTTTGCTGATTCCTTCATAAATGAGTAAATCAATCTTTGATGTGTGTTGATTCTGCATGCTATGAAAGCCACGCTCTTACCTTTTTGAAAACTGATGTTAAATTGTGATGAGCTGGGCAAATTCAGCTGTTACTCTTGCCTATTCACTATTCGGGGTCCTGATTCTGATGTGTGTTTACACAGCACACACCTACCCCCGTGCAACAAGTCTGTTCTTCATCAGCAGAGAACACTCAGATGCACCCCACCTCCCATCAGATTCATCCAAGCTAAGCAGCCCCAGGACCTTGACTCTCTTCATCTGGCTTCTCATCCTGCCTCCCCTCTGTTTGGGGACCTGCGCTCATATGTCAGTCACTTTTTTTTAAAGTAAGCTCCCAGGACTGAAGGTGCATGGAATGATGATGGGATCTTCCTGGGGGCGGATAACGTGTCAGGTTTCCCTGTTTCGGCTGACAAACAACATGTTTCTAATGCAGAATCACAAGGAAATGTCACCTCTCAGAGCAACTCCAACCAATTGGTAGCATCTCCATGGTGCACTGGGTGGAAGATTCTGAGGCTGAACCAGGCTCATCCAATATGCTCTGAACAATCAGCAATGCCCATCATGGGCACAGTACTAGGAGTGCCAGGTGCATGCTGCATACTTCCTGACCCAGCTCTAAGAAGTGATTGTTAAGGTGAGATCAAATATAGGAGATCAGTCAGAGTAGTGGGAGAACCGATAGGGAAAGAAGAAGACCTTTTGAAAGGTCAGAAGGCTCTGCAAAGCTTCGGGGGAGAATAAGCTGAAGGCAGCTGTTCTCTTACCCTGACGCAGAGGGCGAGGAGTGGGTACAAGGGAATGTAGGGGAGTTTGTCTAAATAAGCTTGTTTACTTCCGGAAACCAACCTTTCATCATCCTCTGGCGAGACTGCTCCCTGCACGGCGGAACAACAATGTTAATTACCCACAGACTGCGTTGGCTCCAGGCTTTCGGCATTATGTCTGTACTGAATAAAAGTGAGCAGCTCCAGTTTATTGAGACTGCTGACTCTTCGGCAGTCCCCTAGCCGCTCTTTCACTGCGTACCTGTGTCTGAGTACTCCTTTCATCTGTCGCTCAGCCAGGGTCTGCAGGGCAGACCCGGCAATTAAACCACAAGGAACACGTCCTGGCAACCAGGAGAGGACGTGGCATTCTGCCGCTTTACCTACAAAGATTCGTAATCATTCCTGAAGTACAAAGACAAGGCGTCGTGACTCCCTAAAAGGAGGCCAGTGACCCTGAAGCCTCAGGACTCACCTTTGAGGTCTACAGAAAAATGAGCAGACACCCTGTCCCTGCAAGTATCCCTGTGCCCAAGAGGGCTCAACATTAAATAGCAACCAAACACCAGCATGGCAGGTGGAGGAAGAGACCCTGGAAGAAAGGAAAAGCTGTTTCCTGCTTTTTGAAAAATGAGCCCCACATTTTCATTCTGTACTAGGCTCCATAAATTACATAGCCAGAGTGACTATAGAATATCACCAAATTACTTAATCTCTCTCAGGGTCCATTTCCCCAACCCTAATGAGAGGAGACAACGTGCTGGTGGCCCTCGCTCGCTCTCAGTGCCCCCCGGCCTCTGCGCGCCCACTCTGGCCGTGCTTGAGGAGCCCTTCAGCCCACAGCTGCACTGTGGGAGACCCTCTCTGGGCTGGCCCAGGCCGGAGTCGGCTCCCTCTGCTTGAGCGGAGGTGTAGAGAGAGAGGCGCTCGTGGGCCAGCGCGAGTTCCAGGTGGGCGTGGGCTCCCCAGGCCGCACTCTGAGCGGCCGGCGAGCGCAGCAGGCCCCGGACAGTGAAGGGCTTAGCACCCAGGCCAGCAGCTGTGGAGGGTGTGCCAAGTCCCCCAGCAGTGCTGGCCCACTGGCGCTGCGCTCCAATTCTTGCTGGGCCTCAGCTGCCTCCCCGCGGGGCAGGGCTTGGGACCTGTAGCCCACCATGCCTGAGCCTCCCCCCACCCTCCCTGCCGTGGGCTCCTGTGCCGCTGGAGCCTCCCCGACGAGCACCGCGCCCTGCTCCCTGGCGTCCCATCCACCGTCCAAGGGCTGAGGAGTGCGGGTGCATAGCAGGTGACTGGCAGGCAGCTCCGCCTGCTGACTTGGTGCACAATCGGCTAGGTGAAGCCAGCTGGGCTTCTGAGTCTAGTGGGGACTTGGAGAACATTTATGTCTAGCTAAGGGATTGTAAATACACCAATCAGCACTCTGTGTCTGGCTCAAGGTTTGTAAACGGACCAATCAGCACCCTGTGTCTAGCTCAAGGTTTGTAAATGCACCAATCAGTGCTCTGTGTCTAGCTAATCTACTAGGGACTTAGAGAATCTTTATGTCTAGCTAAGGGATTGTAAATACACCAATCAGCACTCTATGTCTAGCTCAAGGTTTGTAAACACACCAATCAGCACTTTGTGTCTAGCTCAAGGTTTGTAAATGCACCAATCAGCACCCTGTCAAAACGGACCAATCAGCTCTCTGTAAAACAGACCAATCAGCCCTCTGTAAAATGAACCAATCAGCAGGATGTGGGTGGGGCCAGATAAGGGAATAAAAGCAGGCTGGGGGGAGCCAACACTGGCAACCCATTGGCGTCCCGTTCTACACTTCTACACTGGGGAAGCTTTGTTCTTTTGCTCTTTGCAATAAATCTTGCTGCTGCTCACTCTTTGGGTCCACAGTGCTTTTATGAGCTGTAACACTCACCACGAAAGTCTGCAGCTTAACTCCTGAGCACAGTGAGACCATGAACCCACCAGGAGGAACGAACAACTCCAGATGGGAGGAACGAACAACTCCAGACGCGCTGCCTTAAGAGCTGTAACACTCACCGTGAAGGTCTGCAGCTTCACTCCTGAAGCCAGCGAGACCACGAGCCCACCAGAAGGAAGAAACTCCGAACATGTCCAACACCAGAAGGAACAAACTCTGGACACACCACCTTTAAGAACTGTAACACTCACCACGAGGGTCCACAGCTTCATTCTTGAAGTTAGTGAGACCAAGAACCCACGAATTCCGGACCCACTAAGATGTGATTGCTGGAACTTTCCTGACAGGATTCAGAGAAAGTTTAAAAAGAACCAACTATGTAGTTTCCAGCACATTGCAGGCAACCTGTAAACATTGATTCCCAACTTTTTTCCCTCCAAAATATCTAAACTGACATTTGGCAGCTGTTTTTCAAGAGTCCTAAGACAAAGAAGAAAGGAAGAAGCAGAGAAGCCATGAGTGTTTATTGTGATAAAAAAAAAAAGAAAAGGAACGTTCTCCAGGCTGAACACCACCACTGCTTGCAGAGCTATTATGACACCAGAACAAGGAGCAAGTGTGTGTTTTGAGCAGTGGGTTCCACTGACCTTGCTGGGAACAGTGTCTGAAGCAAAACACAAGGCCAAAAGGTATAGAAATAGGTATCTTCTTCTCCCTCTCCTGATATCTGTTGTTTCCCACTGAGCCTTTTCATCCACTCTGGGGGCTTCCAAACAGCCTTTGCTTCAAGAAGATTCTATTCCCTGGCTGTATTCTCCCTGATACCCTGGTAGCACCCCAAGCTCCCAGAATTAGCTAATTTGCGTAAGTACTCCACTCTACCCTTCCTTCCACAGGTAACTGAGACCTATAGTCTCACTTCCCCATTTGTAACTATAGCAGCACCCAGGCCCCACACCTGGAAGGCCTGTTTCACTTCCCCTTCCACATTCAATCTGTCTCAGGTGCACCTGAGATTTTTTTTTTTTAAGACAGAGTCTTGCTCTGTCACCCAGGCTGGAGTGTAGTGGCGTGAGCTCAGCTCATTGCAACCTCCGCCTCCCAGGTTCAAGCGATTCTCCTGCCTCAGCCTCCTGAGTAGCTGGGACTACAGGTGCACGCAACCACACCCGGCTAATTTTTGTATTTTTAGTAGAGACGGGGTTTCACCATGTTTGCCAGGATGGTCTCAATCCCCTGACCTCGTCATCCACCCACGTCAGCCTCCCAAAATGCTGGGATTACAGGTGTGAGCCACCGTGCCTCGCCTGCACCTAAGATTCTTAGAACCCCAGAACAAAAGGTAGGACTGAAGGAAGCCTTCAATCATAACACTAAGCATTAAGAAGACACAGGTAAGCATGAAGCTTTCCAGCACTCTACTGAATCTCATGGTCTCAGTGAGGACACTGATGTTGAGCAGGTGGTCATTCCATCACTCCAGGGGAAAAACATGCTGGAATTCTGTCCTGTGCAAAATGGTCACCCTCATAGTCTCTTGTGTGCTGAGAAGGTCCAGCTGTGGACAGACCAAGAGGAAGTCCAGACCCTCTCACCAGCAGAATCCTCCCCAAGATCCCCAAACCTTTAAGGGTTTAGTCAATCAATTGGCCAATCTTCCCTGGCAGTAGCATCTTACCTGACCGCCAGGATTTTCTCAGCAGGGTAACACACACTCTCCAGAGCACCCTCTTGTTGAAATTCTACCTTTAAAGGAAGACCTGAAATGCTATTTCTTTCTTAAAGTGCTTCCTGACTCTGCCCCACCACATGGGGCACGTCTGCATCTCCATGGCATTGTGCTGGTACTCCACTCACATATTCAGCAATTCACATAGTCTTTCTTGTTTGATAGGGGTACATTTCTTACATCCCTGCAGAATCTAGCGCAGCACTAACTGCACAGAAGCAATGGCTCCTTCCTCAGTGACCTCTTGGCTGTGTACAGGCCTCTTTTTCATTACAGATCACATGGTGTTGCGTTGCTCTGTTCCCAGGTTGGTCCTCCGCATACCTCCCACTGCAGGATCCTGGAGATCAATGCTTGTGTTTCTTCATTTGTGAATCTCCCATGTCTCACCCTAGCATTAGGCAGACAGCTAAGTCTTTGCTAAGTGTTTGCATAAATTTGCTGTTTTGCTCATGTTGTACTAACAAGTTTTGCTGAGTAGACCCTGAGAAAATCCTACAGTCATTAAAATGGGAGGCATGGGGAAGTAAAAATGGAGAATTGGCTCCCAAGAAATCCTGCCAGAAATTTTGAAGAGGAAGTTAAATAAAAAAGAAATCGACATGAACATGAATCAGAAAAGATGGTCCTTGTGGGCACAGAAGTGATCATTAGAACGTAAGGTAAGACAGATGAAAGATTTTCTCTGATTAAGTCTCCCACAATTTCTACTTATGTTCAACCAGCATGATGTGGACTCAAGGCAGCTCAATATAGCAAGCTTCTATTAAGAGACTGTTAGGTGATAAGCAATGTGTTAGACAACTGGAGATGCAGAAGTGAATAAAATAGTCCTTCCCCACAGGGCCCCCACCTTGTCTTGGGGCAGGGATAAGGGGAGCTCTCAGAAATGCCTGCTCCCATCCCTGCATGCTTGCCTAGACCACCAGCAGTCTGCAGCTATCGTCAGTACCTGCAATCACCATCATCCATGGAGAGGGCTGGTTTTCACCCAGGTGAGATTAGTGGAACTGAAGTTACACTCTCTGGATATCTTCCTAAATTCCCAGCTTCCCCTAGGTGCTGGCTCTCCATTCCCTCCTGCAGGCCCCACCCCACCCCTGACATCACCTGGGTCCGTCCTGACTATCACCAGACACTGGGCTCCCTCCCACAGTACCGAGATGCTGTCAGCTCTGACAGTCAGCAAACGCTTTGTTGAGTCTTGGCCATGTGTATTTCAGGTCTCATGTGCCCAGAGACATCTTGGTCAGAAGGCAGCTCTTGTGTGTGGCCCTTGAGACAGCAGAACCAGAGGTGATCTGTTCAGGAATATTCCGCATGTAATGCCCCTGGTTCAACTCAAAGAACCAACCTGGTAACGCCAAGAACAAGCTTCAATACTCACCTACCCACACTAAAAAACTTGCAGAAAGTGAGTTTCTCTGGAGACCCTTACTACTATACTGTGGCACTATTACTAAGACTGTGTGACAGGCAGGAGAGGGGAGTTCTAAAGGAGACTGTTAGTGCAGGCAAGATGGACTTGGGAGAAATTGTTGAGAGATGTTTGGAAAAGGACAACCAAGGAAAAGGAACAGTGAGGAAGATAAAGTGCTACAACCTCTAAAGAAATACTAAGGACCTACTACACAAAGGAAAAATTAACAGTTTCTATGCTCAAGACAGAAATTGAGGGTTTGGGGAGTAATGGTATTAGGTCGTTCACTGGGGAAGTATATTTATTACAACTTTGTTTATGTTATTTTTAATACCCTGGCTTATATACCATTCATTTAATTCAGCTAAATATTTAATGACTATTGTATTTCAGGCACTATTCTAGGTCCTCAAGATATATCATTAAACAAAAGTCCCTAGGCTCAAGAAGACATTCCAGGAGGCATGTATTAGATTTTTATCATCTTAAAAGCTAATTGATAAAAGGTAATAAAATAAGTGTAAGAGAAGGACAAAAGAAAGACCAGAAGAAAATGAAAACAGAAAAGCTAACAAATCCAGATGTAAAGGGTAAAAACTGTCTACATTATTTTTGCTACTTCCTCCATGGAGGGGTGGAGTTTGTTTCTCCTTCTTTTGAATCTGGGCTGGTCCGGTGATTGTTTTAACCTATAGAATCTGTGGAAGGGAAGCTGTGCCAGTTGTGGATCTGAAGCTTTGAGTGGGCTTGCCAGGCTCCACTTTTGAGAGTTTAGAAACCTTGAAGAAATTCACCTCCACCAGGGAGAGACCATATGGAGAGGCCACATGGATAGAGAGAGGCCGTGTGGCAACACAGAGAGGAAGGGAGGCCTGACCAGCCCAGCTGAGCCCAGGAGCCATCGTGTTAAGTGGGACATCTTGGATGTTCCTGCCAAGACAATGTTGCAGATGCCTACACCCCCAGCTGACACCAAGTGAAACAGGCCACTCAGCTGATCCCAGTCAAACCACAGAACCATGGCAGACAATAAATGATTGTTGTTTTAAGTCACTAAATTTTAGGGTGGTTGTTTATTATGCAGCAACTGATGACCAAAACAGAAAGTGATACTTGGAAGTGAGGTCTTGTGTAACAAAACCTTAAAACATGTACGTGATGATTAATTTTAAGTGGCAATTCGCCCAGGCATGGTATCCAGATATTTGGTCAAACACATCTAGTTGTGATGTGAAGGTATTTTTTAGATTTTAAGTCAGGAGACTCGGTGTAAAGCATGTTACCCTTCATAATGTGGTGGGCCTCATCCAATCAGTTGAAGGCCTTAAGAGAAAGACCAAGGTCCCAGAAGTAAAAGAGAATTCTGCCAGAGACTGCCTTTGGACTCCAGCTGCAACATCAACTCTTCCCTGGGTCTCCAGGCTGCTGGCCTGTCCAGCAGATTTGGGGCTTGCCCGACTTCACAATGATATAAGCCAATTTCTTAAAATCTCTTTCTCTCTATTAATGTATTTATATTATGTTATATAAATGTTGTTTCTCTGGAGACCCTTACTACTATACTGTAGCATTAGTACTAGGAATGTGTGACAGGCAGGAGAGGAGAGGTCTAAAGGAGACTGTTAGTGCAGGCAAGATGGACTTGGGGGAAATTGTTAGCAACTAGAAGAAAGGCAGACCCTATTATGTCCTGGTAAAAAGTTTGGTAACACTGTCACCTGTCACAATACAAAGTGCAGAAAATATACCTAATGATCTTATAGGTTTGGTAAGGAGATTTCCAGGCAGAATGTTGAAAGTGCCAACTCACTTCTTTTTTTGGTTTGGTTTGGTTTGGTTTTGAGACGGAGTCTTACTCTCTTGGCCAGGCTGGATCTTGGTTCAGTGCTACCTCCTCCTCCTGGGTTCAAGCGATTCTCCCACCTCAGTCTCCAGAGTAGCTGGGATTACAGGCACGCGCCACAACACCCGGCTAATTTTGTATTTTTAGTAGAGACGGAGTTTCAGCATGTTGGCCAGGCAGGTCTTGTACTCCTGACCTTAAGTGATCCACCTGCCTGGGCCTCCCAAAGTGCTGGGATTACAGGTGTGAGCCACAGTGCCTGGCCCAACTCACTTCTTTTAGCTGTTTCTGATAAGGTGCAGAAAGAAAGAGAGAAAATAATTCTTTATTTTTTTAAAAGCAGAATCAAGAGCAAACATTTCCATGCCAGGATTTGTTGGGTTTGAAAATAAAACTGTCATTGTTAGTCTTTCCAAAGAATATCAAAAAAGAAATAGTCTCAAGGCAATGATCGAGTCCAGAGTGCTGCCAGTAAAACATGTTCACAAGGTCAAGATTTCAGGGATGTGGCTGTAAGACTGTATGTGTGTGTGTGTGTGTGTGTGTGTGTGTGTGTGTGTGTGTGTGTGTGTGAGAGAGAGAATATTATCTAAAATATATAAAAATCTCCCATAAGAAATAAATAAGCAGCTCAATAGAAAGTATCAAGTATCTGGACAGGAAAATCACAGAAAAAAATATAAATGGCAAATAAACATATACAAGATGCTTAGACTCACTGATACTGAGGGAACAATTAGATGCTCTTTTTTCTCTTAAGTAAAAAAGTTGAAAATATTCAGCATTCAAGAGATTGTGGGAAAGCATCCCCTCTGATAGACTGATGATGGGAGAGTAAAATGGCACAACTATTTTGGAGTATATATGGAATACCTGGAATTTGGAAAAATCAAAACTTAAAATATGCATAATTCTCCCTTTTACTCAGCAGTTTCATCACTAGAAATCTATCCTACAGAAATACTCCCATATGTACACACAATGTATGTATGAAGATTTTCATTGCATCATGTTTCTCCCAACTAAGGTGAAAATTTCATGAGTGAGAACTTCGTCATTCACTCTTGTGTCATCAGTAGCTAGATCACTGTCTGGAACATAGTGGGTGCTCAACAGATACTTGTTGGATGAATGAATGGGATTGAAAAATTGGAAACAAGCTAATTTCCTGTCAATAGGAAATGGTTACATCTAGTTTATGAAATACTATGGGCTGTCAAAAGAAATGAGATAGATCTTTATGTACTCACATTGAAAGATCTTCAAGACCAGTGTTACTTTTTTTTTTTTTAATGAGGTTGCTTTCTAACATTACCATTTCATTTTGGATTTCACTTCATACTTTACAATACAGCCTGGAGGAACGCCTCAACTTCTAGTTTCTCTCTCCATTAAGTATCTAATTATGTGTAAATAGAACAACTAACGGGACGCTGGGAAGCCCAGGAGGCAAACATTTTGCAACCGGAACTGTTGAGTGTGCTCGGAGAGGCGAGGGAGGTCTATTTGCTCGTTTCCTCGGATTGCTTAAATGCGGGATTTTGCTATCCCAAAGCACAGAGTGTAAAGTAGCAGCTCCCCCTGCCTGCCTTCCCGGCTTCTTCTGTTTTACAAGCAACGATAATTTCCCGGTGAAAGCGAGGCCTGGGAATCAAATCCAAAAAGTGGTTGTTCCCTTTAGGAGAGGTTAGTAGCTGGAAAGGAGCATGAGAAAACTGGAAGGTCCCATAGACTAATGTGTTTTTTTTCCAAGGTTTGTACAGATTCACCGAGTTGCTGCGCCTTATCATCTAAGTAATGTCTCGGTTTTAGAAGTTGACATTGTTTTGTTAATTACTTCTCTGGTCACATGCATTTCAGGCCGCGCAAAAAGAATCGGAGTGCTGCTTTATATAAATGAATAAAACTAAGTTCCGTGGTTTGGCCCTTCTACACCCTCCTCCCCTACCACAGGCTTTGCAAACCACTTAAGTGTCCTCTGTAACCGTCCGGGGGCACTTTCGGGTCAGAGACAGCGGGCGGAAACCGCAGAAAAAGTTGAAAATGTCAGCGACACCCTGCATCTGCGAGTTCTATTCCGTCCCTGAAGCGGTGAAGCGGGCTGAGCGCGCCGAGGGTGGGCTGCAGCCCGGCGAGGGGCTGGGCTCAGGGCACCTTGCCCAGAAGGCGGGCATCGGTGCCAAGTGTTCACCGGCTACGCAGCAGAGCCACCGAGCAGCGCCCCCCCCCGCCTCCCGCGGGCACGCTCGGTGCCAAGGCCAGCTGCTCCTGAAAGCGGCCCGCGGAGCCCCGAGCCCGGGACTCCCTACTCAGCACCACCCGGCGGGCTCTCGGCTGACCCGCCACGGAAGATGCCCGGTTCCGGGCGATCCGGGCGGCTTCCCTGCGCGCGGGGCCCTGCTGTCCCCGCAGTGCCCACCGGTGCGCCTTAGTCGCCAACCCACCTCATCTCAGGATGAATTTCAGTGTACTTGACGCATCGCGCCAGGACGGTCTCGGGAAAGCGCTTGGTGGTGCCCGGACCGCTCCACTGCTGGCGCCACCTCGGGACGACCACCGCGAGCACCACGACGAGGATCAGGACCAGGATACTGACGCCAAGACAGAGTTGGGCTCTCCTAGAGAGCCGGCAGCAGGGTTTGTCCCCGGACACCGGGCTGAACTCGCAGTTGGCCATAGGGCTCCAGGCGGGGTTGGCTGGGCGAAGATGAGGCCGGCAGGAGGCTAGGCAGCAAGAGAGAGGCTGGCTGGGTTCTGAAACTGCACCTCCCCTTCTGTTTCACTTGCCTTTTCTCTGTTTCCCTTCCCACCCCCAACCCCTTGCCTCAGAGTTCCGTGGCTGGTTACACCAATAAGAGTTTAAAAGACCAACAACTATAGGCTCCTGTGCAGTGACCCACCCACTCCACCTCCAGGGAGAAACAGCCACCTTAATCCTCTGCAGGTGTCCTAAGGGGGCAGACAGTACATCCTTATACTCCCTCCGCTAACTCCCTTCATCAACCGGGCACTTTACACCTGAGCCACATTTGCTTCCTGGAAAGCATGAGGGTGGGCTGCCTGCTTCTATACGTGTGTGCACACAATGCCCTCTGCCTGGAAAAGGATGTCCTACCTCTCTTTCTTAACTCTGACAAATGCCTGGTCAACCACCTTTAAAGACTCAACTTAAGTCTGACTCCTTCTCTCAAGAGGCATCAGTGGCTAAGCTCTGGGTTCAAATTTAGTTCTTGCTGGATGACATGGGGCAAGTTACTTAACCTCTCTGTACTTCAGATGTAAAGCCGGGATAGTAGCAGTACCTACTTCATGGGATTGTTACGAGGATTAAGTGAGTTAATATCTACAACGTGTTTAGCACAATACCTGGCACATGGTAATCACCCAGTAAATGTAAGTTGTTACTACCAGCTCTAGGAGCTGCTCAGAGATGCAATTTTATAGTCCATGGAATGTGTTTGAAGCAGGGTCTGGCACACAGTAATAATACTGCACTCTATGCGGGAGTTTAATAAATAATAAAGTGGCTTTTCTTGCCTCTTCTTTATTAAGAGAACATCTGTGACATTCAAGCAGAGACCTAAGTAATGTGAGCGATCAAGTCACCCAACTCCCTTGGGGCAAACATTTCCCAAGCAGAGGAAATGGCAGGTGCAAAGACTCTGAGGCAGAAAAGCTCTTGGCCTGTTCCAGAGCAGCAAGGAGGCCAATTGTAGTTAGGCTAGAGGGTTGAGGGAAACAGAACAGAAGTTCGGAAAGTAGCAGGAGACCAGATCACCCATAGCTCTGTAAGACAGGATGACTTTTTGGACTGTGTGTTTTATTTATTTTTTATCTTTTTTATTTTGTTTTAAGTTCTGGGATACATGTACAGGACGTGCAGAGTTGTTACATAGGTAAATGTGTGCCATGGTGGTTTGCTGCACCTATCAATCCATTGCTTAGGTATTAAGCCCCTCATGTTTTAGCTATTCTTTCTGATGCTCTCCCTCCCTCCACTCTCCCCAACAGGCCCCAGTGTGTGTTGTTCCCCTCCCTGTGTTCATTGTTCAGCTCCCACTTATAAGTGAGAACATGCAGTGCTTGGTTTTCTGTTCCTGTGTTAGTTTGCTGAGGATAATGGCTTCCAGCTCCATCCATGTCCCTGCAAAGGACATGATCTCGTTCCTTTTTGTGGCTGCACAGTATTCCCTGGTGTATATGTACCACATTGTCTTTATCCAGTCTGTCATTGATGGGCATTTGGGTTGATTCCATGTCATTGCTATTGTGAATAGTGCTACAATGAACATATGCATGCATGTATCTTTATAACAGAATGATTTATATTCCTTTGGGTATATACCCAGTAATGAGATTGCTGGGTCAAATGGTATTTCTGGTTCTAGATCTTTGAGGAATCCCCATACTGTCTTCCACAATGGTTGAACTAATTTACACTCCCATCAACAGTGTAAGTGTTCCTATTTCTCCACAACCTCACCAGCATCTGTTGTTTATTGACTTTTTAATGATCACCATTCTGACTGGCATGAGATGATATTTCATTGTGGTTTTGGTTTGCATTTTTCTAATGATCAATGATGTTGAGCTTTTTTTCATATGTTTGTTGGCTATATAAATGTCTTCTTTTGAGAAATATCTGTTCATGTCCTTTGCCCACTTTTTAATGGGGTTGTTTATTTCTTATAAATTAGTTTAAGTTCCTTGTAGATTCTGGATATTAGACCTTTGTCAGATGGATAGATTTTGAAAATGTTCTCCCATGCTGTAGGTTGTCTGTTCACCCTGATTATAGTTTCTTTCGGTGTGCAGAAGTTCCTGAGTTTAATTGGATCCCATTTGTCATTTTCGCTTTTGTTGGAATTGCTTTTGACATTTTCATTATGAAATCTTTGCCCATGCCTATGTCCTGAATGGTATTGCCTAGATTTTCTTCTAGGGTTTTTATAGTTTTGGGTTTTACATTTTAAATCTTTAATCCATCTTGAGTTAATTTTTGAAAAAGGTGTAAGGAAGGGATCCAGTTTCAATTTTCTGCGTATAGCTAGCCAGTTTTCCCAGCACCATTTATTAAATAGGGAATCCTTTCCCCATTGCTTGTTTTTGTCAGGTCTGTCAAAGATCAGATGGTTGTAGATGTGAGTCTTATTTCTGAGATCTCTATTCTGTTTCATTGGTCTATGTGCCTGTTTTTGGATTTTATTTTTAACCCATTCGTGTGCATTTTATTTTTACCCATACAAGTCACCAAATGACTTGATCTGGCATATTATTTTAAAGGATCAATCTGGCTTTGGTATTAAGAATAAATTGTAGGAGGATAAGGATGGAGAACAGTTACAATGGCTGTAGTAGCAGTAATGAAGGTGGCAAAGAAAAAAAAAGATGGATTCTGAATAGAGTTTGAAGGTAGCAGCAGCAGGATTTGCTGATGAATTGGATGTAGCATTTGCAAGAAAGAGATGAGTCAAAGATGATGCCAAGATTTTTTATTTGTGTAACTGACCAAAGGAAGGAAAGCACTGCAATCTACAGTGATGGGAAAACGGGAGGTGAAGTAGATTTGGTCTTGGGAAGAGGCATGAATCAAGAATTTGGTTTTTGATGTGCTAAGTTTGAGATGTCTATTAGACCCCCAACAGGAGGCATCAAGGAGCCACTTGGGTATAAGCTTCTGGAGTTTGGGCAAGGGATTAATGCTGGAGACACTAATAAGGGAGACCTTAGATATGGACAGTTCTTAAAGCCAAGAGTGTATATATAAGATCATGTGAAGAGTGTGTGCAGAAACAGAAGAGTTTCAGAGTCTCAGCCATGGGCTACTCCTGTGACAGAGGCCAGAAAGATGAGAGAGCTTCAGCAAAGAGAACTGGGAAGGATGATCCCTGAGACAAGAGGAAGGGTGCCCTGAAAGTTATTGATGATAGTGACAAGAGGAATCATTTTAGAGGAAAGATGAGGACAAAGCCCACCCACAGCAGGTTTAGGAGAGTATGTGAGAAGATAAGTGATATCAGTAAGTTAGCTGGGGTTTGCGTGTGTGTGGAGAGCTTTTCTGTAAAATGAAATCGAGAAATAAAGCCATAGCTAGAGGATGCTGGGCAGTCAGGAGAGAATATTTTGTTCTAAGTTGAGATTATCACAGTATGTTTGTAGGATGCTGGGATGACCCAGTAGGCAGGCGACAATTGGCAATTGCTCCAGTAATTTCCCTTGACCTGCTGAGCTCAAGCGATCATCCTGCCTCAGTCTCCCGAGTAGCTGGGACTACAGGCACGCACCACCATGGGCCTGGTTAATTTTTTGCAGTTATTTATTTATTTATTTTTGTAGAGGCAGGGTTTCACCATGTTGCCCAAGCTGGTCTTGAACTCCTGGACTCATATATTGGTGAGAGGTATCCGAAGCACAGGTGAGAGTGTGGGTAGGAGCTCCACCACCTCACAGAAGAAAGATGGAAAACACAGCTTTGGGGGTTGGGAGGTTCATGGATTTGGTGATGATGATGTGGATGTACTTTTCTGCTGCTTTTCAGTGAAATGAGAAGAAAAGGTCATCTTCTGAGAGTTGGTGGGGTGCTGGTAGACCTGGAAGGAGACCAGGAGAGCAAATGGACTGTGGGTTCTCAGGGTATCATCAAGTGGTCAGGAATTTTTTAAAAGGTCGGTTAGTAGGTTGCGTTCTTTTGCCCAGCCACTCCCCACTGTTTAAACAGAAGGGTGAAAGTGAGCAGAGTTGGATTTGACAGGGTTGGGGTTTGCTGTGTGTATTTGTGTTCTAGGGTTGCCATAACAAAGTGCCACAATGGGGTGGCTTAAGCAACAGAAATGTATTGACTCACAGGTCTGGAGGCTAGAAGTCCAAGATCAAGGCGTCACCAGGCTGATTTCTTCTGAGGCCTCTCTCCTTGGCTTGTAAGTGGCTGTCTTCTCACTCTGTCTGCACGTGGTCTTCCCGGTGAACTCCTCTGTGTCCAATTTTCCTGTTTTTATAAGAACACCAGTCATAGTGAATTTGAGCTCACTTTAATTACCCCATTTTAACTTAATTACCTTTTTGAAGCTATTACCCTATCTTCAAATACAGCCACATTCTAAGGTACTGAGGGTTAGGATTTCAACATATGAATTTGGGGTGTACACCATTCAGCCCCTAACACCAGTAAATATAACGGAGAAAAAAACGTCAGGGAAGTAGAAACTTTAAGCAAGAATGGGTTTTGTTTTTGGTTTTTATGGGTTGTTTTGTTTTTGGTTTTTGTTTGTTTGTTTTTGTTTTGTTTTGTTTTGTTTGAGACAGGCTCTTGCTCTGTCACCCAGGCTCTGGATGCAGTGCTGAGCCCGTGGCTCACTGCAGCCTTAACCTCCTGGGCTCAAGCGATCCTCCTGCCTCAGTCTCCTGAGTAGCTGGGGCTGCAGATGTGCACTACCACAACTTATTGGATTTTTTTTGTAGAGATGGGGTTTCGCCATGTTGCCCAGGCTGATTTCAAACTCCTGGATTCAGGCCATCCACTCTCCTCAAGGATGGGATTTTAATAATGGTCCATAACATCTAAGTCCCACAGAAACTGAAGTGGGGGCAAAAGAAGGGTGAGAGATCACGAAAAGATGAGAGAGCTCATGGCTGGGAGGTCCTGAAGGGACCAAAGAGTTGTTAGAAAAGACAACATTTGCATTTGAGTGCTTTCATAGGCAATGCAGACTCATTCTGTCCAAAACTAAACTTTTAATCTTTCTCTGTCAAACCAGCTCCTCTTCTGGTCTTTTGCATTTCAGTGAAAAGAACCAACATCTCCTGCAGTTACTCAAGCTAGAATTTTCCCAGTCTTTGACTCTTGCCTCTCCCTCGTTCCACATATCCACATGAACGACAGTTCCTACTGCCTGCAAATTATTCATTAAATATCCATTTCTTCATCTCCAGTGCCACTAACTTAGTCCAAGAGAAAGTTCACCTCCTTTCTCACCCAGGAAGAGCTTCCCCACCATTCTCCCAATTCCACTCTTTCCGCCTTCCTCCATGTATTGTCTATACCACAGTCAGGTTGGTGGGGTTTTTTTTCCAAGTCACCCCTTTCAAAGATATAACTTTTACAACATAATTCTGACTCCCTCCCCTCTTGCTCTGGACATGACAAGCAGCCTGTCTGTTGGCCCACGTCTGCTTCTCCAGCCTCCATGGTGCGTGCGCACCTCTGTCCCCAACAACTCCTATGCTTCTCCACTCCTGCTGGCCTTCTCTCTGTCCCCAACCAGCCCAAGCTCTCCTCTGCCTCTGGGACTTCACAGATGCCATGCCCTCACCCTGCTGACTCCTACTGACCCTTCATGTTTCAGCTTCAATGAGACATCCTCAGGAAGCCTTTTCTAACCCCACTCAGCTCCCAAGCTAGGTTCGATCTGCAAATTGTTGTACACTCTTCTCGCTGAATAACATAGATGCCAACAGATCTCCTGAGACAATACCCATCTCAGAGGCTCTGGTCTGGACCCCCTAGCCCAGGAATGCACACTCTGAGAATTTCTTCTGGGTGTCCCCTCCTCAGGAGACCAGGAGTTTGCACAAGGCTAGGTTGGCAGCAATTGAAATTTATTCTCTTAGTACCCTGGGATCAATCTGATGTCTATAAATGCTGGTTGAACAAACCAGTTAGTGAATGACTGAGAAATGTGGGTTTTGCCTCTGGATTCATTTCTGTTAATTTCTGACCTTGCTGTGTTCCCTCCTTTCTTCTGCTCTCTTGTTCTGGGCATGTACTTTCTTTCATGATCCTTATAGTGCAAGGTTCAAAATCAGTTACCATGCAAGAAGGTTTGCCACCTGCTGTTTATGAAACTGAACCATTAGGAATTATAGTTTTCCAGCTTGTGAAATGAAACATCTGAGTCCTGCCACAAAACACACCCCTTTGAAAAGGCTATTTGTTTCTGACAATAAATATGATAAACACACGTGGAATAAATGTCAAATAGATCAAAGGGCTAGATTCAGAAAACAATTCTTTCTTCTTCCCTGAACTCCCCTCTTCCCATTTTAATGAACAAGCAGCATACAGAGAGAGAGAGAGAGAGAGAGAGACCTTCATTGTTTCATAAAAATTATAGCATAGGACATATCCTGTTGTGTACCTGGCTTTCCTCACATACTAATGTATGTTGAAGACATTAAACACCAGCACAGGTTGCTTACCCAATTCTTTTAGATGACCCCTAGAATTCTACTGTATAGTATGCTAGAGTTTACTTAACTAGACCTGTATAAATGAGCACAGAATGCTACAACAAATGTTCTTGTGGCAGCATATTTTTTAGGTGTCCAAGTACATACACTCCTAAAAGTGGACTTCCTGGGTCAAAAGACACAAGCACTTATAATTTGGAAAGATATTGCCAGCCAAAGGCTGGTACCAGTTGGCCCTCTCACTGACGGTAGCTGAGAATGTGGGTTTTTCCACACTCACACAGTTACAGTTTCAAGTTTGTTTTGTCTTCCTTTCTGATTATTAATCACCAGGGATTTGGCACCTTCAGATGTTAGTTTCTCTTTCTGTGAAATGTAATAAACACTTGAGAAAATAAAACCTAAAGGAACCCTATAGCCCCTTACTTCTGCTACATCACTTGGTTTGTGAATATTCTCATTTTGCATTTTATCTTTCTGCAGGCAAGAAGCTTGGCTACAAACGTCTAACACTGTGGTATATTTGGGGGGAAGAAGATAATGCACAAGGAACTACCCAGATCCTCCTACCACACCCTGTTGCTGTAGTATGATTTGGGGCAAGTTACCAATATTTTTTAATTTCTATTTTCTCATCTGTAAAATAGGTGCAGTGCAATGTCTACTCATCAGCTTGAAGTGCGGATTAATTGGTAATGTACACACCTAGAACACGCTAGACACTCAACATATGGTAATATCATTATTGCAGACTTATTTGTGCATAGTTACACTGCACTGAGGCTTGAAAAATGGCATATTCTGATATTCATTTATTCAACAAATATTAAGGACCCACCATGGGCCAGGTACTGTGTTAAGTATTGAGGGCACAGAAATAAACTAGCCTTGAGGAATCCCTGTATAGCCCAGCACTTAAGAGCACTTGGTGGTCAGGTAGACCTGGGTGGGCTTTGCTATTTGGGCAAATAGTAAAGCTTCTCTGAAGGACAAGTTTCTCATCTGTCGAACAGGCTGAAAAATATCTGTGGCCGTCATTGAATTCTTTTGAGAGTTGAATCAGGTAATGTGTATAGGGAACAGAGCTGAATGTCTGGCCCCTAGCAAGTAGTCAACAAATAAGCATTAATATTGCAGTGGTGATGTAGCAAACAGGGGGAATCAGAAGGAATCGGAGTGGTGTTTGTTTATTTGTTTGTTTGTTTTGAGACGGAGTCTCACTCTGTTGCCCAGGCTGGAGTGCAATGATGCAATCTCGGCTCACCGCAACCTCTGCCTCCCGGGCTCAAGCGATTCTCCTGCCTCAGCCTCCCGAGTAGCTGGGAGGCACGTGCCACTGTGCCCAGCTAATTTTTGTATTTTTAGTAGAGACGGGGCTTCACCATGTTGCCCAGGCTGGTCATGAACTCCTGACCTCAGGTGATCCACCCGCCTCGGCCTCCCAAAGTTCTGGGATTACAGACGTGAGCCACCACACCTGGCCCGGAGTAGTTTTTAGGAAGCCTTTGAAAAGACAGTGACACCACAGCAGGCTGTTGAAGGGCAAGCAAGGTTTGCAAAAAGGAGGGAACAGCATATAAACAGAACGGCGGGGAGAACAACAGATTTGGGGACACCTGGGGACAAGAGGCATGACTATCTCCAGGCCACACAGCTGGTTAGTAGAAACATTGGTTCTAGAATAAAAAGCACACATGTTCTTCTTTCTTTGGTCAACTTCATTAGTCATTTTAAAATCATTCAAGTAAAAAAAAAAATCACATTTTAGCCATGCCCGGTGGCTTACGCCTGTAATCCCAGCACTTTGGGAGGCCAAGGTGGGCGGATCACTTGAGGTCAAGAGTTCGAGACCAGCCTGGCCAACATGGTGAAACCACGTCTCTACTGAAAATACAAAAGTTAGCCAGGCGCAGTGGCACACACCTGTAATCACAGCTACTCAGGAGGCTGAAGCAGGAGAATCACTTGAGCCTAGGTGGTGGAAGTT
Organism: Homo sapiens; assembly: GCF_000001405.40. NCBI lineage: Eukaryota > Metazoa > Chordata > Mammalia > Primates > Hominidae > Homo > Homo sapiens. The sequence continues at coordinate 15,769,918 of NC_000004.12, read as the reverse complement.
GCAGTGAACTGAAATCGTGCCACTGCACTCCAGCCTGGGCGACAGAGGGAGATTGTCTTTAAAAAAAAAACAAAAAACTACATTTTAAAAGTGGAAATAGAGCAAAGAAGAAAAATGCTCCCACTCGTAGCCCAACTACCACTAACATTTTGGTAGTATCTTGCCTTTTTTTCCCCTAATCTTTGTTAGCTTTAAAAATGATTAAAAAATATTATTTGATATTGTAAACATATATATACATATATATATAGAGAGAGAGAAATTCTGTTCTTTCTGCTTCACTGTGTATACGTGGCTCCTTCCAGGCCATATGTCCTCTCCCAAACCACCAGAGCCCAGACTCCAATACCAGCTCTCCACCCCCACTAGCTCTTTGAGCCTGAGCATCTCATGTAACTCCCTGTGGCTCAGGCTTGCTGCAAGAACATGTGAGTGTACATGTCAAGCAAAAAGCAGCCAATTTCCCTGGGAAAGCTTCTAGAAATGGGGGAGCCTCCTCTCTTCAGTTCCCCCACTAGAAGGGCAGCTCCATGCCAACAGGGCCGTTGCCTGCCTTTGTTCACCAGAAATACCAAGTTCTCTGTCCCTAGCACCAGAACCATGCCCAGTATGTGGTTGGCACTCAAGCAACGCCTGCAGAATAAGCAGCTCCTTCTCCCACAGTTCAAACTCAGTGACAACAGGCTGGACATTCACCAACAGATCCAAGGTCTTCATCGGATTCACCGGCTAAAACCATCTATCAACAAGCATCTGTTGGCTCATTTGCTGAGAAATAAGGCACAATGTTGAAGGGAGAAAAGGGAGATGCTGGAATTCATACATAATTCTTGTTTTTTTTTTTCTTTCAACAATAATTGCTAACATCGTTGAGTGTCAGGTCCTTTGTGAACTGTACCCTCACAACACTGCCATCATGTAAACATGTGATGATTTTCATATTGTAAATGTGAAAATAAAGGCTTACAGTTGACAGACTCAGTCTGTTCTCAAAGGGGATTTATGCCCCATAGTGGGAACTTCTGGAAACATGCTCTTGGGTACGGGTCTGTGGCAGCTGTCAGGAGGGCTTTTTTTTCCCCAAGCCAAACTGTATTCAGTTTTATTAAAGATACTGTCCATCGGCCGGGCGCGGTGGCTCACGCCTGTAATCCCAGCACTTTGGGAGGCTGAGGCGGGTGGATCATGAGGTCAGGAGATCGAGACCATCCTGGCTAACGAGGTGAAACCCCATCTCTACTAAAAATACAAAAAAAAATTAGCCGGGCGCGGTGGCGGGCGCCTGTAGTCCCAGCTACTCGGGAGGCTGAGGCAGGAGAATGGCGTGAACCCGGGAAGCGGAGCTTGCAGTGAGCCGAGATTGCGCCACTGCAGTCCGCAGTCCGGCCTGGGTGACAGAGTGAGACTCCGTCTCAAAAAAAAAAAAAAAAAAAAAAAAGATACTGTCCATCAACACTCATGGTATTTCAGCAGGACATGGGCAGACAATCATTAACAGTATACAACAACTTTCAAACTCTCTTCTTCCATGGACTACCAAAAATCAGAAAGCCACTCTAAAACCCATGAAGCTTTCGACTGATGCTCTAAACAGGGAAAGTTTAGAGTGAGGGTTGACATTTCACATTTAGCGCATTGTTTAACAACTTTAAATTCTGCCATTTTTATTTCACTTCCTGAAAGTCAGGGTTATCTGAAGATCCACAGTCTAGAATCGGAACCGCTGCTCTTTGGAGGGGCAGCATCTCAGTGGCATCACTGGAAAGTCCAGATTGCCTAACACACTGGTAACCAATTATTGGGGGTCAGGTCCCAACAGGTGTCTGGATTTAAGGGAGTTAAGTCTGTGCTGAAAGGTAGAAAGGAAGAAGAGGATTTAAAAATGAATGATTTTGTTTTTCCATACCACAAAGCTTTTGTGCCAAGGTGACCATGTGGTCAAAGTCAGGGAATCCCTCCTCCTGGGAGCCAAGAGGAAGTCTTTCAAAACTACAAGGGGGCTGAGCATGGTGGCTTATGCCTGTAATCTCAACACTTGAGGAGGCCGAGATGGGCAGATCACTTGAGGTCAGGAGTTCGAGACCAGCCTGGCCAACATGGTGAAATTCCATCTCTACTAAAAATAAAAAAAAAATTAAAAACTAGAAGGGAAAAGTGTTTTCCCCACATCAATCCAGCTTCAGAGACATTCTATTAGTGACGTATGCCCCTTCCCCAAAAAAACAATAAAGTGTTCTGTGTGCTAACAACATAGCTTTAAAAAGAGTAAAACAAAATTCTGATTTTTATAAAACTTGATTAAAAAAAAAAAAGTAGGGCCGGGCACGGTGGCTCACGCTTGTAACCCCAGCACTTTGGAAAGCCGAAACGGGCAGATCACAAGGTCAGGAGATCGAGACCATCCTGGCCAACATGGTGAAACCCTGTCTCTACTAAAAATACAAAAAATTAGCTGGGTGTGGCGGCACGTGCCTGTAGTCCCAGCTACTCAGGAGGCTGAGGCAGGAGAATGTCTTGAACCCGAGAGGTGGAGTTTGCAGTGAGCTGAGATCACACCATTACACTCCAGCCTGGTGACAGAGCAAGACTCCATCTCAAAAAAAAAAAAATTGATAAAAAGTAGTATTTCAAACTGTGCAGCCACCAGAAGTACACAATTTTCAAAAATGCACACATTTCCCTCGGCACCCCCAGCACCTTTGGCTTTCTGTGTGCCACGTCTGTTCGGGCATATCCATTTTCTGCAGGGTTATCCGCTCCTTGCCAGCGTCAACTTTTCCCTTTGGGTACTTTCTCTCCCTTCTTTGCAGGGGTCTTTTTAGGCTTCGGCTCTGGCTTTGGAGGGGCAGGGTTAGCAGACAACTTGCAGATCTACTATGTGGTTCATGCTTCACCTTGGCCTTATCTACTATAGCATCCCCTTCAGCTGTTCTCTTGGGCATGCTGGCAACGGCAGTGGGACATGGGCACTGGGCGTGGGATGCAGCAACGTGTGGGCATTGGTTGGTCCAGGGATTGTTCTCCCCTTTTCTTCACACTTCTTCTGGTCAGAAGGCTTTGAGTGTCACCAGGAAGCTCAGGGTTAACCTGTTTTTTTTTTAGGGAGGTCTTTTTTTTTTTTTTTTTTTTTTAGGGAGGTCTTTGTCTCCTCAATATGTTTTGTGCCTCCTCAAGTCAGGATACCATCACGAAAAGAAGAATAGATAAATGCTGAATGTCAAAAACAACAGAAAAGCATGCTCGTTGATGCCACACAGATCACACCTGTGACCTGCTTCTTTCTAGCAGATTCATGTAAGACAGCTGCATGATTTCTCCTCCCACATCCTGAAACCGAGCAAGGCTGAATCTTGTATTTACTACTCTTTCTGTATTTTTAATGAAATAAGAGTAAATAGAACTTGGCAAGATGCCTCAAAATGCTTTTAATTCACTTGGGCTGCCTGCCCTTCATTCTAGGCTTCCTTGTTTATTTCATCAGAGTAAAGACAGGAGTTCATCAAAAGTCAGCTTCTCAGCCACATCCTCCCTTAGGTCTGACCGCAGCTTAACAGATCTGGTGACTTTTCAGCTCTCCCACTGCCCCACCTCCCTCATCCAGTTGTTTTTCCTTAACCTTCAGGTGACAGTTTAGACACTCCAAATCTGAGACATCTTTTACAGGCCTTCATGTCTGGATTACAAGCTCGTATCATGGATAACCATATGCATCCTATACTTCCTGATTTTTTGGGACAGTTTTGCCACCCTACCTCCATCCCCAACTAGATTATAGAAGGATGCCAAACAGTCTTTGTCTCAGGTACGTCCTCAGTGGCTAGCAAGTCCCTGGTGCTTAGAGGGCACTGCACAACTGTATGTTGATGAGTATCACACTGTAATGCAATTCTTTTGACTTCCATCCCCTTATTCAGCCATTTGTGCATTAAATATTTACTGAGCACCATGAACTATTTTAGTACTGGGTTTATAGCTGTTAAACAAATTCGGTTGCCAGAAGCTTATGTTTTAAAGGGGAATCGACATATAATAGACAAGATAAGTAAACCATAGCACATGCGAGGTGATGATGAGGGCTAAGAAACAAACTCAGCAGGGAACAGGATAAAGACTTGGGGGAAGGTTGCAATTTTGGGTAAAGGACCAAGGAAGGTCTCACTCAGAAGGTGGCACTTGGGTAAGAATCTGAAGAAGGTGAGGTGAAATCTGGGGGAACAGGGCTCCAGACAGAGAAGAGCAATTGCAAAGGCCCTAAGGCAGAAGCAAGCCTGGTGTGTTCAGAGAACAGCAGAGGTCAAGTAACAGGTGCATGGCACAGGAAGAACAAGGAGGAAATATGTGGGAGATGAGGATAGAGATTTAATTGTGTGTTTGGGACCCGGAGATAGGCAGGCGCTGGTGCACAAGAGTGACATGTCCCGACGTGTTTTGTCAGGCTCACTCTGGCTGTTTGTTGAGCAGAAACGGAAGTGGGGCAGGGACAGAAGCAACGAGGCCATTTTGGAAGCCATGGTGCCATAATCCTGACAAGAGATGATGGTGCCTTGCACTGGGTTGGCATCAGCAGATGCAATTAAATTCTGAATATATTTTAAAGGTACAACAGACCGGATTTGCCGATAGAGTAAAGAGACAATGAGAGTAGTCAGAGACAACTCCAAGATTTTTGGCTTGAGCAACTGGAAGGATGGAGTTGTCGTTTACCAAGTGGAGAAAGACTATGAAAGGAGAATTCATTGGAGGTATGTCAAGTTTAAGATGCCAGTTATGTATCCAAGTGAAAATGTTGAGACAAACACCGTGCCATGCTCCACAAAGGTTAACTTGTTCAATCCCCATAAGAACCCCATGAGGTAAGTAGTACTGACCCCATCTTACAGGAAAGAGACTGAAGCCTGAAGCCCAGAGAGGAAGAGTGACTTTTCCAAGTTTACCTAGCTGGTTGGTGGTGGAAGTGGGGAACTGGGATTCAAACCTATGCAATAGGGCTCTGGAATTCATGCTTTTCTACACTTTGCAAAACACACACACACACACACACACACCTCACCTAATTCTAGTCACTTAAGATATTTCTTGCCATGAGCAGTCATTGAGCCCATTTATGAGCCAATCACTGTGGCCAGGGACTGGAGTGCTCCAATTAGATTGGGTCTGTGTCACTTTCTGTGGGCCTGATCTTGGGGGTGGAGGCCCACATCGGTTGAGAGTAAAGCAACAGGTAGCTCTCCAGAGGAAAATCAGGGTGTCGTCACCAGAAATAGGGTGAATAGATGCTGAATATATATATTTCTTAAAACCCATTCTGATATCAAATTAAGCCCATCATAGCACATGGACAAAGTTTATATATGAGCCATTCTTTATATGCATTTCAAACACCCAGAACACCAACTTGTGCCAAAATTTTCTCAAAAGATTTTCTAATAAGATGTTTACTTGATTTCCTAGGACAATTACACTTTCCGTTCTTATATTCTAACACAAAGAGGCTGAAGGTCAAATATCTCAGCTGAGGGGAGGAATACATTCTTGAATATTTAAGAAGCAACTGTGCAATGCTTTCTCAATGCAGCATTTTTCAGAGCAAGTTAAAAACAAAAGCAAACAAAAATTCCAAAAGAAAGCCCCAAATATAATTCATTGAAAATAGGGATACTGAATATCATTCACTGATTTTTTTTATTTTACTTCATTTTTTAGAGCAGCTTTAGGTTTACAGCAAAATCCAGCAGAAAATACAGAATGTTCTCCTATTCTCCCTTCTCCCTACACATGCACAGTCTCCTCCACTATCAACATCCCACCCAGAGGGGTATATTTGTTAATATCAATGAGCCAACATTGACTTCTCATTATCACCCAAAGCCCATAGTTTACATTAGCGCTCACTCTTGATATTGTACATTCTAGAGGTTTCAACAAAGGTAGAGTGATGTCCACACACTATTATAGTATCATACAGAATTGTTTAACTGCTCATTCATCACGTCCTCTCTTCAACCTCAGACAACCATTGTTGTTTGTTTGTTTATTATCACTGCAGTTTTGCCTTTTCCACAATGTCATACAGCTGGAATCATACAGTATGTAACCCTTTCAGATTGGCTTCGTTCACTTAGCAATATGCATTTAAGGTTCCTTTATGTCTTTTCATGGCTTAATAGCTCATTTGTTTTTAGCACTGAATAATATTCATTTGTCTGGATGTACCACAATTTATCCATTTACCAACTGAAGAATGTCTTGGTTATTTTGTTTTGTTTCCTGACAGTAAATTTTTCTTACTCTAATAAATTGTAAAATTCTGCTTATTAATATTTTACTAAATAATTAGTAATCAAAGCAAAGTTCAAATGTATATTTCAGAAAGACATTCCTTCGTAAAAAGTAATAAGCTCTACAAATAATTTTTCAGGTTATAATAGCAATTGTGTGCTTATATATAATTTTGAAAAATAAGAAGCGTACAAAGAAAAAATACAACTACTTGTAACTTCAAAATTCAGAAATAAATGGCATTAATATTAATATTTTGGTGTATTATATATACATTTTCCCAGGAATTTATATCCTAAGATTTTAACTCCACATTATATGATACATATTTTGCCTTATCTTTAAATATTCTTCCTTTTTAAATTTTTTCCTCCTGTATACATACATGGATAAATATTCTTCTGAAATAGCATTTTAATTTATTTTATTTTAAAACATATTCTAAAGCTACAATCTTTAAAAGTCATGTAGAAAAAAGTAACTCAGCTCTTTAAATTAGATTGTCAAAAACATCAAGAGCCTAGAAATAATTTTTTTCTTTTCAAAAATGCATTTATTATACATTTCCAGATCAATAGTGTAATGCATGGTTTTTTGAAAAGTAATGGGAAAATAACCTCATGTTCATTACAGCATTATTCACAATAGCCAAGATATGAAATCAACCTAAGTATCCATCATATTCACCAATGGATGAATAGATAAAGAAATTGTGGTACATATATACAATAGAATATTACTCAGCCATAAAAAAGAAGGAAATCCTGCCATTTGTGTCAATTTGGATGAACCTGGAGGACATTATGCTAAGTGAAATAAGCCTGACACAGAAAGACAAATACTATATGATTGCACTTATATGTGGACTCTGAGAAAACCAAACTCATAGCAGAGAGTAGAATGCTGATTGTCAGGAAGTTGGGGTTAGCAGAAATGGAGAAATGGTCAAAAAGTACAAACTTTCAGTTATAAGTTCAGATAATCTAATATAAACCAAACTCATAGCAGAGAGTAGAATGCTGATTGTCAGGAAGTTGGGGTTAGCAGAAATGGTGAAATGGTCAAAAAGTACAAACTTTCAGTTATAAGTTCAGAGAATCTAATATACAACATGGGTGGTGATGGATGTGTTCATTTGATTGTTGTAAGCTTGTATGCTTTGAATATATTCAATCTTTATTTTTAATTAAATATTTTTAAATGAAATGAACTTTAAATGTAATAAAATATAAACAATTACAAATAAGCTTATGAAAAACACCCATAATCATACTACCTAGAGAAAATTATGTTTTTACTTACCTTTCTACTTATGTGTGTGTGTATACATATATGTATATATGGGTGTGTGTGTATAAAAGAAAGTTGTATACATACATACACACACATATGTATGCATGGTTTTGAATTAAGTTCTTTCTATTTTTTTTTTTTTTTTTTTTTTTTTTTTTGAGATGGAGTCTCACTCCGTCGCCCAGGCTGGAGTGCAGTGGCGCGATCTCGGCTCACCGCAACCTCTTCCTCCCAGGTTCAAGCGATTCTTCTGCCTCAGCCTCCCGAGTAGCTGGGACTACAGGCAGATGCCACTATGCCTGGCTAATTTTTGTATTTTTAGTAGAGACGGGGTTTCAGCATATTGGCCAGGCTCGTGATCCGCCTGCCTCGGCCTGTCTCGGCCTCCCAAAGTGCTGGGATTACAGGCATGAGCCACCGCGCCCGGCCGAATTAAGTTCTTAAAACCATCTACAAAAAAAGAAAATAGCACATAAACACGAAAATCATGTAACAAAAGCTCACTCATTCATTCATTTATACACTCAAAACCTGTGTTGAGCCTCTGCTATTTACCTGGCTGTGGGCTGGGTTCCAGGAATATAAAGACCTTCTGGACAAGGTGTCTGTTCTGTGCATGTCTATATTCCACCCAGGAGAAGGAATTTCTATCACATAAGAATAATTTATCACTGTGCACACCATCATGCAAGCTCAAGCACAGAAATGTGGTGGCAAAAGTGAGAGAATGGTGAATTGACTAAAATTACAACTTCATCCAGATTCTCATTCATAAATTATTTTCTCATATTTTATGTTTTAAGCTTGGTTTTCTAGCTACCAAGCTAGCAACAGACAGGAAGATAACAATAAAGAAATTACTTTCTTGTTTTTTAGCACTTCAATACGTTCCCTGTATTATGGTATACATGTATTGCCACATACAATTTTATCTCACTTAAGTTTCATGCTCAGTTAATTTCTTTTCCTTTCCAAGTGAGAAGGTGGCACACAGGACAACGCAAAAAAAGCCTCTTTCCCAGAACTGTACAGCTAGAGTAGAATTTTAAAACTCCATTTTTAACAAACAGCAATTGCCAATTTACAAAACTATATGCCCATGGAGAAACCCCATCTCCACTAAAAATACAGAAAATTAGCCGGGCATGGTGGAACATGCCTGTAATCCCAGCTACTCGGGAGGCTGAGGCACAAGAATCACTTGAACCCGGGAGGCGGGGGTTGAGGTGAGCTGAGGTTGTGCCACAGCACCCCAGCCTGGGCAACAAGAGCGAAACTCTGTCTTAAAAAACAAAACAAAACAAAACAAAACAAAAAAACTATATGCCATACATAATGTTTAAACAAAAATATGTTGGCTGGGTGCAGGGGGCTCACACCTGTAATCCCAGCACTTTGAAAGGCCAAGGCAGGCAGATTACTCAGGAATTTGAAACCAGCCTGGGCAACATGGTGAAACCCCATCTCTACTAAAAATACCAAAAAAAAAAAAAAGCTAGGCGTGGTGGTGCACACCTGTGGTCCCCACTACTCATGAGGCTGAAGTAGGAGGATCACCTGAGCCCAGGAAGTGGAGACTGCAGTAAGCCAAGATCACACCACTGCACTTCAGCCTGGGTAAAAGAGACCTTATCTCGAAAAATAAATAAATAAATAAATAAATATATAGTATATATTTATTTATGCATGCTTACATATATAAGGAAAAATTATATTTTTACCAGACAACTATTAATTCATTTATTCAATTTATTTAATAAATAGTTTTAAGTTTACCATATGTCAGCACTGGATCAGCGATGAACAAACCAGACAAAAATCCCTGCCCTCAGCTACTTTAGAAAATAATCTGGCAATTCCTCAAAATGTTAAGCAGAGTGAACATGACCTGGAAATTCCACTCCTGGATATCTACCCAAGAGATATGAAAACATATGTTCACACAGAAATGTACATGAAGGTTCATAAAGGCATTATCATAATAATTGATAAACAGAAACAACCCAAATATCCTTAATTGATGAATGGATAAACAAAATGTGATATGCCCACACAGCGGAATATTATTGAGCCAAAAAAAAAAATGAAATGCTAACGCATACCACAACATGGACGTACCTCAAAAACATGCCAAGTGTAAGAAGCTAGTCACAAGAAGTAACATATTGTATAATTCCACTTACATGAGATATCCAGACTAGGCAAATCCATAGAGACGGAAAGTAGATTAGAAGTTCCCTAGGGCTGCATGTTGGGGAATGAGGAGTGACAGCCCAATAGGAATGGGGTTTCCTTGGGGTTGAGAGGAATGTTCTAAACTTGTGTGATAGTCACAAAACTGAATATGCTAAAAACTACTAAATCATATACTTTCAGGATAAATTTTATGTTTGTAAATTCGATCTCAAAAAAAGATGTTAAACAAAATCCCTCCTCACATAGGGTTTATGGTTTCTGGTGTAACTCCCTTCCATTTTTCCTGGTTCTGATATGAAGATAGCCCATTCCAGATTTGATGCCACTGGGTAAATACTGGGAGTGGAGGGGGGAAGTAAAGGAGAAAGCGGGGTATTGAGCCTTTATTAACTTATGGTAATATCCAACTAAATAGTAGCTCTTTGGTGCTGTACCCCATGACACCCCCTGTTACAGAAACAGGGAAAATGGTTTCCATTGGCAGAATAGTCATACGCTGCCTCTTACCAACTCTTAGGAAGAGAAATAAGGAATGAGGAAGAAGAAAGGGGATGGAAGAGAAGTGAAGAAGTGAGAAAAACAGGAGGAGGAAGAAGTTAGAGAAAGAAAAAAGAAGAAAAATGAAAATAGATGAGAAGTTAAGGTAGAAGAAAATGAAGGAGGAAATGGAGCAGAAACATTAACTGAGCATTTACTAAGTGCCAAACACCATACTGGGGTCTTTCTATACACAGTGTTATCAAATCTGCATAATAACCCCATGAGGTAAATATTCTTACTATACCTGCTTTACAGATTTGAAAACTTGAGTGTGGTGAATACAGCATTTTCAGAGGTGCCACTGCTGGGCGTTCTACCAGTCAGCCCTTGAGCAGCACATCCATCTTCTTTCGCCCAGAAATCTGGGTAGTGGGCTCCATAGTGGACCAGTAGTATAATCTGGATGTTATTCTTGGCTCTTTCCTTAGTCCTTCTCCGTCCCTGAGATGCTTGAGCTTCCTAATATTCTGTAATATACACCAGGAGATAGTTTTTGATATACATAACTAGGAATTTTGACTATGGCAGACAGAGGTCAGTTAACTTAACTGAGGACACACAGATACGTGTGGTGGAAATGGGACTTGATGCCTGTCCACCTGATTCCAAGCATTGACTCTTAGCCATGATTTCCTACAAAAGGCACTGAGGTGTGTAGGCCATAGCTCCGTAATCCACCTGCAGTGAAGACAACACCAGCATGCAGGTTGTGGTTCAGGTGGGAAATGTTTTGTTCTGTTTCATTCCATAGAAATAGGTAGGCATTGACGCCAAATACTTTATACATACTAAAACTTAATTAAATGATCTTAAATAATACTGCATATTCTCACTTAAATGAAGAATCTAAAACAATCAAACTCGTAGAACCAGAGAATAAACTGGTGGTTACAGAGGCTAGAGGGTGAGGGTGTTAGGGAGATGATGAACAAGGTACAAAAATCTCAGAAGGAATATGGAAGTTTCTTTGAAATCTATTGCATAGTGTGGTGAATATAGTTAACAAACAGTATCATACATTTCAAAATTGCTAAGAGAGTAAATTTCAAATGTTCTCATGACAAAAAAATGCTAAGGATATGATTTCATTCTTTTTTATGGCTGCATAGTATTCCACATATTTAGCAGCAACATGGATACAGCCGCAAAAGATGTAGCTTAGGATAATGGAGGCCATTGTCCTAAGTGTATTGATGCAGGAACAGAAAATCAAATGCCACATGTTCTCACGTTTAAGTGAAAGCTAAATATTGAGTGCACATGGACATAAAGATGGAAACAATAGACGCTGGGGACTACTAGAGGAGACAGGGCGGAAGGGGAGGGACGGCTGAAAAACCAGCTGTCAGGTACTATGCTCACTACCTGGGTGATAAGATCATTAGTATACCAAACCCCAGTGACACACAATTTGCCTGTGTAACAAACCTGCCCATGTACCCCCTGAAACTAAAATAAAAGTTGAAAAAAAATGCTAAATATTTGAGATGATGGATATGTTAACTAGCTTAATTTAATTATCCTACATTGTATTTATAAATTATAACATCACGTTGTATCCAGAAATATACACAATTATAAATTGTCAATTTACAATAAAAATTGTTATTAAAAATGCTGATGTTATTGGGTTTTTAAAACATTAGACATTTAATGTTTAAGAAAATCCCACCGGGCGCGGTGGCTCATGCCTGTAATCCCAGCACTTTGGGAGGCCGAGGAGGGCGGATCACCTGAGGTCGGGAGTTCAAGACCAGCCTGATCAACATGGAGAAACCCTGTCTCTACTAAAAATACAAAAATTAGCTAGGTGTGGTGGCGCATGCCTGTAGTCCAAGTTACTTGGGAGGTTGAGGCAGGAGAATCACTCGAACCCAGGAGATGGAGGTTGCAGAGAGCCGAGATCCTGCCATTGCACTCCAGCCTGGGCAACAAGAGCAAAACTCTTTCTCTAAATAAATAAATAAATAAATAAAATTTTTAAAAGAAATTCCCTATAAAGGATTCTCTGTAATATTAATGGAAAGAAATGGTGAAGAGGGAGTGAAGTTGAGGAGAAGTTTTCTTTAACAGGGGACCACTGTTCAGAACAGTCTGCGGGGCGGGGTGGGGGTGTGCTTTTGTCCTCTTTATAGACAGGAGGATCATTATTCTGTTCAGCCAAGGTCACAGGACTAGGACAGTGGAGCTGGTATTTGACCTTGGGCCCAAAAAAATACACTGCAGTTCGTGCAGGGAGAACCAAATGGTCTACCTCCACCCTCCTGGGTTCTTTGGCATGGCTGTGAATTAAATCAGCACACAACAGATTAGCAAGAAAAAAAGCTATGTTTAACTACACACGTTGGCACAGGGGTCCCGCGAAAATATGAGAGTTGAAGAAAGACCAGATGATTGAAGCTTATATAGCAGCCTGAGCTACAGAAAGGAATAGGAGGAGCTTGGGGCTTCTGAGGGTGGTAGAGACAAGCTATGAGAAGGGGAGGGAGGAAATATAAGGTGAATAAAAGTTTGTCTTGTTATGCAAATAAAGTATCTCAGGTAATAAAAATTGTCTAGGAACAGCCCTCTTCCTGATACAGATGGTTTTACTAATATAGATTTCTTTTACAAGAAACTTAACTTTCAATTTACAATAGGCATACATTTCTTTTACAAAGGGCAGCTTTTCAGAGATACTCCTGCGTCTGCAGTGTATCTGAATAACCAGCTTGAAATATGCCAGGAAGTGTATTTTGGGGTGGCACATCTTGTCTCCCACAGTATGTTTTGAGGTGGTGCATCCTGAGCCCCAACAAATGAGCATCTTGGAAAGAGATATGGCTGGCCATTGCACAGCCAGTGCACAGAAAAATGTGAATAGCACTCCAAACCTCACCCTCCGAGGCCGCTAGGGGGAAAAACAGCTCTCCACAGCGCAACATACCTGCTAGATGTTACAATAACCCAAGTCTATGATGATGACCTGAGTCATTCATAGAAGATATACCCATTAAGGACATCATCTTCATAAAACTAGTTATATGCAACACGTCCTATGTCAAAATGTTTCTCAACATGTGTTAACCTATCAAACACACTCTCAACTAATCTCCACCCAGGTCAGGAAAATGTGGTTGAGTGTCACTTCCTGAGTCTGGCTGGTACTGCAAATATAAATTCAACGTTTTTTCAAACACATCTCACCCCCAGACCTGCCATTGGCATGCACATCTTTAACCACAAACCACGATTGAAAATGAGAAAGAAAACTCTCCTCTAGCTGGGCGCTTCATAGGACTAGCCAGGTACGACCATCTCTGAGGGTCTTTGACAGCTCAGTTTTACTGCATAATCTGTTTTCAAGACCCTTTAAAAGACCAGATTGTCTAGTACTTTTCTTTTATGAGAAGAGCTTCCCCCAACCCACCCTGCAGTCTTTTAGCAAAAACACCAGAAAGTCGGTTTTTCCCCCTTGTTTTGTTGTTGTTTTTGTTGTTCATGGTGGTGTGTTTTGTTTGTTTCAGTTTTATTTTTTCAAATTCCATGGTTATTTTCAAAATGAAGATCTAGCTTACAGTGTAATTTTTAAGTTTATGTTTATGTTGCAGAGACTGGGAGAACTGTTTAGTCACCACCTTGAGAACCTTAACATCATCTATCAGTTTACATGGTACTTGCCCTGTGGAGGAACTCAGAGCTCTCAGATTGTTTTACCTTTATTCCCTGGAAGCTTTGGACTATTGGAATATAAGCTGGAATAAGAAACTCATTGATTTGAAATTGGAGTGAAGTGATTATCTGTCTAATAACCCAATGGTTAAGTTTTTTTTTTCAAATAGGGTTTTCAGAGTACACAAATGAGCACACACTCACACACTCACAGATGCATAAACACTCTAAGACCTTCATCACTGGTGGTAACCACCACTCTACATTGACTGAAGGTGACATCTGGACTCAGCATTTCTTTTTTCTTTGGGGCTTTTCACCCATAAATAATATGCAGTTGTTCAATTCATTGCTAAACTACAGAGATCCAGTGAAGAATGAATACATTAATATTGCAAATGCATTTACTCTTTGACTCACTGACCCCATTTCTAGGAATTCAACCTACAAATATCTCTGCCCACATGAAAGATAATAAATATACCAGATTAGTCATTGCAGCATTGTTTATAAGAGAAACTGGCGCCAGGCACGGTGGCTCATGCCTGTAATCCCAGAACTTTGGGAGGCCAAGGCGGGCGGATCAAGAGGTCAGGAGTTCAAGACCAGCCAGACAAACATGGTGAAACCCCATCTCTACTAAAAATACAAAAATTAGCCAGGCGTGGTGGTGCACACCTGTAATCCCAGCTACTGAAGAGGCCGAGGCAGGAGAATCACTTGAACCTGGGAGGCGGAGGTTGCAGTGAGCTGAGATTGCACTACTGCACTCCAGCCTGGGCGACAGAGTGAGACTCCATCTCAAAAAAATAAAAAAATAAAAAAAAGAGAAACTGATTGCAAACAACCTAAATGATGTTCCTAACGGGGTGGGTTAAATAAATTACAAAACATCTCTCCCATGGAATATTATGCAGCTGTAAAAAATAAAGTGAGGGATCTCTGTATGTATTGATACAGAATAATCTCCAGGATGTACTATTAAGGAGTACAAAGTATTTTGTGTTTAATGCTTCCTTTTGTGTAAGAAAAGGTAGGGAGTAATAACATGTATTTGTATGTGCTTGTGCAAAGAAACCCTAGACAGATCTACATGAACTTTAAACAAGTGGTCATCCGAATTAGAGGTGTGGGACCAGAACAGGGGACAGGAGTGGGAATGAGATTTTTTCATAGTGTTTTATTTTTAAGCCATGTGTATATACTACCTTTTCAGAAATAACATAAAAATCACCAAATGTAAACTAAAACAAATCTACGTACTTAAATTACAAAAATGGACCGCTGGGAAAGAGCCCGTTTTTTCCATCTTTTCAGGCATGCTTATCAAATACTTCATCAGTTGGAAATTCAACAAAATAAAGTATGTGTGCAGCTACATCTGACGTTGATTCTTTATCTCATTCAAAACCACACAGTGCTGACAGCAACATCCTTCCTCTCAGCATTCATGCTTCTGCTACCACCCAGGGGCACTGAGTTCACAGCCAGCTCACAGAAGGTAAGAAACTGCACACAACCCTTAGAGAGGAGACAATCTTAGACATGTGCATGCTTCAGAGAACATCTGGAAATTCTGCAATGTTCCTGAACTCAACATACCCCTGTTTCCTTGGGTTCTTTTAGGCCAGTTTTCACAATGGGGTCACACTAATCCTCACAACCTCTACTTTAGCGACTCATGAAGCCTCTATTGTTCTGCAGAACACCATCCCCTTTCAAAGAGCCTCCCTCTCAATATTTCCGGGGGTCTTCGTGGGGATTATCACATCTGCACTTGAAAAAGCTGCCCACAGTCCCACAGGCCTCCATCGTGGTTTTCCTCTCTTTTCAATCTCCACTGATGATACACACGAAGAAGCTGTGGCCTCACACCCCCCCACTTGGCCTTCCAGATCTTCCAGCCTCTCCCTTTGGCTCTCTGCCCTGGATCCAGCCCCAGGAGGCTCTCCCAAAGGAAGGAAGGTGACTGAGGTCCGGTTATCCATTCCCTCAGCTGGCTTCCTCCCTGCAGGGTTGCCTCAGGCCACTGGGTTCCTTGACAGAGGCCACTGCTCTTCTCCAGATGACCTCTCCATGGGACTCTCTCCTTCCGGATTCCCATGACCTCCCTGTTGCCTCACTCTGTGAGGCCTTGGTGCATCTCTGTACACATCAATGGTTTGCAGATAGTCCCTATTAAACCTCCTCCGATTTTCCTGATTTGAGTGTGCTATCTGTGTGTCTGGATGGGCCCTGACCGATTTGGACTCTCCCTGCCTGCAAGGCAGTTTATGTATGTCCCATCATTGCCTTTGGTGGGCACCATCTCTGCGAACCTCCAGCTGTGCCATGGCTGGGCCACACTTTGAGAGCTGGGTCCTATCCCAATACTGTTTGTGGCTCTGTGTCTCGTAACATTCTTAAAGACCCTACTCTTTCTCCTTAGGGCTCACCTAATGGAGAGGGATGCTACTAATAATTATGCAAGGACAAAGGACACCCACTGGCGCGATCGTGAGCCATTCAGGATGTTTGGTTTCTACATGTATACACAGGAGCACACACATACATAAAAAATCTCTGCTACAGATACGATGGATACCTTCTAATTCTTCTCCCTTTTCCAGACCGCCTTTATCTGAAAAAATCCCTCCCACAAATGGACTTCTGAAAGTCCCATGCTATCAGCTCTGACATATCTGAGCCCCAGAGATAGAGACAGCTTAGACAGAGGCTGGAACATATCTAATCTGAAATTTTAGAAGAAGAATGCAGCGTGCTGTATTTTGGATATGACATTTATATCAGAGAGATGAAGATGGAGGGTGATATATTGCCAGATGAAATGCTAAGAGGACAGCCACTTTATCTTCTTAGTGATTTATATTTAAATATTTTTTAGTGATTTATATTTATATTTCTTAGTGATTTATATTTAAATATTTCTTAGTGATTTATATTTATATTTCTTAGTGATTTATATTTAAATATTTCTTAGTGATTTATATGTAAATCACTTTATCTTCTTAGTGATTTATATCTTCTTAGTGATTTATATGTACTATTTACATTATCAACCAGCATCAATGTGCAGTGGCCAGAAGCCTCTCTCCAGTGGGCCTTTACTGGCTTTCCATCTCATTCCAAAAAAAGCCAGTGAAATAGCCTGCAAGGCCTGACCTGATCTGGCCTATTTTCTTCCCTCACCTTGATCCTGCCATCCTGGCCTCCTTGCCGTTCCTCAAATAGTTCAGACACATGGCTACCACGGGGCCTTTGCTTCTGCTCCTTCTGCTTGAAATGTTCATTCTATAGATATAAGAATGGCTTGGGAGGCTGAGGCAGGTGGATCACTTGAGGTCAGGAGTTTGAGACCAGCCTGACCAACATGGAGAAACCGTGTCTCTACTAAAAATACAAAATTAGCTCTGCATGGTGGCACATACCTGTAATCCCAGCTACTCAGGAGGCTGAGGCAGGAGAATCACTGGAACCCGGGAGGCGGGGGTTGCAGTGAGCCGAGATTGCGCCATTGCACTCCAGCCTGGGCAATAAGAGCGAAACTCTGTCTCAAAAAAAAAAAAAGAATAGCTTGATTCCTTCACTCCTTCAAATCTTTGTTTAAACATCATCTTCTCAATGAGGCCTATCCAGACTTCTCATTTAAAACCATAGCCCCAGCCTAGCTTTCCATGTTGTATTATTTCCTGGAGCATGCATCACCTTCGAAAATACAATTTATTCCTTATACAAGCTATTTATTATCTCCACCCACTAGAATGTGCACTACAAGAACATATGCACAATTGCCCATTTACTGAATAGATCCTAGAACTTAGAAGAACACCTGGAACTCATAAACACACAATGATAGCTGTTTAATGAATTAATGATCAAAGCACAAATCTGATCATACACCTCTCTTGTCAAAGTTTTTTAATCTTTTATGGTTTTCCTTTGCTTTCAGTGCAAAACTAAATCTCCTTAGCATGTTTATAAAACGGCAATAATTCATTTTCTAGTCTTATACGAGCCACGTTCCCACTGCCATGAGTTGTTGCAAGAAATAAATTGTTATAATACACAAAGGAGAAGTGCTGGATTCTGTGTGCTGTGATGAGAAAAGAGACTGAGACATAAGCATATTAAGATGAAGAAAATAGTGACTACAGTGTATATTTATATACACTATACACAGTACATCTATACATAGATGTATATACATAGATATATACATAGATGTGTGCATACTATATGTGGATGTATACATTATATCTATGTATATCTATAAGATATACATATACTATATAAATATAGATCTATAGATATACATATAGTGTATACACATATATCTATATACATAGATATAGTGTATATCTATATACACTGTATACACAATAGTGACTATAATGTATATATCTAGATCTCCACTATGTAGGAAGAGTATTGAATCTTCCCAGCACCCTCCCTTTATGGACCAATGCTACCTTTCTTTTGAGGAATTGCTTCTCTTCCTCTTCTGAATAAAAATACCTGTCTTCTTTCATGGTACCACCTCCCTGATCACAGCTAGTCAATTGTAATAGTCAACCCAGCTTGCCATAGTCATTGGCCCATGGTGGTCATGTGACTCCAGCCCTGCCAATCAGAATGTTCCCCGAGATTTTTTTCAATTAAAGGGGATTATAAGGGGAAGTTATTTCACTCACAGGCCTAACCACCGCACAGACTACACACTTTTCTACCTTGTAAAACCCCACTCTTGTGACAAATTAATTCATATAACCCCTCCTCTTTAAAATCTTCTCTAACTTGCTCACTCACCTGCCTATCCACTCCATGCACCACCCCTGCTCTAGTATAAGTCTCTGTAGTGCATGAACTCTGTTACACCTGATTCATGCCTCTGGTAGCCCTGTCTTCTCAATTAAATGTTACTGTTTGTCTTCTCCAAACACTAGGCTGAGAGCTACTTGAGGATAGAAAATCATGTGGATTCACCTTTGTATTTCCAGAACCTACCATAATGAGTTTTGACTGATATTGCACACCATTCATTGTGGACCACCTGATAATTTATTCTTGATCAGTACTGACCAGTAGAAATATAATATGAGCCATATATAAAATTTTACATTTTTATAAGCAGCTATATTATTAAGGAACAAAAAAACCCAGTTACAATTAATGTTAAAATATATTTTAATTAACCCAACATATGCAAAACAAGCATGATCATTTCTACATGTAATCAATATAACAATTATTAATGTGATATTTTATATTCTTTTATCTTTGTACCAAGTCTTTGAAATATGGTGTTCATTGTACACTTACAGCCCATCTTAGTTGGCACTAGCCACATCTCAAATACTCAGTAGCTGCAAGTATTTTGTGGCTACCATACTGGACAGCATAGTTCTGGATAGTAGTTCCTTGAGAGCAACATCTGTCTTATTCACCCGGCTTTCTTTCACAGATAATTAATAAACCTCTCTCTAGTTCTAAGCAGAGACATATTAAAAGTCTTCCACCTGAAGGGATGGGAATGAATTGCCAAATACTCTTTGCTTATGTTGAGTGAAATAAGCCAGGCCCAGAAAAACATACATCACATGTTCACACTTATTTGTGAGATCTAAAATTCAAACCATGCCAGGCACAGTGGCTCACTCCTGTAATCCCAGCACTTTGAGAGGCTGAGGCTGGTGAATCACCTGAGGTCAGGAGTTTGAGACTAGCCTGGACAACAGAGTGAAACCAAATCTCTACTAAAAATACAAAAATTAGCTGGGCATAGTGGTGGGCACCTGTAATCCCAGCCACTCAGGAGGCTGAGGCAGGAGAATCGCTTGAACCTGGGTGGCGGAGGTTGGGCAGCAAGAGCAAAACTCCGTCTCCAAAAATAAAATAAAATAAAAATCAAACCATCTGAACTCATGGACATAAAAGGTAGAAGGATAGTTACCAGAGGCTGGGAAGGGTAGTGAGGGGATGAGAGGTAGATGGGGATGGTTAATGGATACAAAAAAAAAAAAAAAAGAAAAGAATGAATAAGACCTACTGTTTGATAACACAATAGGGTGACTATAGTCAATAATAACAATTATGTATTTTAAAATAATTTACAAAGTATAACTGGATTGTTTGTAGCTCAAAGGATAAATGCTCGGGGGGTGGTGAATACCCCATTTTTCATGATGTGCTTATTTCACATTGCATGCCTGTTTCAAAACATCTCATGTACCTCATAAATATATGCTACTATGAGCCCACAAAAAAATAAATTTCAAATAATAAAAAGTACTCTTTGCTGTCATTTGCTTGTGAATGACACCTGTGCTACCTTTCAGGCTTGTTATGCTGCTAAGCAGGGAAGCTCTTTAGTTCTAATTGAAGAAGTGATTTCCAGAGCTATTCTTTGCTTTGAAAACATAATAAAATGACCAGGACGGTGATAGAATAGTAACTCTTTCATCCATGAAAGCAGATCTGTAGCAATAATGAATTTTGAGGTAGAGGCAAAATTGAAAGGATCCTAGAAAAGATCCCCTGAATAAAGTAAAATAACAACAACGACAACAACAACAAAATCCAGACTCTCAACTGTGAAGCATTTGGATCAAGTGACAGAAAACCCGCTCGTAGCAGAAAGTGCTGGTGTCTCGTGCTTATTCATCTTGGCAATGACCGTTTCTGGACCCATCCTCTCAACTTCCAATGGGAAGCACCTGTGACTGCCTGAGAGCCTTCTCTGACTTCCAATACCTGTTCTGCCCCCACACGGGGCAGCCTGGAAGTGTCAGGAATTAATATCCTTCCTGGGAGTGCCCTCAACCAATGACTGGCAGGAATGAAGGATAGACACCTCAGCTTCCCCATGTCTTTGATTAATTAACTCTGAGAAATTTGCTACACTGTCAGCCAAAGGTCCCCGCAGGATTAAGCTCCAGTTGCCCTCAGTGACAACTTGCTTGGTAATGTGTCCTTTATGGGCTGCTTCCCTCCCTCGTCTCATCCTCCCTTCCTCTGGTGTGCTGTGGCATTTCAATTACTGCGACTCTTGCATGAAGTGAGCTATGATGGAAGAAAGAGAAAGAGATGCACTGACTTACACGCTATTATAGCAACTGAGAGATGTCATAAAATGGTAATCATAAGGAATGTGGAATTAGCTGTTGCTTTCCACTACCATCATGTGCTAAGGGAAGAAAACAACAGGATCAGATCAACTACCAACTATCAACTCGGGTGTAGTGTGAAGTCAGAAGACCTCAATGGCCCTCAACATTGAAGGAGCCCCTCACCCCCTGCAGCCAGAGGGCAGACTGTGCGAAAATCCTACAAGCACAGCATGTTCATTATGATCACAGCAGAATAATCAAGAAACTTTGGTCTCTATTCCCAGCCCTGGCAGATATCCTTCATTAAAGTCAAGGCCTTTGTGGGGAGAGAGTAAGACCCTGAGATGGGATGGGGACATCTTTGCCTATGAAATGGCACACCTTGAACCCCTAGATTCCCATGACCCCCCAGAGAGTTGGCAGGAGTCGCTTTCTCCCCCTCTTACTGAAGGATAGCAGCTCCCTTTGCCTGGAAACTGTGCACAGCCTTGCATTGCAAGAGGGTGCTTGCCTCTTCAGAACCTGTCTCCCTTCACTGCTTCTAGACAAATAACTAAGCTTCAGTATCGGCACCATGCTCCTGGGAAATACTGTCCCTTATTTTGGAGAAAAGGGATTGTTAACCAAAAGAATTGTAGGATCTGCCTAAATATATGTCAGGAATTGGGAAAGCACGCATGAGAATGGTGTTGGACTGATAATGGTGGTACGTAATATACAAGGCTGGATAAGAAAGAATGAGTTGATAAAAGGGTACTCTCTCATGAGTCAAAGTTTAATGACCTGGCAAGGCACTTAGAGCTGGTCCTAATACAACTGTAGGAATGGCTCATTGAAATCTGGAGAAAAGAAGGCCTGAAATAAATGAGATAAGGTTGGCTGGACACAGTGGCTCATGCCTGTAATCCCAACACTTTAGGAGGCCAAGGAAGAAGGATTGCTTGAGGCCAGGAATTCGAGACCAGCCTTGGCAACATAGCAAGACCACATCTCTACAAAAAATAAGAATTTAAAATATTAGCTGGGCATGGTGACTTGTGCCTGTAGTCCTAGCTACTCAGGAGACTGAGGAAGGAAGATCACATGAGCCTAAGAATTTGAGGCTGCAGTGAGCCATGATGGGACCACTGTGCTCCAGCCTGGGAGAAGGTAGGAACTTGTCTCTAATAAATAAATAAATAAATGTTTTTAAAAACTAGATAAGATTTATTTACTACTGTGCTTTGGCTCAGGGAGATAAGCTTACTCCAAAGAATGACATAGAATAACACAGCTCGCTGACAATGTTTCCAAGAGAGTCCAAGAAGACAGTCTTCATTAAAACAGTAAAGAATGTGATGGTGATGGGGGTACTGGCTTCACGGAAAAACTCCGAAGTGGTTTATATTCTGAAGGCCAGGATTGATGGTAGTGATATCATTATGGGACTGGGATTCCTAGTACCAAGAAGCAAAATAGGATTCCAGAATAGTGGAGGCTTGGTGGCAGCAAGGCAGCCATGACTACTATAATGGCATAAAGGCAGCATGGCAAACAGGGGCCTGACAGGCACGAATCTGAGACTGTGGTTAATATATCCCATGGTTCCTAAGAGCTCTTAGATGTGCAGTTGATAAGGATATTGCTTGACCTTTACAATCAAAAGTGATCAGGAGCAAGAGAGCCAAATGTTGATGATGTCAGCTACCACAATGGACGATCACAGTCTGATACCCAGTTCCCAGACTGGTGTCTGGAACCTCAGGCCCAGATTTAATCACTTAAGGGAGAGGAAGTCCTGTAAGCCACAGCAAGCATATAACATAGTGATTCTCCCAACCCTTCCCCAAAGGGACCCATACCCATTTGTTGGAGTTCCTGTGCATTTGGAGGAATGGAATACTCAGATCTTCTGATGGCTTGATCACAGAGTCTGAGCTGTCACTGCTACAAGACCCAAAACACAATCATGGGCCCCCTCAGTTAAATAAGGACTTACTGAGGCTAGATGACAAATGGACTCCAGAACTAAGTTTATCAGCACCCATGCTGTGATCATGTCCCTAGCCCCCTCTCACATTTGTTTTTTGACCTGTGGAGTAAGAGCCTTTATAGTAGGAAAGATGAAGTAAACACCCCTGAAGGTGACCACCATTCCAGAGCAATACCACATCCTAGGTTCCTATGGTTTGAATGTTCCCTCCAAACTTATGATGAGATTCAATTGTCACAGTAACCATATTAAGGGGTGGGGCCTTTAAGAGGCAGAGCCTTCATGAAGGGATTAATGGTGTTATCACAGGAGTGGGTTGGTTATTGCAGGAGTCCTGGTAAAAATGATGAGTTTGGCACACTTCTCTCCCTGCCTCATGCACATGTTTCTTCACTTTGCTATGCCTTCTGCCATGGAATGGCCCCACCAGATACTAGTGCGATGCTCTTGAACTTCCCAGTCTCCAGAACTGTGAGAAATGTTTCTTGTCTTTACAAATTACCCAGTCTATGGTATTATGTTATAGGAGCAGGAAATAAACTAAGACACAAGTGTAATGCAAGGGCTTGGAACCACCCTTAGAGACTCAAAAAGAAAGAACAGTGTGGTGATTTCATCATATCCTCCTTTAATTCATCAATCTAACCCCTGGAAAAAACCAAACACTAAATGGACTATGTCAGATAATTTAGCCAAGTGGTAGCCCCAGTTTGCAGTTGCAGTACCAGATGGTGGTATTTTATGACAGCAAATTGTCACAGCCTTTGAGTCTAGGTATACTGCAAACACCTTATTTTCAATCTCCTTTGGGAAGAAGAATAAAATGCAGTTCATTCACCTTGACTATGCAGGTAACTCACCATCTTGCCCAAGGGCTATGTTAGCTCTACTCTCCTCTATCCCTATGTAGTCTAAAAGAACCTTAACCTTTGTCTAAGCATTCTATATGACATCAGTCTGGCCCCTTATATTGATAATATCATGTTAACTAAAATTAGTAATCATAAGGTGGTAAGTCTTCGAGATGCCTTATTAAAACACATGCAGGCCAGAGGGTGGGAGATAAACCCTACAAAGATTTGGGACTGAGATTATAGTGAGCCAGTGGTCTGGGGACATTCCAGAGTATCCCCTACAAAATAAAGGATATGTTATTTCATCTTCCACCTCCTACCACTATGAAAGAAGTACAGCCCATGGAAGGTTTCTCTGGATTTTGAAGGCAGCACAAGCCACATTTAGGAATATGGTTCTGATCCGTTAGTCATGTAACTCAGAAGGCTCTTGATTTTGAATGACCTCAAGAACAAGAGAGGGCTCTGCAGACAGTCCAGAGCCTGGATCTTGACATTTCAGTCATATTACCTGGAAGAAACCATGATTTTAAAGGCAGGGCCAACTACATAATTTTGGGGGCAATGCAAAATGAAAACGTGAAACACTTTGTTCAAAAAGCAGAAAAAAAGTACAGCTAAGTTAAATATACTGAAACAATACATTTTCCTTTAAAAATATTATATTACTGACAAAATGTAATCAGAGTAATAGTTATCATGAATTACAACATAAACCTACAAATTGCAAGAAAATATTGGTGTCATAATTTTATATTTGTATGTAATTCAATGTATAATATGTAATTTTATATGATACAGTAAACAGTAATACTTTCTTAATGTGACACCTTGATTTATTATGAGATTTCTCTAATTCATTCTTCCATAAATGTATTAGGTATCAGAATTTATGCTTTTTGCAACTTCTTTATTGATCAATATAATTGAATGTGATATAAAACACTTTTATTACCTGCAAAGTTGCAGATAATTTTAATAATTTTAAATTTTGGAAGAATTTTCTGCTAATAAAACTGTTACTGAAATGCTAAACATGTTTTATAGCATTGGAATAAATCTGAAAAAATATTTCATTATATAAATTTTAGCATGTCTAGAAGTGATGACTTACAGAAAACATTTTCCAAAAAATTTAACTCTTCATATCAGTTCTGTATAAGTCTGAATTTTTATTTGAGCTTTGAACATTCATTATCCTTGTTTCTAACACGATTTTCAAATTTAGATAATTTTTGTAATGGCTGTTTTTAACAAGTGGCTTGCAACAAAATTCATGAAAATTGAACAATCAGCCCTCCTGAGTGGGTATAGGCCAGCTCCAGCACTCCTCTGCCCCTAAGCCTCACGATTACAGTGTCCATCTTATGATATTGGCCAAAGGGAGAAAGTCTTGGAAGTGCTGCTTATTGTTGAACTTTCTTTTGGAATGTGATATGGTTTGTCTGTGTCTCCACCCAAAATCTCATCTTAAATTGTAATCCCCATAATCCCATGTGTCAAGGAAGAGACACCAGGTGGAGGTGATTGGATTATGGGGGCGGTTTCCCCCATGCTGTTCTCCTGATGGTGAGTGAGTTCTCACAAGATCTGATGGTTTTATAAGTGTTTGGTAGTTCCTCCTGTGTCATTCCCTTTCCTGCCACCTTGTGAAGAAGGTGCCTTGCTTCCCCTTTGCCTTCCACCGTGATTTGTAAGTTTCCTGAGGCCTCCCCAACCACGTGGGACCCTGAGTCAATTAAACCTCTTTCCTTTAAAAATTACCCAGTCTCGAGCTGCTCTTTATAGCAGTGTGCCAATGGACTAATACAGAAGGTATGGGAGAAAGCAGGGAAAGGAATCTGTAGGCAGACTGCCATAAAGGAACCACTATTCTTTTCACTTAAATTCAGCTTTCGGTGTAAGTCTTCTTTCTTCCTCATCTGTATACTACACAGAGGCCCAGAAGGTGAAGGGATTAGTCAAATGTCCAGAAAAGGAAAAGATAAGAGGACAAGATCCCATCCCCCAAGGAAAGAAAGACTCTAATGCAGAGGGAGCAGGAGCTGTGATGGAGATAGCCACTGCCTCTCTCACCCTCCATTCCCATCCCTTGGCTCAAGAAAGGCAGATGTAGCAGAGTGGGACAGATGCTGTTTACTGGTCTGACCAGCGTCCCTAATGGAAGGCTCAGACAGAGCCTCCTATCAGTCCTGGCTCCCATCTTCCCTTTCCTGGGAGCTCATGACTCACACCAACAGAAAAGAGTGTCCTGAGCAGGGGAGGCAAAGCCAGGGTAAAAATCTCAGAGTTGGGATACAAGAGGGGCTCAACATGTGAGATTGCTAGGCCATCCAGATAAAACATCCATTAGGGCAGAAGACAGACTGTTTCCCTGCACAGACCACTCTGCCCTTGCCAGAAATAGGAGGGGCAGGAGGAAGAGCTTCCCGCAGAGGCTCCCAGCTGGGCCCTTTGTGCCATCAGCATCTCCCAGATGTTGCCCTCAGCTTCCTTAACATTCTGCTCTAGGTAGGATTTTTTTCTGTTTTAGTTCTTTAATTTTTTTTTCTTCTGCTATTTTCTGACTTTCTAACAGTTTATTGTGAACTGCCTCCTTGGATTGAAGAATAAACATTCTTCATCTTCATACATATATCCTACAGCTTCATACAGATTAGTCTCATCCACCGAAGTCATGATCTCTGCATCTGTAAGATGTGCATGCTTTTTTGTTCTGTTTAGCTGTTTGGTCGGTATGTCTGTAAGCTTCACCTTCTGTTGAGTGTCAAAAACTTTGTCTTGAAGCTCTGTGAAGATCCATGGGGGTTACCATCTTGGTGTCTGAATTTTATTTTAAATGTAAAATTATGCAAGGGAATTTTGATGTTTCCTCTGACATTGTAATTTGTGGAAGTTGGTGCAACAAACTGAAAGTGGGTTCATGATTTTCACATACTTCAAAAAGGTCTGTTTATGCATCCTTTCACTGTACCTTAAAGTATAAGGAAAAATTAATTTCAAAACTGTCCTCCTTGTAAATAAGTGGCTCATCTGAAACTTCATATTAATTTGTTTTCTTTCCATCCCATCTCTGCTGCAGCTGGTGCCAGTTGCCATCTCAGGGCAGGCCCAATGTCCTCCTGGGAGCAGTCCTGAACCCATGACTGACAAGTAGATAAATATCTCAACCTCCTTCTGTCTCAGATACAATCAGTTCGAGGTGCATTCTGCACTGTATGCCTTAGTTCCCCAGCAGGCTTCAACCCCAGTTTCCTTCAGTGATAACAGCCTGATAACACTGTATTGGCTTCCTGCCATCCCTAACTCAATTCCCACTTCTTCATCAGTGTTTCCTGTACCTTCAGGTAGTTTATTACCTCCCAAATGAACTCCCTGGACTTATCCTCTGTCACAGGTCTGCTTCTAAAGAAATTCAAAGTCAGTCAACAACTTTGTCTTTGTCTATTTAGTGTTGCTGTAACAGAATACCTGAGCCTGAGCAGTTTATAAAGAAAAGAGGTTTATTTGGCTTAAAATTCTGGTGGCTGGAAAGTTCAAGATTAGGCATCTGTATCTGGTGAGGGCCTCAGGCTGCTTCGACTCATGGTGGAAGTGGAAGGGGAGCCAAAGTATGCAAAGAGATCACATGGCAGTAGGGGAAGCCAAGGAGGGAGGGAGACAGGTGCCAGGCTCTTTTTAACAGCCAGCTCTCAAGGGAACTAAGACAGTGAGAACTCACACACCCATCCCCAAGGGAGCACAGTAATTAATTCATGAGGGGTTGACCCCCATGACCCAAACACCTCCCAGTAGACCCCACCTCTGAACATTGCCACATTGAGGATCAAATCTCAGCATGAAGTTTGGAGGGACAAACATTCAAACCATAGCAAACTTAATCTGGCTTAAATAATAAAGAGGATTCCTTGATGAGCAAGAGAAGAGACCACCTTCTTCTCCATCTCAAACCCTGAAAAACTGCTTCTGGGCTTGTCACAGCTTTGGCAGCAGAGCTGAGCATGTTAAAATAAAATGGAGTTTTATTTGTTTGTACTGTATGTTGGTGAAGGAGGCAGCAGCAACAGAGACCGGGGCGTTATGCACCAACCATATTATGCATCTGGAGATTCCCAGAGCAGCAACTGGGACAGGGACTACTGAATCCCTCAGACTTTAGGCCATAAGCCAATGAACATTTACTGTAAAAGGTGAGATAATACTTTTCGCTTTGCGGGCCATGCAACCTCTGTTGCCACTGCTCAACTCTGCAATAGCTCAGAAGCGGAATAGATAAGCACAAACTAATGAGCATGGCTGAGTTCCAGTAAAACTTTATACACTAAAATTTGAGCTTCATGTAGTTTTCAGACGCCATGAAATAATGTTCTTCTTTTGATTTTTTTCAACCATTTAAAAATGGAAAACCCACGTGTGTCTTTGGGGTTGTACAAAAGCCAGAATGGGCCCCTGCTATGGGCCATTGACACATGCTCTCAATAAGGCTGTGAATTAGAGGTTTCCCTGCACACAATGTTGTAAGCCCCTTGGAGGTTTGGAGATTCCAGCATCTATGACTGATTTTTCATGAAGGTTATTGAGGATGTGAACAGAATGTTTCAGTACTTTCCCCATCCATCTGCCTCAGCTTTCCTCTTCCTACCCTTCCTCCCTTATCAGGAAGCACTTCTATAATAATAGGATTGCTAGGAGCACAGAATTCTCGGGCCATGTTTTACTCCTGGACAAGGTTACTCTACTCCAAGTATGGTGTCCTCCCTGGCCTGTCCACTCTAGCTGTAGACAGGGATGGCCCCTAGAGGGAAGCCTGCCAATCCAGCTGTTACATAATGACAGCTGATCTCCAATCTGTGATTCTACTTGTCTGTAGCAGCCCCGTTTGACAACTTTGTTGGAGGAGGAGTGAGTAACGGCCAAATTCAATCTTTTGTCGCTAGATATAATACCAAAAAAACTGTCACTGCTCTTCCCAAGACTCCTAATCAATATCATCAGTAAATATTGGCTGAGTAAATATATGCAACCTCTGTCACAACTACTCAACTCTGCGGTTCATGACGGATAATGAACCCTGTGGACCCCTCACGAACCACGGAGTTGAGTAGTTGCGACAGAGGTTGCATGGCCAGCAAAGCTAAAAGTATTACTTCACCTTTTACAGAAAATGTTCATTGGCCTATGGCCTAAAATCTGAGGGATTCAGTAGTCCCCGTCCCAGTTGCTGCACTGGGAATCTCCAGACGGATAGTTTGGCTTGTAAATAATGCTCCAGCCTCTGTTGCTGCTCCTTCTTCACCAACATATAAGAAATAAAATTACATTTTATTTTAATATCCTCAGCTCTGCTGTCAAATATTTGTTATAATTTAACAAATTAATAAATTTGTTAAATAAGGTGCAAATGCTGAAGACAAACTCAGTAGTTGAGAACATAAACCTTTGTATAGATTAGTCTCCCTACCTGAAAATATTTCCAATCCACCCCCTCACACCTTCACCTCTCATCTGGCTAATAGCTCTCGTTTTTTCAGGTTCAACTTAAGGAAGACTTTCTCTGGAAAGCCTCCTCTCCCGATACTAGACTATGTTAGGTTTCCCCCAGTGCACAATCCCAAAGGACTCTGTTTCATCTTCATCCCACAAATGAAAGTAGATAATAACTACTAATTTAGGCCCGACATGGTGGCTCATGCCTATAATCCTAGCACTTTGGGAACCCAAGGCGGGCAGATCACTGTGGTTAGAAGTTTGAGACCAGCCTGGTCAACATGGCAAAACCCCGTCTCTAGCAAAAAGAATACAAAAAATTAGCCAGGCATAGTGGCGTGTGCCTGTAGTCCCAGCTGCTAGGGAGGCCGAGGCATGAGAATCACTTGAACCTGGGAGGCAGACGTTGCAGTGAGACGAGACGGTGCCACTGCACTCCAGCCTCGGTGACAGAACGAGATTCAGTCCCCCCTGCCCCCAACTAATTTAGTTATCAGCCAGTGAGGATCAGGAGATACACTCTCTCCCTGTCTCTCTCTATCCTTATCTCTCTCTCTCTCCCTTCTTCCCTCTCTTTCTCTGTCTCTCTCTGTTTCTCTGTCTGTCTGTCTCTCTCTCTGTCAATGTCTCCCTCTCCTTTTCTCTCTCTCACCGACTTCCCTCCCTCCCTTTCTCCTTCCCCCTCCTACCACCAAATTTTATTACTAGCAGCAATGGTGAACAATGACTTCACTCTGATTATATTTCTGTACACATCTTTTTACCCTACAAAATTTAATCGAGTTTAATGTGTTCCCCTGAGAGCTTGTCACTGTATGTTAACTATTTTAAAATTTTACAAGCACCATCTTAGAGTTACTGTGTCACATGTCCTATAGCAAAGTCATGAAGGTGCAGCTGGCACAAGTCAAATGAAAACCCTTCTACTTTTGTGCAGGGGAGAAATACACACACACACACACACACACACACACACACACACACACGGTTTGGCTTCTTAACATGCATTTTTCTCAAATAAGTAAGTCATTTCAGTGAAGAGTTTGGGTAATTCTGACAGCTACCCTTTAATAGCTACATGATAAAAGAAGTTCCAAAGAACCAAATCACGTAACAAAGAATACATGTGCTTTAGAGAACCTGCTGCATTCTACATCTTTTAGGGGGAAAAACAAAACTATATTCCTAAAATTCTAAGCGGAGTGATTTAATACATATACGTTTCATATTGAAACATGTTTTAAAGAGACTACCAAGAAAACACAAATACATAAGACTTCAAGTAATGAGTAATTATGGTGAAATTAGCATAGTTCAGATTTTCCAACCTGCTTCATTGGTTATGCATGTGGGTGTTTGAAACCCTTGCCAGGTCTTTAAAAACAAGCTCCCAGTCTCAGCAATAGCTGTGCCCTGTTCTCCAGCATGGGCTTTCAATTTGCCCTTCTCTTTGGTGCCAAAAGTCTCCTGAGAAGAGTAAGGCTGAGTTCTGGGTTTCAAATGCCTGTGAATTAAGTTCTAGCAACTGCAGAGTCTCCAATGATGATTCATTGTCCTGAGTTCCACTTTCTCACCCTGGGAAACTTCAGAAAGACTGAAATGGAAATGAGCATTAGGAGCTAGGTCCGCTTGCCTGGGCTGTCTCTCAGGTTAGTGGAACTGGGATTACTTCTCAATCAGCCATGTTCATTTGGCACCTTTGGCAAACCTCAATTTTCACAGCAGGAGAAATAAAAAAAGCTAGTGTTCACTTGGCACATGCCTGCTTCTAGTCTTTACTTTGGAAATTTTCATTGTTGTGTTAGCTTACCAGGGTGGCCATAACGAACTATGAATTTGAGGGAACACAGTTCCGTCTGTAACAATCGTGTGGAAGCTGAACTTCAAACAGGTAAGCTATCAGCTGGCTAACGTGTGGTCATTCCCACTTCCCATCAAGGTTTTTTATTTTTATTTTTATTTTTTTATCAAACTCTCTTGCCTTCCAACATATATTTTTAAATCAAACAATATTTAGGAATGTTTTTAGGATCTTTTTCTCCTTTTATACTGACCAACATCATAGACTCCTCACCCTGTTTAACATCTTTGTATTCTCCGGTCTTTGTGAATGTCCCTCTGCTACCTTACTAGACACACCAGACTGACCGACTCTCTTATCAAAGAATGACTTATAGACGTCATTATTCTTTTTCCCAAGTGTCTGAAATTCCTTTTCAAATTAGGCTTTCATTTTTTTGAATAGGCTTTAATGTTTAGAGCAGTTTTAGGTTCACAGCAAATTTGAGCAGAAAGTACAGAGCTTCCCACATACGCTCTGTCCCCACACATACATAGCCTCCCCCACTGGCAGCATCCCCACCAGAGTGGTGGAGTGGTGCATTTGTCACAACTAATGAACCGACATTGAAACATCATGGTCACCCAGCCTCTGTAGTTTACCTGAGGGTTCACCCTTGGTGTTGTACCTTCTGTAGGTTTGGACACATATATAATCACCTGTATCCACAATTCTAGTATCATGCAGAGTATTTTCACCACCCTAAATATTTGGGAGTCCATTTTATCCTGTTTCCTCTGAAGCTTGTGGAGAGCATTCATGTGGACGGAGCTGGACTAGGCAGGCATGCAATTGACTCAACTCTTGCCAGAGCCTCTGGAGATTTCGGCTTCCTTGCTGTGGGAGTGGAAGGCATTTACATCTTTGGACTCTCTGACAGTCAGTATCTTCCCCATCATGGTTCCCACAGTTTCCTGTTCAGGTTCAGAAAGTACCTTGTTACCAAGTCTATCGTGCTAGAGGGAATACAGCCAAGTGTAAGGTACCTGGTACCTACGACAGGAGAGGAAAGAGAACTCAGTTCTTCATGTGCCCACCCAGTCCTTGTGCTCAGGGGTCTTCCATGTGCATTTCTCTTTTGGTCAAATGCTTAGCATTGTTCATTCACTTGGTAGAAGAGCATTAAGTACCCATTAAGTGTGCCAGGCATGGAGCTGGTGCTGGGACCTGTTTGTTGAAGACACACGAGGCTGGTTTTCTTAGCTGCTTTTGCCAGGGCTCCCTGCTGCCCCCTTGCTGCCCAGACCATGGAGGAACCGAGGCCAAGAGAGGTGACCTTGGCCAAGTAAGAAAAGCTTTCTATGTCTATGTTTTCTCATCTGTAAAATAGGATAATAAGAGAATTGATCCTATGGGGTCGAGTGAGGATTGAAAGGGGCCATTTATGAAAATACTTCACACAGTGCCCAGTGCACAGTAACTTCTGATCTGCAGAGAGTGCTGTATTGCAGATGGTGTTTAGACAGCTATCAAACAACTCTAGTAGTAGTAACAATAACACTAGCAAATAACACTTATACAGGGCTGATCTACTATACTCCTGGCACTGTTCTGGGTTCTTTATGCACATTCGCTCATTGAATTATGAGTACTTATAATCCCTACTTACACACACGGTGATGCAGCTCAGGTAAGGTAAGTGAGTTGCCCAAGGCTACACAGCGAGCAAGTGCTGAAGGTAGGATGTGGGCCAACCTGTTAGGTGCCAGAGTCCATGCTCTTGGCCACAATGTTAGGCTGCCTCCCCATTTCCTTTGTCTTGATTCCCCAAACCCAAGGTTCTCACCCAATCTGATCAAATGCTGACTAGGTCATGGCTGGTCAGGGTAAAGCATTATGACAGACACAAAGACAAAGAGGTAAAGTTGCTGTCCTCAAGAGAGAGAGACATAAAAACAAATGGATCTGGAACTAAGTAAGGCTTCGAGGAGGAGGTGAGCAAAGGTACCAGATCCAAAGGCTTATGTTGAGAATACGGAACTGAGAGAAGGTTCATGGAGAGTGCAGTGGGGTCTCCTGGGACACAGACCTAGTAAGGCAGTTTAGGGGCAAATGGAAAGATCTTGAATCGCAGATTTTTTTTTTTTTTTGGAGACAGAGTCTCACTCTATCACCCAGGCTGGAGTGCAGTGGAGCAATCTAGGCTCACTGCAACCTCTGTGTCCTTGGTTCAAGCAGTTCTCCTGCCTCAACCTTCAGAGTACCTGGGATTACAGGCACGTGCCACCACGCCCAGCTAATTTTTGTATTTTTAGTACATACAGGGTTTCACCATGTTGTCCAGGGCTCCTGACCTCAAGTGATCTGCCCACCTTGGCCTCACAAAGTGCTGGAATTATAGGCAGGAGCCACTGCGCCCGGCTTCTTGAAGAGCAGATTTTAAAATTTGAAATTTGTCTTGCCAAGGGTAGGAAACCATTGCTGATTTTGAGCAAGAGGACGATGCACTCAGGACCCTAGCGTAGGACATTGCTCTGGCAGCATTGTGGAAGTTAGGCTGAAGGAGAAACCAAGCAGAAGCAGAGAGATCAGTCAGGAGGCAATGATATGTTTGAAACCCATGATTTACCTTGTACAAAGGCTAGAACCGGCGGTTGTATGGTTCTGCTCTGGGTCGCACTCCTAATGTCCCACATAGCCTCTTGGGTCTATAAATATAAATATGTGCATAAAAACACATAGAAAAATGTCTGCTACTCTGCGTGCAGTATGACAGATGAGATTTGCCTTCTTCCTAATTTTTCTGTATTGTGTAGATTTTTTTCAAGTAAAGAGCCATTATTACTCTTATATTCGGGAAAAAAGTGAAGTTATGTTTAGTTTTTAAAAATAAAGCCTTATTTTTCTTATGGAACTCAAAATGGCATTTCTCTAATTGAGTCGCAGGTCACTGTGCTGTGAGTGGCTAAGTCGCCTGGTAACCCAGGCAACATGAAGGCAGCAGACACTGTGTTTTCCAAGCTTGGTCTAAGAGACGCCCCTTGGCTGGGGCTCCCATGGGATTGGCCTAAGGAGCCAGACGGTCCTGAGACAAACCATGAATTATGAATTGGAAGTTGGTTGGTTGGGTCCTTTTCTCTTTCTCTAAGTACCCAAAAGTCTTATGCTGCTTGTCATCTTCCCTCACGGCTCCCCTCACACACCCTAGCAATATCACACACTTCAAGTGTTTTATGAAAGTATGCCATAAATACAGAAAAGCATGCCACACCTTGTTATTAAGCTTCCCTTGTACCCTCCCTGGCCTCCTCCAACAAAAGAAAGCTAAAGAATCCCCCACCCTCTGTTTTCCTCTATTAAACTTAGTTCATTCACACGTGGAAGGTCTACTTCATCCAAGCAGGGCTAGGCTAGGGCTGCAAAGATGAGTGAGTCTGCAAAGAAGCCACAGTCCCAGGGTGAAGTTAGGCAAGGACCCAAACAATGCTGACACCATGAAGATGGGCCCTGTTAGGGAATTCTTTGCTTTTTTGCAGGGAGAGAGGTCAACAGAAGGATCCAGGGAGGAGGTGATGCTTAAGGTATGTCTTAGAGTCTGCCAGATGGGAGACAGGGCAGGAAGGAAAATCAACACAGAGAGACCAACATGTTCAAAGACCCTGAGGAGGGAGAGAGTAGAGAGCACGTCTGGGTAGAGCACCAAGCAACTTGGTTAGAGGAGCCCAGCTGAGCACACCTTCTGTAAGAAGCTAATACCGCTTTTACAATACACACCAGTGTCTACACCAAATGAACATTCTACCATGCCAGGTTTTCATGGATTTCATTCCTCTGCAGTCTCACTTCCCAAAGTCTCTTTCCTTAACCCTTCTGAGCGTGGCCTGGTTCCCGCTCCTGCCTGCTCCCTGTGGCAGTGTCCGACTGAAACCAGCCCAGCTGTCCCAGAGAAGTGATGTCTACTGTTTTTTGGATAAACATGAAAATTGACCCTCTCATCTAAGATTGAAACTTACATTTGTCTTATCTGAATTCCTTCTTCAGGAAACTGACCCTTAGGCAACCAGTTAGTATCAAGGAACCGAAACTCACCAGACCACCACATCCACACAATTAGATGCCAGACCCTTCATCCATCATGACTCCTGTTTAGCAGCTTCTCTTCCTTACCCCTCCCCCATTCCTGTTTTCTCACATATAGTTACATTTCCTTCCTGCTATGTAAACCCCTAAGTTTAGTCGACTGGTGGAGGAGACAATTTTGAGAATGATTTCCCGTATATATATTATATTTTAATATATTAAATTTGTATCATACTTTAGACATTTTCATCATATAATTAAGTTTTATATTTTATCTCTTACACATTTTCCTATGTGATTAAATGTTCTTTGAAAACATTTCTTTTTGGTTTACATAAAATAAAATTTACTCTTTTTCATGTACAGGGCCATGAGTGTTGACGAACACTTGGATTCATGCAATCACCACCACAATCAAGACACAGAGCAGCTCCATCGCTCCCAAAATTTTTCTCAGTGTCACTTTGCAGTCAGCGCCTCCTTCTAGTCCTGATCATTCTCAACCCCCACAATCACTGGTCTGCTCTCCGCTACTATAGTTCTGCCTTCTCGAGGATGTCATATAAATAGAATCATACAGTTGGTGGCCTTTTGGTGCGGCAGCTCTCACATTTGGGTTTCATCCATATTGCTGCATATATCAAGGTAGTTACCTTTATTGCTGAGTAGTATTCCATGGTGTAGATTTACCAGTTAGTTTATTCCTTCACCATCTGAAGGACATGTGAATTGGTAAACATGGCTTTTACTTGTTGAATGATACTCCATTCTACAAATATTCTAAAACCCATGTAAATAGTTCTGATATGGTTTGGCTCTGTATCCCCACCTAAATTTCATATTGAATTGTGATCCCCAGTGTTGAAGGTGGGGTCTGGTGGGAGGTGATTGGATCACGGAGGTGGTTTCGGATGGTTTAGCACCATCACCTAGTGCTGTCTCATGACAGAGTTCTCACGAGATCTGGTGGTTTGAAAGCATGTAGCACCTCCCCCTTCACTCCCTTCCTCCTTCTCTGGCCATGTAAGACATGACTGCTTCCCTTTTGCCTTCCATGATGATCGTAAGTTTCCTGAGGCCTCCCCAGCCATGCTTCCTGTAAGCCTGTGGAACAGAGAGGTGAAGCCAGCTGGACTTCCTAGGTCGAGAGGGGACTTGGAGAGCTTTTCTGTCTAGCTAAAGGATTGTAAATGCACCGATCAGCACTCTGTGTCTAGCTAAAGGATTGTAAATGCACCAGTCAGCACTCTGTAAAAACACACCAGTCAGCACTCTGTGTCCAGCTAAAGGATTGTAAACGCACCAATCAGCACTCTGTGTCTAGCTAAAGGATTGTAAATGCACCAGTCAGCACTCTGTAAAAACACACCAGTCAGCACTCTGTGTCCGGCTAAAGGATAGTAAACACACCAATCAGCACTCTGTGTCTAGCTAAAGGATTGTAAATGCATCAATCAGCACTCTGTAAAATGGACCAATCAGCGCTCTGTAAAATGGACCAATCAGCAGGATGTGGGTGGGACCAAATAAGGGAATAAAAGCTGGCCACCGAGCCAGCAGTGGCAACCAGCTTGGGTCCCCTTCCACATTGTGGAAGCTTTGTTTTTTCGCTCTTCACAATAAATCTTGCTGCTGCTCACTCTTTGGGTCCGCACTACCTTTAATAGCTGTAACACTTGCCGCGAAGGTCCGCAGCTTCATTCTTGAAGTCAGCGAGACCACGAACCCACCAGAAGGAAGAAACTCCAGACACATCTGAAGGAACAAACTCTGAACACACCATCTTTAAGAGCTGTAACACTCACTGCAAAAGTCCATGGCTTCATTCTTGAAGTCAGCAAGACCAAAAACCCAGAGGTTGTCACAATTTTGTCACAATTCTGGACACAGAACTGTGAGTCAATTAAACCTCTTTTTTATTTTTATTTTTGTAAATTACCCAGTCTCGGGCAGTTCTTTATAGCAATGCAAGAACAAACTAATACAAGTTCCAAACAGTTTCAGTAAATATGTAAATATTACTGGATATTTTGGGTTTTTCCCTCATTATAAGTAACTATTATGGCTGGATGTGGTGGCTCACGCCTGTAATCCTAGCACTTTGGGAGGCTGAGGTGGGTGGATCACCTGAGGTCAGGAATTCGAGACTAGCCTGGCCAACATGGTGAAACCCCATCTCTACTAAAAATACAAAAATTAGCTGGACATGGTGGCAGGCACCTGCAATCCCAGCTACTTGGGAGGCTGAGGCAGGAGAATCGCTTGAATCCTGGAAGCAGAGGTTGCAGTGAGCTGAGATCTCCCCACCTCACTCCAGCCTGGGCAAAGGAGCGAAACTCTGTCTCTCAAAACAAAAAGGAACCATTAACTGAACATCTTTATACCAAATAAATGAAAAATGAAAACTTTGCAGACCATATATGCATACATTTATATAGTATACATATGTCTTAAGCAATCAACAAGCATGCAGTGTCCGTGCTGCTGGAGATATAGGAAAATATAGATGATGTAAAATACAGCTTTATTAGAATTCTCTTAAAATGTTTGATAATATACAAGCAGTCTGACTCCCAATGCTTTGTGTCATTATACAAATAAGAAAATAACTTGCTTTAATTCTAATGCAGCATTTTTTAACCTGCTAAATAGAACTAACTTCTTGTTTCTGAAATCCTGAACATATGCCTCATTGAAATACCATTTTCAGGACATCGTTTTCCCAGCAAAAAGCTTCTTTAGATAACAGAATCATTTGGTATACACAGAACACGAATGATGACTGCAAGGGGAGGCTGCAGGGCTGGAGGAGGGTTAGAGCAACACAGTTTCCAGTTACAGTTGAGTCCTGGAAGCCAGCACCAGAAAGAGGGGAATGATAAGACCCGCCCTTTGTTCTGTATAAAGACTTGGGGCTTTTCTTTGAGTAGCGGCTGCTGCCCTGCAAATTAACAAGGAAATAGAGAAAGTGTCAGTATTGGTGTATGGAATCTACGCTCAAAAATATATGTGCAGTATTAGTCTCTTTTCTGGTTAGCGCGGAGCGAGAAGCCATGAGCAGCAAAGTCTCCCGTGACACCCCGTAGGAGGCGGTGCGCGAAGTCCTGCACCGAAACCAGCGCAAGCACCCCAAGTTTCTGGAGATGGTGGAGTTGCAGATCAGCTTCAAGAACTATGACTCCCCAGAAGGACAAGCGCTTCTCGGGCACCGTCAGGCTTAAGTCCACTCCCTGCCCCAAGTTCTCCATGTGTGTCCTGGGTAACCAGCAGCACCGTGACAAGGCCAAGCCTGTGGATTTCCACCACATGGAAAACGAGGTACTGAAAAAACTCAACAAGAATAAGAAACTGGTCAAGAAACTGGCCAAGAGTATGATGCATTTTTGGCCTCAGAGTCTCTGATCAAGCAGATCCCACGAATCCTCGGCCCAGTCCTAAATAAGGCAGGAAATTGCCCCTCCCTGCTCACACACAAGGAAAACATGGTGGCCAAAGTGGATGAGATGAAGTCCGTAATCAATTTCCACATGAAGAAGGTGTTATGTCTGGCTGTGGCTGTTGGCCACGTGAAAAGGACAGACAATGAGCTTGTGTGTAACAGTCACCTGCCTGTCAACTTCTTGGTGACATTGCTCAAGAAAAACTGGCAGAAAAACTGGCAGAATGTCCGGGCCTTATATATCGAGAGCACCATAGGCAAGCCCCAGTGCCTATATTAAGGCACATTTGAATAAATTCTACTGCTACCAGTATAAAAAAAAAAAAAGCAAATTGTGCACACTGTGGAGAAATGTACATAGTATATAGGAAGTTATAAAGTGGAAAGTAAAAGTCTCTTAGTCTCCCCATTTGCACTTTCCATAGAAAACCAACTTTGATAGTTTGAGTTCTCTTTCCAGGAATGCAATGAACACATGCATGCTGAACCTGCTCAATATAACTAATTCCTATTTCTGCAATCCTGAGCACACACGTCATTGAAATACCATCTCAAGACATTCTTTCCTGAGCAAAAAGCTTCTCTAGACAACAGGACCTGCTGCTGCCCTGCAAATTATCCTTAGATGTCTTTAGATATCCTTTTATCTAAGCACAAATGGAATCTGCAACGTGCGTTCTTCACCTAACATCATATTTTGAACATGCTTCCATATTGGTACACAGGGAGTTAACTCATTCTTCCTTGTGGATGAATTCTTATTGTACGGATGGAACACAGTGTTAGCCAGGTTTCCTACTGATGGCTATTACATGATCAGAGTTTAAGTGGTGAAGAAAAACCTGTCCTGACATGAAGACATCAACAGAGGGCCTGCCCAAAATATGGACCCTATTCATAGTAAACAGTATCTGGCCACTGGGTTTGTAAAAACAGAAATTACTGAATTCTTTTAAACCAACTAAAAGATGAATTTTAAAATTATGAAACCATCTAATGTTGGCTTGGAAATATATCCCATGGCTCTGGACTAGTGGCCCTGTCCTTAAAAGTTCCTGACTCCATTTGAATGCTGGTCCTCTCTTTTTTGCTAAAGAAATCTGACCCACAGGTTTGTATTAGTGCTCCACCTACCGGACATTTTCTACAATTGCACCTGTGATGCAGTTAATGTCCCAGACTCGATTCACTCAAAATTTAAAATTACTTTTGCTTTCAAATAATTAACTAATTAACATAAGGTTACATTTTTCTTTACTTTTTTAAAAAATAAAATAACACATAATTAGATACACTAATAATGACAGCCTCCCTTCATCTTTTTCCAGTTTCTATTCCTTTGCCTAGAAGGAACCCACAGTTAGGTGCTTGGAGTTTACTTTCTCAGACCTATTTCTATCACTTACATCCATTATCATGCACAAATAGAAACATGCTGTTTTGCTTTCTTCTGGTTTACATGTCTCGGTTCATGTTCTGTGCATTGGTTTCTCACTTTGTAGCTTAAAAACCTTTTCTTGTCAATGTGAGACTATACTTGAGGGGGTAACTGCACTATTTGCAGTTACTTTGATTTTTAAAATTGATTCTTGTTATTACATTTATATACTCAAAAGCCTAATTTTCCCATGCCCTTTTATTTAATTTATAAATCACATTGTTCTATTTAAAAACCTGGTGAACTCTGACAATAACTCTTAAGGATTTGTCACACTTACTTAATTCCTGTGATGTTTTAAACTCAAGTTATTTCAGGTTAAGTTATTATTATTATTATTATTCTTTGAGACAGGGTCTCATTCTGTCACCCAGGCTGGAGTGCAGTGGCATGACTACAGCTCGTTGAAGCATTGACCTTCCCGGGTTTAGAGAATCCTCCTGCCTCAGACTCCTGAGTAGCTGGGACCATAGGTGCACACCAACATACCCAGCCAATTTTTTGTTTGTTTGCTTGTAGAGGCGGGGTCTCGCCATGTTGCCTAGGCTGGTCTTGAATGCCTGGGTTCAAGTGATCCTCCCGCACTGAACTCCCAAAGTGCTACGGTTACAGGCATGAGCCACTGGGCAAGGCTTCAGGTTATTTTCAACTTAAATATTAAAATATTACATCTTTTTTAAAAAATATTTTAAATGACTTTAAATTAGCAAAACTTTCTCAATTACTTGATTGTAGTAAACCTAATAAATGTATAAAATTTAATCTTAATTCTTTTACAAATTCCAATACTGGTTCAAAACTTAGTAAAATTCTCTTATAACTTCCTACTAAAAATCCCAAGCCTAAAATCAGTTACTTGGCTGAGCATGGTGGTTCACACCTATAATCCCAGCACTTTGGGAGGCCAAGGCAGAAGGATCACCTGAAGTCAGGAGTTTGAGACCAGCCTGGCCAACATGGTAAAACTTCATCTCCACTAAAAATACAAAAATCAGCCAGGCGTGGTAGCTCACACCTGTGGGCCCAGCTACTTGGCAGGCTGAGGCAGGAGAATCACTTGAGCCCAGGAGGTGGAGGCTGCAGTGATGAGCCAAGATCAAGCCACTGAACTCTAGCCTGGGTGACAGAGCAAGACTCCATCAAAAAAAAAAAAAAAAAAAGGAAGGAAGGAAGGGAAAAGAAAATTTTCCAGTAGTGCTGGCTTGCTCCTGTAGTCTCAGCCACTTGAAAGGATGAGGCAGGAGGATCACTTGAACCCAGGAGGTTGAGGTTACAATATGCCATGATCACACCACTGCACTCCATGCCTGGGTGACAGAGCGATAACCTGTCTCCAAAAAAAAAAAAAAAAAAAGAAAAAGAATTAGTTACTTAATAGTAACCCATATACTGGCATCACAGGTTTAATCCAACAGCTGTTCTTATATGCTACATTCTCTAAAATATTGCCAATAATTAAATACCAAAACATACAGATTGTCCCTAAATTTACCACAAAACTATTAATAAAATGGGTGGATTTACATCAACAGTTGTTTATTTCATTTGAAACCTTTGCA
Organism: Homo sapiens; assembly: GCF_000001405.40. Lineage (NCBI taxonomy): Eukaryota > Metazoa > Chordata > Mammalia > Primates > Hominidae > Homo > Homo sapiens. The sequence continues at coordinate 15,728,244 of NC_000004.12, read as the reverse complement.
GATTAAAAGCCCTTTACCCCACTATTCCTAAACAAGTAGAGATGAGTAGTCCTGTCTCTGTGGCCTGGGGCATTTAGGATAGAGCCTTCCAGCTAAGTTAAAAGATCTGATGTTTGCCTTTGGCCCTTAGTGCCACACTGAGTCCTCATTCCAGTACTATATGTCTGTTTTCTCATATCATCACCAATCCTGCAGATTAAAAGTCTACTGAATTTTTGGCCAATATTATAACCTATAAGCGCTAAGGTTGGTTTTTTCCCCTTGGATTATTCATGGGGTCTTCTGCTTGCTGTATGATTATCCTACCATTGTCTTTAAGGGCTATATTCTACTCCCTCCAGTAAGTGTACCCTTTGATGTAACTGTTTACTTGTCAGTGGATATTTGAGTCCAGTTCCCAGTATTTCAGTATTATAAAGAATGCTCTGGAGAACATATTTGAGCATATAGGCTGTATGTGCATTTCAAATCACTTGTTTGGAATAGGGCACCAAAAGTACCCTAAAGTGTGACCTAGGTCAAAGACTGTGATATTTTTCTAATTCTTGACACATATTGTCAAATTGTTTTCCCAAAGCACTTTATCAATTTACAGTGACATCAAGCATTGAATAACATCTCTAAAACATTTTTCTGCTATGTTTTAATGTATGCCAAGAAAGTTTAGGTGAAAATGACACCTTGTTGAATTTGTTTTCCATTATTATTAGAGTGATTAAATAATTTTGTATATTTGCTATTTGTGGTTTCTCTTTTGTAAATTATCTATGACTATTCACAGCTAGAATGTTTAAAAAATAGATTAGAAAAATTCCTGCCAGGGTGATGAAAGTTGGTGAAAAACTTGGCAGAGTGAAAGAGAGTTTTATCCTTGACATTCAAAGGAATCAGCCAGAATTGTCAAAAATGTCTACCAACAGTCACTGAAAGAATGCCCACACACAGGGAAGAACAGGTCAGGAACTGCAAACCCCTTACTTACCTGCTGTGGTGTGAGACCCAGAGACATTTTAAGGCAGTGTGGTGTGGTAGGAAGAATGAGAACTTTACACACAGACAAATCTCCGTTTTGCTTCGGCCTCTGAGTAACATTAAATGATCACTTAATCCTTCTGAACCTCAGCATCATTGATGACAATCAAACTGTCTTCCTTCTAGGAATGTGGTTGGAGTAAAATGAGATGATGACTCCAGAGTGCCAGCTGGAAGCCTGACACTGCAAAGTGCTCAGAAATACTGAGGAAAACTCGGGAGGCTGAAGCAGGGGAATTGCTTGAACCCGGGAGGCGGAGGGTGCAGTGAGCCGAGATCACGCCACTGCACTCCAGCCTGGGCAACAGAGCGAGACTCCATCTCAAAAAAAAAAAAAAAAAAATACCGAGGAAAAGTGAGAAGAGCTACCCTCGTTCTCCTTATTCTTCCTGCAGCAGGGGAGCTAACCCAAGGCACTGGTGCTAGGATGGCACCATTTGCCCATTTCAGGAATGGTGGTGTAGGGTGCAGTGGGTTTTACAACAAGGAATTTTACATGGTCTGTTTCTGTATAGGTTGACAGTCTGATTAATGAGACAAAGAGTAAAACCATACAAACCTAAGTAATTCTAACACCACAGACACTTCCCTATCCAAGACTTATGAGGTTCCAGGCTCCTTAGAAAGTCTATACCACTAATCTTTGCAACAACTTTATTCCCCCTTTTCCACATAAGTGAGCCACACAAGGATTCTTTTTCTTGCAATCAAAATGTAGACCTTATGCATATGCAGCCTCTGGGCACTTCTCTGAAGGTGTTGTAGAGCATTTGTCATTCCTTCTGGCTGCCCAGCACCTTTGAACATCGTTCTTCTTAAATCTATGCCTTTCCAGGGTAGAATCCAACCATTCATTCGTTCATTCATCTATTCATCCATTCATTCATTCCTAAGTGTCTACCGAGTTGCAAGTTCTGTTTTAGGTCCTTAGAATACCATCATCAGTGAAAAAAACAGGTCAAAGTCCCTGACCTCCTGGAGCTCATGTTCTGACAGGTGGGAGGCGCTAAAGAATGAATTTGCCAGCATGGGCAATATAGTGAGACCTCATCTCTACAAAAAAAAAAAAAAAAAAACTTTAAAAGTTAGCTGGCGTAGTGGTAAGTGCCTGTATCCCCAGCTGTTTGGGAGGCTGAGGTGGGAGGATCACGTGAGCCCAGGAGGTCAAACCTGCAGTGAGCCGTGATTGTGCCACTGCACTACAGCCTGGGTGACAGAGAGAGGAGAGAGACCTCGTCTCAAAAAAAAAAAAAAAAAAAAAAAAAGACCGCACTTCACAAGTAGGTCAGTCAGAAGATAAACACTATAAAAAAGAAAAAAAATGCAGTCACATGAGGGTTTTGAAGAGCCACAGTTGTGAGATGGAGGCTATGATTTTAAATATTGAGATCAGGGATCAGGGTAACCTCATGGAGGCTTTGTAGATAAGAAAACTGACAATTTCAGATCATCTGACTAACTCAGTAAGAACAGAGTGCTTACTACTGCCAAAACGGTGTTTCCACAGGCTGATGAGCAGGAAAGCATATGATATCTTATGGGAAGTGGATCAAAACTAGCCTTGAAATAAACATTCCAGATGAGAAGCTGTGGGTGACGTGTCTGGAAAGAGTATGATGAACCTGGAAGATGGGACTAGAAGTCTGAACTTGGTAGTAGGTAACTTTGAAGGTTTTTGAGCAGCAGCGACATGAGGGTGGACTTCATTTTCAGGTGAGGAAAGGAAAGACCCAGGTTCACAGGCTATCCTTTACCTCCTGTGAAAGGACTCAGAAACGATGCATGCCAAATTCACAGGGAACGAATAGCATTAAAGAATGAGGAGAGGACTTAAATCCATCACCGAACCCTGGGATGTTGGCTCCTAGAATACATGCTGGAGATGATGGGTCTGTTGTCCTAATTTCCAGCCCAAAGAGCAAGACATCTGCCAGAGTGAATTTTGACAGTTCTCAGACTCCTTCAGATCCTGGTTCTGCCTGCACTAGCTGGGTGGTCTTGGGTGAGTCCTTCATAAACTTCTCTGAGCCAGAGTTTCTTTGCTTCTGAAGGGAGAATATGAACCTACCCACATTGGATCAAATAAAATCTGGCTTCTGTCTAAATGACAGTGGCTTAGAGAAGACAGATGTTTATTTCTCTCTCAGTAACTCTTCAGGGCTGGTAGAGTGATGCCATGGTACAGAGGCACCCGGCTTCCTTTTGCTGTGTTACTCTGCCACGCCCAGTTGAAGACGCTCACCTCCACATCTTGTGGGCCCATATACCAGCCAGCATAAAAGGAGAAAGGGAATGTAAGTCCCTTCCTTTCAAGTGCTAAACCCAGAAATTGCACATGTCACTTGGCCACAGTGGGTAGAGAGGCTAGGATCATTATTCTTGATAGCCATGAACCATCTAAAATTCAAGGGTTCTATTACTAAATGAAAAAGAGAATAAGAACTATATGGGGATGACAAGCCAGCTCACCAGTGCATGTGCTCTCTTTCTCTCTCTCTCTCTCTCTCTTATTTTATTTTATTTTTTGAGATGGAGTTTCACACTTGTTGACTGGGCTGGAGTGCACTGGTGCAATCTCGGCTCACTGCAACCTCTGCCTACTGGGTTCAAGTGATTCTCCTGCCTCAGCCTCCCAAGTAGCTGGGGTTACAGGCACGCACCACCACTCCTGGCTAATGTTTTGTATTTAGTAGAGATGGGGTTTCACCATGTTGGTCAGGCAGGTCTTGAACTCCTGACCTCAGGTGATCCACCCGCCTCAGCCTCCCAAAGTGCTGGGATTACAGGCATGAGCCACCACACCCAGCCTGACTCTCTTTAATGTACTGGTTATTCAGATAAACATACTATTTTATGTAGTGCACACAGCAAATGCCTAGCATATAGTTACTGTGCACTCTGATTAGTTCTCTTCCCTTGTAGATGGAAGAACGGATCCTACAGGCATAGATGGTGCACCTACTATGTGCAACTGTAATGAAAAATACTAAGAGAAACACAAAGAGGAAGGCAGAGTGAGGCAGGCAGATGGTACAGAATGAACGATAGCAGGGCTAGGAAGAGTAAAGCACTGTCATCAGGTTGTGTACAAAGTCCTTGGAAGCAAAGAGAAGGGAGTTCCTCAATCAACGTGGAGAATGAGGAAAGCCTCACAGAGCAAAGAACACTTGAGTTGGATTGTCAGGATAAGTATGATGTTAGTAAATAGATTTCGGAAAAGAATTCAAGTGGAGGGATCAGAAATCTTCCTGCCCACACAAACTGAAATGACAATAATGCACTATGTTTTACCCCTAAGATGGGCTAAAATGATAGGCTATAGGTACAGGCACAGATACAGATATGGATATAGAAAATACATAGCGTGGAGGAGTGGAGAATGGGCACTCCTAGCATATACTGGTGGTGGAAGTGTATGCTGGCACAGCCTTTTTGAAACATATCAAAATTTCTCAGAACATATCAAAATTTAAAATACACACACATTCTTTGACTCAGCAACTCAATTTCTGGGAATCTATCCTACACAAATACTTGCACAACAGCTTAAAGTATATAATCAAGGATTATATTTCAGCATTGTTTATAATAGCAAAACAACTACTATAACAACATACAACCAAGCCAGCCCATGACTCAGAAAGGATTACATAAAAGGTGGTGTGGGCCAGGCGTGGTGGCTTACGCCTGTAATCCCAGCACTTTAGGAGGCCAAGGAAGGCGGATCACAAGGCCAGGAGATCGAGACCATCCTGGCTAACACGGTGAAACCCCGTCTCTACAAAAAAATACAAAAAAATTAGCTGGGCGTGGTGGCAGGCCCCTGTAGTCCCAGCTACTCGGGAGGCTGAGGCAGGAGAATGGTGTGAACTCGGAAGGCGGAGCTTGCAGTGAGCCGAGATTGCGCCACTGCACTCCAGCCTGGGCGATAGAGCGAGACTCTGCCCCCCGCCTCCCAAAAAAAAAGGTAGTGTGACCATCCTACAGATTGCTCTACAGCCACTAACAGACTAGGACAGAAGTATGAACAAACTTTAAAGGGTGGCCCCATTACACCAGCAAGTGAAGAAAGCTCACAGCAGGACGTTATGTGTAGCGTGATTGCTTTTTGTACAAAAACTAAGACAGATACATATAAATAAAAATAAGGCCAAACCAGAATCCAATGAGCACACTTACATCTGCCTCTGATAATATGTTCATGTTTGTGAACTGAAAACTTCTGAAAGGAGATGGTTATCTTTGGAAAGAACGATTTGGGTTAAGACATTTACTTACGACTTTAAGGCACAGTCAGGATGGGTGCTGTGGTCCACGCACTGTAAGAGCTTCACTGGTCTACAGAAAGAAAATAATATTTAAGGGATTATTTAAATAACTTTCATCCATCAACCATTTATGGCTTGCCTGAAAAGTCCTGGAGATACAGTAGTCTCTGACCTCAAATAATACACAAACTATTTCCTCTAAAAATATTAGTGGCCCAGCACGGTGGCTTACACCTGTAATCCCAGCACTTTGGGAGGTTGAGGCAGGAGGACTGCTTGAGACCAGGAGTTTGAGACCAGCCTGGGCAACATAGCGAGACCTTGGCTCTACAAAAAAAAAAAAAAAAAAAAATCTAAAAATTATCTGGGTGCAGACGCTCATGCCTATAGTCTCAGCTACCCAGGAGGCTGAGGCAGGAGGCCCAGGAGTTCAAGGCTGCAGTGAGCTATGATCGCACCACTGCACTCCAGCCTGGATAACAGAGTGAGGCCTTGTATCTAGAAAAACTAAAACAAATGAAAATATTAGCCAGCATTTATCAAGCACTTCCTACGTACCAAGACATTTGATTATATCTTTTGTAAGGATCATGTCATGTAATCCTCATAACAACCAAATGGAATAGGTGCTTTATCTTCTCCAATTTACAATTGAGAAAGCTGACCACAATAACCCACCCAAGTTCTCACAGTAGCAAGTTGAAGGGCTGAACTTGAACTATGCAGGCTGACTCTAGGGCCTGAGCTTCTAACCATTTCTGTATGCACGTACAACTCGTATGACCTGATAAGTACTTTGGGCAGAAGGTTGGACTTGAACCACATGGGTGATGGCCAATGCTCAGGCATCAGAGAGGAAAGCTAACTTGCTGTGCACAACAGAGGGAGAAGATGTGAAGTTCCAAGCCACCAGGAGGGGAAGGGAAGCAGCAATGAAGACAGGAGCCAGGTCTTGGTGGCACACGGGGAGTTAGGTAGGAGGCAAGCCTAGACAGGATCTCTGTGGCACGATCACTGCAGGGGACTATGGAAGAACAGGAACGTGATATTGTTGTCTCTATGGCATGCCATGTCTTCTGTCCTTGACTCAGCTACCTTTCAGTAGTGTCTACTTGATGCACATATTTTTATTTTTTATTATTATACTTCAAGTTCTAGGGTACATGTGCACAACGTGCAGGTTTGTTACATATGTATACACATGCCATGTTGGTGTGCCACACCTGTCAACTCGTCATTTACATTAGGTATGTCTCCTAATGCTATCCCTCCCCCCTCCCCCTACCCCACGACAGGCCCCAGTGTGTGATATTCCCTACCCTGTGTCCAAGGGTTCTCATTGTTCAGTTCCCACCTGTGAGTGAGAACATGCGGTGTTTGGTTTTCTGTCCTTGGGATAGTTTGCTCAGAATGATTGTGTCTAGCTTCATCCATGTCCCTACAAAGGACATGAACTCATCCTTTTTATGGCTGCATAGTATTCCATGGTGTATATGTGATGCACATATTTTTAATAAAAGTAGTTATCTGTCATTGTTTATGCCCAAAAACAGGTATGGAGTTTTCACTGAGTCTGATTCAACACAGTACTGGCAGAAACCAACCAGAAGGTAAGGGAGGCCATGAAAAGATAAGCCCCCTCCAAAATGGGCAAGAACCTCAGGGAGAACTTTCTACTGATGTGGGGCAGAAGGCAATGCCACCTGAATTGTGAGGGGCAGGAGTTTCTCACATCTGGGTTGGAGTTGGATTTGTTATGTTAACCCTCATCACTTTCCCATTTATACCTTTCATTATATCCTCTCTGCTCCTGACACTAACACAGAAACAGCCTATGGGCAATAAAGAAATGGGAGCTTCCTCATTTCTTTACTGAGTCAGGCCTGGAAGAGAAGAGCCCTGAGGCTGACTGAGGTAGGGACACAATAGAGAGGAAGCACATAAGCCCAGACCCAGGGCAGCCGTGAGGGGCAAGGAGACCTGGGCTCTGGCCCGGCTATTATAACTCAGCCCAATGACATAAAAACAAAGCAAAGTGGTTGTGAATGCAACAATTTTAGCTACAATTTTCTCCATCATTGAGCTTTTTGTTGTTGTTGTTTGTTTGTTTGTTTTTGAGGGGGCGATGGCTAGGGGTTTACTTTGTTTTATTTTGAGACCAGGTCCTGCTCTGTCACCCAGGCTAGAGTGCAGTGGCACCATCATAGCTCACTGTTCCCTTGAACTCCTGGGCTCAAGCAATCCTCCCACCTCAGCCTCCCAAATAGCTGGAACTACAGGTGCATGCCACTGCACTTGGCTATTGAGCTGTTTTGGATTAAGAACTGATTTTTTTTTTTTTTTTTGAGACAGAGTCTTGCTCTTGTCACCCAGGCTCTTGTCACCCTGGCTCACTGGAACCTCTGCCTCAAGTGATTCTCCTGCCTCAGCCTCCCGAGTAGCTGGGATTACAGGCACCAGTCACCACACGCGGCTAATTTTTGTATTTTTAGTAGAGACGGGGTTTCACCATGTTGGCCAGGCTGGTCTCGAACTCCTGACCTTGTTATCCGCCCGCCTCGGCCTTCCAAAGTGCTGGGATTACAGGTATGAGCCACTGCACTCGGCCAAGAATTGAATGTTTTTTAAAATGTACTACTGGAGCTTCAATTAAGGAAGGAAGAGCTTGGTAGCAGGAGGGAAAGAGCGTGCGTTAAGGCCATGCAAAGCTGGGTTCAAAACTCAGCTCTGTCACTGAGTTTAAAGCTTAAAGACAGATAAAACTAATTAATGGCATTATAAATCTAGAGAGTGGTTACTATGGGGGTGGTGACCAAAAGAGGCCAATGGGAGCCCCTGGGGATGCTGAGTATGTTCTGTTTATTGGTCTGAGGGCTGGTTGCAGGTATGCACTAAATGGGGGAAACTTCATCCACCTGTGTACTCATGGTTTGTATATTTTTCTGTACATAGATTATATTTCCAGAAAAGGACATTTGCCTTGTTTTGTATTTAAAAGGGGTGATAAACAACATCTAACTTTTGAGAGCACTGGCAATAATTTATGAGTAAAAGGTACAGATAACAGAACAGCCTTGAGGGGCTCCTTGTCTTGAGGAGGCATGGAGTGGGAGGGAGTGGTTCACACGTTTAGGGTGCTTTGCTCAGCTGGGAGAATGATCCAGCCCATGGGGCTGCTGGAAGGCAGAGAGTGGCAGAGAAGCAGGATAATCAAGGGTGTTAGGCAACAAAAGACCACTGACGTCATTTCCACCCAGCGACACTCAGAAATGTTCAAGAAAACCACTCAGTTTTTGCAATGTTGGATTCCAGCCCCTTGCAGAATCAGCAGGTCCACAGTCTTAGGGGCTGGGGCAGAGAGAGCCAGAGGCAGGCGTTTGAGTCCAGAGATGGCTTGCAACTACCTTAGGGCTTGAGCCAAGTTTTTTAAAAAAAAAATGTCCAAGCAACAAGGCCCACAAATGATACCTGATTATAAATATATAAAGTGTCTGGCCCATAGCTGCTCACCAAGTGGTAGTTATTATTATTTTCCTATTGGTCTGTGGTCAAGATGTGTCTGTAAATACCTCAAACAAGCTCCCACCTTAGCACCTGTCATGCACAGGGATCCCACAGAGATCCAAAGACATAGGAACCTCAGTCCCTGTACTCCAGCATCTCGCTGCACAGTAAGCACAGTGAGGAGAGAACTGGGCATGAGCAAATGAGAAAGTGCTGCTCTGTGTGTTCTTTAAACGTCCAGTGCCGTGAAGATGGACTCTGGACAGCAGTGGGTGGGGCCCTGGCCAAACTCAGGCCAGAAAGTGCTCCTTGCCTCCACACCGAGAAGCCACCCGGAAGACACCATGGCCTTCAGAGCTGAGAGCCATCAATACCCTTTCGGCAGCCCACCTCCTCCAAAATCATACACCACCTCTACAAGAGCACATTGATATATAGGCCACCTACCGGTAATCATTAATACAGCTGTACTGGAACCCCATGTCCTTCAGCCTCTTTTCCAGGACTTTCATGCTGCCTTCCCCGCAGGATTCCCTAAAACATGAAAATATATAATTAAAAAGTAAGCAAATAAGAGGAGGAAGAGGAAGTTGTTTCTGGGTTAAACATAATTTCTTTTGACCATGTGCTCCTGGATATTCTACTCTCAGAAAGAAAACTGGAATGTCTCTGGTTTAAAAAGGGCTGCTTCCGGTAAACCTGCAGGACCCAAGAGACGATGCTCTGAGGACCCCAGCACCGGGCCTGAAGCTGGGCAGCCAGGAGCACTGGGAGAGCCAGGGCCAGTGCATGTGCGTGGTGTCAGCCACCTGTGCAGTCTGTCCCCAGACAGTGACACATATCTGCAATGTGCTCCAGGGGCTCGACACAATGCTACCTGCCAATTTGTTCACCCTACACTACAGTATATTCATTTGAAGTTTTAAGTAACCACCAAAACATACAAATTTTAAAATATTAGAAAATGCAAATAAACAAAAATTTTAAAAAATTACCCCAAATCTCACACCCCTAGAGATAGCTCTGTTAACATTTTGGTGTATATAGGTCTAGTCTTTTAGAATATATTTATTTCTGCAAGATTTTAAAAATAAAGCAAAGGGTCTCTGCTATCCAATGTGTTTTGTAGTCTGCTTTAGCTCCTGTCTCTGTGTGTGTGTGTATACACAGACACACACACACACACACACACACACTTCTCTGCCATTATTTTTAGCTCCAGCATGGCCTCCCTTACATAAACAGACCATAACTCATGGAACCCGTCCTCTCTTGTTGAAGACCTAGGTTGATTCTTTCATTTCGATACCATTTACACTACAACAAACTTTGTTGCTGTGGAGTCCTAATTAGGAAAAAGGAGCCAGGCTGGCAGGAGCAGGGTAAAGCAAAAAGACAAAGCAGATAAGCTATAAGTCTACCTTCTTCATGGTCCAGGACACATAGGCTTCCTGCACAAATAACTCACAACCTTCCCATGCCCACCTATCACCAGACGCTCAGCTGATAGAAAAAGGCAAGTTAGCTCACTGCAACCTTGGCATTATCAGAACTGCACAAGTGCTCTTCAGTACACAGCACAAGCACCATTCTGCAAAATGCCCAGTAAGCCTTTGTCTCCATGCAGTCAGCTAGTCTCTTGCTGACCTGCCAGTTGCATCCTTGCAACATATTTTCATACTTTCTCTAATAAATCTATCTTTCTTTACCTACAACTGTCTTGGTAAATTCTTACCTCCCATGCCACCAGCCCAGTCACTAATTGGAACTTCATTTTCCTACACATTATTAATTATTTGTTCCCTTGGCATAAATTCATGAAAGTAGGTTTTCTAGCATCAAAGATTTGAATCCATTTTAAGGCTTTTATAGGAACAGCCAAATTACACCCTGATAAAGTATGAGAGTGGCAATTTCCCACACTCGTACCAACAGTGATTCTTGCCCACTTTCACTAATGGTCACAATTAAGCAGGGAGAATTTACAAACGCAAACAGAGGTAGATACACAACACCACCAGCTGTGGTTATTAGGCACGGTATATTACAGGCAGGACCCTGAGTTTACATGAAATGGGATGGTAAACAGCCTCACCACCATAAAATTAATAGAGGGGGAGTGTACAGGGAGGAAATGAGCAATTGGAAATTTTTACAGAAGTGGAATTCCAGGCATTATAGGAATGAAGAAAGCACAGTGTTGAATAACATCATTTTTTAGAACTTTGCCAATACCCGGGAAAATGCCTTACTCGGGGCCAGGCTCACTACTTAGAATTTCTTTTTAGTAAGCAACGACATCTAGGCTGCAGGACACCTGGACACAGAGATAAGTGAACGTGTTGTTAAAATAACTATAAAGGACGGGCATGGTGGCTCATGCCTGTAATCCTAGTACTTTGGGAGGCTGAAGCCTCAGGTGGATCACCTGAGGTCAGGAATTCAAGACCAGCCTGGCCAACATGGTGAAACCTTGCCTCCACTAAAAATACAAAAAATCAGCTGGGCGTGGTAACGGACACCTGTAATCCCAGCTACTCGGGAGGTTGAGTCAAGAGAATCACTTGAACTCGGGAGGCGGAGGTTGCAGTGAGCTGACATCTCGCCACTGCACTCCAGCCTGGGCAACAAGATAGATACATTAAAACAACAAGCAAGTATAACTTCCAGAGAGAGCAACTTCTCACAAAAATAAGACCAACGATACACGTTTTTCATGCATGCAAAAATAAGTATAATTTGTCTTCTGAGAAGGGGAATGCAGATCTTGGTATAACTTACGTAATTAAGTAGTTTGCAAATTTATCACAATCTATTGCCTAAGAGACGGGAAAAATAACCCCTTATATGGTGAGTCTTAGAAGGTCCTGGGGGCCAACACGGACACAGGGAATTCACTGAAGTTCTCCTAAACACTTTCAATGGGACCTGCACTCCTTGGGGTTAGTAATACCTTCCTCCATGTAGCACGGAGGGACTGTTCTGAAGGACAAGGCCTCAGCTTGCTTCTGAATCTCCATCATGGCTGTCCAGCTTTATTTAGGCTGTGGCCTTGTTGGCTTGTCTTTAAACCAAATCAGTTTAACTTTTTTATCTTGAGTTTGTGCCAGCAGTGCTCTTTACTGCTGAGAAGAATGAGTTTAAGTTTGCATTTACATGTAAACTCGTGCTTTCCCAGAAAATGTGGATCATAAAAGCTTTCTCAACCAGTTATTCAAGACCCAGTTGAAGAGCTGGTTGTTCTCTGAGAATGACGTCTTAATTATAGAGTCCCTAGGTTAATTCTGAGAACCAGTGGTGAGGGCTTTTGAATTTCAAATGACCAGAAGGAGAAACTGGCTTAGACCCTCACAAATGCATAAGGAACTCACCCATCCAAAGCTACCAAGGTCATTCAGAAAGGAACACTGTCTTCGCTGGCTGAGAAGAATATCCCAGATAAAGGAGGCTTTCTCTCTGGGCTCGGGACTGGCTAGTGGCATTCCCAGAAAGTCAAGCTTTTGTCTTTCTCTACCAACCCCATTAGAAGCAAAGAAGGCTGTCATTTCCCCTAAACTGAAAATGTTAAACGAACTTTATCATATTATATACAAGAAAAACAAACTTGTGCAATTATCATCATCAATATCACCATAACTTACACATTGGGTCCCCCAATTTCATGCATAACCCAGATCTCGATTCGTGTAATTTTTTCCTTCTGGAGGTTTGGAATTTCATAATCTGCAAAAAAACTGAGAAACATTTCTTGAAGCCCTAAAGCAATATGATATCTTTTCCATTTCAGTTGTTAATTTACACATTACCTTTCTTAAAAAAAAATAAAGAGCTTTTAGAAGTTTTTCTTCTTTAGCTTTTATTTTTAGGTTACTTTTTATTCCTGTATTCATCAGCTGTTAATGGTTTAACTCTATAGACATGGCTCTGATCACCAGGTCATTCATCTGTTTTGCTTTACCTGAATTTACAGAAGCACGCATGAGATGGGGACTAGGATAATTTTCTTTAGCCTCTATTTAAAACAATTAAATAAATATTTTGGCATTCTCTCTTGTGTTTGAATGTGCTGGTGTTCTTACCCTTTGATGGGATAGGCTCCTGTTGGCTCTGAACCATTCAGCATGACGTGGATCACCCCAGAACTATCCTTGGAATACTACGAGAAGAACCAAGTATTTTTAGCAAATAAAGACGTGACATTTTTCTGCTATGAAATGTGCATTTTTTACAAATTGTCAGTTCTAAATAATGGCAAGGATATGATAAATGTGGCATTTCATATGGCTTAGTAGAAATGCAAACTGGTTTATTTTGGAAAGCAAATTGCCTTGAAATGTCAAAAAACTCATAGACTCAGTAATCCATGTCTGGGAATCTACCCTAAGAAGATAATAGAAAATACACAGTATCTTATCAGCTGGAATAAACTAGCTTATGCTCCCTTAGCAAAGAACCTCGAAACTGCAGTGGCTTTAAACAACAATGATTTATATCATGCTCACACTACATGTTTATCACAGGCCCACTGGGGTTTTGTTTCAAGTGTCCTCATTCTGGGACACATCTGCAAAATATCTGATTGCCAGGAAAGGGAGGAGACAGTGACAAATCATAGACCACTTCTTAAAGGCTTCCACCCAAAAGTCACACTCCCGCTCGCAACTGATTGGCCAGTGTAAGTCACGTGTAAATAATTTCATGAGGCAGGGAGTGCAAACCGTGGGCTCAGAAGACAAGCCAGAAATATTTGGCAAACAGCACTAAGGACTACCAGGAGCACTGTGCACAGAGATGTATAGTGCAGCAATTCCTCATAATACTGAAATATTGTAACTAATACAGAATACTCAACAACAAGGGAATGGTAAGTAAACTATGATACTTAAGGGTCTGAAATCTTAACCAGCCATTAGTAAAAGTCTGTATACAAAGTATTTGCAATAGCATAGGAAGTATTTGCTTTCAAAGCAAAATTCAACAGTCATTTGAGGGGCATGGGCTCTACTGTGTGAAAAATACATGGGCTGAAGTCCAGGAATTCCCAAGGGTGAGACAGGTCCACAGAAATTCCAAAATCTCCACTTGAGAATACTACTGGAGCATGTAATTTCCCTCATAAAATGTTTATACTAGAATGAAGGAGGTGTAGAGGTGAAATATGTGGCACTGACGTATAGGTGGCTGGATTCACTCCCTAGCAAAGTGATACACAATACCAAACAATACACTCCATGTCATAGATTGCTTCCAAATAGTGCTAACAGTCATAGTTAAATTCTTAAATGCCAATACCTGATCACCACTATGCTAAACGGGTTGCCTTTAGGTGGCAGGAATGTGGGTGATTAATTTATATTTTCTATATGTGTCATTCACTATTATGAGCAGCTATTACACTGACAAAAAGAAAAAAATATTAAAAAAAAAATGTGTGCAGAGTCAGGCGCTGTGGCTCACACCTGTAATCTCAGCCATTTGGGAGACTGAGGTGGGCAGATCACCTGGGGTCAGGAGTTTGCGACCAGTCTGGCTAACATGGCAAAAACCCATCTCAACTAAAAATGCAAAAATTAGTTGGGCATGGTGACACGCACCTGTAGTCCCAGCTACTCGGGAGGCTGAGGTGTGAGAATCGCTTGAACCTAGGAGGTGGAGGTTGCAGTGAGCTGAGAATGTACCACTGCACTCCAGTCTGGGTGACAGAGACTGACTCTGTCTCAAAAAAAAAGATAAAAATAAAAATAAAAAGTATGCCAATGCAATAAGGCTGTATAACGTCGTGGTTGAAAGTCTGATCTCAAGCCAGCCTGCCTGGTTTCAAATCCTAGCTCCCCTACTTGTCAGTTCCATAATCCTGGTAAAGCTTCTTGACCTCTCTGTACCTTACTTTATTATCTGTAAAATAAGGGTGTTAAAAGTCTCTGCCTCACAGAATTGTCATAAAGATGAAACTATTTGGCCAGGCACAGTGGCTCACGCCTGTAATCCTAGCACTTTGGGAGGCTGAGGCGGGTGGATTATGAGGTCAGGAGTTCAAGACCATCCTGGCCAATATGGTGAAACCCTGTCTCTACTGAAAATACAAAAATTAGCTGGGCATGGTGGCACACGCCTGTAGTCCCAGCTACTCGGGAGGCTGAGGCAGGAGAATCACTTGAACTCGGGAGGCAGAGGTTGCAGTGAGCCAAGATCGACAGAGCGAGACTCCGTCTCAAAAAAAAAAAAAAAAAAAAAGATGAAAATATTTAAAATAATGACTGCTAACATTTATTGAATACTTGTCTGCTAAAGTTCAAATCTGCTTCCCATCACTATACCACACTACCTCTCCTCTTGCTTCGACTACAGAGCAAATGCCAAGTTCTCAAAAAATGTGGGCACTAGTATGAGATTTCCATTATAGAATTGGAGGAAGTATAAGGTGGTGGTTTGTAGCACACTCTTGGAAGTCTGGCAGATCCACTGGGTAAAATACATGGTTCCTTTACATGTAATGTTGACATCTCCCCTGAGTTACTGTTTGATCCCACTTTCAGATGATGACATCTCTGTAGCCTCCCAGTTCTCAATGAGGGGCCCTGGCAGCCACTGCCAACTGACTGGAGTCTGTGCTCAAGATGAAACCTACAGGTAGTGGGAGCAAATGGTGCTCTCTTGGGGTGGGCAGCAGAGCACAATAATAAACAGAATATGTTTTATCTGGGAGGGACCCCCTGCTTAGCTCCAAACTGCAGCCACCATGGAGGATTTGGCCAAGGTCCTTCTCACCCTGACTAACAATCAACCTAGTGGATACCTGAGGATCTAGGGTAGAAGATGGGACTGAAAAAGACATGGATAGTCCTGAAAGGGGGTTGGCGGTGGTGGGTGGAAGGGGCCTGACATCCACCTGGTCAACCTAGCTAATGTTTTATAGTCAACAGCTCTTTGCCAGGCACTGAACTAAGAACTTAACCCTCTTTATTTGTAATCTCTATTCTAATTCTCATGACAGAGAGTGTCAGCTGTAGTCACTGGCATGTTATAGCTACAGATAGCTGTCATCAACTCTGGTGACATCATTCTCTGGGAAACAGACCTACCTTCAGGGGACCATTTCTGTGTCTCCAGCTTATCCTCCATCTCCTATCAGTTCCTCTCCCATTAATATTAGTCTTGTGGACATTTCTGATCCCCACAAATTGATCTCCAGCATCCTAGGGTCTTCCATAAAGCAGGAGTTGCCCCATTTTATGTAGCAATCAAAATCATTGATTTGAAATACTAATGATAACCAGGACATAATGGAAATAATAATGACTAATTAAAACCCTCATGTATAGCTAACATTTACAGAATGTTTTCTCCGTGCCAGGCACTGCATTAAGTATTTTATTCCCTTAAATTCTCACAACTTTATATAGCAAAGAGCATGAATCATGATGTGGTAAAAGTGGAAAGTGAGGCTCAGAGAAGTTGAGTGATGACCTGGGGCCCAGACTCTGAATGACTATGTTCCATCTCTATGGGTCCCACACATGCTCAACCACTCAGATATCATCCCAGCATTACCTGGATGGATGCCCTTTTCCAAAAGGAATCCACAGGATTATTTTCACAGTCTTCTGATGTAGGGCAGGATTGGTAATCGAGTCCTAAGGGGTAAGTAGACAAACACATTTTATTCCAAAGATTATCTATCTCAGAGAAGAATTAACTTACAATATATCCCAGTTCCATGATGTATACTTAGCTTCCATTCTGTACAATGTGTACAAGTTTAACATCCACAGTTCTTCCCACTCAATCCACAAGGAGCCTGGTGAGGGACCACCTTGTCCATGATACTAAAGATGTTGGTCATTTTGCTCATCACAAATGTGAGGAAGGCAGAGAACTAAATAGCTGGCTAGTGAGTGAGTCTAGCTGACCACTGAGCATCAGTGTATTAGCTGGGTTATTTCTCAACAATGTTTAAAAACCCACAAACAACAACAACAAAAACCTTTGCTTTATTGGGAGAAGAGCCGTCTCCAAAAATTAAATTGTTAGCCATTATCTTAGTAGTAAATGCAAGGAAACAAAGGATTAAGAAAGTGATAATGCTTAGCCAGAAACAGAAATTTTATACAATTGAAAAATATATAAAATGTTAAAATGTATTACATTTT
The DNA here is from genome assembly GCF_000001405.40 of Homo sapiens. Taxonomy (NCBI): domain Eukaryota; kingdom Metazoa; phylum Chordata; class Mammalia; order Primates; family Hominidae; genus Homo; species Homo sapiens. The sequence continues at coordinate 15,711,290 of NC_000004.12, read as the reverse complement.
ACAATGTTTAAGGACAGACTAAAGACCCTAGCAGATCAATGGGATGTGGGATGTACTTACCATATACTCTATAAAGAAAAAAAATTTCTAATCTACAAGTTGACCTCATATTCCTAGCAAAAACTGATATTAATGGCATTATTCATAATAGCCAAGATATGGAATCAATCTGTGTCCATCAACTGATTAATAGATAAAATAGACTGGGCACAGTGGCTCACGCCTGTAATCTCAGCATTTTAGGAAGCTGAGGCGGGTGGATTACCTGAGGTCAGGAGTTCAAGACCAGACTAGCCAACATGGTAAAACCCCATCTCTACTAAAAATACAAAAATTAGCCGGGTATGGTGGCACGCATCTGTAGTCCCAGCTACTCAGGAGGCTGAGGCAGGAGAATCGCTTGAACCTGGGGGGCGAATGCTGCAGTGAGCTGAGATCGTGCCACTGCACTCTGGCCTGGGTGACACACAGAGACTCCGTTTCAAAAAAAAAAAGAAAGAAAATATGGCATGTATGCATAATGCAATACTATTGAGCCATTTGCAACAACATGGATGAACCTGGAGGACATTATGTCAAGTGAAATAAGCCAGGTACAGGAAAACAAATATTGCATGATCTCACTTGAAAGTGGAATCTTCAAAAGCTGATCTCATAGAAGTTGGGGGTAGAATAGTGGCTACCAGAGGCTGGAGAGGGGAATGGATAAGGGAGATGGGAAGAGGTTGGTCAACAATATTACAGTTACATAGGAGGAATAAGTACTGGGGCTGTAATGCACAATAGAGTGGCCATAGCTAACAATAGTGTATTGTATATTTCAAAATAACTAGTAGAGAGGATTTTGAATGTCTCACCACAAAGAAATAGTAAATGTTTAAGATGATTGATATGCTAATTACCCTGATTTGATCATTACACAATGTATATATGTATAAAACATCACATTGTATGCCATAAATATATACAATTTTTTGAGTAAATCAAAAATAAAATTAAAATTAAAATTAAAAAAAGCACCAAGGCCAGGTACTGTGGCCTGTAATGCCAGTGCTTTGGGAGGCTGAGGCAGGAGGATTATTTGAAGTCAGGAGTTCAAGACCAGCCTGGGCAACATGGCAAGACCATGTGTCTACAAAAATAATTTTAAAAACAGCCTAGTGTGGTGGTGTGTGCCTGTAGTCCAGCTACTTAAGAGGCTGAGGCAAGAGGATCGCTTGAGCACAGGAGTTCAAGGCTGCAATGAGCTAGGATCACACCACTGCATTACAGCCCGGGTGGCAGAGTGAGACGCTGCCTCAAAAAATAATAATGATTTTAAAATATAAATAAATAAATAAATAAAATAAAAAAGAGCTGCTGTCAATGGTTTGGCTTTGCTATTTTCTTGACTTTTTTCTGTGTTTATTTACATAGATGTATTGTGTATATGTGTTTTTATTTGAATAGCCTCATACCAATCACAGGGTTATGTAAATTTATTTTTTGCTTAAAAACATGCCCCTTTCTGGGTCAATAAATAAAAAACCCCATCACCATTGCTGCTGGCCCCACAGGATTCCATGACATACACATATGGTTATTTAGCTGACCTGAACTGCTGGACTTCACTTCTTTCTGAAACAAAGAGCCCTGATAGGAGGGCATAGATAGAAAAGGGCAGCGAGGTGAAGAAGAAATAACTGGTGGTTTTCTGGAAGGCTCTCCCTTTCTTTATGTGTTTTTCATCACATTCCTCCCCTCCTTCTCCCCACCCTCTGCAGCATCATCAAACAAAAGCTTCCTGGAAGTTCTCCATTGAAAGAATGGCTGTGTCCATTTGACGTGGAACCTGCAATGCTGCCCATCTCACTCACAGTGAAAAGCAGAGGCCTCACAACATCCTGTGCCACCTGGCCCTCCTTTATTCCTCTAGCCTCATAGCTCACACTTTCCTCTTTGCCCACTGTCCTCTTTGCTGTTAAATATGTCACACACGCTCCCACCTCAGGGCCTTTGCAATTGCTGTTCTCCCATCAGAAAATGCTCTTTCTCATCTCCTTCAGGTCCTTGTTCAAATATCAGCTTATCAGTGAGGTTTTCCCTCGGCATCTAGGTAAAAATGCAACACTTTCCTTTCCCTGGCCCTCCACCCTCAATCTTTTTTGTCCTTATTACCTGTTTTAATTTTCTCCATAGCCCTTATAATCTTAAGGCAGTCTGTATATTTCACTTGCCTGTTTATTGTCTTATCTGCCCTCCTATAATGTAAGCATGGGGTATTAATTTCATGTTTTATTCTCTGCTGTTTTCCTACTGTCTAGAAGATGAGGGTCTGGCACATAGTAGACACTATAAATTTTAGTTTGATGGACAAATGAATGGAGGAGAAATAAACAGAACTGATATTAGGTTAACTCTTTTTTTTGTGTGTGCCGAGTCTCACTCTGTCATCCAGGCTGGAGTGCAGTGGTATGATCTCGCCTCAGTGCAACCTCCTTCTCCAGGGTTCGAGGGATTCTCCTGCCTCAGCCTCCCGAGTAGCTGTGATTACAGGCATGCACCACCATACCTGGCTAATTTTTTTGTATTTTTAGTAGAGTTTGGATTTCTTCATGTTGGCCAGGCTAATCTCGAACTCGTGACCTCAAATGATCCACCCACCTCGGCCTCCCAAAGTGCTAGGATTACAAGCGTGAGCTACCATGCCCGGCCTGATATTAGGTTAACTTTTGAAGTAACTCTGATACCCAGGAAGGATCTCCAGTCTTCATAATGGAAACACTCCCTAACCTCCTTTCCTTGCTAGCCTCCCTTCTGAAGCTTCCCTGATGATCTGGTGGAGGCTGGTGTCTCACTCTGCTACTCCTCGAACACCATTTTTCCTGCATTATAGCCCATATCACTCGAGCTGATATCCCCCATGAGGCTATAACCTCCCTGAAGATGGGGACTGCTGTGTCTCCAGCTCCTAGCACCACAGTTGGATGAATGAGGAGTGTTTGCAGAACATTCAGGCCAGCTCTTGTGACTCTAACTTTCCTTGTGACTTGGATCTCGAAATATCTGCCGGCGGCCTGGAGTGGTGTTACAGAGCACAGGCTTCAGAATCCATCAGGACAGGACTGAGACCCAGCCTTACCACTTCCAGTCATTTAACCTCCCTAAGCCTCAGCTTCCCCCTCTGGACAAATGAGGATAGTAAGGCAGAGTTGTGCAAAGTTGAGAAAATGGGCTCTGGAGTCAGACTGTCTGCTGCTTACTAGCTATGCCCCCTGAGCAGATTTCTTAATCTTGCTGTGCCTCAGTTTCCTCATTTATCAAAATGGGGATTATGATAGGATCCCATGAGGTTGTTGTGGGCATCAAATGAGTATGTGTGTATATATAGATATAGATATGTATAGATATGTATATATATGTGTATATATATGTGTATATATATATATATATATAGAGAGAGAGAGAGAGAGAGAGTGCTTAGACTGGCACCTGCAAAGTTAAGTATTCTCTAGTATTGTTATTATTAACTATTCTTGCCACTTATCTCAGAGGACTTGGAGAGGATCAAGTGAAATAAATGCATATGAAAGCATTTAGCACAAATGGTAATGCATAGTAAATAGGAGTTCTTAAGTCTCCTGTGATTTGTGCAGGAGTCTTACCAGAGTCATTTTTCTGTCGACACCAGCTCAAGAAATCTGCAACCCTGCCATACAGAACATCGCTCAGGGGCATAAAACGACGGGTGTTGTCTGCAAAGCTGTTAACAAGGAGGTGGCTATTTTCCCAGAACAGGGACTAAGGAAAGACAAACAAAACATCAAAATACAAAACAGAATCAAAACCGACTCCTCAGGCACAATATCATCAAGGCAAGTTGGGCAATCCAGTTCTCATTCAACTCTGACCTGCTGCACAACAACTGAACGTTCTTTTTCGTTGTCTTTATTTATTCATTCAAAGACTGCTAGCATCTCTCCTCCCTTTATTCCCAGGGTATCATGCAAATGTTAATGGAATATTTTCTCACTAGTACTAAATATACGTGCATGTGGTAAGATCCCCTACATTAAAAATGATCAAGGGAACTGGGCTGGAATCCTGGCTCTGTCATGTATTAGATATGTAATCTTGAGCAAGGCATGCAATCTCCCTGTTTCTCAGTTTCTACTTCTGGAAAATGCAGAGCATGAGCCCTTTCTCTTCTTCCAGAGCTGTGGCCAGGATAATAAGCAGTCACAAAAAGCACTTCCTAAAGTGTCAAGTGCCTCAAAAACACATTGCTTTTATATTATACTTTATAGTTTCCACCATAGTGTTTTTATATAACAATAACACAAATCCCCCAGTCACTATTTCATCTGACCCTCAGTAGTCCAATCAGTTTATATTTAGACTAGAAGGTCCCCAAGGGTGAGGGCTGTTTTTCACTGTTACATCCTTAACCCTTAGCACCAATGACTGGCAAACAAATAGCCCCGGAAGTATTTACTGAGTTCATCAACTAGCACCGAATCTATGAAACAGAAGGTTAAAAAGTCAGCTTCCCCACTTTTAGTGACAGGAGGGCAGCAAGGTTCAAAAGACAGCATATACTCAAAAATCATGTTTTCAGTCTATTCTATCTTTGAACCTCACAGTTCCATTTACTTGCCTTTACAAATAACACACAATGGAAAAAATCAGGTTAACAATGTTTATGTCACAGAAACAAAAATGGTGTCTAGCATTCCTTAAACTTGAGGTATTGTTTTAAGCAAGGGTTTTATGGAAATTTTCTCATTATTTTCATTTTATTAGACCTGAGAGTGTATACAGAATATAGATATGTGGTTTTCTTAAATAAACTGGTACTAAATAAATATAATCTTAAGACCCGTTAAATGGAGAGACTGGTCTCCCGGGAGGATACTGAGATTGAGAGTTTTCTGAATTACTCAAGGTTCAGGCCATTGGGCCAGTTAGGATGAAGGTTATTTAGAACTGGCCAGATGTGGAGGCCCAGTGTGACAGGTATGGCCATGTCCTGATGTCCTCATGTTGATTCTCACACTAACTTGCTAACTTAGGAAATTTTCTTCTGCCCACAACCAGCGGGAGATCTACAATCACTATTGGAAACTGATATGATTTGGATTTGTGTCTCTTGTAAAATTGTAATCCCCTATGTTGGAGGTGGGGCCTGGTGTGAGGTGATTGGATTATGGGGGTGGATTTCCCCCTTTGCTGCTGTTCTCCTGAGGGAGTTCTCAGAAGATCCAGTTGTTTACAAGCCTGTGGCACCTCCCTCTGCCCTTGGTCCTGCTCGTGCCATGTAAGACACCTGCTCCCACTTTGCCTTCTGCTGAAGTAAAAGCTCCCAGAGGCCTCCCAGAAGTAGATGTTGCCATTCTTCCTGTACAGCCTGTGGAACTGTGAACCAGTTAAACCTCTTTTCTTTGTAAATTACCCAGTCTCAGGCATTTCTTTATAGCAATGTGACAACGGACTAATACAGAAACAAAGCTAGCTTCCCACAGAGAGCTCAGCACACACATTATGTGTGCTGCCTGATGTTTCTGTGACATTGCAGGATGCAGGGGACAGCTAATGTCAACCTGGCCCATGCACCATCCATTTCTGTAGAGACAGAGAACACAGTTTTACCCAAGATGGTTGTGGTGTTACCTTATCTCTGGGAATAGAGTGCCTGGACAAGTTAATAAAAAGGTCATAGTCTGAGGGCAGCACGGAGCAGGGATCCTTGTCCAGCGCCACTTTAAAGGCTTCCCAGATGGCTGTGCAGTTCTTGTTCCTGTGCAAAAGTACAAGTTGGGAAGAACACACACATGCACATCATAATGTGTTGTGAAGTATGCCCATTTGTCTAAGAGCTTTACAAGAGATTTTTCATATAGTAACTGCAGAAGTAGGCTTACAAAAAAGACAACGAATTGTCATGGCTTAGGTGACAGATTCAGAAATCTGACACTGGAATTGTCTCTCTGAAGGCACTGCACAGATTTCTCAGAGCTAAGGAATACAGCCTTGCCCCAGGCTCACGGAGACAAGCAGAAATGGCACCGAGCAGGAGGTGACAAATTCAGTCAACTATACAGCAGGTGCCTCTTCATTTAGACCTAACGGTGGGGCCAGTCTCATAGTCCAGTTCCAGTGTGGAGCTCGGGGACCAGGTGAGGCCAGGCCAGCCAGCAGGATGTGTAGTGTTAGGAGGGAGGCCCAATGCTGCAAAAGGCTTCCACCTCTGGCAAAGCAGGTGCACCCTCCAGTGCAAGCCCCTCTTGAGGTCCATGCTAGTTTTCAAAAAATATTTCCCATAGCATTTGTAACTTTGTTTCTCATACTGGGTGGTGTGTAACACAGGTGGTTCTCTGCTGTTTCTTATTTGCCTGAAATGTGCGACAATAAAAATGATCAGCACAAGAAAGACATCACAAACATAAGAAAAGGGGGGCCACAGAAGGAACAAAAATCAGTAAGAAATGCAGCACTGGCAAGAAAGACCCAAACTTCAGAAATCCTCCAGATTTAGGGGATCTGAAATTTGAATTCTGGAAGGACTGGACTCAAGGAATTCCAACCTGAGATCACATTCTGGGTTCTGAGTATTCAGACTAAACATCTGCTGGGTGGCAATGGGCTGTTACCCAGTTCACCTCTACCCCACCCTCACTTCTAGAGGGATACCTCTCCACCCTCCTTCACACTCACACACACCTCTCACCTCTAGACCACACACACATCCCTCACCTCTAGACCACACACACATCCCTCACCTATAGACCACACACACACACCTGTCACCTCTAGACTACACACACACACCCCTCACCTCTAGAACAAACACACACACATCTCACCTCTAGAACACACACACAACTCACCTCTAGAACACACACACACACACATCCCTTACCTCTAGAACACACACACCTCTCACTTCTAGAACACACACACCCATCATCTCTAGAACACACACATCTCACCTCTAGAACACACACCCCTCAACTCCAGAACACACACACACCCCTCACCTCTAGAACACACATACACACCTCATCTCTAGAACACACACTCTCCTCAGCTCTAGAATACACATACACCCCCTCACCTCTAGAACACACACACCCCTCACCTCTAGACCACACACACATCCCTCACCTCTAGACCACACACACATCCCTCACCTATAGACCACACACACACACCTGTCACCTCTAGACTACACACACACACCCCTCACCTCTAGAACACAGATACACACACACCTCTAGAACACATGCACGCACCCCTCACCTCTAGAACACACACACACACATCTCACCTCCAGAACACACACACCCCTCACTTCTAGAACACACACACCCCTCACCTCTAGAATACACACACCCCTCACCTCTAGAGCGCACGCACACACACCCCCTTCACCTCTAGAACACACATGCACACACCCCTCACCTCTAGAACACACATACAGACACCTCACCTCTGGAACACACACACCCCTTACCTCTAGAACACACACACACATCTCACCTTTAGAACACACACACACACCCCTCACCTCTAGAGCACACACACACACACACACCCCCACCTCTAGAGCACACACACACACATCCACCTCTAGAGCACACACACACCTCCCACCTCTAGAGCGCGCGCACACACACACCCCCCTCACCTCTAGAACACACGCACACACCCCTCACCTCTACAGTGTGTGTGTGCGCGCACACACACACACTCATCTCTAGACCCCGCACAGCGCACCCCTCACCTGCAGACACACTTCACAGCCCCCTCCTCACTCGCCCCCATCGTTCAGGACCATCGCTGTCTCCACACTCACCTCTCCCCTCAAGGCCTCTCTCATTGCCCCCTCACCCCGAACTTTAGCGCCAGTTTTCCCCTCCCCAGGCCCTCCCCACCGTTGCCTCTTTCCGGCTCCCCTTCCACCCGGCCGACTGCCTCACCGCTGCTCGGGACTCAGCAGTGCGCGGTACTCGGCGCAGCGGCCCAGGAAGATGTCCCGCAAGTGTGCGCTGGTGCCCTCCCCGCGCCACCGCGCGCGCGCCCCGCCCGCCGCCAGCAGCAACAGTAGAAGCAGAAGCTGCAGCAGCAGCTGGAGCAGCCGCGATGCCGCGCACCCCTGGGCCGCCATCGGGGAACTTTGGTCCCTCCAGTCCCGTGCTTCCTCCACTCCCCTTCTCTCCTTCTACCAAGGCGGTTCCGCAAACTGATGCAGGGCGGGACTCTCGCTCGGATATCTCGCTGTTTGCCGTTTCCCGTTCCAGACAATTTCAAGACTGAGCGTGGGGCGGGGCGCGGCGGCTCATGCCTGTAATCCCAGCACTTTGAGAGGCCTAGACGGGCGGATCGCTTGAGTATAGGAGTTCGAGACAAACCTGAGTAACATACAGGTGAGAAACCTCCTCTCTACAAAAAAATACAAAACTTAGCTGGTCCTGGTGGTGCGCATCTGTAGTCTCAGCTACCTGCGAGGTGAGATGTGAGGAGGCTTGACCCCAGGGGATCGAGGCTGCAGCGAGCAGTGATTGCACCACTGCACTCCAGCCCTGGGCGACAGAGTGAGACTCTGTCTAAAAAAAAAATTAATAAATAAATAAAATTAAAAAAGAGTGAGCTTGGAACATCACCCAGGACAGGACCAGTGCACTGTGGCCCAGGCTAATCTTGACCGCTGTCCACGGGGAGGGAGCCCCAAAGAAGCCGCAAGGTTGAAGGAGAGGTGAGGAGAGGTCAGTCATCATCAGAAGAAATACTTTTCTGGCTCCAAAGGACGACAACTTTGACAGATGCCCTCTTTCACACCAACCAATAAGTGGTGTTTGTTTGTTTTCAGGAAATAATAACCACAACAACGTGCCAAGCACTTTGCAAGTATAATATTAATTACTTTCCGCAACACCCTTCCTAGCTAAGTTTGTAATTTCTCTCGCTTTAGCAATGGATAAACTCAGGGAAGTTAAGCATGTTCGGCCCTCCAGATTTGCGGATTCATCATCCAAATTCAGCTAACCACGGATGAGAAACATTTGAGGAAAAAAAGAATGCTTGCATCTGTACGGAACATGTACGGACTTTTTTTTCCTTGTCATCATTCCCTAAATAATCCAATGTAACAACTACTTATGTAACAATTACATAGTACTTGATATTACAAGGAATCTGGAGATGACGTGAATTATAGAAGAGGATGTGCAAATACTGTATACTACACCATTTAATATAAGGGCCTTGAGCATCTGTGGATTTTGGTATCCAGGAGGTTCCTGGAACCAATTCTCCATGGATACCTACCGCCGACTGTAACTTGTCAGAGGTCACAATATCCCTTCCTGATAGATGCAAAATCCTGGAGATGTTCAGTTTAAGAGAGCCAGGATTGGCCGGGCGCGGTGGCTCACACCTGTAATCCCAGCACTTTGGGAGGCCGAGGCGGGTGGATCACGAGGTCAAGAGATCGAGACCATCCTTGCTAACACGGTGAAACCCCGTCTCTACTAAAAATACAAAAGATTAGCCAGGCGCGGTGGCGGGCGCCTGTTGTCCCAGCTACTCGGGAGGCTGAGGCGGGAAAACGGCGTGAACCCAGGAGGCAGAGCTCGCAGTGAGCCGAGATCGGGCCACTGCACTCCAGTCTGGGCAACAGAGTGAGACTCCGTCTCAAAAAAAAAAAAAAAAAGAGCCAGTATTAATAGAATACCACGTGGAGGCCCAAGTCCTCAATTCTTACAATAATGACAGCAATGAACTTTGAGTGCCTGGCAAGCACTTGATAAACACAAGGGAGGACAGAACAGGTGTTCTCTACTGTTTTATTTGAATCTCTTTTTTTCTGTAACCAAAACCCGCATTCTCCTGTTCAGTTCCTCCTTAAGTTAAATCCACTTTCCAGAGGAAAGCATTTTTAATTCTTTCAAGTTTTGTTCCTGTGTTTACTTCCATATTTCTAAATAACATGTGTGAACCCGCAAATTTTGAGACAGGTCTCAATTAATTTAGAAAGTTTATTTTAGCAAGGTTGAGGACACGTGTCCATGACACAACCTCAGGAAGTCCTGACGACATGTACCCAAGGTGGTCAGGGCACAGCTTGGTTTTATACATTTTAGGGAGACATGAGATATCAATCAATATATGTAAGAAGTACATTGGTTCTGTCCAGAGAGGCGGGGACAACTCGAAGCACGGAGGGGGCTTCCAGGTCTCAGGTAGGTGAGAGACAAATGGTTGCCTTCTTTTGAGTTTCTGATAAGCCTTTCCAAAGAAGGCCATCAGAATATGCATATATCTCAGTGAGCAGCTGAATGACTTTGAATAGAATGGGAGGCAAGTTTGCCCTGAGCAGTTCCCAGCCTGACTTTTCCCTTTAGTTTAGTAATTTTGGGGCATCCCTGGCATGGCTCGTCCCACCAAATCTAATGTGAAATTGTAATCCCCAACGTTGGAGGTGGGGCCTGGTGGGAGGTGATTTTATCATGGGTGTGGGTTTCTCAAGAATAGTCTAGCACCATCCCCTTGTTGCTATTCTCATGATAGTAAGTGAGATCTGGTTGTTTTAAACTGTGTAGCACTGGCAGGGCGCCGTGGCTCACACCTGTAATCACAGCAGTTTGGGAGGCTGGTGTGGGGGGTGTGTTGGGAATCACGGATCGAGACCATCCTGGCCAACATGGTGAAACCCCATCTATACTAAAAATACAAAAATTAGCTGGGCGTGGTGGCACGCACCTGTAGTCCCAGCTCTTCGGGAGGCTGAGGCAGAAGAATCGCTTGAACCTGGGAGGCGGAGGTTGCAGTGAGCTGAGATCTCACCACTGCACTCCAGCCTGGTGACAGAGTGAGACTCTGTCTCAAAAAAAAAAAAAAAAGAAGTGTGTAGCACCTCCTCCCTCTCTCTTGCTCCCTGCTGCCACCGTGTAAGACCCATTGCTCCCCCTTTGCCTTCCACCACATTTGGAAACTTCCTGAAGCCTCTCCAGATGCAGAAGCCACTATGCTTCCTACAGCCTGCAGAACTGTGAGCCAATTCAACCTCTTTTTCTTATAAATGAGCAGTTTCAGGTATCTATAGCAATGCAAGAACAGACTAATACAATACCTATATGCTATTTCTTGATGTTTCTGTTTGGGACATTATTCTGTTTGGGACATTATGACATTTTATTTGTTGTAAACCTCTTGTTTACCCTGGAGGTAATCATTATCTAGAAAGTAACTAGCTTGCTTTTGATATTACAGGCTCATAGGCAGAAGGCATTTGCCTTGTCTCAGATGAAACTTTGAACTGTGGACTTTTGGGCTAATGTTGAAGTTAAGACTTTGAGGGTCTGTTGAGAAGGCATGATTGGTTTTGAAATGTGAGGATGTGAGATTTGGAGGGGCCGGGGTGGAATGATATGGTTTGGCTGTGTCCCCACCCAAATCTCAACTTGAATTGTATCTCCCAGAATTCCCACGTGTTGTGGGAGAGAGCTAGGTTGGGGTGGGGGTGGGGAGGCAGGGTGGGAGTAATTGAATCATGGGGGCCGGTCTTTCCCATGCTATTCTGGTATTCTGGTGATAGTGAATAAGTCTCACAAGATCTGATGGGTTTATCAGGTGTTTCCACTTTTGCTTCTTCCTCATTTTTCTCTTGCCGCTGCCATGTAAGAAGTGCCTTTCACCTCATGCCATGATTCTGAGGCCTCCCCAGCCATGCAGAACTGTAAGTCCAATTAACCCTCTTTCTGTTCCCAGTTTCAGGTGTGTCTTTATGAGCAGCATGAAAACGAACTAATACAACTAGATCTCACATCCTCCTCTTTCTTGTTTTATGGAGCACATCTTCCAATAGCTTCTTGAGAAGATACACAGGGACTAAACTTTCTGAGATTTTTTGCATAAGAATTCAAAATGTCATTATTCTACCTTCACACTTAATTGAGAATTTGATTGGATGTCTGAGATTTTTGCATAAGAATTCAAAGTGTCATTATTCTAACCTCACACTTGATTGAGAATTTGGTTGGGTACATTTTTGCATTGGAAAGCATTTCCCTTCAAAATTTTGAAGACTGTGTTCCATTGTTTTCTGTGTTGCTGTTGAGAAATCTGAACCCATTTTCCTATTCCTGTTTATTTGACCTTTTTTGTTGTTGTTTGTTTTGTTTTTTATTCTTTGGCCTGTTTTTTTTCTATCTGGAAATTTTCAGAATTTCCTTCTATTCTTAGGAGTATGAAATTTCAGAGATGAAGTTGGGCAAAAGTAGTTGTTTTTCATTGTACTGGACAATCCATGAGCCCTTTTAACCTACAAACTCATGTCTTTAAATACTGAGATATTTTCTCAATTTTTTGGTAATTTCCCCTCCTCCAAATTCTGTTTTCTCTTTCTGAAATTCCTGTTACTCATATAGGAATGATTTCCTTGTTAGACTTCCTAGTCTTTAATTTTCTATATTTTCACCTTTTTTCTTTGTCTTCTTATACTTTCTTGAATATAAATTTATCATTATCTTCCAACTTCTCTGTTGCTTTTTTAAATTTATACTATATATATATATATATATATATATATATATATATACTTATATATACAGTTGTGTTCTACACGTTCAGGTCTTTTTGCTTTTTATAATCTTCTCTTGCTGTTTTGTGAATATTTCTGAGGCTTTTATTACAGATGTAGGTTTTTCATTTTTCTTTTAAATTTTCTTCTGCCAATGTCTGTTTCCTTTGAGTGCCTTATTTCCATTTTGGTGACTGGCTTTAATGTGAGAAGTTTCCCTCAAATAAACTGATGACCTTTGGCTGATTATTTTTACAAACACAGAAAAACATAAGGAACAGTATTAGTTCATTGTCGCACTGCAGATAAAGACATACCTGAGACTGGGTAATTTGGCAGAAGGCAACAGGCACGTCTTACATGGCAGTAGGCAAGAGACAGCTTGTGCAGGGGAACTCCTCTTTATAAAACCATCAGATCTTGTGAAACTTATTCACTATTATGAGAATGGGAAAGACCCACCCCCATGATTCAATTACCTCCCACCGAGTCCCTCATATGACATGAGGGAATTGTGGGAACTACAATTCAAGATGAGATTTGGTTGGGGACGCAGCCATACCATATCAGGCACTAATTAGAAGCAGGCTCAAGGCAAATGGTCAGAGTTTGTCAAAGGGTGGGCTGCCCTGTAGGATGAACATACTGCACTTTATCACTAAGAGATACCTGTCATTTTCTCTTGGACAGTCCGTTTTTCCAGAGAGTAATATTCCTTTTTTTTTTTTTTTTTTTTTTTTTGAGACAGAGTCTCGCTCTGTTGCCCAGGCTGGAGTGTAGTGGCGTGATCTCGGCTCACTGCAAGCCCTGCCTCCTGGATTCATGCCATTCTCCCGCCTCAGCCTCCCAAGTAGCTGGGACTACAGGCGCCCACCACCACACCTGGCTAATTTTTTTTGTATTTTTAGTAGAGACGGGGATTCACCATGTTAGCCAGGATGGTCTTGATCTCCCGATCTCGTGATCCACCCGCCTCAGCCTCCCAAAGTGCTGGGATTACAGGCGTGAGCCACTGTGCCTGGCCTAATATTCCTATTTTCTACCTGGAAGGATATATGCCTGGATGATAGCAATGTGGAGCTGAGTGGGGGAAGGTGGCTGGGAGAATCTCACTATTCAGTATAAAGATTTTCACTTATCCCTCCTCTCTCACCACATTTTTAGTAGAAGCTCTGGCCTCACTGATGCCTGGTACCCCACAACCTAGAATCTTTGGTCTACTCTTCAGGAAATATGTTGCTGCACAGGATTAGGGAGGGCATTCTTGGACTTCCAACTACTTTTTTGACTTCCAGCCCTACATCCACTCCCACTTTCATGTTAGTGACAGACCTTTCTTCCAATTCCTCTTCCTTTTGAGGGTTCATGACATCAAACAACTTTCTTCACAGCTTACATTCTCTTTCCCCACTAGCCAACTGAGGTTTCAGCCTTCACTGGCCAACTAAATTGTTACCCCTTCCTCATTTTCTTTCCACCATCCCAAATTCTGTTCCTGACAACTCCTCTTCTTTTCTCTTTTCCCTCATGGTTTACTCCTTTTTCATTTTGTTTATATTCATCTTATTCATTGTCATGGGGGATGAGTTTGTTTTGAGGGAAGAAGTCTTTCATACCTCACAAACCCTCAAAACATGACTTTATCTTGATGTGTGAGGCAACAGGAAATACACAGCACCACTTCTGAAGTATCCATGCATCTGTCTGTCTATCTATCTATCTATCTAATCTGAATCTAGCAAACTTTCAGATTTAACTACAGTTTTCAGGAAATATAGAGGATAGAGGGACATGTTAAATGATACCACAGGCAGTCATGCACTGAAACCGGCTGACAATATTTGACAGGTATATTTTCAAAAATGTATCAAAAATCTGGGAGCCATTTGTTAAACACAGTCATATTAAAAATTAAATTATATAAACTTACAATAAAATAAATTATATTAAAAGCAGGCCGGGCACAGTGGCTCACGCCTGTAATCCCAGCACTTTGGGAGGCCGAGGCGGGTGGATCATGAGGTCAGGAGTTCGAGACCATCCTAGCTAACATGGTGAAACCCCATCTCTACTAAAAATACAAAACATTAGCTGGGCGTGGTGGCGGGTGCCTTTGGTCCCAGCTACTTGGAAGGCTGAGACAGGAGAATGGTGTGAACCTGGGAGGTGGAGCTTGCAGTGAGCTGAGATTGCGCCACTGCAATCTCAGCCTGGGCTACAAAGCCAGATTCCGTCTCAAAAAAATAAATAAAAGCAAAGGTAATAAACATCCAAAATACATAACTTCTTAATTATTTTACTACATGTTGCTATTATTTATGCTCTTGGGGATATTTATATCTATTTTATTTTGGGTCTACGTACCAAAAGCCAAAAACCAAATTTATATATTGACATTCATCAAAGCTAAGAAATTCTGCTCTTCAAAAAACACCACTAAGAAAATGAGCAATCCACAAATTGGGATGTACTTGCAATACATGTATCTGACAAAGGCATGTATGTAAAAAACAGGGTTGTCCAATCTTGTGGCTTCCCTGGGCCACATTGGAATAACCCACACATAAAAAACACTAACACTAACATAAGACTAACACTAACTTCAGCCACACATAAAAAGCACTAGCATTAGCTGATGAGCTTAAAAAAAAAAAAGAAAAAGTTCTGTGTGTTACATGTAGTTAGACAGGCATGAGTGCAGCAGGAGAGGGCTCTTCCCCCACCCACTAGGAATGTCGGGTGTTGGTTTGGCACTTATTACATTGCCTCTTTAAAAGTGATAAATTGGCAGCTGACACCAGGGAGAGGCCATTTCCTTATGGTCCACACCTGCGGCACTAAACGGTTAATTGAATGCAGAGACCAGGGAAAAGCAACTTCCAGGGCATGTACATTAAGAGACAAAATGGTGGAGTATGACCTTCCAGGGGCACTCCCCTGGAAAATGGAAGAAAGCCTCAGATGGCATGCATACAGCTTCCTAAACACATTGTGCATGCTCACCTCCCAAGTACATTAAATAAAAGCAGTTGTTATGCTTGTGTGCATGGCCGGCTGGAGGCCCAGAGAGTCCCCTTTCCACTCGGATGGTCTCCCAGTCGACCGGGCATGGGCTGCATGGTAGCTCTCTTCCAGGATTCTACGGCTTGGGGCAACAAATCATGCCAGGCTCTCTCTCTGCTATATCCCGAAGTCCAACACCCTGCGAGTCAGCCCCCGAGGACCACTCAGCTTCCTTTTCCCGTCAATTTCACCTTGTGTCTGTCACCACAGGGGGAGAATTTGGCATTCCTTGGAAGCTTAATGGGATGCCGTGAGCTTAAGCCTTTCCAGGAGCTTACTCATCAGTCTGCCCTTAGTCATCCTCAAACAGATGTATGGTGGTATTGTGGTGAACACTTACTGGACACTCTGCCAGGTAACTGGAGTGGTACTTACACTCTTGTCTAATTGGCTATCCCTTTCACCCTGACATTTCATCAACCAGAAAAAGAAAAACCACAACACCTCCCCCGCCAAAAAAAAAAAAAGAAGAAGAAAAGCCTCTTATGGATCTTTTGACTCTCAAGTTAACATAGACGTCATTGGAGTCCCACAAGAAGTGCCTAACAGATTCAAAGTCCATGACCAAATAGCTGCAGAATTTAAATCCATATTTCCACAGGTAACTATTAATAAAAATGTGGCTTGGATAAATTACATCTATTATAATCAGCAACAGTTTATTAATTACACCAAGGATGCTATCAAAGGAATAGCTGACCAATTAAGGCCTACTAGCCAAATGACTTGGGAAAACAGAATAGCTCTAGACATGTTATTAGCCAAAAAAGGTAGGGTTTGTGTTATAATTAAAACCCAATATTGCACCTTCATCCCAAACAACACTGCTCCCAATGGAAGCATAACAAAGGCCTTGCAGGGATTTACTGCTTTATCCAATGCATTAACTAAAAATTCTGAAGTCAATGACCCTATTTCAGAATGGCTAGGAAAGTGGTTTGGTAAATATAAAGGAAACATAGCCTCAATTCTTATTTCTCTTGCAATCGTACTAGACGAACTCGTTAGGTGATGTGTCATACCATGCATCCATAGGCAAATACAAAAGATTGTACAAACAGCACTTACTAAAGCCTCCCTTAGTTCTCCTCCACCTTATTCAAGTAAGCTTTTCCTTTTAGAAGATCAAAACAAACGGCAAAGCCAAGACATGTTAAAGAGTTTGAAGAGAAAAATCATAAGAAAATTTAAAAGGGAGGAGTTGTAAGATACAATGAATTTCTCTGAGTTTCTCTTCAAAAATGTAGCCTGCTAACTTCCTTGTCTTTTGTTCTCAAACTCAACTTTCCTGTTCCTCCTTGTCCCTAGTTACTGTAAAACAGCCTACCCCTTTTCTGTCATCCCTAATCAATAACTCACATCTATTCCCTTGGTTACCTGCACCCATTGTGTCCCTGAAACTGCACGTCTCACATGCTCCACCTCTGTAGCTCACGTCCCCCTCCCCTTTTATATTTAGAAAAATATGTACAAGTAGCCAATAGGGTCAGCTCAGATTGTGCAGTCTGACCCTACCCATGGGGGAGGGACACAGAAGTAGGAATTGCGTTAAGGATATAAAAACCCCCCAGTCTCCTTTGTTCTCTGTGCTCTTGCGATCTTAGTTGATGCAAGTGGCACCCTTCTGCAGAAGTCAATTGCCTTGCTGACAGGATTAAACTTTTGCCTGACTGCTGGTTTTACTTCACGGCACCGAGCATTTATTCCTCGAGCTTTTTATATCCAACAAACTCAAAAATAAGAAAAACAACCACATCTTAAAATTGGCAAAATAGTTAAACAAATGCCTCACCAAAGAAGATATTCCATTCCTAGGTATTTACCAAAGGAAAAATGAAAATACATCTATGCAAAGATTTGTGCCCATGTTTGTAGAAGCTTAATTCGTAACTCAAAACAGTAAACAATGCAAATGTCCAACAACAATATATTAATAACTTGTAACATCATCATATAATAGAGTATTATTTAGCAATACAAAAAAATGACAAATCTTTTAAAAATATGCTGAATGAAAGAAGCTAGATGTAAAAGAACACAAACTTTATTACTCCACTTACATAAATTTCTAGAAGAAATAGTAGTATGCTGATATACACAGTTGGCGGAAAAGAGATTTCAGATGGAACGAATTGCCTGAGCAAAGGCAGAAAAGGAAAAACCATGGAGCTTCTGAAAACAGTTGAAAATTTAGTTTGATTGGTAAACAGGTTGCAGATGGAGATTGGACAGGAAAGTTAGGGTCATATCTTAAAACCATTGAGCACAATGCTAAGGCATTTTCACTTTGTTCTCTTGATCATTATGAGTTATCAATAATTTCTGAGCTTCCTTATTGAAAACTGTGTTTCTTTTCTTGGCCAAAATTCTTGATTGCCAGAGAATGAAGAGAGATTATGCATTTAAAGGCCTTAGAATAGTGTTTCATAGTGTGCTCTCATTGATGGTTTTGAATGCTTATCTAATATGTTCTGTGTGTTTATTGTCCGTTGTGGAAGGCTGAAAAATAGGCCAGCAAAGATGTCCATGTCCTAAACCCTGGAGCCTATGAATACGTTACTTTACATAGTAAGAAGGCCTTTGCAGATGTGATTAAATTAAGGATCTTGAGATGAGCAGATTATACTGGCTGATCTGGATGAGTCCAATGTCATCTTAAGAGTCCTTACAGGAGGAAGTCAGGTAAATCAGAGACACAGAGAAAATAATGTGATGGCAAAAGCAGAGAGATACTTGAAGATATTATGCTGCTGGCTCTGAAGATGCAGGAAGGAGCCATAAGACAGGGGACGCAGGCAGACTTCAGAAGCTTGGAAGGGTAAGGAAACATTCTTCCCTGAATAATCCAGATGGAATGAATCCTGCTGATACCTCGACTTTTGCCCAGTATACATTGGACTCCAAAGAAGAATAAATTTATGTTGCTTTAAGCCACTATGTGGCAATTTGCTAAAGCAGCAATAGGAAACAAATACAGATTAGGGTACCTGAAACCATCACTCTTTCTGCCCCTTTTCCCCTTCATTTGTAAGGTTGAACTTGGGAATCACCAGGAGTAGGACTATTATTCTTGTTTAATCTTGACCAGAGTCCACAAGGAAGGCACCCCAAAGAAAAAGCAAGATTGGAGAATAGGTGAGTTCAGTCATCAAGATAAAGATTTTTCTGGCCCCAAATTATGACAACTTTGCTGTAACAAACACTAAAATTATGGAAGTAATTTGGATTTGGATAATCTGTAGAGAGACTGGAAGAATTCTTAGGAATATGATAGAAGAGGCCTAAATATGCTCGAATAGGCTGTTAGTAAAAATACGGGTGTTATGAGGGCTTGGAAGTAAGTGAACAGCATGGTAGAGAAAACCTGTATCATACTAGAGAAAATCTTAACACACCATAAACTGTAGAAATATAGATGTTAAAAGTGCTGCTGGTGAGGGCTCACAAGAAATTGAGAAACATATTTTTGGAAACTAAAGGAAAGAGGGTTCTTGTTATACAGTGGTAGAAAGCTTAGATGAATTGTGTCCTATAATTGTAAGAAAACAGAACTTTTAAGCAATGAACTTGTATAGTTGAAGTTTCCAAGCAGTGATGAAGGTCTGACTTGGATTTTTCTTGTTACTTTTAGAAAAATGAGAGAGAAAAGGGATAAACTGAGAGAACTGTTAGAAAATGAAACTATGATTTGATGATTTGAGTAATTCTCAGCCTATCCAGATTGCAAAAGATGCCAAAGCTAAGAGATCCACTGTAAGGAAAACATGCTCTGGCGAGAAAGCCAACAATATGGCTGCACATCCTTTTTTTAAAAAGTTTTTGAATTTTAAATTGTGGTAAAATATACACAATATGAAATTTATTATCTTAACTATTTGTAAGTGTGGGTAGTCTTTTGCTACTGCTTAGGAGGCACAAAAGATTACAGTATTCAGATACACAGAGCTCTTTGAAGAGGCATGTGACTCACAAACCCCCTCAACCAATCTCAGCAGAAGCCCCAACTAGAGATAGGATTATTCAGGAAACATCTGTTGAGAAGCCTCTTTCAATGGAGTGAATCCCTATGACTCACAATGTTTTGTTTACCAATAGAAACACTGTCAAATTGGACTAAAACGGACAGAGTGGTTGAAATGAAAGAAGGCAACCGAGTTCCCTAAATTCTACTAGCAGGAAATGGGCTAATAAAACTATTTAGTAGCAGACATGTGGTACTCCTCATCCAAAAAGATGGCTCTGAGGGTGGAGCCCCAGGTACAGAGGGCAGGTGCAGGAGCCACAGCTATTCCCAGGCTTAGTAACCTAATGCAGTTTGTCCATGGGACTTTGAAAGGAATTGGCTGGTGTCTTCTTTTTGGCTTTTTCTCCCTTTTTGAATGGGAACATCTATGAATGTTACCCTATTTCTGTCCCACTACTGTTGTAGAGCACAGAACTTGCTTTCTAGTTTCATAGGTCCTTAGATAAAAAATTTTGCCCCAGAGTAGATTATACTCAGAGCTGCACCCATATCTAATTTAGATATGAGATTTGGGACTTTTTAGTTGATGAAACTTAGATGAGATTTGGACTTGAGTTGATGCTATAATGGGTTGAGATTTATGGGGACCCTAGGAGGGGTGAATGTATTTTTCACATGGGATGGATGAGTCTTTGGGGACCAGAGGGTGCTACAGTAGGCTTAATAATGGCCTCCCCAAAGATGTCTACATCCTACTGCCTGAAACCCATGAATGTTACCTTACATGGTAAAAGAGATTTTACAGAGGAGACACACAGAAACACACAAACCTCTGGATCAGAGACACAATTTCTTATTCATAGCAAAAACAGCAGCCAGAGTAGCATTGTATGTGTTCCCCATGCTCCAATTCCTATAACGTAATACAGTAAGGGCCAGGTGTTACCTCTGCATGGAGTGGGTTGCACTACAGAAGAGGAGCCCCAAATTTTAAGTCTCTAGGCTTTTATGGGGCTGCTGACATGTCTGCCTATCTTCTCCAGAGAGATTACTCATTATTTCTGGAATGTAGGCAAATTCCCCTCCTGGCGTGAGAAAAGAGAAGGCTTTATCTTTACTTCCCTGGGATGTCTCTAGGGGAGGTGCTATCTCTAGCGTCACTATCCTGGAATGTTTCCTTTACACATTCTTAATTTGGATGTGAACACGGTCAAACGGGATTCAGACTGTGCAGAAATATGAGCTATTCACAGGGAATTGTTTTTCAACACTTTATTTCAAGCATTAAAAAAAAAGAAAAAATCAATTACCTTCAATAGAACAGAAAATCTGAAAAATTAAATAAGGCTAGGCATGGTAGCAGATGGAAAGGAATTACTATCCTGTATGATTTTAATGACAATGACCATGCCAAATAATATCACCCAGTGGGATAAGGGAGTACACAGAAAGGCAGAAGTTGAAATTAGTTTGAAGACTACATTGTATATTACACAATATACATTGCTTAAGCATCAGCAACGTGAAGCAACATCAATGCCGTTTCTGGATGGTTACAGCAGTTATGTCAAAATTAGATTTTTAAAAGTAAAAAGGCAAAGAAATTTGCCACATATTTAATAATTACTCTTGGGAATGACTGCAAATTAGAGATGTTAGGTATTATTGATTCATTTATTCTTTAGCAAATGTGTATTGAACACATACTATGTATCAGGCAAATGGATATCACCTCCCCTACTATGGAAGAATAACAGTAATCAGATAATTAAAAATTATATACTCCAGGGTGGCAGAATGACAATCAGTAATCAAAATTATTACAAATTATATACTACAAGGAAAACAAAGAAATAAAGGAATAATGGAGGATTTACCCTAGGGTGGTTAGAAAAGGTTTTTTTAGGGAAGTAACATTTAATTTTCTCGAGACAGGGTTTCACTCTGTTGCTCAGGCTGGACTGCAGTGGTGCAATCATAGATGACTGCAACTTCAAACTCCTGAGGTCAAGCGACCCTCCTGCCACAGCCTCCTGAGTAGCTGGGACTATAGGTGTGCACCACCACACCTGACTTATTTTTAAAATATTTTTAGTAGAAATAAGGTCTCACTATGTTGCCCAGGATGGTCTTGAACTCCTGGGCTCAACAGAGCCTTCTGCCATGGCCTGCCAAAGTGCGGGGATTACAGGTCTGAGCCACCATGCCCAGTGAGGGGAAAGTAACATTTAATTCAGACTTACCCTAAGAATTTAAAATAGTGACCAGAGTGTCTTTTAAAACCTAGCTCAGATCATTTCTCTCCTTCGCTTAAACCCTTCAACTGTTCTCTAGTCCACTGACAAAAGCCAGAGGCCCAATAATGGTCTACAGAACCCTTCATGGTTTGGTTCCCCAGTACTTCCCTGACCTTCCTTCTTACTACTCTTTCCATAGCACTTAATAGCTTCTAAATATTATAAACCTTATTTATTAGGTTTATTGTCAATTTCTCCTTGCCAGGATATAAACTCTACTAGGGAATTACCTGTTTTGTTCACTTTTGTATCCCAAATGTCTCTAGAATAGTTCCTGGCCTCTAACAGAAATTCATTAAATTTTTGTTCAATGAACATAAAATAATTTTATTAAATATAACAAAAATTAAAACATAACAAAAGTATCACAGTATTATAGTACCATTTAAATATAACATAGAAAAATACTACAAAATAAGAAATACAAAGACAAAAGCTAGGTAAGATTTTTATTTACTATGATGGGTGTGCTTGCCTGTTCATAAGTTCATTCCAGTCTGGAACACAGGAAGATAATGCTACCCGCATAACTGCTGCACAATTCAGCCCATTTCTTTCCTTTGTTTTTAACTGCGTTAAGATGGAAAACCCTAGTTCACACAAACTAGTTGTTGTGAATGGTAGCAATAGCAGGACACTCTTTCTACTTAACAATGGAAAGTCTTCCTTTACCTTCATCCAAAATGCTGATAAACTTAAGGTTTCATAATCATTCTTCAATGTATATGAAGAACTAAGCTGCAATAATTCATTCTCTTCTTCAGGCACCAAGTTTAGCTCAATTATTGATTCAGGGTGTCGAAAAGCAAATGGATCTTTTACCCAACTGTTTTCCCTTAATGTTTCAAATTTTTCTTCTGGAAAGAAATGGTTAAAAGTTTGAGACAGAGAAGTGAGATGCAACAATATCTCTAATTTTATTTCTTTCAAAATGTTTTCATTAATAATATTCTCTTCAATATGCTGCAAAAATCTTGGAAACATGTAATAGCTAGGACGATTACTTTTAAGTCTTACTTGCCATAACAATAATGTCTTTCGAAATCCCTGGATACGTTCAACATGTTGGAATACATCACTGTTTTTCCCCTGTAGTTTTAAACTCAGTTCATTAAGAATGCTAAAAATATCAGTTAAATATGCCAATTTTGTTACCCAAGTATCATCTTCAAAAATACTTGCCAAATGAGATTTTTTTTCAATGAGAAAAAAGTGAATCTCATTCCTGAGCTCATAAACCCTGCTTAGTATTTTCCCTTGAGACAACCAACGAATTTTGGTATGATATAGTAAGTGGGTATGATTAGTTCCAATCTCTGAACAAAATGTTTCAAGAAGCCGGCTATTCAATGAGCTTCCTTTAATAAAATTAACAACTTTCACTGCATTTTTCAATACCTCCATGAGATTCTGTGGAATTTCTCTGGATGCTAAACCTTCACGATGTATAAAACAATGATTCCACACAGCACCATTATTAGTAACTTCTAGTAATTTTTTAATTACTCTGCTATGTTTTCCAGTCATGGTTGCTGTGCCATCACTTGTAATTCCTTTACAGTTTTTCCAGTTTAATTTATATTGGCCAACTATGCGCCTTTCTAATTCTGTAAAAATATCTAATCCACTTAGGTGTGAGGTTAAATTTAAAAAACACAAAAAATCCTCCAAAAAATCATCTTGCCACGCATATCTGACATAAACTAAAAGTGTTGTGCAGCTTCCAATATCAGTGCTTTCATCAAGCTGGATTGCAAAATCTATACCAGACTGTAAACGAGTAATAAGCATTGTTTCTAAATGTTCTGCAATAGTACAAATTCGAAGAGATACTGTGTTATCATTAGGTATAGTTTTTAATTTATCAGCTGATTTATCATCAAATATTGTACGCACCATATCCAAACATGCTGGAAGAATAATTTTTTCAGCAGCTGTGTTAGCTATTTTCTCTTTTGCCACACGATATGCAACTAAATATGATGATAATAAGGCTTTCTCACTAACAGCAGTAGAACAACTAAGAAATTGTGTTGATAACTTTATGTCTTTTTTCTTTCTTTGAAAATATTCAAGAGGCTTATCAATAAGTTCAGCATGCTGAGTTTCTAAGTGCCTTTTTAATTTCGAAGGTTTTAAGCTTTCATTCGCAAGAATATTATTACAAATAACACACTGAGGTCTGTCATTTTCAAAGGGTTTTTCACATTTGATAAAGCCATATTTTAAGTAATCTTCATTATAACGTCTTGCACTTACTTTTTTCTTTTTGAAATGTGGCTCAAATGAAGTTGAAGTTTGCAGATTGGAGTCAGTATTTTTCTCAATATTGTCACTATTCACAATTCCAGATTCAACAGATGAACTTGAACATGCTTCTGTATATTTCACTTCACTATTCCTCTTTCTTTTAATAAAGAAATGATCCATTTTAATAGCAATTTGTTCCAGTTTGATTAAAATGTTATAATTGGCACTAACTCAAAAAAGAAGAAAAAAATATACAGTCTAAATAACATCTTTTCAAAAACTACACTCAAAGTTTGCAATTGAATCGAATATTTCAGACTTCACAACTAGTTGCAAGTAATTGTAATATAAAACTTGACTATAGAACATTAACCGTGCTATTATGAAAATCAAGCAAGACACCCAGGAATCAATGACTGAAAACCATTTCTTAGCCAATATACATTCTATTCATCATATCTCCTCCATCAAATACCCCTCTCGCATATTGAAATTGACCTCAGCATTCCTTGCAATGTGCACAATTCAGGCAAAGGATTCATGCAAAACACTTTGGTATTTTACATTTTATTTTGTTTTTTAGACAAATGTTCATTGTGACTCACAGAATTGATTTCATGCCTCACTAATGGGTCTCACATATACCATGAAAAATACTGATATAGAGACATTTTGTGCCTTTGCTGTGTTGGTACCTTGAGTATGTCTGCTTGATGATGAAAGAGACTGGCTGATCTGCTAGACTGTTGACTTGTATAAGAACATCTTGAAGTGGTGGGAATTTATCTTAGATTTTCATTCCTGGATCATTTTTATGGTCTGATCCAGTGAGGAGCCAATGAGGTTTTCCATGGCTAGGTCAAATATCAGGTTGGAGTTGATGGTATATTTTTATAGAACTTTCCTGGAATGCATCCTTGACCTGGGAATAAGACCAGAGATAAGACATTAAAGCATCACAGTACAAAGTAGTATTACTGCCAGCTATGGGGGCCTTTATGATATCCAAGATCATAGATGGTGAGGCAAACAGTCTATAGCTCTCTTTATCACTATCTTATATTGGCTTAGGCCTATTTCTGTAAGGCAAACCACTTCAACTGAGATTAGTAAATAGAAAAATAGTGACAGTAAAACCCAGAAGTTGGCATCAGGACTTGGAAAGTATATTAACAAAACAGAATACAGCAAGCCATGAAGGAGTATAGCTTATTCACCATACATACTTCCTTTTTGCTTGGCCGCACCTATCTTGGTCATGCCTGCCTTGGTAGTGCTGCACTGCTCTCTTGGATCATAGTATATTTCAGTCTTATGACCATAACAGTAGTTTCAACCCTTCCTTACACACCTTTCCATCAAATTATCTCAAATTTTTTGGGAGGGGTGCAGTCCTACATTTACTGTAGTGTTTATTTATTAAAATTTCCACGTCTTAACTGTGTTAATACTGTATCTTTATTATGACTGTTTGTATTAATTGTACTTTCTTATTTTTGTATTGTTAATCATTTGGTATCTAGGTGGGTCCTTGATGACTGGAGAGGTACTACCTCTCCCAGGGTTAGCTAATTCCTATGCAAACTAACCAATCCAGAATCCCCCAACTCCCAACACAGACATCTTGGGTTCTTATACTCCTGGCCAATATTGCCCTATCCTAATCACTCCAGACCAGCTACCAGGCAACTAGGGATATCCCCTACGCCCGAAGTCGGCCAAAATTATTTCAACTAGCCAATTTTAAACCTGTTCAAGCCTGCTTATCCAGTTTTGCCCATTCCTTCCTCAGAAAACCAAATAAAGGCTTTCCTGCAGTTTCCTTGTACTTCCTCTCCCCATTGACCCTGCTGCTTCTAGGTATGGCACCCTTGCATGGTGTAAGGTGCCATGCTTCCTGTTTCTAGGGATCCATGAGTATAAAAATTTCTTCTTTCATGACAATCATTTTCACATCTGCATATCTTACCATATCTGATTAAAATAAATCCTGGGTACATTTTAAAACACTATTATTTTGTGTTATTGGTCTAGTTACAAAGTTGTATAGTTTGGCCCTAAACCTCTTTTTCCTGATCAGGTTTTATACCTTTTAATACAATTATTTTGCAGACCATGACTTCTTCTAGGAAATCAAAGTCCTAAATGCTTTAACGATGGTTAAATAGCTACAGATTACATATGGTACCTGATTGTACCTTAAAAGGTGTGCATCTGGGAGAGAATTCAGGACCTGGTAGATGCCTTTGACTTAATCTTGGTTAGATGCTTCCTTGAAAGATGACATGTTACAAATAGTTAACCTTGGCTGGAAAGAGACAAAGCTTTTCTTAGGAGGTTTTATGTCCTCTGTCGAGGACATTAGCAGGACTAAAGAGTTTATGGTACATACCTCTTGCATGTCCCAGCACAGTGGGTGGTCATCAATGTATTCAGAACTACACTGCTAAAGGCAAATGCATCTAGATCTCTTTCTAATGCATAAGAAAAGCTGAAGGGCAATACACAGCCTTGAGGCAGTCTAAGCCAGATAAACAGCTGCCTGAAAGGGAATACTGACTCTTCCTTCCATAGTTAAAAGTTCATATAAGGATGCTAACATGTTTTAATGCTTCAACTTTCCCCCAAGAAACCTCAAACTACTACAATTTTGTCCTTCTGCCACCTCTCCCTAGATATTTATCATATATAGCTCAAGAAAAACAGTGCTAAACAAAACATGTTAAACAAAACATGCTACAAAGTCTTTTGTTTGACTTTCTTTACTTATATCTCCGAAAGCGGCTTTAATGAGAAGCCAGAGGAATTTTAGGGGAGAAGTTCAAACCTGAGGTTCTGGCCTAAACATAAATTCTGGAACTTTAATTTAAATAGACATGCTCAATTAGTACTCAATGTAAATCAGAGCATGTTCATACCCGAACACGATCAAGTACACCAGTGTGATTCCATAACCCAGGTGGGTTCTGCTGGCCCAAACACCAAAGACCTATAAATGTGTACACTGATGCTTAAGATGTGTGCACTGAAATTGGCTCCTGCGGCTACATGGCAACATTTCCAAGTAATAACTTTATTCAGCTATCCATCTACTTAGCCTCCCTTAAGAATTGCAATTAAGGTAATCAAATATTTGTAGTTGAAAGTTTCTCATACACCAAGGTGCATTAACACGGTTATATGATATGGTTTTAGGTAAGTGATTTTCCACTAATAAATCTTATCTACCTGTTCCTAGAATAGTGCTTGCTGTATGGTAGTTACTCAATGCATATGAGAGAATGAGAAAATTAATGACACCTGTAGTAAACTGTACAATGTACACTCTATTTTTATCACAGTCAGTAACAAATAAGTTATCCAACTATATTTGGACAACTGGGAAATATGTAAGACGAAGGCTAATAAAACATATTATTTAAAACAGGATTGTTAAAGATTCTACTTCATAATAAACTGCTTATGTTAAGAAATAGTAGAAACAATGATCCTATAAAAACATACATGTAAATTTAGATTTAGCTTTTAAAGCTTAGAACCTAAATCTACCTGAAAAAAAGAAATATACATTAAAAAAGTATCTTATTTTTATATTACTATATATGGATCATTTATCTCTTAGAAGCAATTGTCTTTTAACTATTCCATTCTTTCATATTCTTACTATTCACGTTTCAATCCCCCCTTGAAAGTTTGTAACACTAGTTCAGTTACTATTGTATTAAAAAGATATTTTTAAAGGGTTTACTCTCCCTCCTAAATCAGACAGTTCATCTATAGTAACAGCAGTGGCAGTATATTAGGGAACAGGTCTGGTAGATGTGGTGATGAAAGCATGGGGAAGTTTTTTTTTAACTCAATAGGATGTGAGGTATCATCTAAGTAAGAGGCCGAAGTAGAAAATGTTGCAAGTTTGTCAGAAGAAAATATGAAATATTAATAATTGTTAAGGAATGTGATAATATGATGGACTAGGAAAATGTTTTTGGATTTTTAGTCTGGCTGGTTGTCTTACTTGCTTAATGCAATGATTGTTATTGTTACAATGCTTGATAGTCTAAAATTCCCCGTCACTAATCTTTTATATCCTAAGATATATCTCTAGTGCGCTGTATCATCTTCTGAAAATACAGCTCTAATCAGCTTCCTCATAACTGGAAAAGCATTTAATGGCGCCGAGCTTGTGTAAGCTCTTCAGGATAATATCCTTTAAGCTTAAGCCTCATCTTTCCAGGTTTCTCCTTCATCACATGATCTCCATACATTCTACATTTCAGTACTAAAAGTATGGAAATTCTTGAAATAGTTCATGCACTTTCATGTCTCTGCTTTTGGCTAGTATTCCTTTTGCCTGGAATACTCTTGTTGGGTCACATGAAGTCCTATTTATTCTTTTCTACTTAGTTCAAATGCTACAGCAGCCATGCATTCAACTAACATTTAGCTACCTACAGTGCCTAAAGTATGTCAGGCACTGGAGATACTAAACAATGAACAGTGACATATTAAAATAACAGAATATCTGTTCAGCTATTAAGATGAATAAGGTGGAGTTACACAACACTGACAAATCTCAAAAACATTATGTAAAACAAGCTAGCTGCAAAAAGATGTACACATTACAGATTGCATAAAGGTGGTTAGGAGAGTGGTTTCCTTAGGCAAAAGGAAAGAGAATGAGACGGGGTAGAGCTGACAAAGGACTTCAATCACTTATATAATCATTTATTTCTCCAATTCAGTGGTGAGTACACATGTGTTATAGTTTTGTTTCTACCTTTTTTCTGTCTAAAATCGTCTATTTAAAAAAAGCATCTTTAAGGCTGGATACCTTCCTGAAGGCACTGGAAATCTGTCATACTGCCACTAACTTAAAATTACCTTCCACCTCTTGCATTTCCCTTTGTTTCCTGTTTTGACATTGCGCACACATTAGTTAGTACACTAGGCCTTAAGAGTGGAAACTGCCAGGTACCAGCTTTAGCTAGATTAAAACATGACCCTCTTCCCAGGAGACTCCTGACCGGTTTTCTCGTCCTCCAGGGACCCAGCTAGGATTTCAATGAACTTTGGCCTGAACCCCTCGGCCGACCCTAGAATAATCGCCCTTCAGGCCCGGATTGCTTCTGCTCTCACCTTCCCTCAATTCATACGGGGGGCAAAACCAGACTGTATTTCCCGCAACGAACCCTGGAATGCTTCGCTTTAGCGGACTCCGGTCCACTCCCATCAGAGGATGCCCTTCTTTCGCCTCACCTCCAGCCCAGCCGCAGCGACCCGGCCGGGCCCAGCGCTGCAAGCCTCAGGTCTCTCCAGCAGAGCTGCGCCTCTGCTCTCCCCACACTTCCCTCCGCAACACCACTTCCGGCCTACCTCACAAATTCCCCATTCCAGCCGAAAAGAACTGGATCGGCCCTCTGCGCATGCGTGAGACCGGGGCGGTGTCCGGGGGTGCCGGGAGCGGGCGGTGCAGGCTCCACTTTTCCACTTCCCTACGCTCTGTCGGCAGTCTCGCGGGATTTCCGCCTCTCGCGGGAGTTATTTGAATGCCAGGGCGGTAACGACTCCCTAGGCGCCTGGGGCCCTCTGACAAGAAACCCTAGGAGACACCGCGGAGAACTCTGCCTCTGAGCTGGTGGGCGGGCCGGATGTAGCCGAGCGCGGACAGGGCTAGTCCGGACAGAGTCCCAGAGCCATGGGAGCGAAAAGAGACTGCTGCGGATTAAGGAGGCCTTTCGGTTGGCGCAGCAGCCACACCACAACCAGGCGAAGCAGGTAGTGGCGCTGAATCGCTCCTGCCGCGGGGTAAGCGCTCCCGGCCCGCGCCCGCCCCAGCCCCGACCTGGCGGGGCCAGGACGCTGGTTCATACACTCCAAGGTGATTTTCATAGTCTTTGTGGAAGAATTAGAGAATTTTGAACTTTGATATCATTGCACGTGTTTACTTATTTAGAGAATCGCATTGTGTTTAATAATCATAGTATTCCTGTGCGACTCTTTAGGTTAGCAGATCATTGATTTTTAACATAAAACTGCATTTCATTAAATAGATTTAAATATGTATGTATATTTCTGTCCTCTAATGATTGTAACAAAGCAGATTTCTTGATCATTAACAAGATAGGTTCGTGCAAATAAGTGCATCTTTGTCACAAACCAAATTTTTTTGTGGTTGAGATATATATTTATATATATATGTGAAACAAAAAACATATAAAGGAGAATATATATATATTCTTATATATATAATATATACTGCTTTATTTTTTTGGGTTGACATATATATGTCATATATAGTTTTTTTTTAAATTCTACCTTAAACAGGGAAACATGTTAGATACAGGAGCTTGAATTTCAACTCTGAAACTTAATGCGACTTTATCAGCATTTCTCTTTCTCAAGCTACTTACTTCTTGTAGGATTACACAGTCAAATTTTTAAAAATTTTTGATTCTCCAACTGGATTTTTTTTTTTAATTTTTGAGACGGAGTCTCACTCTCTCGCCCAGGCTGGAGTGCAGTGGCGCAGCCTCGGCTCACTGCAACCTCAGCCTCCTGGTTCAAGCGATTCCCCTGCCACAACCTCCCGAGTAGCTGGGATTACAGGCGACCGCCACCATGCCAGGCTAATTTTTGTATTTTTCAAAAATACAAAGACGGGGTTTCACCATTTTGGCCAGGCTGGTCTCGAACTCCTGACCTCAGGTGATCCACCCACTTGGGCCTCCCAAAGTGCTGGGATTACAGGGGTGAGCCACTGCACCCAGCCTCTCCCACTGGATTTTTAAAGCTGTTTTTTGATTAGCAAATATTTCTTTTACATGGCTCAAACTACATGAAAAGAAATGCAGCAAGAAACACTTCCTCCCTAGTCCCTATCCAGTACCATTCCTAATAGTCTTCACGGGTAATCATTTTAAATTAGTTTCTTGTTTATCCTTCCGGTCTTCATGCAGAGATACAAGCAGATGAGAATATACAGTCTTATTTCACTCGGTCTCTCCTTCAATATTTTCTGCATTGTTCATGTTTTTTTTTTTCCTGTTTTACTGTATATTCTGGATATTCCTCCTTATCAGTATTCAATTAAACTTATTTTTTCCTGTCACATACTCCATTTTGTAGATATACTCCAGTTTATACAGTAAATCACGCGTAGGTGGACACTTGGCGTTGTTTCCAGTCTTCAGATATTAGAAACAACTCTTCAGTGAATACATGTCATTTCTACATTTGCAGGGGTAACTGTCAGATTCTGAAAAGAATTGCTGGATCCAAGAGGAAATGTGTTTGCAAATATGATAGATATTTACAGTTGCCCTTCATAGAGTGATCCATTTTACACTCCTATCAGCAGAGAAGAGAATGAGACATACTGCTTTTTTTTTTTTAGGGGGATTGGAAAGAACAGGAATATAATTGGGATTTTTTGATAGATAAGTAAAATCCTGAAAAGTTTGGGAATATGAGTTAGAATGATAAAACATATAACAAAAATAACTTGTTGTGTGATAAGAAGGCTTAATTTTAAAAAGCAGTATTGAATTGGGACCATTGGGTGTTGGTTTTTTGTTTTTTTGTTTTTTTTTTTTTTTGTTCCTGAACTGTACCTTTAGCATATTTCTCTAGATAGATTCAAGGATATTTAGAAAAATCAAAATCTCTTGTGATCAAAATCTGTGCTTCCTTGCTCCATGACAGAAGCAATTCAAAAACAAGAGACTTGGGTAAATATTACTCAGGTTTATTTTCCTCAGTTTTTTCTACTGGATGGATAATTAATAATTGTTAAAGAGTAGATATTTTAGCCCGACATGGTGGCTCACACCTGTAATCCCAGCACTTTGAGAGGCCGAAGCGGGTGGATCATGAGATCAGGAGATCCTGACCAACATGGTGAAACCCTGTCTCTACTAAAAATACAAAAATTAGCTGGGTGTGGTGGCACGTGCCTATAATCCCAGCTACTCAGGAGGCTGAGGCAGGAGAATCGCTTGAACCCAGGAGGCGGAGGTTGCAGTGAGCCGAGATCACGCCGCTGCACTCCAGCCTGGTGAGAGTGAGACTCCGTCTCAAAAAAAAAAAAAAAAAAAATAGAGATTTTAGTTTGGTGAAAAATTGTTGAGATTTTTGAGAATTATGATAGTGCTAGGGACAGAGACTATTATCAATGTAGTTTGTGAAGGGTTTGTTTTTTATTTCTGCTGACCAGTAAAAGTTTTTTAAGAGGCATTTGTTCATTATATCAATTAAGCTATGATGATCTGCAAATATGAACCAACAGTAGAGTGAGAAACAGAATTTGCAGCAGTTTATTACATCATTTCACCAAACAGAAGGAAGATAATGAGAAAAATGAAGACAGTGACATTTCAAACAAAATGACCTTATAAATATTTTTCTGTAGGCTAAAATAATAAGCTTATAATTAAAAGCTGATTTGTTAAGTAATAATAGCTTACATTTAAAATTATAAGAAACCAATTTTAGGTAAATATACTTAAATTAATGCTCTACCTAGGAAGGAATGCAGAAGATCATTTTGGTCAAAAAGTTGTTGCATTCTTGTTATTTAGCAAATATTTCAGACAAGGACTATTTTGAGACTATGTAAATGTATATTTAGTATACCTATGCATGAAAGTAGCATTGTAGCTTTTCTTCGTTTGCATGAATTGTAACCCCTTTGAGTTATTAAAGCCTTCACTTGGGGAAAATCAAGTGGTCGTTACAATGCCACTTGGGAATAAGTTTTCATTTGTTTTTGTTTCAATACTGAGGTAAACAGCAATGAAGTTTTTGATGTGCCAAATTCTGAGTAAGTTATTGGGAAATAAGCCAGAAAATGCCTAGATTAATAATGTTTTGTGTAAAAAATTAATGAAGCCATTCTTGTTAGATTGAAAGATAAAATTGCAAATGAGAAAATCCAGGCAATCCTGCCTGTTTTGAGACTTAACACCTATGAATAATGACTTGTCCCATAAGTTAAAAGTATGTGCAACTTCATAGTTTTTTGTTTGATTTTTAAATTCACAGTAGTTGAATTATTCCTATTAAATATATAATTTATGAGAAAAGAAAGTATGTATGAAACACACCCACCCGCCCATTTAATGATACATCATTCCAATAGCAATTCCCTGACACCAGCTGAATGTCCTACAATGCAATTCAATTTCGTTACTAATTGCCTGAAGTTAGCACAGTTGCCACACAGGTTAAGCGCTCAGTCCCACAGGACTGCCTCCATTTCAGATGCCAGCCACAAGTCTCAGGTATTCCCAACCTACTTGGACTTCTTCCAGGCTGACTCCATATTTGGGCATTCCCATGACCTACTCCCCAAGTTTGATAATTTGCTAGAATGACTCACAGAACTTAGGAAAGCACTATATTTACTACTACAATTTTTGTGTAAAGGATACAACTTGGGAACAGCCAAATGGAAGAGACACATAGGGGAAGGTATGGAGGACAGAGGGTGCAAAACTTTCATGCCCTCTCTGTGCCACCCTCCCAGCACATTAATGTGTTTGGAAGCCCCTTGAGCTTCCAATGATCAGACATGACTCATTAATCATTAATCACTAGTCACTTATTTGAACTCAGTCTCCAGTTCTTCTCCCCTTGTCAGAGATAGTGAGATGGGCTAAAAGTTTTAATCCTGTAAACACCTAGTTGGTTTTTCTGGTAACCAGCCTCCATCCTGAAGGTACCTAGGGTCCCTCTCTATCTCCCAACCCCTATGAGTCACCTCATTAACATAAACTCAGGCATAATTGAAAGGGATATATTATGAAGTATAAAAGACACCTCCTATTAGGAAATTCCAAGGGTTTTAGGAGCTTTCTTCCAGGAACCAAGGACAAAGAATAAATATATTTTTTATTATACCACAGAAGAGTAATAAGACGAACATATATACCCAGCATCCAAATTAAGAAACATAACATAAAGGTATCTTTTAAGCCTCTTGTGTTCCTTTGTGAATATATTTCCTCTGCTTCCCAGAGGAAACCATTATCTTGAATTTTGTGTTATCTGTTACCTTGCTTGTCTTCAGAGTTTATTATAGTTTTAACGCTATCTAGCGGTATATCCGAAATAAACCTCTTTTTGACCTTAATATAAACGGAGTTGTAGTGCATGTATGCTTTCAGTGGTTTATTTTCTTAATAAATATAGAACATATCATTTGTTAGATAATTGTATTGGGCCATTCGTGACTACTTTTTTTGTCTTTTTGTTTTCTTAAGATTTTGTTCTTAGCTTTGAGAATTTCATTTCTTTAACATGGACTAGTGATATATTAGGTAACATGTACTTAACAGAACTGAAAATCATACTTTAAAATTATTTATTCTGAAAGTGTTCAAATATACACAAAAGTAAAGAATTGTATAATGAACCCAACAACCCAACACCTAGTTTCAACCATTATCAAGTCCTCCCCCTCCCCCCCGTAATACTCATTCACATATACACACACTCTACCCTTCTCTCAGCCAGAATTATTGTGAAGGAAATGTATGACCCTGTAACATTTTTATCTAATATCTAATATTGAGTGTTAAGATTTTTATAATTATTGCCAAAAAATGTTTTTTACACTTGTTTCTTTGAATTAGAAGCTAAACTATGTCCACATATTTCATTTTATTGATATATCTTTGTCTCTCTTAATATATAACAGAGTCTCCCTTTTTTTTGTTGTTGACATTTATTTGTTGTAGAGATTAGGTCATTTGTCTGATTGAATTTCCCATATTCAGGATTTGGCTGTTTCCATCCTCATACAATCTTTCAACCTATTCTATCATGTTTATTTTCTGTAAACTAATGGTAAAATTTAGATGCTTGATTAGGTTCAGGTTTGACTACTTCTTATGCTTTTTATGCGGTAGTTTATAAACATCCTATTGCATCATATCAGGAGGTGAAAGGCTTCAATAATATTTTTGAAACAGTGTCCTAATATATATGGATTAAGGATTATAGAGCAATAATATATAATTTCCATAAGCTGGGTTGCTCTGTAGTCATATCTCCTCTAACCTCCTTTCTGGTTTTAGATGGAGAAGCTAAGATCCAGAAAGTTAAGTATTTGCCAAAGGTCAGACAGCTAATTTAATAGTAAAAGTAGAGCTCTTTTTCACCTCTCACTCCTTTTAAAATTTTGTCTCATAAATCTTTGATATCTGTGGATCAGAAAGAATTCTGTTTGAGGTAGTCAGAATAGCATTTCTGCGTATTCAACTAGAACAGGAGTTTTGGCTGGGCGCGGTGGCTCATGCCTGTAATCCCAGCACTTTGGGAGGCCGAGGCAGGCGGATCATCTGAGGTCAGGAGTTCGAGACCAGCTTGGTTAACATGGTGAAACCCCATTTCTACTAAAAATACAAAAAATTAATGGGGTGTGGTGTCAGGTGCCAGTAATACCAGCTACTTGGGAGGCTGAGGCAGGAGAATTGCTCGAACCTGGGAGGCAGAGGTTGCAGTGAGCTGAGATGGCGCCATTGCACTGCAACTTGGGCAGCAAGAGCAAAACTCTGCCTCAAAAAAAAAAAAAAAAAAAAAAAAAATAGGAGTTTTGTGACCGAGAAGTTAAGACATAGTGAAGGTTCAACTCCTTGAGTGGTTCTGTTTTTGCACTGCCTGTGTGGTAGCTAAGACTTGAATTTGAAAGTAATAGTTAGAGGGGTTAGATAGGATCTAAGCCTGAAGGCTGGTAAATCCAGGATAGGAACAATGCAAGAAAATCTTTATATACTATAGTAGTAGTTGGTCATTTAGTCCTAAATAATTTTTATTTGTGGTACTTATTCACCTCATTTTTATATACTAGTATTTTGCTTCCCATATTAATTTCTACTTGTCTTATAAATGTTAAGTATAAATTAATCTTAATTTGAAGAAAATGAATTATGGAACAAAATATAGGAAGTGAAAACTAGAGGGAGGTAGCTTTCCTCTATAAATTATGTGACTTAACATAAAAAATCAATGATGTGGAAAAGTCTTCTACAAGCCTGGTTACACATCACAGAAATACCTTACAGTTGCTTCATCTGTTTTGATGCATAAAGTGTTTTGTAGTGGCAGGCCCACTGCTTTTTTTTTCGTGATTCCTAGTGAACTGATGGGAATTTGTGCAAACAATGATTGTAGGTATATGACAAATTAATTTATCATTAAAAACCATAACCGACTGGGTGCGGTGGCTCGTGCCTGTAATCCCAGCACTTTGGGAGGCCGAGGCAGACGGATCACAAGGTCAGGAGATCGAGACCATCCTGGCTAACACGGTGAAACCCCGTCTCTACTAAAAACACAAAAAATTAGCCAGGCATGGTGGCATGCGCCTGTAGTCCCAGCTACTAGGGAGGCTGAGGCAGGAGAATAGTGTGAACGTGGGAG
Source organism: Homo sapiens (assembly GCF_000001405.40). Classification (NCBI taxonomy): domain Eukaryota; kingdom Metazoa; phylum Chordata; class Mammalia; order Primates; family Hominidae; genus Homo; species Homo sapiens. Next base: position 15,674,737 of record NC_000004.12, on the reverse strand, counting down.
GCGGAGCTTGCAGTGAGCCAAGATCGCGTCACTGCACTCCAGCCTGGGCGACAGAGTGAGACTCTGTCTCAAAAAAAAAAAAACCCAAAAATCCCATAACGTTGATAATCTTCTAAGATGATAGAAATGAGTTGATAAGGAGAAAAGAAGGTTTTATGATTAAAATGAAAGTTTCATGAGTAATAATTTTGTAAGGAAAAAAGTTATGATTACATATAATTTCACTAATATATAAACGTAAAATGGAGAAATAATCCCAAATAAATACAATATAATAAAAATTGGGGGACATTTTATTTAAAGTGATGAGTGTGCTATGTATTCATAAGTTGATTTCAGTTTGGGATCTCAAGTGCAGTTCTCACATACCCAGTACAGTGTTAACTCTGTTTCTTTGTTTTTATGGGTTAAGAATTAAAAGTACCAATAGCGGTACTACATTCATGCCACTTAGCAATGAACAATCCTATTTCCTCCAAAAGAATGATACATCATTATGACATAGGGCTAGAGAATTAAAAAAAAAAAAAAAACACGATGCATTTGATATTTCATAATCATTCTTTAGTATTTCCAGAGAAGTAAGCTACAATATTTCCTATTCTGCAGGCACCAAGCATAACTCAGTTTTTGATTCAGAGTGTTGGAAAACAAATCTATCCAGTTTTTTCCTTGAATGTATCAATTTTTGTTCTGGCATGTAATGGTTAAAAGTTTGATACAGGCCAGAAACAATAAAAAATGGACAAAATATATAAAACAATGTTTTCCAAGATATTGGATATCAGGCAATGAAGGACAGTGAACCTTGATCAATAGGAAACAAAGTGAGTCCTATGATTGCCTCAGTTTATTGCCTTGGGAGAATTTCTAAGCCATAGTACAGGGAGAGGGGAACATATGCAGCCTAGTGGAATCCCTCTGTTGATAGAGCCTGGAGCCTGGTGAAACCAGTGCAGCCAGAGTTTGCTAGAAGGGAGAGAGCTGCATAGAGAGAGAATTCTAGTGATCTGGAATGAATCTCTCCTGATTCTTCAGGTAAGTATTGATCACTGTATGCATGTGAGGAAATGACCTGAGGCCAAGGAAAGGATCATCCAAAAATATTACAGTACAGTCTTGGATCACATAAAGACATTTTGTTCAATGATAGACTTCATAAGATTATAATGGAGCTGGAAAATTCCTACCACCTAGTGATGTCATAGATCTCAATGATGATGTCTTATGTGTCTGTGGTGATGCTGGTCTACTGTCTTGCTGATACATTTATCCTTATTTTATCTTTATTTTTTTTGAGATGAGGTCTCACTCTGTTGCCCAGGGTGGAGTAGAGTAGTGCAATCTTGGCTCACTGCAGCCTCGACCTTCTGGGCTCTGGTGATCCTCCCACCTCAGCCTCCCAAGTAGCTGGGACTACAGGCACGGGTCAACACACCCGGCTAATTTTTTGTATTTTTTGTAGAGACAGGATTTTGCCATGTTGTCCAGGCTGGTTTCAAACTTGTGGGCTCAAGCGATCCAGCTACCTCGGCCTCCCAAAGTGCTTATTACAGGTGTGAGCCATTGCACCTGCCCTATTGTTATTTTAGAGTATACTTTTTCTACCTATGTATATTTTCAAAAGTTAACCGTAAAACAACTTCAGACAGATCCTTCAAAGTATTACAGACGAAGGCATTGTTATCATAGATGACAGCTTTGTGCATGTTATTGCCCTTGAAGACCTTCCAGGGTGACAAAATCTGGAAGTGGAAGACAGTGATACTGTTGATTGTGACCCTGTGTAAGTCTAGGCTAATTTGTGTCTCGTAAAAATAAATTTTTTAAATAAAGTTTATAAAATAAGGATATAAAAAATATTTTTGTACAGCTGTACAACATGTATTTTAAGCTAAATGTTATTACAAGAGAGTCAAAAAGTTAATTTAAAAAAATTTTTAAGTTTATAAAATAAAAATTTACTGTTGAAGAAAAACATTTTAAAAATAAATTTAATGTATTTAAGCCTAAGTGTGCAGTGTTTATAAAGTCTACAGTAGTGTTATAATAATGTCCTAGGCCTTCACTTTCACTCACCACTCACTGACTTACCCAGAACAACTTCTAGTCCTACAAGCTCCATTCATGGTAAGTGCCCTTTACAGGTATACCATTTTATCTTTCATACTGTATTTTTACTATAACTTTTCTATGTTTAGATACAAAAATACCATTGTGTGACAAATTCAGTACAGTAACTGAATGCTGTACAGGTTTGTAGCCTAAAAACTATAGGCAGTGCCATATAGCCTAGGTGTGTAGGAGGCTGTGCCATCTAGGTTTGTGTAAGTACTCTATGATGGTCACATAATGATGAAATTACCTAAAGGTGCATTCCTCAGAACATATCTCTGTCATTAAGCAACACATGACTGTAATTGTGTCGTGCTCAGAGACGGCTGGGAATATTGGCTGTTTCCACAAGACAGACTGGAAAGCCTCATTCACGGAGCATTGGGTAGAGTGCATAGAATGGGCCTTGCCTCAGCTGTGGGAAACCATTAGCCCTAGACTGAACACTGTCCCTGTCTTGCCTAACAAGTGTTTAAAGCAAGGCCTGAAAGCATCAAACTATTTCTAAGTAGCTTAACTGAATTCTAGAACAAAGCTCAAGAAGATTTATAGGGATACAAAAACATCCAGCACCTAGAAAGGTAAAATCCACAATGTAATCTCCAAACTAGCAAGGATGCAGAAAAGCAGGAAAATAGGACCCATAATGAGATAAAAAGTGACATGTTAGAATTCAGACAGTATTCCATATGTTCAAAAAGTAGAGACATGGAAGATAGATGTCAATCCAACTTCTAGAGATGAAAACTGCAGTGTGTGAAATGTAAAACCTACTGTATGGGTTTAATGGCAGATTGGACATTGTGGAAGAAAAGATTCATGAGTTTGAAGAAGACATAGCAATAGAAACTAATCAAAGTCACACCAAAAAAATAGTCTATCAGTGAGCTGTGCATAAGTTTAAGCACCCTAGTGTGTAATGGGAGTAGGGGAAGGGAGCATACAAAGTATTTGAAGAAATGATAGCTTAAAAATTTGATGGAAACCATAAACCCACAGATTCAAGAAGATATGAACTCCAAGCACAAGAAGCATAAAAAAACCACACCACCCAGGCGTGGTGGCTCACGCCTGTAATTCCAACACTTTGAGAGGCTGAGGCAGGAGGATTGCTTTGAGGCCAGGTGTTTGAGACCAGCCTGGGCAATGTGGAGAGACCCTGTCTCTTAAACAAAAACCCAAACCAGAGTACACCATAATCAAATTGTTTAATACCAGTGATAAAGATAAAATCTTAAATGGACTAGGGGCAAAAAGGTACTGTTTTCAAGTGACTTGGAAATAGTTACAAAGGTAAGAAGTTACATTTCTTATAGGGAACAATTTGAGAAGCCAGTAGAGCAACATATTTCAAGTACCAAACAGAGAAAAACCCTGTCAACCTAAAATTACATGCCCAGGCCAGGTGCAGTGACTCACGCCTGTAATCCCAGAATTTTGGAAGGCTGAAGCTGGCAAATCACTTGAGGTCAGGAGTTCGAGACCAGCCTGGCCAACATGGAGAAACCCCATCTCTACTAAAAATACAAAAATTAGCTGGGTGTGGTGGCGGGCACCTGTAATCCCAGCTACTCAGGAGGCTGAGGCAGGAGAATCACTTGAACCCAGGAGGCGGAGGTTATAGTGAGCCGAGATCACGCCACTGCATTCCAGCCTGGGCAACAGAGTGAGACTCGATCTCAAAAAAAAAAAAAAAAAAAAAAAAAAAGTCTACGCACAGAGAAAATGTCTTTGAAATACAAAAGCAGCATACTTTTTCAGACAACAACTGAAAGGATTCATCAGTAGATCCGTTGTACCAGAAATGTTAAAGGAAGTTAAGTCAGGCAGGTAGAAATACACTAGGGACCAGAAACCCATGGTCTGCAAGCTGCTATTTTACTGCCTGCAGGCTAAGAATGTTTTTTTTTTTCCTTTTTTCAAGGGTTATAAAAGAAAACCAAAAATAACTCCTGACATTGCCCAGTGTTTCTTTTGTGGGGGGAGGGGCCCAGGGGCAGGGGACATAAAACTGCCTTCAGTTGAGAACCACTGGCTATATATGCATCCCAGTTAAAAGCTAAAGGTTGTTGAATTGGATAAAACAAGATCCAATTTTATGCCTCTTATAAGGCACACACTTTAAATGTAAAAAACCCAAATAGGTTAAAAGGATGAAAAAAGATATGATGGTAACACCAATTAAAGCTGGAATCTCTGTATTATTAGACAAAGCAGATTCTAGAGCAAAGAATACTGCCAAGGATGAAGAATGCAAAACGGAGCAACCACTGGAAAATATTTTGACTGTTTCCTGTAAAGTTAAACGTATCTATCATACGTATGATCTAGCCTTTCTACTCCTAGGTATTTACCCAAGAGAAAATGAAATATTTGTTCATGCAAAGACAAATGTCCATTGTAGCTCTATTTGTAATGACCAAAATTTAGAAACAACCAAAGTGCCTATCAGGTGAATAAACTGGAATACAATGGAACACATATGAGAATACTACTTAGCAGTGAAAAAGAATGAACTGTTGATACACACATGCAATTCATTTCAAGGTACACCTCCATAAAGCTTGTTAAAAGCTTGAGTCAGGAAGTGAGATATAACAATACAGTAGCTCTAATTTTATTTCTTTCAAAATTTCTATAATAATGTCCTTTTCCATATGTTGCAAAATTTCAGGAGCATATAGTACCTAGGGTGATTACCGCCCCTTTAACAATAATGTCTTTTGGAACCCTTGGATAAGTTGGAATGTTGAAATCCCTGTAATTATAAATATAGTTCATAAAAAATGCTGAAAATATCAGTAAAATATGTGGTATTATTACTTAGATATTGTCTTTGGAAATGTTTGCCAAATAGTAATTGCTTTTCAATAAGAAAAAAAGTACTGACCAACTAGTATTGAGTATTTAATAAAAATAACTTTTCATAGTGTGAAATCAGCAGACTGTCTTTGGATGCCAGAGTTTTGTTACATTTTCTGTGGGTTGATGATCATTGAAGCCAAGTATTGGGTAAAAGGGGAGTATTTATTATCATTCTTTCTACTTTTATGTTTGTTTGAAATTTTTTATCATAAAGCATTTTTTTTTGAGACAAGGTCTCTGTTGCCAAGGCTGGAATGCAGTAGCACAACGTTTAAAAAAATTATATTATCTAGCAATAGATATTCTATTCCTGAAAATACATTTCTGTTGTTTGATATATAATGACATTCTGTTAACAAAACACTACATATATGATGGTGGTTCCATGAAGTAATACTGTATTTTTACTCTACCTTTCCTAGTTTTGGATACATTTAGATACAGAAATACTTAACCTTTGTGTTACAATTGCCTACAGTAAAGTAACATGCTGTACTGGTTTGTAGCCTAGGAGCAAGAGGCTGTATATATAGCCAAAGTATGTAGTTTGTATCTGGGTTTGTGTAAGTATGCTCAGATGTTTGGGCAGTGACAATGGCCTAGTGACAGATTTCTCAAAATGTATCCCTGTTGTCAAGTAACAAATACTCAACTATATATCTAATTCAGTTGTGTCTGAGGTTATATTTAAACAACATGGTGTATCCTGTACTAACCGATCTTCCTACATTTCTCTACAAGTGTTATGCAGCTTATTTTCAACAAGGTGGATTATGAAGTCTGTACAGACTTATAGTAACTATTGCTTCCAAATGTTCTGCAGTGGTAAAAAGTAAATGAGCTACTGTGTTGTCACTCTGGATAGTTTTTAATTAATTAGCTGAGATTTAAAGTTATACATACCATATCCAGACATGTTAGAAGAAAATATGTGAGTTGTTTTCTGTCTCACAATATGCTTTAATGATGATAATAAGGCTTTATCACTAACAATAGTGCAATAACTAAGAAATTAGTCTGGGAACTTGAATGTATTTTTTTCCTTTGTCAGTGAGTTCAGCATCTTATATCCAAATAGCTTTTTTAATTTTGAAGATTTTAAGCCTTTATTTCAAGAATACCATTGACACATTTGATAAATGCACATATTAAATTATCTTCATTATAATCTTTTATACTTCCTTTTTTCTTTTTAGAATGTGACTTGTACGATGTTGGCTGTTGGTTTGAAATAAACAAAGAACAATACAAAAACCAAGTACAAAGAACAATACAAAAACCAAGTACAAAAAAAAATAAAAGAATGTGATTTGAATAAAGTCAAAATCTGCTGTTTAAAAACTCAACACTTTTCTCTGTTTTGTCACTTATTTTACATCCCAGATCCAGCAGTTGAACTTGAGCAGTTTTTACTTCATCATTCTTGATTATTTTTATTTTTGAAAATGTGGTTCAAGTGTAATTTGTAGTTTGATTAAAATGTTACAAGTTATAAATTTGAAAATACCATACTAGATAATGTGTTTTGACAAATGAACTGACCATTTACAACTGATACTTTTTTTGTCTTTATACTTCTGTCAGTAGCAGATGAAATCCTTCACACATTAAGTCACAAATAATTGAATTTTATTAACCAAAATTTTAATTGTTACAATCATTGGCTTTTCGATTAAGTTGATAGTTAAATTGACCATCTGTTTTTTTTTTTTTTTAGAGATAGAGTTTTGCTCTTGTTGCCCAGGCTGGAGTGCAATGGCGCAATCTTGGCTCACCGCAACCTCCACCTCCCGAGTTCAAGCGATTCTCCTCCCACAACCTCCCGAGTAGCTGGGATTACAGGCACCCGCCACCACGCCTGGCTAATTTTGTATTTTTATTAGAGACGGGGTTTCTCCACGTTGGTCAGGCTAGTCTCGAACTCCTGACCTCAGGTGATCCGCCCACATTGGCATCCCAAAGTGCTGGGATTACAGGCGTGATAAATTGACCATCTTATACCAGGAAGTCAAATGAGAAGACATCAGTAAAAATATTCTGGCCAACTCATGTTTTATTTATCATATCTTCATCATTAATTGCTTCTCATAATGCCACAGTTTGTCATGGTATTTGTGGCAGCAGGCAAAGTCCTTGTTCAGACTTTGATTAAATTGCTGTGGCATTTTTCTATTAAAAAGATCTCCTGTTTCAATCTATAGTTTGCCTGTGATCTGTGGGTTAAAAAGAGCTATTTTTTAATACTATTTTTAATAGTATTCAAATGGAATACTATTCCATTTGATTCAGTGTTTTGAGATAATATATGATTTTGCTTAGTCTCATTTGGATGAAATGAATATTTCCAGATCTACATGTCAAATAAGAGGGTACTGCAACTTGGTATGTAACTCCTAAAAAATAGAAATTGTTTAATATGAGTTAAAACTTCAATTTTAACAAATGTTGAGTGCCTATATCATATGCCAAGCATTGGACTAGGTACTTGTACATGTTTTCTCATGGACTGCCATCAAGGTTAAAGAGGTTGCCCGTGATCATGTGGCTGTTTAGTGAAAGAGCCAAGAACCTAAGTACTACGACGTGTATTCAGGTGCCCTTTGCACTGTCCCATGATTCAAATCATTAAAGGTGGGATGTGATTTTCAAGATTATTTAATAGCTGCAATTTGTAATGGGTACAAATATGGTTTATAATGTTTACATTAAACTAGAAACTATGCAACATCCAGTAATTTTAAAATTACGATTATTTTGATTGATAATTTATAATTGTATACATTTATGAGATACAATGTGATGTTTTGATATATGTCTACAATGTGGAATGATTACATCAAGCTAATTAACACATTTAGCACTCCATTTGCCTGTCTTTTTTTTTTTAATGGTGGGACATTTGAAATTTACTCTTAGTTTAGTTTAGTTTTGTTTGTTGAGACAGGTAGCAGCTCTGTCACCCAGGCTGGAGTGCATTGTTGGGATCACAGCTCACTGTCACCTTGACCTCCCAGGCTCAAGCCTCAGCCTCCCGAGTAGATGGAATCACAGGCACACACCACCACACCTGGCTAATTTTTTTGATGTTTAGTAGAGACAAGGTCTCACTATGTTTCCCAGGCTTCTCTTAGTTATTTTGAAATATTTATTATTATTGACTGTAATCACCCTGCTGTCCAATAGATCTCAAAACCTATTCCTCCTGTCTACCTGACACTTTGCATGCTTTGATCAACAACTCATTCCCACCCCCACAGCCTCTGGTAACCATCATCCTCTCTTTACTTATATGAGTTTAACTTTATTTTAGATTCCACAAATGTGAGATCATGTGGTATGTGTCTTTATTTTATTTTTTTAGGCAGGGTCTTGCTCTGTCTCCCTGGCTGGAGTGCAGTGGCGCCATCATGGCTCATTGCAGGCTGGACCATCCTGGGCTCAAGCAATCTTCCCACCTCAGCCTCCTGAGTAGCTGGGACTACAGGCATGCACCACCATACCTGGCTAATTTTTTAACTTTTTGTGGTGGTGGAGTCTACTTATGTTGCCTAGGCTGGTTTTGAACTCCTGGGCTCAAGTGATCCTACTGCCTTGGCCTCCCAAGGTGCTTGGAGTACAGGTGTGAACCACCGTGCCCAGTCCCAAAATTCATATTTTTAAACTGAAAAGCCAAGTCACCCTAAAAGGTTTGTATTACAAGAACAAGATGAGGAAATGGTCATTTTTTTTTTTTTAAAAAAAGGTTGTCAGTAGGAAATTGAGGCAATTCTGTTTGTATGCATTTGGCCTCAAGGAAGTGATTCAGCTTCCTCTTGCATTAGCTCAAGGGTGTGGCTTATGGTCTTGGACAGTTCACTTGTGATCCAGATTCCTTTGGAGGGTGTCAGAACAGGTGCAGGTACACTAATCATCGGATTCCTACCAACAGCCAAATCTGTCTCAGTTGAGAGCCATGTATTTTACTGGGTTCTTTTTTTCCCTTAAATTTAAGAATTTTGGACTGGGGGCCAGATATTCTCATCCTAAGTTTGTGTTTCTTTTCTCAGATAAACGTTATTTCTGCTCAACTAGCATAGAATTTTATTTTTTATTACATATTTAAAAACATGTCGGGGCTCTAGTATGCACAATGCTCTAGGCTAGGCAGTGGAGTTGGGAAGAAGAGTGGGAAAGAGTGAAACAAATATAAACTTGGGTTATATTTGAATATTAGCTGTGGGTGTTTAGCATTCAAGTAATTTTAGATACATCTCGCAAATTTGTAAGGTAGTCCCAAATTAAGTTTTACTGAATTGGTTGGGGTAATTCCTGCAAGGTAGACCATCCTAAGGATAGAAGAAATGAGCTGTACTAATAATAAGCCGTTGTTGGAGAGAAGGAGGGATTCTGATTATAGGGGTATGGCTGTACCTCAAGTTTGCCTTGGCTAAGATGCCTGACACCGCATCTGATGCCCAGGGAGGTAGGGGGCTCTAAGTAAATATGGTTGACGGCTACTTCACGTAAACACATGAGTTGAAACAACCCGCCACTGGAACCCTTTTAACAATATGTCACAAATAAGAAAGGCATTCTTTCCTACATTGGCAGCTAAGCTCATAATGGCTACCTGAAAATAGAGGTTTCGAGGAAGAATGGGAGAGACACGTGGCTCAGTTTTCATCTGGGGTAGCAATGTAGCTGTAGTGGGAGTGAATTTATGACTGAGCACATGAAAAACATTCCTGATAATTCAGAAGCCCTTTGCATTAAGGGTGGGGAGATTTTGCTGAAGTTTAGGTTCTAAACTTCAACCTTAAACTTAATGAATCATTAAGATTCACATATTAATGATATTGTGACATTTGTACCTGTAGGCTGTTGGGGACTGCAGAAATAAGGGTTATATAAAGATGAGCAGGACAGGAGTGGTGGCTCATGCCTGTAATCCCAGCACTTTGGGAGGCCAAGGTGGGCAGATCACCTGAGGTCAGGAGTTTGAGACTAGCCTGGCCAACATGGTGAAACCTCGCCTCTACTAAAAAATACAAAAGTTAGCCGGGCGTGGTATCAGGCGCCTGTAATCCCAGCTACTTGGGAGGCTAAGGCAGGAGAATTGCTTGAACCCGGGAGGCAGAGGTTGCAGTGAGCTGAGATCGTACCATTGCACTCCAGCCTGGGTGACAAGAGTGAAACTCCGTCTCAAAAAAAAAAAAAAAAAAAAAAAAGGATGAGGGCCCACTTTGGTGGGGGAAAAAGATATGTTTATGTCAATAAAATAAACAGTATATTTAACTTTATAAGTGAGGTACTGTACTAGGTACCTCATCAGATGACACATAAGAGTGCCTGGGTCCTGTTCAATAGGAATTAGTGTGCCAATATGATTTAACTGAGGGAGAGTCATTAGATTTTTTGTTTTAGAAACATTGCTGACTAGCTGGTTTGGTGCAAGGATTGAAATGAGAAGCTGAAAGCAGGGAAACCAGTAGTTCAAGGAGAAGGTAAGTAGGGCCCATACTAGGTCTGTATTAGTGTAAGCAGAGAAGGGATGAATTAGAGATGTTTGAGAGGACTATGTGTCTTATTAAGATACTGAGTGATGGAAAAATGAAAGCTTTTAAGATAACTCCAAAATCTCTAGAAGCAGTATTGTGTGTTACCTAAAAAGATAGAAGCTCTGAAGCCAGACTGCCTAAGTTTGAATCTTGGCTCTGCTATTTCTTAATGGGGTAGTCTTGGGCAAATTATGTAGCTTCTTTAAGTTTTTCATCTGAAAAATCAGGATAAGAGTGCCTACAATTCATGCAGTCATTCTGTGAATATAAATACTCTAAAACCAAAAAGTCTTTAGATTGGTGACTTGCACTCAGGTTTGTTTGCTGTCATTATATTAGCCAGGGTAAGTCAATGAACAGTGATGAAAATGAGATGAGAATACAGAAACCTTGGCAAACTCAGAGGACAGAAAATGGTGAGTTCACTTTTGGACTTACTGAATCTGTAGCTTCTGGCAAATGATAGTCACCTAGTGTTTGTTGAGTAGTGACAGAAATAAGCAGATTTTTCTTTAAAAAAAAATTATGTGACAGGTACTGTTGTGAGCTCTTTGACTATATAATCTCATTTAATCTCCACCACAGTCCACTAGAATAGGTAGTAGTATTTCCATTTCACAGATGAGTGAGCAGAATAGTGAACAGTTTTGTGGCTTAACGGTAGTAGCAAAGTCCTCATTCCCAGAAGGCAAAAGAGGTTCTGTTTTACCCTGCTGGTAGTAAGTAAGAAAGTGGACCAGCTGAGATTTGAACCCAGACAATCAGTCCAACTCCAGTGTGCTGAATGAACCACTACAACAGGTCAAACCATTTTGAAACCTCTGGCCCCTAATATCTTAATAGAGATACTGAGACTAGAGTCTATTATGGTATCCTATTTCATACAGTGTTAGGTGTCTAATAATAAAGATACCTATCATTTATTGAATGGCTACTATGTCCCATGCAGTGGAGTACTTAGTGTATTGTTAGTTTTTCAATAATGAATGACTATTATCAATGTATAATATTACCCCTATCTTTGGAGAGGAATATCATACAAATATTATGGTATATATAAAGGAAAGGATATCATTTCTAGGAATTTTCAGTAAAAGACTGGCAAGAATAAACATATGTAAACTTGTAATTCTTCACAAATAATAGCATTCCTTTTATTTTGACCCATCTTAAAGCTACCCAAATTAGAAAGTTACATTTGGTAAATATTTTACAACCATTTCTTATTTACTCATTGCTTACCCTGCACACTAGGTCAATATGCTCTATTGTTTTATGGGTCAGTTATTCAGTGACAGAAAGATTATTCTGACAAAGATCTGGTAGTAACAATTGTGCACACTGAACATTTTTTAAAATCTGGGAATAATGTTTAGCCACAAACTTGTTCACTATTCTGCTGTTCCTTGTCAGCAACAAGAACACCTTTGCAAAGACAAAAAAAAATTACATCTTACTATAGTATCAGCTACCTAGGAGTAGATTACATAAAGATAATGGATTGAATGGATTGATTCAATTTTAACTACCTCTAGAATGATATTGAAAAAAACAATTTTTATCCTTCACCATTTCTGGGCTGGGAATGGTGACGAGAGGCTCACTTGAATTATCCAAGTAGAGCTTTTTTATTACCAGTGATTTCTAAGCTTGACCTTTTCAAGGAACAATGCATATCTGATGATCTCTTGGGATAGTCTCATTATTTAATGTATATAGCAATATTAAAAGATAGTATTGAATGCTTAATATGCCAGGTACTGTGAAAGCCTATTACACTTATTCCGTTAATCTTTACAACAACACTATGAAGTATATTTTACTCTTTTTCATAGTTTATTAAGTGAGGACCTAGAAACTCAGAATAGATGATTTGCCCTGGGTCACACAAGTGCCACCACCTTTGAACTTAAATATGAAGACTACCCTCTAGAGTTGGTAGAGCCGTGGAAGGAGCCTATGCCCCTAAATAAAGTAGAGCTGTCAAACCAGTTCTGGACCACGTTTAGCCAGCTTCAAAGATGGCCCTCAATTAATCCCTTCGTTTATTAGGTACACCATTGTGTAAGCAATCCCCTCCCACACTGTACTGGGGTTGTTCTGTATGACCAGTAGCATAGGCATGAGTGATGGGATGTCTCTTCTGAGATTATGTTATAAAAGACTGACTTATTTTGGGTTTGAAATCATTTGCTCTCTCTCTTTATTGGCCCTCACCTTGAGGAAAGCAAGCTACCATATTATAAGTAACTCCATAGAGAGTACCATGTGGTGAGGACCTGAGGTCCTTATTCTAACAGCCTATGAGGATGTGAGGCCTCTCAACAGCCACCTGAGAGAACCTGAAAGCAGATCCTTCAGTCCTAGGTTATGTCATCGGATGATCGCAGCTTTAGCTGCCAATCTGACTGCAGCCACATGAGAAAACCTGATCTAGAACCACCCCATAAGCCACTCTGTAATTCCTGATCCTTAAAAACTGAAATAATAAAGCCATTTAAGTTTTAAAGGGTGCTTAAGCCATTCAAGTTTTGGGTTAATCTTAAGCAACAACAGATAACTAATACATGAGAAAAAGAGAAAAAAAAGACCCCATCTTGCTTAAGGCACTGTTATTTTCTATTTTCTGTCACTTACAACTAAATGTGACAAGTCCCTTCTCCAGTTAATTTGTAGAATTAACCTAAAGAAACAGCTTTGAAATACTATTCCTAAGGTTCCCAAACACTGAAAATTGGCAGAGACCAAAGAGAACATCATGACCAATCTGCTCATTTTACAGGTAAAATAGCTAACATTTAGTGCTTCCCATGCCAGGCTCTGCTAAATTCCATAAAACACTTAGTTCTCAGGATACTCTGGAGACTCACTATCCCTTTACAGATGAGAATACTGGTTCCACACTCCAACCCATTTTGCTTTACTGTCTCTTCACTGTAAAAGAACACTTTTAAAACAGTGCAATTACAAGCACATGCCAAAGTTTTGTTACAACCTTGCACACAGGGGAAACACCTATAGTAGTCCAAAGAATCACCTTGGTAGAGACATTTTAGGGAAAGTGAATGGAACTAATCACAGTTAAATTGGTTACACAAATAAAATAATGATTCGTTAAAGGTTACCTAACTTTTTTTTTTTTTTGAAATGGAGCCTTGCTCTGTCACCCAGGCTGGAGTGCAGTGGCTCAAACTAGGCTCACTGCAACCTCCTTCTCTCAGGTTTAAGTGATTCTCCTGCCTCAGCCTTTCCAGTAGCTGGTACTACAGGCGTGTGCCACCATGCCCGGCTAATTTTTGTATTTTTAGTAGAGATGGAGTTTCGCCATGTTGCCCAGGTTGGTTTCAAACTCCTGACCTGAAGTGATCCGCCCACCTCGGCCTCCCAGTGTTGGGATTACAGGCGTGAGCCACCGTGCTGGGCCACCTAACTCTAGACTGACTTATCTGGATGACTGGTGACAGATTTCCCTTAACAAGTCAGCCTGGGAGAGTCCTTTTTACACATGTTGTAGATTAATTAATATGTATTAATAATCTAGCACCTTTTATCACTCAAAAGTGTCCCAGACCAAGTCTTTACAGTCGAGGAAATGAAGGCTCCAGAATGGCCAAGTGATTTGCCCTAGATCTTGTGGGTAGGTAGGTAGTGAGAAGTGGGATTAGAATTCAAATCAATGTTTCGTGTATTAGCCAGGCTATTGGTCAGTGAACACAAATAAGATGTATACATGACATCTCTATTTCTAGGTAGCTCTCAGCATTTAAATTTTTTAGGAGGTGTCTTGTGTAATTGGGGATTTTTTGGTACTCTGTTTTGAGTTTTTAAAACAATGTCGGGGCTGGGTGCGGCGGCTCATGCCTGTAATCCCAGTGCTTTGGGAGGCCATGTGGGAGGATTGCTTGAAGCTAGGAGTTCAAGATCAGCCTAGGCAACATCATGAGACTGCACCTCTACAAAAAATAAAAATAAAAAATTAGCCTGGTGTGGTGGCACGGGCCTGTAGTCTTAGCTATTCTGCAGCTGAGAAAGGAGGATCATTTGAGCCTAGGAGTTTGAGGCTGCAGTAAGCTATGTTTGTGCCACTGCACTCCAGCCTGGGTGACAGAGTGAAACCCTCTTTAAAAAAAAAAAAAAATGTCAGGGGTAGGGAGGAAGGAAACAGAACTGATACTTTCCTAATACTTTTTTTTCCCCTCTCTGTAGGCAGGGATTAAGCAACTGCCTGCCAGATTTCATCACTACAATGAATGTAACTCTGACACTTTACAGGAACTTATCATTTCTTTCCATTCCAGAAACTTGTGATACTTTCTCACTACATGGTGCAAACAGCTGAGTCAAGTTGTCCCTGAGAGTAGCCACCTTTCCCTCAGGCCATACACATGGAACCATTCTTTCTCCCTACAAGTCAGCCCATAATAGAGCCTCTGGTTGAAAATCAAGATTTTGGTGTTCACTTGGCAATATTTACTAAGAGGTAAATGACGCAAGGTAGGTGACATAAAGGTATATTTGGGAAATGGAAGGCTCTTCTCTGTCTGAAAATTTTGCAAGGAAACTTTATGGACCACTATACACATTATATCTCCAGATTTAAAATGAAAGAGACTATGATTTTAGTATTATCTAAACTTCTCTTCAAAAGGAGATCTAAGGAATGGGACTACTCTATATTTGGACAGTTAACGTAGTTTGCGGTGCAGCTCACATTCTCCTGGTAGAAGGAATTAGAAATCTGAGTAAAGAGATTCCCAGAACTGAATCTTACCCAGTACCCAGTTTAGGAATCAATTTTTGCTTATGAGGTCAAAATGAGAACCCTTTAAAGGAGGGTAACAATTGTTGAAATTAGGACTTTAAATATAGCTTGTTTGGATTAGTTTTTCTTAAAAACCATATATGTATATTACTGAATAACAGGAGTATTTTGGTTTGTAAAAACTTTTCAAATTCTCATTCATGCAGCAAGAAATATTTTATGCCTACTATGTATGCCTACTACTTGTTCAGGGAATGTAGATAAACATTATTACATAATGTCAGGTACTTAAAACTGCTAAGAAATTAATTATTTTACTGGGTACCCTTCCATTTATGACATTCTTCTGATTTTTTGTCATTAAATATATTATTTAGTTAAAGCACAGGAGGGACTGAAATTAATGAGGAAGAAACATTGATCACTGCAGCTGATTAAGGATGGGGTGGATAGTATGAAACTGAGTTTAAAAGCTGGGAAATTCCAAGAACAGTAATCAGGATTTATTCAACTTTATATCTCAAGCTCCTGCTGCATATTGGGTGTCCAGTTTAACGCTGAATATGAAAAAATTAAGTCTCTGGAGTCCCAGATGGATAATTTTTCTTAATATTTAATGCTGAACTTAAGGGCCACTTCTACCAGAAAGCCCTCTGTGGCTATCGAGAAAGTAGATTAAGACATCATCCTGTATGTGCCTGTCTTAGTCTGTTTTCTATTGCTTATAACAGAATACCTGAAACTGGGTAATTTATAAAGAAAAAGAATTTATTTCTTACAGTGTGGGGCTGAGAAGTCTATGGTCAAGGGGCTGCATCTGATGAGGGCCTTTTTTCTGGTGGCGACTCTGCAGAGTCCCAAGGCAGTGCAGGACATCACATGGCGAGGGACTCAGCATGCTGGCACAGGTCTTTCTTCCTCTTGTAAAGCCACCAGTCCCACTCCTATGATAACCCATGAATCCTTTAATCCATGAATGAATTAAGCCATTCATGAGGGCAGAACTTTCATGACCCAATCACCTCTTAAAGGCCCCACTTCTTAATACTGCCTTATTGGGGATTAAGTTTCAGCATGAGTTTTAGAAAGGACAAACATTCAAACCACAGCAATTCCTAAATCAGCCTGCTGCAGCAGTTGTTGATTGACTATTTTGATGGACAGTAAGGATCAACTCTGGTACTGAGTGAGGACTATGATTCCAACTGGGTCAAAACGTAAACATTCTTTCATTGCTTGTTTTCACAACTAATCCCCTATTAGGGAAAGTGCTGTGTCACATACTCAAACGGAGTGAAATGCCTTAGAATTGACCCTCCCTGGCCAATAACCCTTTCCAGGGTTCTCAAAATTAGGCTTGGAAACTACTATAGAAGAGGCCTATTGATAACAGAATAAGTTATATTTTTAGGTTGCCAGAGAGAGAATGAGAGTAGGTAAGAGAAACGACCAATTCTACCAGTTATTCTACAATGTGGGTTTTCACTGCTCTGTTCACATGCCTTATTCAGACTTCTTGTGGTGGTCAATTGCTAGATGGTCTGTTGGAATTATCTGCTGTCATACATCCAAAAAGGTCTCACAGAGAGGTAAAGTGACAACCTTGGTCTTAATAACCCTCCCAAATCTGCTGTAGTTGCAGTAACCTATGGTAATGATACTACACTGATCAATGACCTCTTTAGAGCTAAAGTTCAGTAAAGTCAGTCATTTATTTTGGATATATCAGGTGATTAATTGCTACATAATTCAGCATATGGAGCTAATGTTAATAGCTTTCCATGGGAAAAATTACTCACAGGGATTATTTTTAAAATCACTTTCTTTCATTTTGTCATCTAAAACAAATTCCTTGAAATGGCCAGTGTCCAAAGTGGCTGTTACTACTTTTCAGCTGATTATAGAGCTTCAAATCTGGGTTACAGTGAAACTGTGTGGATGGACTTTTTTTGTTGTTGTTGCCAAATACCTTTTTAATGTGTCTGGTTCTACAGATGGATACACTAGTGAACAGCACAGACACAAACAGTTGATTGGACAAGACAACATAGCATATTAAACATTAGTAAAAATGAGGAAATTACACAGTGCTATGAACTACCCTCATTCTTTTTTCCAACATATTTACTGAATACTCACTTTATGACAGACATCATTCTAAGTGCTGAGGATAAAACAAAGTGCATGTTCTCATGGAGCTCATTTCTCTATATAACTGGTTCACCTGAGGTCTGATTCTGCATTCCAAGATAGCTGGAGTGAAAGATTAGTATGAGGTAAAGAAATAGAGGGTAAATAAGAAAATGCTCTCTGGAGGTTATTAAAAAATATAGAGGCAAAGTCCTGGCAAAAGAACGAGAAACGGGGTGAAAGGGAGAAGGAGGAAGAGAGAAATTAATCTTTATCAAATATTTTATTATTATTCTATTTCTTAAGCCTTATTCCTGCTTCTTAAGACAGACTGTGAATAAGCCATCTCTGTATCCCAACTAATGCAATGACTCTGGGGGTACTGTCAGATCCAGATTTATATGACAGATTTTTGACTTACTAATTTGTGGGACCCTAGGCAACTACTAGAATGTCTTGAAGACTTAATTTCCTGCAGCACTACCTCATAGAGTTGCTTTAAAAAAGTATTACTAGCTTACAGACGGTACTGTTATAAGTGCTTCAAATATATAAATCCTCATAAAGATTCTGAGGTAGGTATTATTAGCTTCATTTCATGTCAGAGCAAACTGAGGCATAAAGAAGTCATATAGCTTGTTAACGGTTGTATAGCTAGTGTCTGGCAAAACCAGGAATCTTAACTTCCAGAGTCTGTGGTTTAACCACTGTTCACACTGTCTATAATAGCATATAGTAATATAAGATTAGAACTAAATAGGGTGCATTCCACTGCAAAGTTCTTTCTCACCTTCTTCTACTCCATTATTTGTTGACTATTTACTGATCCCCATGTTGTCTTGCAACTGTGATAGATAATAGAGAACAAGGGTGAACACAGCATATCTGGTTCTTGCCCTCCTGGAGGTTCTGGCCATTAAGCAAATAACAATTCCTCCCAAGGTTCTCAGGCTTCCCTGTTTTCTCCTATTTCTCTATCTGTCCAGCAGTACTCCAGCCAACCAATCTAAGACTGACCGGCGTGAGCAGAGAACAGAGTCTCCAGGAGGTCTGTGGCCAGGGCCAGGCGATTTATGGGAAAGAGGCAGACATTTTCCTGGGTTAGTGACCTTGTTTTCTCTCCGAACCTCCGCTTAAAATGGCGGGATTTGTACCAAGGTTCTTTCCCGCACCAACCTTCCATTATTCACCCTTCTCCCCACCCCCAAGGCCCGTCGGGCCTATCCCTGACCCGCGTTCCTGCACTTGAGGTGCATTTCCGCACCTGGATCCCCAGATACTGTTTTTCCCCCACGTTGAGTCTCCCGAATTTCACGAGAACTCTCTCTCGCGGTCTCTGCCCCGCCCCTCGCACCCAGGCCCCGCGCCCGCTGTGGGCTGCCGCCCGGGACCGAAGCTCTCAGAGCCCGCAGCTCTGGTTCACCAACCGCTGGGTGGGAGCCAGGCCCGGCCTTTGAGTGGCGGCCGGGGTGGTCTGCGCTCGGCCCCAGGAAAAATCTGGCACGGGCCAATCGCAGGGAGGCGAAGGGCAGCTCCGGAGGTCCTGGCCAGAAGCATTGGTCACCCAGGCCAAGCAGGCGTCGGGGCGTGGGCACAAGCAGAGCTCGCGGCCCTGACCGCGGCCATTGTGCTTGGCTGCCTCTCCTCAAGGCCGTGGTGGGCAGGGCAGCAACGGGAGAAGCGCCGAGAGCGCCACTGCAACGACTTTCCCCTACCCTCAGCTACTGTGCTTTCATGTAGTGAAAGAAACAGGGAAAAGGTTTGGGTTCCTTCTGCGGCTTATGAAGACGACAAAAAACGAAAAGAGTGGGGGCGGGAGGCAGAAGCCGCGAGCCTCTGCGCGCGCCCGGTCACGTGGGCCGCAGGGATCGCATGGCGGCGGCCTGCGCGCCCCCGCGTCCCCGCCGGCCAAGCCGACCGGGCGCGCGCGCCGACGGGGCGGGCGCATGCGCAAGGGGGCGCGCCGCCTCTGCCCCGCGGCGAGGGTGTCTATGGAGAGGCGGCGGCCGCGGCTGCTGAGGCGGAGGCTGAGGCAGTGGCGATGGCGCCCTTTCCTGAAGAAGTGGACGTCTTCACCGCCCCACACTGGCGGATGAAGCAGCTGGTGGGGCTCTACTGCGACAAGGTAACGGAGCGCTGAGCCTCCCGCTGTGGGCGGTGCGGGCGGCGATGGGGAGCGGGCTGGGTTCTTGGGGCGGCCTGGCCTGCGCCGCGCCCGCAGCCCCGTGCCGTCGCCGCGCGAGTAGCCGCCTGCGCAGCTGTCAGCGCCGCCCGCTCCCGCAGCCTGCCCGCCCGCTGCGAGGCCTTCGCAGAGCCGGCCTGGCCGCCGCCTCGGACGTGCTCTCGGGGCGGGCGGCGTCCCCTGCCGAGGGCCTGGCGGCTGAGGAGGGGCGCTACCGGCGTCACTGGCCGCCCTCGGGCCGGCCCCACCGCCGCGCTGGGACTCCCGCTGCTGCCTCTAAGGAGAGCGGCCCTACCTCCTCGAAGCCCTGGGTGCCCCGGCCGGCCACCTGCGGTGGACTCCCATCTGCACCGAGTAGTTGTTCCCGTCCCCCGTCACTCCCCCGGGCCTGTTCGGGGCTCTCCGTGCAGACACCCACCCATCCTCTGCACCTCTCGCTGGCTTCCTGGCTGGAACTGCAGCGTCTCCCAGCTACCCGGTTCCTTTTACCCCCGGCTTTCTTCACTGGTTTGATTTGGGAGAAAAGCCAAGTTTAGAACTGAAGAACCTTCACTCTTCATGTGTCGTTATCGTTTTCCTTGCAACTTTTATTGCCCTGAACACTTACTGGATGTAGATTTTGTTATAAGACAGCAATTCTCTCTTGGATTTCTTTATATGAGCTCGAATAAAGGGGGCCTCAGGAAAAGTTGGTTTAACTGTGAGAACCATTTTGGGCCCATAATTGGTGCAGCATAAGCTGAAGAGGCACTTTTGTGGAGATGGTTCAGGGCCCTTTGCTAGTGATTTTAAAACAATATTAACATTCCACGTATTTGTCAGTTTATGTTGGGGAAAGTCATGGATATCTGCAAACCTCAGGCAGTCCCGTTTCTTGTGGAAATGATCCAACTAAATAAAGCATTCAAATGACTACTGTTTAAGCATAGAAATCAACTTTTAGGAATTCTCAGAAATTGCATAGCATTATGCAGAACCATTGTCTACAGAAAAGAGGGGTGTTTCATAGCTCAGCCAGGCGATTGGAGGATGCCCAGGGTATTCACTGTTAGGCCACACTCAAGACCAGCAATTTAAAGCAGTGACGTTGAATTTCAAATCTTAGCACTCCATCTTCTCCCTCCCTCCATTCTGAAAATTTAGAAACACCCAGTTCACATGAGTTGGAAACACCAGGACTGTCTAGGACAATGGTTTGCAACCTTGGTTGCTTATTAGCCTTAAACTAAAAACTATTAGAAGTCCTGATGTCTAGGTCACTAAAATTAGGATTTCACCCAGACATCAGGTATAAATGATTAAAGCTCTCCATTTGAGTGCAGTATGCAGCTGAGGGTGAGAACCACTCATCTAGGAGAAGCATGAGGAATGGTTAAGCCATTAAGCAAGAGGGTATATCCCTGAATTTTTTACTTAGCAGTATTATAGTGTTTTTATCCTCTCTGGCTTTTGAATATCGTTCATTCAGACACCATTCTTTAATAGCAGGAAAGAAAAAAAAAATGGTCTCAAAAATCGAAAGTGGAAGTGAAGACTAACAGAATCCAAGGTTTTCTCTCCACTTTAGACTGTGGAGAGGTAGCCTAGGATCACCTGAAATTATATGGAAAATTTTGTGCGTGTGTCCATTTTCCTAGGGTGTTTGTAGCTTTCATCGATTTCCAGATGATTGTGACCTCCCAAAATAAAGAATCACAATTTAATTTACTTGCAGACTAAGGCTAAGCAGCCTTATTTTAAAATTTTCAAGAAGTTAGTCGCTCTTTTTCTGTCTCTTCCTGGTGGTTGAGAGTATTTGAACAAATTTTGAAAATGCAGTTGCTTTTTTACAAGATATCTGAGCCAAGAGTCTTTTCAGTAATGTTCCCACTTGCATAACTAGTTTAATAAAGCATTTTCAATTTGACATGGTGTAAGTCAAAATTATTACTAATTCTGAATTAATTAGATATAGTTAATGAGATTGTTGTATACGTTTATCACGAAGATTAAAAGTCCAATTTTCTGAACTGAAACTGAGGCGATTTAGGGAAAAAAAAATGCATAGGAATTTTACATCTGGATTTCTTCTTGATACTGATAGCCAATGGAAATCTCTCTTAGGATGTCCTTTGGGAGCTAGAGTGGAAAATAAGTATTTTGTAATGGTTCAGTAATCTTAAAGGAATTAAAGGAAGAGTACCTTGTTTGTTTTTATCCATTTATCATCTCACGTTTTGCCATCCTTTGGTTGTATAGACCAAGGATATCCAACCAAACAGTTTACAATAAAACTATATAAAATGAGAACTAGTTTTTATGCTCAGACTAAAAAGGTACAAAATAGTTATTTCACTGTACAAATTTGGGCTCTGAATGCCCAGTTATTATCAAGAAGTCAGTTACTATTTTCAATATTGAACTTCTCAAGTAGAATGTATTTTAGAAGCATCCATTTATTTACTAGCATCAAGTAAACCACTTATATGCTTAAGCCAGTTAGTATAATGTATTCCAAAGTTATGTTAGTCTACTTATTTTTTAGGTATAAAGGTGAATAGGATGAGAAAATAAATTTTCAAAAGCTGACAGATGTATGTCTTAGACCATTTTAAATATTGCTGTACAATACCCGATTTAATACTTTGCCCATGGATTTCTTTTTACATCTGTAAAAAGTTTTATGGAAAGGTTTTTCACCTTTGTTATCCAGACAACAGTGCTTTGAGTTATGTAAAGACAAGGTATTTCTGTTTTATAGCTGGGGACTTAGAGGCCTAGATTAGCTAGGCCAAGGTTACATAAGCAGCTAGTGGTAGATTCAGATGGAAACCCAAGTCATTGTTAGGATTCCTAGTTTAATTTTCTTTATATTAAATCATAGTAGTTTCTTACTTTTTTGGGAACAATCTGCTAAGAAATCTCCTGCTAATTCACTGACCTTTCAGACTGGGATGATGTTAGTAAATATTTATATTGAATGACATCCTTTTTCCATTTTACTTCAATTTCTCAGTCTTTTCTCCAGTTCTCCAAGGTTAACTCCATTAATTCTGTCAGTGAGCATTGGAGTTTCTACCGTCTACTCTGTAGTAGCTTGTACTACAGAAAGACGTTGGCAATGTGACATGTGGTCTCTAGTCTCAAAAAGTTTACAGTCCAGTATGTAATAACATCTATGCTAGGATGGAAATCCAAATAGGGTATAGTGGGAGCAAAGGGAGTTACACGGTCAGCTCCACATTAAAGTGTCAGGAGTGGTCTCTTTGAATTGATTTCTGAGAGAAGAGTAGGCTGTGGTTGTCAGGATGTGGTTAGTTCAGAGATTCCCAGGCTTATATATAAACCAGTTATTAAAAACTCAAGTGGTGGAGGCCTTAAGGTGTGCCCAAATTTTTCAGGTAAGGGTATTAAAAGTGCTGTTTACTTTTATGAAAGAATTTATTTATACATTTATTTATACAGATAGGACATTTTATGACCCAAAACTCTTAAGTGGGAAGAAGCTTAGAGTAATTTGAATATATCCTTTTTTAAAAAATGAGTGAGTATAGCTTTATTGTCAGTTTTCCTTCCCCCCTCCGCCATTTTTCTGCATACCTGTAACAATTTATTGACTGGCATTTGAGAAGATTGGCTTAGTGGAGAAAATATTGAATTGAGACCTGTGGAAGAAGGAAAAGGGAATTTAATGAGTTCTTACTACATGTCTACATTGTTTCTTTTAATCTTCACGAACTACTTAAGCCAAATATTATCCTTCATTTAAAGTTGAGGAAACAGTCTTAGTGGTTAAGTAACTTACCCAACTCATTCAATTAGTAATTAGTAGAGCCTGAATTTTAATCTTAGGATTTTTTTTCCCCTTCGGAAGCCCATGGGTTTTGCATTACCTTACTAGTTCTGCTACTTATTGGTAGCTCTATGATTTTATGCAAAACAGTTTACCTGTGGGTCATCATTTTTTCCATCTGTAAATTTGATCAGCTACTTACTAAGGTTTCTTCACTGAGTATAAGTCTCCCTTGATTAAATTAAAGCATTGTCTGAGTGAGTAGACAAAGTAAAAATGTATTTGGGGGAATAATATATGTGTTTTTGTTATGCCGTTTTCTTATCTATTTTTGAATGTACTGTATCGTCTTTAAGTGACATACCACTTTTGAGAATCAGTTTGAAACCAGGCTGTAATACTTGATTTATCACTGTAGAATGTCTGAGACAGAAAGTCAGTTATAGGTTGGGTGCAGTGGCTCATGCCTGTATCCCAGCACTTTGGGAGGCCGAGGCAGGTGGATCATGAGGTCAGGAGTTCAAGACCAGCCTGGCCAAGATGGTGAAACCTCATCTCTACTAAAAATACAAAAATTAGCTGGGCATGGTGGCGGGGTCCTGTAATCCCAGCTACTCAGGAGGCTAAGGCAGAATTGCTGGAATTGGCGATTGCACTCCAGCCTGGGCGACAGAGTGAGACTCTGTCTCAAAAAAAAAAAAAAAAAAAAAAAAGAAAGTCAGTTATAAATCCTTTTAAAATGTGGAAGATATCATGTTACTATTTGTTAATTATGTGCGTCCTTTTATATATATAAGTTCTTTGTTGAATTTGTGAGGCATCAGAGTATATAACTTTATAGGTCACTAGGAACCTTTATATTTTACTGTAGAAGAGTGCTCTTCAAAATGTGTCCTGTGACCTATTAGTAGTAGGTCATAAATCTCTTTTGTGGGTCCGAAACAGCATTAAAAATTTAAACCGAAAAGTAAATACTAGAGTACATCACAGATAAGAGAGGGAAATACTGTTCCCTGAAATTTGTTTGAAGTGTTTGTGATGCGTGTGAATCTGGATTGCACTATATTTCATACTGAAGGTCATGGTTAACAGTATTTGAAAAACAGTTTTCTAGAGCAACATTTCTTAACCAAAGCATTATTGACATTTTGAGGCAGATGATTTCTTTTTTATGGGGGCTGTCCTGTGCGTTGTAGGATGTTTAGCCACATCCCTGGGTTTTATCCACTAGGTGTCAGTAGTACATTTCCGGTGGTGACAACCAAAACTGCCTCCAGATCTTGCCTTTTATCTCTGGGGGATGGGTAGTGGGGTGGCAAAATTACTGCCTTGGTGAGAGCTGTTGCTTTAGAGCAAGTGTTCTTTCTGACAATTTACTCTCTTGTATCTGAAAAGATAGCTTTATTAATGGGACTAACATTGTGTATGTAGAAAAGTCATAGATGTTAGAGTTTTAGGGACTTGGTCTCGGTTTTGTTGTTCACTAGTTGTATGATGTGGGGTAAATTTTCTTCCTGAGACTCTGTTTGTTAGTCTGTAAAATGAGGATTTTGATATCTACTTTTTAGGTTGTTTTAAGAATTAAATATATAAAAACACTAGGGTAATTTCTCACACATCATTGGCTTCCTTCCGTATGTCCTAGAACCATTAGTGTCCAGGTTTTTTTTCTCCATAAAGTCTATATGTGAAGGCAAACAATTTTAAAAACTATTT
This sequence comes from Homo sapiens, assembly GCF_000001405.40. Classification (NCBI taxonomy): domain Eukaryota; kingdom Metazoa; phylum Chordata; class Mammalia; order Primates; family Hominidae; genus Homo; species Homo sapiens. Next base: position 15,649,658 of record NC_000004.12, on the reverse strand, counting down.
ATATAAACAGATTTCAAAAAAGTTAAATTGTGTATATTCTGTTTATTCTTTTCTTTCTTTCTTTTTTTTTTTTTTTTTTTGAGACGTAGTCTTGCCCTGTCTCCAGGCTGGAGTGCAGTGGTGTGATCTTGGCTCACTGCAACCTCTGCCTCCCGGGTTCAAGCAATTCTTCTGCCTCAGCCTCCTGAGTAGCTGGGTCTACAGGCGTGTGCTAACCACGCCCAACTAATTTTTGTAGTTTTAGTAGAGGTTAGCAGAGATGGGGTTTCACCATGTTGGCCTAGATCTCTTAACCTTGTGATCCGCCTGCCTCGGCCTCCCAAAGTGCTGGGATTACAGGCGTGAACCACTGTGCCCGGCCCTGGTTATTCTTTTAACTGCTAAATTTACTAACTTTAGGTACCGGGTTAAAAATGTTTGCACTTTTCATGTGGAGAAAAACTGAGTTGGGTAGTATCTTTAAGGACTTTTCTCTCTGTTGCTCTTTTTTTTTTGGCTTTGTTTTCACTTCATCAAATCAACAAACATGTTGAGGATTTAATATAGATAAAAATCTTATTTCTTCAACCTGTTGTACAAAATATTTTGTATTCTCCACCAAGAATTTAACTTGATCTGTTGATCTGTTGATCATTTTTTCCCAGCTTTATTGAGGTATAATTGACAAATAAATATTGTATATATTCAAGGTGTACAATGCAATGCTTTGATATACATGTACATTGTATAATGATTACCAAAATCAAATTGACACATCCATCACCACAAACGATTACCCTTTGTGTGGGAGTGGTAAAGACACAGAGGATGTACTCTCAGCAAATTTCAAGTACATAATACAGTATTATTAGCTATAGTCACCATACTGTACCTTATATCCCCAGAACGTACTCATCTTAGAACTGAAAGTTAGTGTTCTTTTTTCAGCATCTCCCCATTTTCTCCATCCCCTGCCCCAACAACCACCTTTCATATTCTCTGCTTCTGTGAGTTCTACTTTAGATTCCATATATAGTGAGATCATACATTATTTATCTCTCTGTCTCTGGCTTATTTCACTTAGCTGTCTTCCAGGTTCATCTATGTTGTTGCAAATGACAGGATTTCCTTTTTTATGACTGAATAATATTTTATTGTATATATCACATTTTCTTTACTCATTTGTGGACAAGCACTCAGGTTGGCTCCATATCTTGGCTATTATGAATAATGCTGCATTGAACATGGGAGTGCAGATATCTCTTAGAGATCCTAATTTTATTTACTTTGAACATATACTCAGGAATGGGATTGCTGGAACTTATGAAAATTACATTTTTAATTTTTTGAGGAATTTCCATACTGTTTTCCATAATGGCTGTACCAATTCCTTTCTAATGATATTTTATTTTGGTCTGAATACAGAATTAATAACAGAAAAGCCTACTAAATAAGCCTTACAGATGCCTAGGTAGGGCTTATATTCTGTGTTCTTTATATTAACTTATTAAATTATCACAGGTAGCCAGGTGCAGTGGCTTGTGCCTATAATCTCAGCAACTCAGGATGCTGAGTCAGGAGGATCGCTTGAAGCCAGGACTTTAAGACCAGCTTGGCCAACATAGTGAGACCCCGTCTCTAAAAAATAAAAAAGTAACTGGGTGTGGTGCACACCACACCTGTAGTTCCAGCTATTCGGAAGGCTGAGGCCAGCAGGAGGATCACTTGAGCCCAGGAGTTTGAGGTTGCAGTGAGCTATGATCATGCCACTGCACTGCAGCCTGGGTGTCAGAGCAAGACCCTGTCTCAAAAAAATTCTCACAAGAACTCTGTGAAGTAGTTAATATTATTAGCCCTGTTTTACAGATGAAGAAACTGAGGTACAAAGAAATGTAATGACTTGCTGGTAGAATGGATTTACACCTAGGCAATCTTGCCCTAGAGTCAGTGCTTTTAACTACTGTGCTAGGTTAGCTGGATATAGATTCTACCTGTAATTTAGAGTCTCTTTATATAGTTACTATAGTTAATTTGACTGTCAGTTTGTGGCATGAAACTAATCTTTACCTTAATGTGTTATTAGATCTAAAAGAATTTCTAATAGTCTAATGAGAATATATGCAAAATTCCCTGTATGTCTTTTAATATATTATTTTTCTTAACTCATGTTAGGGCATTACAGTCTTCCCTTGGTATCCTCCTATTTTGTGGGAGATTGTTTTCAGGACACCCATGAATACCAAACTCCATAGATGCTCAAGTCCCTCAGATAAAATAGCATAGTATTTGCATGTAACTTACACATATCTTCCCATACACTTTAAATCATCTTTAGATTACTTATAATACATAATACAGTGAAAATGCTATGTATGTAGTTGTTATATTGTTTTTTGTTGTTGTTGTTTATTTTTATTTTTTTCAACATTTTCTTTCTTTTTTTTTTTTTTTTTTTTTGAGATGGAGTCTTGCTTTGTTGCCCAGGCTGGAGTGCAGTGGCATGATCTCGGCTCACTGCAACCTCTGCCTCCTGGGTTCAAGTGATTCTCCTGTCTCAGCCTCCCGAGTAGCTGGGACTACAGGTGCACACCACCACTCCCTGCTAATTTTTGTGTTTTTAGTAGAGATGGGGTTTCACCATGTTGGTCAGGCTGGTCTCGAACTCCTGACCTCAGGTAATCCACTCACCTCAGCCTCTCAAAGTGCTGGGATTACAGGTGTGAGCCACCATGCCCAGCCTTTTTCAATCCACAGTTGGTTGAATCTGTGGTTTCTGCATCCCCACGGAGGCTGACTGTGTTTACTTTTTGCCATTAAAAAAATAATATCTAGAAGCTGGAAACCATCATTCTCAGCAAACTGTCGCAAGGACAAAAAAACCAAACACCGCATGTTCTCACTCATAGTGGGAATTGAACAATGAGAACAACATGGACGTGGGAAGGGGAACATCACACACCGGGGCCTGTTGTGGGGTGGGGGGAGGGGGAGGGATAGCATTGGGAGATATACCTAATGTTAGATGACGGGTTAATGGGTGCAGCACACCAACATGGCACATGTATACATATGTAACAAACCTGCACGTTGTGCACATGTACCTAAAACTTAAAGTATAATAATAATAATAATAAAAAATATTTAGCATTAATGGTTTCTTTTGATTTTGTACCCTGCTTCTACTAAGGCTATTTTTAAGTTTGCCTTTTTTTTTTTTTCCAAAAAATGATACATGATAGTGTTTGCAGAGATTAGCCACCAATAGATTTTATTGTAATCTTGTGGGGCATTTCTTATGATTTAAAAAAAAATCTATAATATGTATTTAACCAAGTATGTCCTGCCTGTGTTTTTTGTGTGGCTTAAGAGCCAAGCATCACTTTTACATTTTTAAATAGTTGGAAAAAATCAAAAGAAGAATAGTATTTTGTGACATGTGAAAAATTATATGAAATTTGAATTTCAGTGTTTATAAAGTTTTATGGAAATACAGCTACAGTCATTCATTTACATGTTGTCTATGACTACTTTTGTGCTACAACTGCTGAGGTAAATAATTGCTACAGACCACATGGCCTGCAAAAGTTAAAATATTTATTACCTGTCCTTTTATAGAAAAGTTGCCAATTCTTGCTCTAGATTATTTACTTATGTATTGCAGTTAACTGTTCATTGTCTTATTTACCTTCACTGAAATGGAAACTCCATAAAGGCAAGAAATCTTTGTTTTGTTCATTGATATATCCCAGGTACCAAAGAACAGTGCCTGCCTCATCATAGCTACTCAGTAAATATTTGTATAGAGTAAAAAATGTATGAATTTATAAAAAATGAATATTTAATTTTCAAAATGATAATAGCTAATGTTTATTGAGTACTAACAACCATGTGAAATACAGATGTTTTATTATATCCATTTAACATCAAGATTAACACATTAAGAAAGAAAAGTAGGCCGGGCGTGGTAGCTTATACCTGTAATCCCAGCACTTTGGGAGGCCGAGGCGGGTGGATCATGTGGTCAGGAGTTCAAGACCAGCCTGGCCAAGATGGTGAAACCCCATCTCTGCTAAAAAATACAAAAATTAGCCGGGCGTGGTGGCGAGCACCTGTAATCCCAGCTACTCAGGAGGCTGAGGCAGGATAATCGCTTGAACCCAGGAGGCAGAGTCTGCAGTGAGCTGAGATCATGCCCCTGCACTCTAGCCTGGGCGACAAAGCAAGACTCTGTCTCAAAAAAAAAGAAAGAAAGAAAAGTAACTTACCCAGGGTTACACAGTTAAGTAATGGTAGAACTGGTATCCCATCCTAGAGAATGTGACTTTAAAACTGGTTCACTATGACTCTTAAAATGCATAATCCGCACTACTTTTTATAGAAGATAGTTAATTCTGTTATGTATAGTAGGAATAATTTTGTTTTAGGAGCTTCTATGTCATCTGTTTTGATGCTCTGTCATCAGACCGTCATTCCTGCTGATAATAGGCAATAAGACAGCTTAGATTATGTTCCATTTTAGGAATACTAGATACTTTAGAAAGCAAGTCTAGGAGGTATGGTGTTAGTAGCTTTTCCCCTTTCATCTACCCGTCTGTTGTATTTAACCTAATCAAGTTTCCCTCTTTAAAATTTCTGCCTGCCTGTATTTAGCATACATATAGAGTAATGAAATTTTAGGTTTAGAAGGGGCCTGGTTTAATCTCTTCTCTTTAAAGAAACCGTGATTTGTGCACATATCATTTTTCTGTGTCACCAGGCCCTCCAGAATGCAAACCAACATCTTCCTGGCCTAGTGCACTTTTTATTATACCATTATAACTTGTTAATTTATGAATTTCTTTTATTTGTACTTTAACCAAGTGTAAGGGAAGTATGCTGTGTGCAAAAGTGAATAGGGATGTATTTGAATATTTTTTATTTGTGCATATTTGCACGTATTTATTACACTTTTCTTTTTAAATTTTTATTCAGCTTTCTAAAACCAATTTTTCCAACAACAACGATTTCCGTGCTCTTCTGCAGTCTTTGTATGCTACTTTCAAGGAGTTCAAAATGCATGAGCAGATTGAAAATGAATACATTATTGGTTTGCTTCAACAACGCAGCCAGACCATTTATAATGTACATTCTGACAATAAACTCTCCGAGATGCTTAGCCTCTTTGAAAAGGGACTGAAGAATGTTAAGGTAAGTTGCAAAAATGGATATTCAACTGTCAAAACTTGTGCCATCTTCTGGTATATCATTGGCAAAACTTGTCACTGTTTTATAGTAAATGATGTAATGTTGAAAAAAATTATTTTGTCACTTGTTAAAGATGGCAAGGAAGACTATTTAAAAAGAACTACTGCAGTGGGGAGTTTGCAGTAGTGGAGAGAGATCAGTCCCGACGGTGAATACAGTAAGGACAAGTAGGGATTTATATCCAAGGGGCAAAGTGGGAAGAGTGGATGGAAAACTACTGAGGAAACATCAAGGCCAAGGGGATTCTTGCTAGACTAACTATAAAATTCTTGCTGAAGGCAAGAGGATAGTAACATATTGAAGGATCAGTAGTTTGATTAGATGTAGATGCAGATCAGATACTAAGGCTGAGAGATTTTTCACTAAACCAATTCAGCAGGATTTTTGCTGAAACTGGACTAAGCCGAACAAGAACAGAGTATAAGGTCAGGCCTAAGTTGAGAAGAGGGCCCAGAGGAGCCTGACTCAGGTTTGGTGAGAGTCTTCATCAGTTACCTCTTTATTACTGTTTAATAAAATTTTATAATGAATGCTACTCACCAAGTCTGAAAGCTGTTTTTGTAAGTCGAAGTTTTAATTATAAAATTTTTACATTCTGTTAACATTTGCTGAATTCTTAAAGGAAAGCTATCCAGTTAATGGTGACCAAAGGTATAATTATTACTTAGAATGAATAAACACTTTAATTTTATAAATTTTTACTTGTTTTAGAATTGAATACCAGCCAGGTGCAGTGTGCAGTGGCTCACATCTGTAGTCCCAGCACTCTGGGAGGCCGAGGCTAGTGGATCACTTGAGGTCAGGAGTTCTAGACCAGCCTGGCCAACATAGTGAAAACCTGTCTTTACTAAAAATATAAAAATTTAGCCAGACATAGTGGCAGGCGCCTGTAATCCCAGCTGAGGCAGGAGAGTTGCTTGAACCTGGGAGGCGGAGGTTGCAGTGAGCTAAAGATATTACTGGGTATAGTTTAGGATAATGATGTAGAGAGACTTTCTTCTTAATTACATTTACATATTATAGGATTTTGAAATTTGATCTTAGTTTATTTCCCTTCTGGCTTGGTGAAGCGTAAGCTTAAGTTACAACTCTGTTAAGCCACCATGTGCTCCTCACCTGGAGATTTATGTTCTGGAAAGGCTGTTCTACAGCTTAGGGAGGATGGATTAAAGATAAAGAAAAGACTAAAGGAGGAAGACCATTATTAAAAAATTATTCTAATAGTTTCTGGAAGAATACTTAGTAGCTACTTGGTGGGGAGGTGTGGGAGGTTTGGTTGGGGTAGGGTACTAGATAGTAATATTAATAGAAGGGAGATTTACTTTTTTATTGAATATTCTTTCGTATTCTTTGAATTTTGTATCATATTATGTATTGCCACATGAATACACCTTCGACAAATCTGAACTAAAGTCATGACTAGTAGAAATAAAGGGGAGGGGATCAGACTTGAGAATTATGTAGGAAATAAAATTGATAGAATGTAGTGATTATACTTAAAGGGAGGATGAAAGAAGAGAAAAGAAATAAAAATGAGGATTCAGCCTGACTTTCTAGAGTATATAGAAGAGGGTCAGGAAATAAAAAAGATTCATTCTTGACAGATTAGGTTTGAACTGCTTGTGTAATCCAGATGGGCATTTATGAATAGGAGGTGGTAAAGATGGATTTCATGGTCAGAAGAGTGACCCAGTATGAAAAAGCAAATTTGATAGTTATTATTAGCATATAAGTAGGAATGGAAGCCATGTGGATATGCTTAGGGAAAATGTGTAAAGTCGTAAGAGAACAGGACATTAGACTGAATATTGGGAAGCAGTTGAATAAATTAGTTCTGGAAAAAGAGACCAGAGAAGACTTAACAGAGATAAAATATTTTCATATTTTAAAAGTTTTCATAGGCTGGGCATGGTGGCTCATCCGTGTAATTCTAGCATTTTGGGAGGCTGAGGCGGGCAGATCACTTGAGGTCAGGAGTTCGAGACCAGCCTGGCCAATGTGGTGAAACCCCATCTCTACTAAAAATACCAAAAAAATTAGCTGGGAGTTGTGATGGGCACCTGTAGTCCCAGCTACTCAGGAGACTGAGGTGGGAGAATCGCATGAACCTGAGGTTGCAGTGAGCTAAGATTGCACCACTGCATTCCAGCCTGGGCAACAGAGCAAGGCTTGTCTTAAAAAAAAAAAAAAAAGTTTTCATTATTTTATAAATTTTCCACATGCTTTGAGAGGGCTGATATAGAAGTGGGGAAATGTGATTTTAGGTTATGAGGAAGAAGTTTATAGCTCCTTAGAATTGCCCAGAATTAGAATGAGTTACTTCAAGATATAGTGAGCACCTTGCCTTTAGAAGTGTTGATATTGATATATATGACCTTACATCAAATAATTTTTTCTTTTTTTTTTTTAAGACAGAGTCTTGCTCTGTCACCCATGCTGAGGTGCAGTGGTGCAATCTCGGCTCACCGCAACCTCCTTCTTCCAGGTTCAAGCAGTTCTCCGTGCCTCAGCCTCTCGAGTAGCTGGGATTACAGGTGCCCATCATTACACCTGGCTGATTTTTGTATTTTTAGTAGAGACAGGGTTTCGCCGCGTTGGGCTGGCTGGTCTTGAACTCCTGACCTCAGGTGATCCGCCTGCCTCTGCGTCCCAAAGTGGTGGGATTACAGGCATGAGCCACCGTGCCTGGCAGGATAATGTTAACAGGTACAGTTGACCCTTGAACAACATGGGGATTAGGGTTGCCAACACCCTGTGCTGTTGAAAATCCACGTATAACTTTTGAATCTCTCAAAACTTTACTTACAGCCTACTACTGTTGACTGGAAGCCTTACCAATAACATAAAACAATCGAATAACAATTATTTCATGTATTATATGTAAAATATATATACTGGATTCTTACAGTAAGGTAAGCTAGAGAAAAGAATGTTACTAAGAACATCATACGGAAGAAAAAAATCTATTCACTATTTATTAAGTGGAAGTGGATCATCATAAATGTCTTTATCCTCATTGTCTTCACATTGAGTAGGCTGAGGAGGAAGAAGAGGTGGGGTTGGTCTTGCTGTTGCAGGGGTGGGAGAGGCAGAAGAAAATCGGTAATTAAGTGAACCCGCACAGTTCAAACCTGTGTTGTTCAAGGGTCAACTATATTCTGAGTTTTTTAGTGGAGGAGACACTAGATGACCATAAAGGGATTCTGTAATGATACAGTCCATTAGGCTTGGAGATACATTAAGAGAACTGACATGTAGAAATTATATAAATGTATATAATTTATATATACATCAATAAAAGCTGTGGGCAGATACGTGCTATTTTTAGACTTTTTATGATATTTTAAAAATATGGGGTTACATACATTACTAAAGTAATTCAAAGCTTACTGTTTTATGGGTATCTTTTATGTTAAAAGTACAGAGACCACTTTGCAATTTGTCTATTTTTTTTTCCCCGGAGGTTTTATGTCACATTTTAAACTTCCTGGGACCAGACATAATTAATGAAGCGAAACTTTTATAAAAATGTATTTTTTTTTTGGTTTCCAGAATGAATATGAACAGTTAAATTATGCAAAACAACTGAAAGAGAGATTGGAGGCTTTTACAAGAGATTTTCTTCCTCACATGAAAGAGGAAGAGGAGGTAAGCATAATTTTTCTTTCGTGATTTAGATTTATAACATTCTTAAAATACTATTTTGCTTTAGAGACTCTTCAAAATAATGCATAGGAAGATGTATCTGGTTGATGGAGAGAAGAACGCAGTTCTTTTTGGGAAAAAAGAAAACCCAAGGGAAAAAAAAAACGTTTGTTTTGTTTTCTCAGAAAGGTTGTTGCTTTTCATTGAATAGATGATTTAATTAATTTACTCAGGAAATATTAATTTTCTTTTTTGTAAATGGCTCTGTCTTAAATATTAATAACTTATGCTACCCTAATGTCTTTTCAGAACCTTTAGAGGATTCTTTAAACTTTTAAATATTTTTTTGTTTTCATGCTATGTTTAAAGATTTTTTCATGTTTTTTTTTTTTTTTTTCAGTAGTGTAGTTTAGTATTTAAATGGTGGCTTTAAATGTATTAGTCTTGGCTGGGCATGGTGGTTCACGTCTATAATCCCAGCACTTGGGAAGCTGAGGCAGGACAGAGGATTGCTTGAACTCACGAGTTCAAGACCAGCCTGGGAAAAATAGCAAGACCTCATGTCTGCTAAAAATTAAAAAAATCAGCTGGGCATGGTGGCATGTGCCTGTCATCTCAGCTACTTGGGAGCTTGAGGTGAGAGGATTGCTTGAGCCCAAGAGGTTGAGACTGCAGTGAGCCATGATTGCGCCATGGCACTTCAGCCTGGGTGACAGAGCAAGACCGTGTCTCCAAACAAATAAACAAAAACATTTATTATCTTAAGCCTACTGTACATGTATTAGGGTATCATTGAATGAATGGGCAAAACGTTTTCCCTTTTTCTTCTGTCTCTAATATGGGATGAATATCAGAGTAAGAAATAGATAAATTATTTTATGAGGAACGGAATACCTGTTCAGCTGTAAATCAGTTATTGTAGTGATTCTCAACTATAGCTTCACCTTATAATCAAATTGATATTTAAACAAACAAACAAAAGAAACCCCGATAGTATTTTAAGACCTTTTCAGACAAATTACATCAGAGTTAAATCAGAGGACATGCATTGACCTGGGTATTTTTTCAGGGCCCCCCAACTCATTGTAATATACAGCCAGTGTTGAAACCACTGAATTTCTAGACTGACCAGTGTTTTTTAACTGTATGATATCCATCACAATTATCTGTGGAAGTGAAAACAAAACAAAAAAAGCCTTGTTTCCAACCTCTAAAGATTCTAATTCTGTAAATTGGAGATTGAGACTAAGCATCTGTTTAGCAGAAGAAATCTCCATAGATAATTCTTGTAGGAACCACTGTTCTAAAATAATGATTTGAGGGAACATTTCCAAAATCCAGAAACAATATTGAAAAGTTAAATGTCTCAGTAGAGTTCTGACTTTTATGGTTCCACTACACTGGGTACTACTCTCATGTGAGGCAGAGGCCCTGTTTGGGTGGAGTTCAGTTACTCTAGTACCAGAAGGCAGTTAACTGACCTAAACATCTAACAGAATGATTAAGAGTGACAAATTCTATAAAGGGAAAGCCTTCTGGTCCTTATGCTTTAAAATTGTTTTGGATTGATTTACTAGCTGGAGAAACCATAACAAGAAGGATTTATTTTATTTATTTATTTTTCTGGAGACAGAGTTTCGCTCTTGTTGCCCAGGCTGGAGTGCAATGGCGCAATATCGGCTCGCCGCAACCTCTGCCTCCCAGGTTCAAGTGATTCTCCTGCCTCAGTCTCTCGAGTAGCTGGGATTATAGGCATGCGCCACCACGCCCGGCTACTTCTGTATTTTTAGTAGAGATGGCGTTTTTCTATGTTGATCAGGTTGGTCTCGAACTCCCGACCTCAGGTGACCTACCCGCCTTGGCTTCCCAAAGTTCTGGGATTACAGGTGTTAGCCACCGCGCCTGGCCAGGATCTTCTTGGTGTACTCTTCTCTGCAATTTTTAGATAAACTAACTCAGTGGTGACAGCTAAAATTTTTATCTTTTTGAGATATATGGTCATAATACGACATTCGAGCCATTAATAATTTAAAAGGGTTTAGAGTAAATCAACACGAATGAAGCATCTTTCCTCGTGAATATTTTGTTTAATTTAGGTTTTTCAGCCCATGTTAATGGAATATTTTACCTATGAAGAGCTTAAGGATATTAAAAAGAAAGTGATTGCACAACACTGCTCTCAGAAGGATACTGCAGAACTCCTTAGAGGTCTTAGCCTATGGAATCATGCTGAAGAGCGACAGAAGTTTTTTAAATATTCCGTGGATGAAAAGTCAGATAAAGGTGAGATTCATATATATAAAGAACAATTTATTAGTTGTAAGGTCATTGACATCTTACTGATATGAACTGTAGATTTTGGTTGAGGAATAATTCAAGTTAGGCCTGCACTGTGGTCAGTTAAAGGCATTATTTTCATGTATCAATTTAATTGAAGACGATGGTTCTCATTTTAGAATTTAGTGTTGTGCATGATAATTTAACATATACTTGGGACATATTCAGTGTAGTGTTTCTTGAATAAATTTATATATGAATGAATCAAAATTATTGAAAACCACCAGTACAGAGCACTGGCCTGCTCAAAATCGATCAGTCAAAATTGTTGAAAACTACCATTACACAGAGCACTTTTGCGATATCATCCTGCTTCCTGAGCTTTATTGACCATAGTGGCTGCTTTTCTCTTTCCTTGTGTTTTTTTCATTGGTTTTCAAAATTAGTTATGTTTATAGTTTATTTTCATCCTTTCCTATGTATTATTTTTTCAGCTTGTATCCAGTAATATTCAGAGGAATGAGTACTAGAGGCAGAGTTTTTCTGTATTGTTACTCTGAGAATACAAATGAGAAATGCAAATAAAACGTGCTGCCTTTTTTTTTTTTTTTAAAAAAACTAGTTCCTCAGTAATTATTTATGTTCAGTAGCTTTGCTTCTTCAAGATTAGTGGCAGCAGTGGGATTTCTGTTAAAATAGCTTGGAGTTTTTTGAAATTGGTCCTTTTATTTTTATTTAACAAAGTAGGTGAAATGCATGTTGAAACTAAAATAATTTTACAAGTTAAGCTATAATTAATCCCGTAAAGCTTATATGCCTTACTATGAAATGTAGCTTGTGCTTTAGATACCAAGCTAAGACTTGTTATGTCTGGTTTAATTGTAATTATAACATGGGATTTAAAAGCATCACACTTATTACATTTTATTTTCCCACTCCTTCAAAGCAAATTGTAGCTGTATTATATTTAAAATATTTGGCAGTTTAAAAGTGGTAGTTTAAAGAATGTGATCATAGCATTTCTATATTTAAGTTGCTTTGTGAAACAAATCAGATATATAAAGTACTCAAATTCTTCATAGGACTTTAGTGATGAATCTTTTATATTTTTTATTGTAACACTTCATTTTCATTTTTATTTTGGAAATTATTACTGAAATAATACATTATAGGTTTATACATCCATAAGTACTTCCTGCAATAGTTGCTGACAAAAGTTTCATTATCAATGTGAAAGAACATCAGAAATATCTACATTTTGTCGTCTCACCTGCAACATAAATAACTGAAGTAGTTTAAAGCATCTCTAGGTTAAGGCAGTCAGATTTCGCAGACCTCTTGTATGAAATGTGAAAATCAAAGAGGGAATACAAGCAAGATTATTGACAGGAGTCATAATGCATAAATGGAAAAGGTCATGAGATTTGTGTGTGTCATTAAAAATGCCTTGGAGATCTCATAATCTGGCTGACTCTATACTTGTTGATTTAAAGCTGTATAACCTGTTTTGTTCCTTTTTCAAGTGATGCTGCTTAATGCTACAAAGTGAGTATTGTTTTTTCTGTGATGCCTTTGTAAGAGGAAGTTAATTCTGTGTTCATTATTGTAGCTCCCACTGATGAAGTATGATTTGGGCCATGATAGTTTAACCCTACTGGTTCTTCACAAGTTTAACATCCCCATGTTACCTCTAATACATGTTATTTCATTTTCACATCTTGCAAGCAGGAAGGAATTGACTTCAGGCACTGGATTTTGTTTATAGAAATGTAATTGTAATTTCTTATTGCATATGCTCTTTAGCCTTTACTGGTAAAGTTTTTCTTTTTTATTTCAGAAGCAGAAGTGTCAGAACACTCCACAGGTATAACCCATCTTCCTCCTGAGGTAATGCTGTCAATTTTCAGCTATCTTAATCCTCAAGAGTTATGTCGATGCAGTCAAGTAAGCATGAAATGGTCTCAGCTGACAAAAACGGGATCGCTTTGGAAACATCTTTACCCTGTTCATTGGGCCAGAGGTAGGTAAATGGGTTTTTAAAATATTTTCATGTATTTTTCTAGATGAATATTCATTTACATTAATGAGCAAGGCCAGAGAGAGAAACTCTGAGAGGTCAATCAAAAAGTAGATTTTATAGTTAGATGATGTTTTGGTGGTATATATTTTTGGAAAACTAGCAGTGATGAAATTCATGGGTAAATTATAATGATGTCTGTAATTAAAAAAAATTAGGAAAATATATTTGTGGGAGGGGATGCAAAAAGATTGACAAAATTGATAATTATTGAAGATAAGTGATAGATACATGGGGATTCATTATACTAGTTCTGCTTTTGACTGTTTTTCAGAATTAAAAGTTAAAAATTCAATTAGTAAGCTTTCAAAACTGCTTTAAATAATTATGTTTAATAATAATTATATGAATATTTTTAAAATACAGAATAAATTCTATAAAATTTAAGGGTGATATACCATTATGGCTCCATTTTGGTGATGGCTCAAAATAATTGTGAATCTGTTTTTGCCTTTGACCTATCTTTATTTGATTGGTAATGCCACATTCTCTGAATCACAGTTTCATATTAATATCATTATAGTAAATTACTTTCACATGTGAACAGTTAAAGAAAATTTTCTTTTCATCAACATATAATGCAGTTATGGGTTAAATACAACTAATATAGCATACATTTTTTCTGTCACTGAGTTAAAACAATTTCTGCTAGGTGAGTTTTTTTTTTTTTTTTTTCTTTTTTTGAGGCAGAGTTTCGCTCATGTTGCCCAGGCAAGAGTGCAATGGCGCGATCTTGGGTCGCTGCAACCTCTGCCTCCCAGGTTCAAGTGATTCTCCTGCCTCAGCCTTCCAAGTAGCTGGGATTACAGGCGTGCACCACCACACCTGGCTAATTTTGTATTTTTAGTAGAGATGGGGTTTCATCATGTTGATCAGGCTGGTCTCGAATTCCTGACCTCTGGTGATCCACCTGCCTTGGCCTCCCAAAGTGCTGTAATTGCAGATGTGAGCCACCAGACCCGGCCCAGGGGAATATTAGCTTCAAAATTTACATAATTTTTAAAAATTGTTTTCTGTTTATGACTTTATGTCTGATTTAAATCATGAGTCTGATTTAAAAGCAATTTTATTCATTATAATAATGTATAGCACTTTTTTTTTTTTTTGAGATGGGGTTTTACTCTCACCTAGGCTGTAGCTCAGTGGCACGATCTTGGATCACTGCAACCTCCACCTCCCAGGTTCAAGCGATTCTCCTGCCTCAGCCTCCCAAGTAGCTGCGATTACAGGCATCCGCCACCATGCCTGGCTAATTTTTTGTACTTTTAGTAGAGACGGGGTTTCACCATGTTGGTCAGGCTGGTCTTGAACTCCTGACCTCAGGTGATCCACCCGTCTCGGCCTCCCAAAGTGCTGGGATTACGGGCTTGAGCCACCGTGCCCGGCCACGTATAGTACTTTTAAAATAAGCTGTTAGATATTTTTTTGAATGAAGCTATTTGAAATATTAGGTAGACTTATATCGTCTAAATAATTAGTTGTTATGTGGGATAATTTTTTCTGTTGTAGGATAATGAAATATTTAGTAAAAAGGCAAACATGGATGCAGAAAATATTTTTTCTGGCTTAAAAATTTTTAATTTTTAAGAATTATTAAGAATTATGTCACGATTTGATAGGAATGTCAAATGTGATAATGCTGTGCTTTCATAAATTCACCTAAATCTCAAATATACTGCTTTTTTCTGTTTTTAATATGTTAAACAAAAAGTTCCAATAAGCCTGGGCAACATACAGAGACCTCATCTCTACTAAAAAAATAAAAAAAATGGCCGGGCACAGTGGCTCACACCTGTAATCCCAGCAGTTTGGGAGGCTGAGGTGGGTGGATCACCTGAGTTCAGGAGTTTGAGACCAGCCTGGCCAACATGGTGAAACCCTGTCTCTACTAAAAATACAAAAATTAGCCAGGTGTGGTGGCAGGCACCTGTAATCCCAGCTACTCGGGAGGCTGAGGCAGGGAGAATTGCTTGAACCCGGGAGGCAGAGGTGGCAGTGAGCTGAGATGTGCCATTGCACTCCAGCCTGGGCAACAGAGTGAGACTCCGTCTCAAAAAAAACAAAACAAAAAAGAAAAAAAATTAGTCAGACATGGTGGCACATGCCTGTAATCCCAGTTACTTGAGAGGCTGAGGTGGGAGGGAGGATCATTTGAGCATGGGAAGTCGAGGCTGCAGTGAGCCATGATCACATCACTGTACTCCAATCCGGGTGACAGAGGGAAGACTCTGTCTTAAAAAGAAAAAAAAAATCAATAGAAATCGGTTTTTATTTATTTATAGTATGTGCTTTGAGTGGTTCTCAATCAAATTGATTTTTCCCCCTTCCAGGGGATATTTGAAATATCTGGAGGCATTTTTGTTTGCCCCATCTTTGGGTATCATATTGGCATCTAGTAGGTAGAGGCCAGGGTTGTTGCTAAGCACCCTATAATCCACAGGACAGCACCCAAAAACAGTTACCCAGCCCAAAATGTCAGTATTGTCAAGGTTGAGAAGCCTTAATTTAGATGTAATGTTAAGAGTTCAGTAAATTGGCCAGGCACGGTGGCTCACGCCTGTAATCTCCTAGCACTTTGGGAGGCAAAGGCAGGCAGATTGCCTGAGCTCAGGAGTTCGAGATCACCCCGGGCAACAAGGTGAAACGCTCTGTCTACTAAAATACAAATACAAATAAATTAGCCAGGTGTGGAGGTGCATTCCTGTTATCCCAGCTACTTGGAGGCTGAGGCACAAGAATCACTTCAGTCCAGGAGGCAGAGTTTGCAGTGAGCGGAGACTGTGCCATTGCACTCCAGCCTGGGCGGCAGAGTGAGACTCTGTCTCCAGAAAAATGAGTTCAGTAAATTGATTCCGCATAATCTCTCATTTCATGATCATATAATTTAGTTGCAGTACATTCTCCAGGATCTATAAATTTATAGTTTAGCTTTACATTAATCTTTCCCTTTGCTTCTGTTCCCATCTACTTCTGAACTGCTGACTGGTTGACTACAGAGTAGACAATCCTGCTTCCTTTTAGTTATTAGCTGTTATCATAATGAGGCTATTGTGGGAACCAGTGTGAAATGACAGCAGGGGAAATTGTTTGCTCATCGTGATTTCTAAAATTTTATGCAAGACTTGATAATCATTAAGCTTATTTCTATAAAAAAGTTGAAAAACTTTTTGTATAGAAAGTAGATACATAGCAGGTACATAGCAGACTCTGTACATTTTTGTAGTTATTATTCTGTTTCCATAGTTTGAAAGAGAAAGATTTACTTTGGGAAAATATGAACTTTGGTTAATTGATTATTATCGTTAATCGAACCCACCTGTCATAGTTCTTCTCAGTGTGTCTGAAATGGAATCCTTTGCTTATTTCAGTGTAACTTTTTTTAACCATAATTAAATATTTCTAAAAAATTGCCCATTGCCTGGGCAAAAACTGGAAGCATTCCCTTTGAAAACTGACACAAGACAAGGATGCCCTCTCTCACCACTCCTATTCAACTTAGTGTTGGAAGTTCTGGCCAGGGCAATCAGGCAGGAGAAAGAAATAAAGGGTATTCAATTAGGAAAAGAGGAAGTCAGATTGTCTCTGATTGCAGATGACATGATTGTATATTTGGAAAACCCCATCATCTCAGCCCCAAATCTCCTTAAGCTGATAAGCAACTTCAGCAAAGTCTCAGGATACAAAATCAATGTGCAAAAATCACAAGCATTCTTATACACCAATAACAGAGAGCCAAATCATGAGTGAACTCCCATTCACAATTGCTACAAAGAGAATAAAATACCTAGGAATACAACTTAAAGGGATGTGAAGGACCTCTTCAAGGAGA
The DNA here is from genome assembly GCF_000001405.40 of Homo sapiens. Classification (NCBI taxonomy): domain Eukaryota; kingdom Metazoa; phylum Chordata; class Mammalia; order Primates; family Hominidae; genus Homo; species Homo sapiens. The sequence goes on along the minus strand of NC_000004.12, from coordinate 15,632,607 downwards.
ACTACAAACCACTGCTCAACAAAATAAAAGAGGACACAAACAAATGGAAGAACATTCCATGCTCATGGATAGGAAGAATCAGTATCGTGAAAATGACCATACTGCCCAAGGTAATTTGTAGATTCAGTGCCATTGCCATCAAGCTACCAATGGCTTTCTTCACAGAATTGGAAAAAACTACGTTAAAGTTCACATGGAACCGAAAAAGAGCCCGCGTTGCCAAGACAATCCTAAGCCAAAAGAACAAAGCTGGAGGCATCATGCTACCTGACCTCAAACTATACTACAAGGCTACAGTAACCAAAACAGCATGGTACTGGTACCAAAACAGAGATATAGACCAATGGAACAGAACAGAGGCCTCAGAAATGACACCACACATCTACAACCATCTTCTTTCACAAACCTGAGAAAAACAAGAAATAGGGAAAGGATTCCCTATGTAATAAATGGTGCTGGGAAAACTGGCTAGCCATATGTAGATAGCTGAAACTGGATCCCTTCCTTACACCTTATACAAAAATTAATTCAAGATGGATTAAATATTTAAATGTTAGACCTAAAACCATAAAAACCCTAGAAGAAAACCTAGGCAATACCATTCAGGACATAGGCATGGGCAAGGACTTTGTGACTAAAACACCAAAAGCAATGGCAACAAAAGGCAATATTGACAAATGGGATCTAATTAAACTAAAGGCTTCTGCATGGCAAAAGAAACTACCATCAGGGTGAACAGGCAACCTACAGAATGAGAGAAAATTTTTGCCACCTACCCATCTGACAAAGGGCTAATATCCAGAATCTACAAAGAACTTAAACAAATGTACAAGAAAAAAAAACAACCCCATCAAAAACTGGGTGAAGGATATGAACAGACAGTTCTCAAAGGAAGACGTTTATGCAGCCAACAGACACATGAAAAAATGCTCATCATCACTGGTCATCAGAGAAATGCAAATTAAAACCACAATGAGATACCATCTCACACCAGTTAGAATGGCGATCATTAAAAAGTCAGGAAACAACAGATGCTGGAGAGGATGTGGAGAAATAGGAACACTTTTACACTGTTGGTGGGAGTGTAAATTAGTTCAGCCATTGTGGAAGACAGTGTGGCGATTCCTTAAGGATCTAGAACTAGAAATACCATTTGACCCAGCCATCCCATTACTGGGTATATACCCAAAGGATTATAAATTATGCTACTATAAAGACACATGCGCACATACGTTTATTGTGGCACTATTCACAATAGCAAAGACTTGGAACCAACCCAAATGTCCATCAATGATAGACTGGATTAAGAAAATGTGGCACATATACACCATGTAATACTATGCAGCCATAAAAAATGATGAGTTCATGTCCTTTGCAGGGACATGGATGAAGCTGGAAACCATCAGTCTTAGCAAACTGTCACAAGGACAGAAAACCAAATACCGCATGTTCTCACTCATAGTTGGGAATTGAACAAAGAGAACACTTGGACACAGGGTGGGGAACGTCACACACTAGGTCCTGTGGTGGGGGTAGGGGACTGGGGGAGGGATAGCATTAGGAGAAATACCTGATGTAAATGATGAGTTGATGGGTGCAGCAAACCAACATGGCACATATATACCTATGTAACAAACTTGCACGTTGTGCACATGTACCGTAGAACTTAAAAGTATTAAAAAAAAACAGTTGCTTATTGCCTAGGGCTCAGATGTTTTCTCTTTGTAGAGATTTTTATCGTAAATAGCTTAGTTTTTCATAATTGCAGGCAATCTGATATTATTTTGAACCTTTTACTTGTTTATTCATTGAGTAGGTGACTGGTATAGTGGTCCCGCAACTGAACTTGATACTGAACCTGATGATGAATGGGTGAAAAATAGGAAAGATGAAAGTCGTGCTTTTCATGAGTGGGATGAAGATGCTGACATTGATGAATCTGGTAAGCTTGTTTGGAATTAAAATTATTACATAGTGTTTTAATAATTGATAATTAAGTACTTATAATTATTAGGTATTAGATTTATGTATTTTGTGTTTTCTAAAGAAACTGGTGTTTCTAAGCCTACTACTTTTTAAAATTTGAAGGAATAATAATGAAATTTTAAATTAATTGAAGTACTTTAAAGAGTGCATAGGATTATTTCTCGTTTTTATATTAAAATCAAAAATCAGAAAATGGTACCTTTTTTCTTATGAAAATAATGTACGTTTATTATAGTGCTTTGTAGTTTACAATGTGATTTTAGCACCACTTCAAGTGATCAGTTGCACAGCATCTATTGAGTCATCTATGGCTTGAGGGAAATAGGATGAAACTGTTGAGTCGACTTACTCGTTTGTAGATAGTCTTAATACTTGCCTAATAAGGTTATTGTAGAATTAAGAAGTAATATACATAAATATTGTTTGTAAATGGTAAGGGATTACAAAAACTAATGTAGCCATTCATTAAACACTGTGGGAGAGTTCAAGGATGGATAAGACTTCATCGCTACTCCAAACAACTCACAAATGAGAGAGAATTTAGAAAACATAATTTTTAATTTAAAGTATATGATGGAAAAATGCTGTCATACTTGTGCAGAGAGATGCTATTTGGAAGTGTGAGGAGGAAAACAAATTCTGTCTTGGATATTCTAGATAATAATTATTAAAAGATGGTAAAATAGTAAAAAATGAACAGATGAGACATTCTTCTAGTTGGTAAAACTGAAACTATAGGAAATTTTATTTATAAAGTTACTTGCTTAAAGTAATTTGGTCTGGCGAAAGAATTAAATGTGGAAAAAAGACACGTGGAAAGTAACAGTGTAAGTATAAAGATTGTTGTATCAGCAGCTAAAGTAGTTTATTTTTATGAAACGCAGATGTGCCACATTTTGATGTAAAGATTCAAAATGTCCTATATAAGGAAAAGGTCTATTCTAGTTTGATAGATTTGGTGATGTGCTTACCTGTGGCAGGCATTGTTTTAGGTATGAAGGATCTAATGGTGAACAAAATGGAAAAAAGCAAAACAAAACTGGCGCTTGTTGAGCTTAAAATTTAGAGACAGGAGGCAAACAATAAATACAGGTAAAATATATTCCATATTAGATGGTGACAAGTGTTGTAGAGAAAAATAAGACAAGGAAAACATGCCAAGAAGAATTTAAAATTGCAGTTTTAAATTGAGCGATTAGTTAAGGTCCTTTGGGAAATTTGAGTAAAGACCTGAAGGAGATGAGATATTTGCTCAGATGTCAACTTAAGGAAGTCTCAGTTTATTCATTCTAGAAAATTAATTCATAATACCCGTGGTAAGAATGTTGAAGGTTCTCACAAATTCAGTGTATTTGTCTCCATACTTGAAGATAGCCAGAGGAAAGACTCAATTTCCTTCATATTGAAAAGGAAAAGTTAACGCTGTAAAGATTGAGCCTTTTTAGATAATATATCTGTTGATTATTAAAGACTAAACTGTCATTTACTTCAGTGCTTTTTTCGGTTTGGCTGCCTTGTCTTTTTACTTGTCCTAAGAAGTTATTGTTTTTCATAGAATGTTTAACTTTCTTAAAGATTTCACAGTTCCAGTTACCTTGATTTAATCATCACACATTGTATACAGGTTCCATAGTATCACATGTACCCCCAAAATATGCATAATTATTGTATATCAATAAAAAATTAAAAATTTAAAATTTTCACAGTAAATAGTATACATTTAGATAGTGAGGGCCACAGAAACAAAAGAATGGTTTGGGAATAAAATTATAGTAGGGCTCACTAAAGTAATTTTTATCTCCTTATATTTTATCTTCGTGTGTGTGTGTGTGCGTGTGTGTGTGTGTGTCTGTGTCTGGCTAAAGGAGGAATTTAGGATAATATCTAAACAAGGAACCATGAGTAACAAATTCTTTTAGTTGATATCCTTTTGTCTGCTATACTTAGTTTTGTTTTAAATGAGACTTCCTTAACTTATTCTGTTAAATCATTTTATGTTTAAAGACATTCAAATTGGTCTTTAGGTAAGAATAATAACAATAGGATCCTGAGAAAGGTAATACAATACAATTATTCATTCTTTTTAGTGTAGTGTGTTTTTTCCTTTTTTCGAATTGGAGTTTATGGTGTTTTCATGGTGGATGTTACAGTAGTACATTCTGTTGTAAACATCCAAGCTTTACAGAAGTTATTAAGTAAAACCAAAAGCCATGCTCATTTTTAGCTTCTTAGAAATTCTAAAGTACCTTCCTTTGCTTGATTCATTATGATCAGGCTAATTTAGTTGAGTTTCAAATCTTTTCTAGCTTTGTGCCCTTTTTAGTTATGTGGAATCAGTGATAGTACGTTTTACTATGGATCATTTTTCTTTTGATATCATATTTTCTTTTCTCTTGAAAACTTTTGCTGTTCTTTTCAGTTTTCACATTTTTTTCCAAAACCTTTTCATTGCCTAAAAATGGGATGGTTTACATAAGAAAGTATAAGGATAGCACAAAGTATGTCATATTTAACAATTTGGTGAGCGCTTGAGTAGCTTAATTATTATCAGTTTATCAAGTTCTTGGACTTTTGAATTCATTTTACAGAAGAGTCTGCGGAGGAATCAATTGCTATCAGCATTGCACAAATGGAAAAACGTTTACTCCATGGCTTAATTCATAACGTTCTACCATATGTTGGTACTTCTGTAAAAACCTTAGTATTAGCATACAGCTCTGCAGTTTCCAGCAAAATGGTATGTTTAAATTAACACTAGTTTGGGTATTAAGAAAAACAGCATGATAAGAGTTTGGTTTGCTCATTCCTGAGTTTAATTAAGGGGAAACAAACCCAAAAATGATTATTGAGTGCCTTCCTATGGGTAGGCATACACTGCTAGGTTACTTATTATTTCATTGCAGTTCTCACAACAATCTTTGTAGCATAATTATCATTACCTATATGTTACAGATGAGGAAACTGACTAGAAGAGGTTAAACATTTTATTCAGTTTCACAGATGTTAAGTGATAAAGCCCAGTTTTATGTGATTTTTTAAATAATATGTAAGGCATGGTAAGATGGGCAAATGAGATGAAATCACTGTTTTATAAAAGTGGATATTACGACTTCCTACATCAGAATCTTGAGTGTTCCTTAAAAATGTAAAAATCCTGGTTTAGTCTCATAACTGCTAAAACAGATACTTGGGCGGGTGCGGTGGCTCATGCCTGTAATCCCAGCACTTTGGGAGACCGAGGTGGGTGGATCATGAGGTCAGGAGTTCAAGACCAGCCTGGCCAATATGGTGAAACCCCATCTCTACTAAAAATGCAAAAATTAGCCAGATGTAGTGGCGTGTGCCTGTAGTCTCAGCTACTCAGGAGGCTGAGGCAGAAGAATCGCTTGAACCCGGAAGGCGGAGGTTGCAGTGAGCCAAGATACTGCCACTGCCCTCCAGCCTGGGTGACAGAGCGAGACTCTGTCTCAAAAAAAAAAAAAAAAAAAAAGAGATTCTCAGGGATTTGAGCCCAGAATATTTTATTATACTTTTTTCAAGTATTCAAGTGATTTTTTTTTATATTCACAAAAGTTTGTGAACTAGATTATGTTTACTAATAGTCATCTGTTACTTAGCTAACTGAAGTTCTGCAGATCTTTACAGTGACAATTTCTTGCCTTTTAGGTTAGGCAGATTTTAGAGCTTTGTCCTAACCTGGAGCATCTGGATCTTACCCAGACTGACATTTCAGATTCTGCATTTGACAGGTTAGTTATTTTAAACAATTTAAATATAATGAAAAACTATTTTATAAGGTTTCATTTATGTAATTGCAGTTTAATCATACTATTATTTTTTACTATCAAATCTCAGTCATGTCTGAGTATAATTTGATAGCACCCTCCAGTTCTTCACTTCTTACTCATAGGTCCCAGCTGATCCAAAAATCCCATCTGTATTATCTTGCAATCTCTGTAGTCCTATATTTTGTCTAGGCCCTTGAGCCCTGCTGTGCAACCATGTAGATTGGTATTATATGTTTTTAAGAAGTTTTAGTTTTAGTTGGGCTCTAAGTGCCATTTGGCAAAGCTCCCTCTTAGATTCTTCACAGTTACTCTGAAATAGTATAGTGTAACTTTCTTCAAGCCACCTTCTTCCCAGAGTATATCTCCTTGACCACCAATTCTCTGTATTATTGCTCACTCCCTCTTTCCCACCCAACTATTTATATCAGCACCTTTTTTCCTGCTGCAGAGGAAGAGGTATACTCTTCTCGGGCTAAAGCTAATGCTCCATCTTCCTAGAGCTTGTTTCTTATGGATCTTCCTCATTAACCGTCGGTTATTCTCTTTCTTTCATGTGTTTGCAGCCTTACTTCTGCTGACTACTTTTAGGATAATAAACTTAAGTCTTCCAATCCTTACGCCTCTCAAATCCTACCCTTCTGTTAGGTTAGGAATACTTTGACTTCCTTATTACTCTCATTGAGTTTTTGTATCCCTAGCATCAAGAATAGTACCTTAACAATAGATAATTCACTAAATACTTAAGTGATTATATTAGATGTCAAATCTTTCTTCTGGTTTTCATCTACATGCATATAGTCAAATGCTTTTGAAAAATTTAACAATATTCATTAATAGTCTTGTCTTTTAATTATAGTTGGTCTTGGCTTGGTTGCTGCCAGAGTCTTCGGCATCTTGATCTGTCTGGTTGTGAGAAAATCACAGATGTGGCCCTAGAGAAGATTTCCAGAGCTCTTGGAATTCTGACATCTCATCAAAGTGGCTTTTTGAAAACATCTACAAGCAAAATTACTTCAACTGCGTGGAAAAATAAAGACATTACCATGCAGTCCACCAAGCAGTATGCCTGTTTGCACGATTTAACTAACAAGGGCATTGGAGAAGAAATAGATAATGAACACCCCTGGACTAAGCCTGTTTCTTCTGAGAATTTCACTTCTCCTTATGTGTGGATGTTAGATGCTGAAGATTTGGCTGATATTGAAGATACTGTGGAATGGAGACATAGAAATGTTGAAAGTCTTTGTGTAATGGAAACAGCATCCAACTTTAGTTGTTCCACCTCTGGTTGTTTTAGTAAGGACATTGTTGGACTAAGGACTAGTGTCTGTTGGCAGCAGCATTGTGCTTCTCCAGCCTTTGCGTATTGTGGTCACTCATTTTGTTGTACAGGAACAGCTTTAAGAACTATGTCATCACTCCCAGAATCTTCTGCAATGTGTAGAAAAGCAGCAAGGACTAGATTGCCTAGGGGAAAAGACTTAATTTACTTTGGGAGTGAAAAATCTGATCAAGAGACTGGACGTGTACTTCTGTTTCTCAGTTTATCTGGATGTTATCAGATCACAGACCATGGTCTCAGGTGAGTTATCAGTTCCAGAATATTAAGAAATAGACGTGTTCTCATTTCCAAATGGAATATAAAAATTTTGATCTAAGTCATTCTTTTCAGTTGATTTACTTAGCAAAAAGGATTAACCAAGATCTGCCCTACTTCAGAGTTTTGGAGCAGTGTAACTTCTGTTATCAGTATGAAGTTTCATTTCTGTCAGTTCAAATCCATTGTGATGTATGGAAGAACATAAATTCTAAAGTTTAATAAATACTTAGTAAATGGCTACATCACATATTTTAAGGTACTTTAGTGGATGAAGAAGGTACAATTTTTACTCTCAAGAACATGTAACAAGAAAATATGCATATTCTGTTGCTGTGTATTATTTCTGTATGTTATAGTTTTATACTGAGGGTTTTGGAAAACGTAGGCTGTCCCTGGAAGTCATTTAGTCTGACTACACGGCTGTTAAGTGTTTACAAAAGCCAAAGCTGAGCTAGAGTTTCATATGTAGCTAGAGTTTAGAAATTTTGGTCTTTGATCATGATCAGCTTACCTTCTGTTGCTTTTTTAAGTCATAAAGAGAACATGTGGAAGAAGTTCTACATTTTCTTTTCTGTTTTTTTTTTTAATAAGCATAATCTTCAGCAGATTAAACCGACTTTTTTTTTTTTTTTTAACCTCCTAGAGGAAAGAAGGGCTGAAGGTGACACATGTGTCAGCCCAGACAGGTAGCTCTTTTCAGCAGCTAGGTTCTATATGTTTTATAGGACCCACCTCAAGATTTGTTAGGTTACGAGTATGCACTGTTGGAGAAAATACCATGGTGCACTGACTTGGGAGCATGGCAGACTTGATGTAGATTGATTTTGCTTTTTTCTGTATGACTGGCTTTGTGCAAAATACTTAACCTTATACTTTGAGGCTTATGTAAGAGGAATATATATAAGGCATCTAACAATGATACACAATAGATTTTCAATAAGTGGAAACTGATGTGCAGTAATCGATTATCTTTGACATGAGCCTTTGGAAATTGGATACATGCTTTTCTTTGATAATGGGATGTCAGATATTTTATAATGAAGAATTCTTCCAGCATAAAACTTAATACTCCCTACCATTAGAAAAGATACTTAATATGAAATTATTACAGGCCGGGTGCGGTGGCTCACGTCTGTAATCCCAGCACTTTGGGAGGCCAAGGCTGGTGGATCACGAGGTCAGGAGATTGAGACCGTCCTGGCTAACATGGTGAAACCCCATCTCTACTAAAAATAAAAAAAAAATTAGCCGGGCACGGTGGCGGGCACCTGTAGTCCCAGCTACTCTGGAGGCTGAGGCAGGAGAATGGTGTGAACCCGGGAGACGGAGCTTGCAGTGAGCCGAGATCATGCTGCTGCACTCCAACCTGGGCGACAGAGCGAAATTCCGTCTCAAAAAAAAAAAAAACTATTGTAAAATTTTTTCATAAGTCATATACAGTAACCAAAAGTGTTTTCCCCGAGGTAACTGGTATAACTGTGGTTTGGCTGCTGTGAATCATTTCATTAATTTTCTGTTTTCTCAAATCCAAGGGCATATGTTATAGTTTAAGAACATAAGCAAAGATAACTTTATTCTGAGTTTTATTCTTTAAAAAATTTTTATTACATGTCTGTATTCCTAACTGTAATATGATTTTGTTTTTGAATGCAACTTGATTTTAGAAAGTAAAAGCAATTTTTAGTTCAATTTAAAACCTCGTAATTCATTTTTCATTGTCATTTTTTTATTACTGTCATACCTTATTGAAATTTATTTATAGCTCTATTCAGTTTGCATTTTCAGTATGACCAGTTTTTGTGTTTTTTTCAAAGAATGAAGTAATACATGTGACCTTTCAGAGCCGCAATGACTTCTGACCATGTGGCAGTTTCCTTATCTTTTAGTTTTTTAGGATGTTTTAAAAAACCCAGAACTTACTAAAATTTTATATAATTAAAAATTGATTTCAAGGGCAGTCAAAATTTTGATGAATCAAAATTTTGTTTTTTTTGCTTTCAAAGTATTTAGAAACTCTTCTAGTATAAGGTTTTGGAAAACACTAGAAGGGAGCACACTTTATTTAAAAGCAGAATTGTAACGTTTTGTTTGAATACCAAAGAGTTTCCCTCCCCACTTCCTGAAAAGGCAGAGAGTTAATTTCTTAAGAGAAATTTGAAGAAAAGCAGAGAAAAGGTTTTTAGTTGTTATTTTAGGGTATGATTTTTGGCACTTCATTAACAAATTCTGATATTATCAACCTTAGAACAAAGTGGATAATTTACTGCTGTTGGGATTGGAAATAAGTTGCACTTATTCTTTAGGGTTTTCCTGAGTAGTAGTGAAGAGCTTGCATGTGAGGTATTCTTGAAAAGAAAGTTTGCGTTTGAATTGAAGGAAAAATTCATTTTGGGAACAAGGGAACACGTAGGATCTGTCTTATCTGTGGCTAATTGAAAAAGTCTTGTCTGAGTGCAGATTCCCTCATTTTAATTAAACCTTATCTTGAAGGATTCTTTCTAAACATTTAAATTTTCATTGAGCACCTACTACATTTCTTGCACTGTTCTAATTGCTAGAGGTCTAGAGTAACTAAGACAATTCTCTGCCTTCATGCAGTTTGTAATCTAATGGTAGAAATAGACAGAAAACATAGTATCAGACTGAATGTTCTGAAGAAAAGTAAAGTATGGGTACTTTACTTAAGAATACAGAGAATGCCACTTCATATTGAATGAACCAGGAAAGGCTTCTTTGAAAAGAAACAGGCATCATTTGAGTAGAGAGAGAGATAAAATTAGGGCATTCTGTGTACATTTCCTGAGAGACTGAGGAAATAGAAAATAAAAATTTAATTTTTAGAAGCAACTCTTTTTGCATTCATTGTATCGGTTTAAAAAGTGTTTCAGTCAACCAGTTACAGTAAGTACAACTTGTGTCAGTAGGTTTGAGGAAAAAATACAACTCATGTAAACATACAACTTAATTTATAGGAATAGAAATGTTCAGGTATACCAGTTGGGAGCATTCAGTGTATCCTGCTTTAGTCATTATGTTTATTCAGGATGAGTAGCATGAGTTTTGACAAGTTGGTAATGTGGAGCTTGTTAAAAGAGCATTGAGGCTGGGTGTGATGGCTTACACCTGTAATCCCAGCACTTTGGGAGGCCAACGCAGTAGGATCACTTGAGCCCAGGAGTTCAAGACCAGCCCGGGCAACATGGCAAAATTACATCTTTACCGAAAAGAAAAACAAAAATCAGTTAGGCATGGTGGCATGCACCTGTAGTTCCAGCTACTCAGGAAGCTGAGGTGGGAGGATGACTTGAGCCCTGGAGGTAGAGGTTGCAGTGAGCTGAGATGGCACTATTGCACTCCAGCCAGGGTAACAAAGCCAGACCCTGTCTCAAAAGAAGGAGCATTGACTGGAGAATGTTAAATTGATAAGGTTTTAGTTAGTTTGAAACCATAGGGAACAGATAGGGCCATTTGTGGTCTTAATACATTATTTTCTGGCTTTCATAGGAATGAAAATAAATCTTGGCTGTTAATTAAAAATAGCCTCTTATCTAAATTTTTAACTTTCTTTGGGCCCCTCATATAAGTGGAATCATACAATACTTGTCCTTTTGTATCTAGCTTATTTCACTTAGTGTGTTTCAAGGTTTATTCACATCGTAGCATGTATCAGAACGTCATTCCTTTTTATATACCACATTATGTTTATCCATCTGTTGATGAACACTGAGGTTGTTTCCACCTTTTGGCTATTGTGAATAATGCTGCTATGAATGTTGGCATATAAATATTTACTTGAATTCTTGTTTCCATTTCTTGTTTAATTCAGTGTACAAGTCCTTGGTTAAATTTATTCTTAAATATTACACATTTTGATGCTATTGTAAATACAATTTTATTTCTTAAACTTTTCAAATTGTTCATTGCTAGTATATAGAAGTATAACTGAGTTTTGCATGTTGATTTTGTATCCTACTATTCAGCTAAATTTATTAGTTCTAACATTTTTTTTGTGAATTCATTAGGGTTTTCTACATATAAGGTCGTGCCATCTACAGACAGATAATTTAATTTCTGATTTTCCAAAATAGACTGCCGAGACCAGCTCGGTCGGGGAGACCCTAACCCAGTGGCGCTAGAGGAATTAAAGACACACACACAGAAATATAGAGGTGTGAAGTGGGAAATCAGGGGTCTCACAGCCTTCAGAGCTGAGAGTCCTGAACAGACATTTACCAAAGTATTTATTAACAGCAAGCCAGTCATTAGCATTGTTTCTATAGATACTAGATTAACTAAAAGTATCCCTTATGGAAAACGAAGGGATGGGCCAACTTAAAGAAATAGATTGGGCTAGTTAACTGCAGCAGGAACATGCCCTTAAGGCATAAATCGCTCATGCAATTGTTTGTGGCTTAAGAATACCTTTAAGTGGTTTTCCGCCCTGGGCGGGCCAGGTGTTCTTTGCCCTCATTCCCGTAAACCCCCGACCTTCCAGCTTGGGCGTTATGGCCATCATGAACATGTCACAGTGCTGCAGAGATTTTGTTTATGGCCAGTTTTGGGGCCAGTTTATGGCCAGATTTTGGGGGGCTTGCTCCCAACAATAGACCTTTTATTTTTCTTGTCTAATTATTCTGACTAGAATTTCCAGCATTATGTTAAACAGAAGTGGCAACACTGTTTTGATTATTGTAGTTTTGTTGTAGGTTTTGAAATCAAGAGGTGTGAGTTTTCCAACTTTGTTTTTCCTTTTCAAGGTTATTTAGTATCTGGGGTTCCTTGAGATTCCATCAGAATTTTAGGGTCGGTTTTTTCTATTTCTGCAAAGAATGCCATTGAGATTTTGATAGGGATTGCATTAAATGTGTAGATCCCTTTGGGTAAAATTGACAACAGTATTAAGTCTTTTAACCCATGAATGTGGGATATCTTTCCATTTGTTTAGATCTTTTTTAATTTCTTTCAGTAGTCTTTTGTAGTTTTTGGTATCCAAGTCCTTTACCTCTATGGTTAATTTCTTAATATTTTATTTTCTTTGATGCTATTCTAAATGGGATTTTTTAAAATTTATTTTTCAGATTGTTAATTGTTGATGTATAGAAATGCAACTGAGTGTTGTGTGTGTCGACTCTTTATCTTTCTGAATTTTCTTTTTGTTCTTTTTTGAGACAGGGTCTTGCTCTGTTGTCCAAGCTGGAGTGCAGTGACATGATCATAGCTCGCTGCAGCCTTAGACTCCTAAGCTCAGGTGATCCTCTTGCCTCAGCCACCCTAGTAGCTGGGACTATTGGCATGTGTACTTGGCCTGCTGAGTTTATGTAGTTCTAACAGGTTTTAGGGTTTTCTGTATAGAAGATCTTATCATCTGTAAATAGAGATAATTTTACTTACTCCTTTTACTTTTTTGGGAGGGTGGGGGGAACTGGGTCTTACTTGTTGCTGAGGCTCAACTCAAACTCCCGAGCTCAAAGGATCCTCCCACCTAAGCCTGCTGACTAGCTGGGATTACAGGCATGTGCCACCTTGACATTCCTTTTCAATTTGGATGTCATTTATTTCTTTTTCTTGTCTAATTGCTCTGGCTAAAACTTCTAGTACTGTGATAATTAGAGGTGATAATAGTGTACATTTTTACCTTGTTCTAATCTTAAGGGAAAAGCTTGTATCTTTCACCACTGAATATGATGTTAGCTGTGAGTTTTTCATGTATATGGCCTTTATCAAGTTGAAGAAGTTCCTGTCTATTTCTAGTTTAAAGAATATTGGGTTTTGTCACGTTTTTTTCTCAATCAGTTGAGATGATCATTTTTTTCCTTTATTAATGTGTGATTTGTTGGTTGATTTTCATATACTGAAAGTTGATAAAAACCCACTTGGTCAGGGTGTGTAGTCCTTTTAATATGCTACTGAACTCAGTTTACTGGTATTAGCTGAGGAATTTTGCATCTGTATTCATAAGGGACATTGGCCTGTAATTTTCTTGTTGTGTTTTTGGCTTTGATAATACTGGTTTCATAGAATGAATTTTATATTTGTCCTTCTTGTACGTGTTTGGGAAGAGGTTTTTTTTTGAGACAGGGTCTCACTCTGTCACCCAGTTGGGAATGCAGTGGTGCTATTATGGCTCACTGCAGCCTCAATTTCCTAGTGATCCTCTTACCTCAGCACCCCCCTGCCCCACCACTACAAGTAGCTGGGACCACAGGCGTGTGCTACCATGCCCAGGTAATTTTTGTATTTTTGGTAGTGATGGGGTTTCACCATGTTGCTTAGGCTGGTCTCAAACTCCTGGGCTCAAGCACTCCCAAAGTGCTGGGATTACAGGCATGAGCCACCACACCCAGCCCTCTTTTGGCAGAGCTTGAGAAAGGTTGATGTTAATTCTTCTTTTTTTTAGAGACGGAGTCTTGCTCTGTCGTCCAGAGTGCAATGGCACAATCTTGGCTCAACTGTAACCTCCGCCTCCTGGGCTCTAGCGATTTTCCTGTCTCACCCTCCCAAGTAGCTGGGATTACAGGCACGTGCCACCACGCCCAGCTAATTTTTGTATTTTTAGTGGAGACGGGGTTTCACCATGTTGGCTAGGCTGGTCTTGAACTCCTGACCTTTAGGTGATCCACCTGCCTTGGCCTCCCAAAGTGCTGGAATTGCAGGCGTGAGCCACTGCGCCCAGCCAATGTTAATTCTTTTTTAAATGTTTAGTAAAATTTATCAGTGAAACTATTTTGTTTTGGTCTCTTTGTTGAGAGGGTTTTGATTCATCTTCTTATAAGTCAATTCAGATTTTCTGTTTCTTCTTGATCAGTTTGGGTATTTCTTGAGTTTCTGGATTATGAGAGTATGATCTTTTAATTATTTTCATCATTATTATATTTAGTCTCATTGTGTTGCCCAGGCTGCCTTCAGACTCCTAGGTATAAGCAATCCTCCCACCTCAGCCTCTTAAAGTGTAGTTGGGAATACAGGCATGCACCACCATGCTGGCTTCTTATGATCTTTATTTCTATAAAATTAGTGGTAATATCCTCTGTTTCATTTCTGACTTTGGTAATTTGTGTCTTCTCTTTTTTTCTTAATCTAGCTAAAGCTTTGCCAATTTTATTGAAATTCTCAGAGAACAAACTTCTGGTTTTGTTTTTCTTCATTAGTTTTGTATTTGTCGTTTAAAAAATTTTTGCTCTCATCTTTATTGTTTCCCCTCCTGCTACTTTGGATTTAGTCCATGTTTCCTTTTTCTAATTCCTTTTTTTTCTTTTAACTTCCAACTTTTAAGTTCAGGGTATCTGTGTGAGATGTGCAGGTTTGTTACGTAGGTAAACGTGTGCCATGGTGGTTTGCTGCACAGAGCATCCCATCACTCACGTATTAATCCCAGCATTTACTAGCTATTCTTCCTGATCCTCTCCTTACTCCCACCCACCGCCATTTGACAGGCTCCAGTATGTGTTGTTTCCTTCCATGTGTACATGTGTTCTGATCGTTTAGCTGCCACTTATAAGTGAGAACATGCGGTATTTGGTTTTCTGTTCCTGTGTTAGTTTGCTAAGGATGGTTTACCAGTTTGCTAGTTTGTTAGTTCCAGCTCCACCCATGTCCCTGGAAAGTACATGATCTTGTTCCTTTTTATGGCTGCATAGTATTTCATGGTGTATATGTACCACGTTTTCTTTCTTTTTTTTTTTTTTTTTGAGACATGGAGTCTCACTCTGTTGGGCTGGAGTACAGTGGTGCGATCTTGGCTCACTGCAACCTCCACCTCACAGGTTCAGGTGATTCTCCTGTCTTAGCCTCCAGAGTAGCTGGGACTACAGGCTCATGCCGCCATACCTGGTTAATTTTTTTTTTTGTATTTTTAGTAGAGATGGAGTTTCACCGTGTTGCCCAGTCTGGTCCAGAACTCCTGAGCTCAGGCAGTCCACCTGCCTCGGCCTCCCGAAGTGCTGGGATTACAGGCATGAGCCACTGTGCCCGGCCTTGTACCACATTTTCTTTATCCATTCTATGACTTATGGGTATTTAGGTTGAGTCCATGTCTTTGCTATTGTGAATAGTGCTGAAATAAAAATAGGCATGCATATGTCTTTATAATAGAATGATTTATAGTCCTTTGGTTATATACCTAGTAATGGGATTGCTGGGTTGAATTGCTGCTTCTTGGTCTTTGAGAAATTGCTATACTGTCCTCCACAATGGTTGAACTAATTTACACTCCCAACAGTGTAAAAACATTGCTTTTTCTCCACAACCTCGCCAGCATCTGTTGTTTTTTTGACTTTTTAACAATAGCCATCTTGGGAAAGAGGCAGCTTGCCACTGCAGGCTCTGTGAGACAGCTGAAAAACTGAGTGCCCAAAGTGTGACAGGGAAATGTCTGCCTCTGAACACAACATCCTCACTGGGGAACCTGAAGGTCTAGATAACGGGAGAAGGATTTGAGCTTACCTGGAGCTGAGATGAATTTAGAGAGCCGGGCAAAATACAGGGGTAGAGGAAGCAGTGGGGAGATCCCTGTGGGCATTCTTGGTCCCCAGGGAAGTCATTTCTGACTTTTTCTTGCAGAGGTCCTTGGGGAGGGCTGTCACTGGAATTGGGGAAAGACCATAGGGAGAAGGAAACGTCCAGCTGAACTTTGTTGTAACAGTTTCAATTGAATGGGATGTTTCCTGGACAGAATCTGAGGGAAGGGATGAAAGGGGAGTTCAGATACGAGCACAGAAGCCATGGCAGATGGGCAGGCATGAAACTTGAAAGCCCTGCTTGCTTTCTCAGTGGGGAGGCTTGTAGTCTGGGCAAGATCTTAGCCCTGCTCACCAGTTGCCTGGTTGAGGGGGCATGGTGCTGTTGGGGGTGAGACCTGCCTTTTGGGCTGTGTGGGAACTGGGTGAGGCCTGTCACTGCCAGCTTTCCCCCACTTCCCGGGTGACCTGTATGACAGAGCAGAGGCAGCCATAATGTGTCCGGAATTGGTGGGTTCTTGGTCTCACTGACTTCAAGAATGAAGCCGCGGACCCTCGCGGTGAGTGTTACAGCTCTTAAGGTGGCGCGTCTGGAGTCTGTCCCTCCTGATGTTCAGATGTGTTCGGAGTTTCTTGCATCTGGTGGGTTTGTGGTCTCGCTGGCTCAGGAGTGAAGCTGCAGACCTTCGCGGTGAGTGTTACAGCTCTTAAGGCAGCGCGTCTGGAGTTGTTCATTCCTCCCGGTGGCCTCGTGGTCTCGCTGGGCTCAGGAGTGAAGCTGCAGATCTTCGCGGTGAGTGTTACAGCTCATAAAAGCAGCGTGGACCCAAAGAATGAGCAGTAGCAAGATTTATTGCAAAGAGCGAAAGAACAAAGCTTCCACAGTGTGGAAGGGGACCTGAGCGGGTTGCCAATGCTGGCTTGGGCAGCCTGCTTTTTATTCTCTTATCTGGCCCCACCCACATCCTGCTGATTGGTAGAGCCAAGTGGCCTTTTTTGTCAGGGCGCTGATTGGTGCGTTTACAATCCCTGAGCTAGATACAAAGGTTCTCCACGTCCCCATCAGGTTAGTTAGATACAGAGTTTCGTCACACAGGTTCTCCAAGGCCCCACCAGAGCAGCTAGATACAGAGTGTCGATTGGTGCATTCACAAACCTTGAGCTAAACACAGGGTGCTGATTGGTGTGTTTACAAACCTTGAGCTAGATACAGAGTGCCGATTGGTGTATTTACAATCCCTGAGCTAGACATAAAGGTTCTCCAAGGCCCCACCAGAGCAGCTAGATACAGAGTGTCGACTGGTGCACTCACAAACCTTGAGCTAAACACAGGGTGCTGATTGGTGTGTTTACAATCCCTGAGCTAGACATAAAGACTCTCCACGTCCCCACCAGACTCAGGAGCCCAGCTGGCTTCACCCAGTGGATCCCACACCGGGGTTGCATGTGGAGCTGCCTGCCAGTCCCGCGCCGTGTGCTTGCACTCCTCAGCCCTTGGGTGGTTGATGGGACTGGGTGCCGTGGAGCAGGGGGTAGTGCTCGTTGGGGAGGCTGGGGCGGCACAGGAGCCCATGGAGTGGGTGGGAGGCTCAGGCATGGCAGGCTGCAGGTCCCGAGCCCTGCCCCGCAGGAAGGCAGCTAAGGCTCGGTGAGAAATCGAGCGCGGTGCCGGTGGGCTGGCACTGCTGGGGGACCCAGTACACCCTCCGCAGCCACTGGCCCGGGTGCTAAGTCCCTCATTGCCCAGGGCCGGCAGGGCTGGCCGGCTGCTCTGAGTGCGGGGCCCGCCAAGCCCACGCCCACCCGGAACTCCAGCTGGCCCGCAAGCGCCGCACGCAGCCCCGGTTCCCACTTGCGCCTGTCCCTCTACACCTCCCTGCAAGCTGAGGGAGTGGGCTCTAGCCTTGGCCAGCCCAGAAAGGGGCTCCCACAGTGCAGTGGTGGGCTGAAGGGCTCCTCAAATGCCGCCAAAGTGGGGGCCCAGGCAGAGGAGGTGCTGAGAGCAAGCGAGGGCTGTGAGGACTGCCAGCGTGCTGTCACCTCTCAATAATACCTGTGGGAACATAACTCCACCCATACCCCTGGGAATATAACTCCACTGGCCTGGGAACCATACCTTAATCCCCCACAGCAGCCGCAGCAAGCCCTGCCCAAGGACAGTCTGAGCTCAGACATGAATAACCCTGCCCTCACCTAATGGTCTTTACCCACCCTGGTAGCCAAAGACCAAGGACATAATCTCTTGGGAGCTCTATGGCCCTGCCCACTGCCTGAGAAACCTGAATACTTACCCAGGTGACCCCAGGGCAAACTTGTACCCTCCCTATACTACTGCAGCTGATGCTTTCTTGAAAGTGGCACCTCCTGGCTGGAGGCCAACCAGCACACTAAAGAAAACCACAAACAAGGACCCTCACAGAGTCCACTTCACTCCCCTCCTATCTCCACTGGAGCAGGTGCTGGTACCCATGGCTGAGAGACCTGAAGACAGATCCCATCACAGGACTCATCACAGACATTGCCCAGTACCAGCCTGGAGTCCAGTAGCTCTGCTGGGTGGCTAGACCCAGAAAAGAACAATTACAGCAGTTTGGCTCTCAGGAAGCCCCATCCCTAGGGGAAGTGGGGAGAGCATCACATCAAGGGAACATGCTTGTGGGACAAGAGAATCTGAATAACAGCCCTTGAGCTAGATCTTCCCTCTGACATAGTCTACCCCAATGAGAAGGAACCAGAAAAACAATTCTGGTTATATGACAAAACAAGGTTGTTTAACACTCCCAAAGGAACACACTAGCTCACCAGCAGTGGATCCAAATGAAGAAGAAATCTCTCAATTGCCGGAAAGAGGAAATCAGAAGGTCAATTACTAAGCTACTGGAAGAGGCACCAGAGAAAGGTGAATAGAAACTTAAAGAAATAAAAAAAAAAACAAAAGTTATAAGATATGGATGGGAAAATCCCCAGAGAAATTTATAGCATAAATAAAAAACAATCTCAGCTTCTGGAAATGAAGGACACACTTAGAGAAATGCAAAATACACTGGAAAGTCTTGACAATAGAATTGAACAAACAAAAGAAAGAACTTCAGAGCTTGAAGACAAGGCTTTCAAATTAACCCAACCCAACAAAGAAAAAAGAATAAAAAATAAAATAAAATGAACAAAGCTTCCAAGAAGTTTGAGATTATGTTAAATGACCAAATCTAAGAATAATTGGTGTTCCCAAGGAAGAAGAGAATTCTAAAAGTTTGGAAAACATATTATTTGAGGGAATAATCAAGGAAAACTTCTCTGGCCTTCCTAGAGATTTAAACATCCAAATACAAGGAGCCACCTTTTAATTTTATCCTATTTATGTAAATACTGCTTTTATTCTTCTAGGGTGTGCCATTAGGTTTTATTTTTTATTGAAATGTAATTAACATACCATAAAATTTACTGCTTTTTAAAAGTATACGATTAATTCAGTGATTTTTAGTATATTTACAGGGTTGTTCAACCATCCACCACAGACTAATTCAAAACATTTTCATCATCCCAAAAAGAACCCCATACTTATTAGCAGTCACTTCTCACTCCCCCTTTCCCCAGCCTCTGATAACCATGAATCGACTTGGTGTCTCTGTGGATTTACCTCTTCTGGAATGATAATATTAATGGAATCATTCAATATGTGGCCTTTAGTATCTGGCTTTTTAAAATTAGGTTTATGTGTTCAAGGTTTATGCATGTTATACTATGTGTCAGTACTTTGTGGCTGCAGAATATTTAATTGTATGGATGTACCACATTTTATTTATCCATTTATTAGTTAATGGACATTTGAGTTGTTTCTACTTTCTAACTGTTATGAATAATGCTACTATGAACATTCATGTGCAAGTTTTTGTGTAAACATGGTTTTAATTCTCTTGGGTATATACCTGGGACAGGAATTGCTGGATCATATGCTAGGTGTATCTATAATTTTTTTTTTAGAAACTGCCCAACTGCTTATTAGGTTTTAAGCTTCAGTAATTTTCTTGATAATTTTTACTTACTAATACAGTTGGGTAGGAGAATGAACATTACAACTCCAGGGTTCAGTACTTCCTCTAAGAATTGAGTTACCATGATGTTCTTATAAAGAACAGTTTTATAGATTTCTTTATTGAATGTTGTTAGGAAAAATGTTGAACATTTTCTGAGTTAAATGTATTTCTGCCTAAGGATGAGGTTAGTTATCAGTGTTTTACAGAAATTCTTAAATTTTCTCATTACCATATTGAAAAGTATGTAAAATAGTGGTTCAGTGAACCATAGGAATACAAACATTTTTATAGATTAGTATCTTCTAATTGTCAAATTATTTTTCTTACAGGGTTTTGACTCTGGGAGGAGGGCTGCCTTATTTGGAGCACCTTAATCTCTCTGGTTGTCTTACTATAACTGGTGCAGGCCTGCAGGATTTGGTTTCAGCATGTCCTTCTCTGAATGATGAATACTTTTACTACTGTGACAACATTAACGGTAATGCCTTTTAACAGTGCGATAATTTTGAAGGAATTAATTTAAAATTTTTTTTAGCAGTTCTAATAATTTTTCCATTTAGTTTTCTAGATTTCTAATTCCCAGACTATCTTACTTTCAGATTTAGTTAAATTTGATAAAATTTTAAAATTACATTTTCATTAATTAACATCTTGAAAGGTAAGTTTTTCTTGCAGATGTATATTCTAAATATCCATTGTGTCAGATTTTTGAGGGATGTAATAGTGTAATCAAAAATGGTAAGTTAATAGAAATACTAAAATTCTTGTTAAAAGTTTTAGGTATTCCTCTAGAGTTTTGTAGCACTCATTAAGAATTTAGAACTATTTATGTTCTAGATACACTGATTTCTTAGGGATAATAGAGTCTTATTTCTTGTAAGACAGCTTTATCAAATGTAGAAAAATGAGGACTTTGGTAATGTGGACTTCCAGAGTTTCTGGATCTGATGACAACTCTTAGCAAAGATTGAGGGGAGAGGACAGTATGTAGTATTGAGAAGAGTCTGAGATGCTTTAGACATGACTAGAATTCCTGTAGTATTTTGGAAATTGATTCCTGAACCTACTTTCAAAAATCACAAGAAATACTTCTTGATTTTGTTCTTTTAAACATATTCTACCCTACAGTGGTCTTATTGAACATGCTTTTTCAAAGTATGTTCAGTGCCTTTTTGCACATTTGATAGTCACTGGTAGAGACTGAATTTCCCAGAAGCATAAAAAGCTGCTCTTCTGTTATTAGTAAGCAAATCAACCTCCTGTATTTATAACTGGAGAAAATTTTAGATGGCTCAGACTACTATGTACCTGTCTTTTTATACTGCGCCCTATTGTCTTTGAGTGCCCAGTTCACCTTAAGATGACAGGAAAATCAACAAAATTTTTCTCAGGCAGAACAATTGACAGGAGTCAGGAAGACCAGAGGGAGTAATGACATACCGCAAAATGGAGAAAACTGCTATTTCTCGAGATTAGGTTTTCCTTAAAATATATAAGAGGAAACTGGAGATGGTAGCTCTCTTATTTCAGGAATCACATTGTTATGCAGGAGATGACCTCCCATGTTCTTGATATATCAGCACTAAGTTGGACATTTCTTTGTTTTCTGTTGCCTTCTGTGTATAATCAAGGAATGGCCAAAGTGAATGTCATCATAGTTGGTGAAAGTGAATGTCATCGTAGTTGGTGAAAGTGAATGTCATTGTAGTTGCAACATGCTAAGCCTATGAAAACAAAGTTTGATTGATGCAGTGAAGCTGTTACTTTTGTGGATGCTGTGGATTTGAGAACGGAGTTTTGTTAACATAAAGTTATTTTATTGTAGGTTTAGTGCTATACTTCCACTTCCTAAGGCTTATAGGACATATTATCAAGAGTAATTAATAAGCAATTGTTTTTTATCAGAAAAAATTTTATTTGTATGTTGCATTTGAATTTTTCATATTGATTTCAGCATAGGTTATGCTTTGGAATAAATCTCACTATTGAATTCATTATATTTATTTTTGGATTCATAGATGTTATTGGGTAGAGGGAGGGGACTGGGTTTCAGTTTGTTTTTATGCTTACTTGTTTTATGTTTGTATGTTTTTAAACTTTGAAATAATTTAGATGATGGGATAAAATGAAATAATTAAAATCTTTTGCACTTTGTCCTTATGCATTTCCTCTAAACTTGTTTTGAATATATAGTTTCAGAGGAGCTATTATATTCCTTTTGTTGAATGTAAAAGTTTTTTTGGATAAATGATTGATTTTTTAAAATAAATGAATTGTGATGAAGATATCTGACTTTGAAAGATTTGAAAGGAAATTTCAGTGCTTGTATAATCCAATATTAACTCTCCTTTTATAGCTTATTGAAGCATGATTTGGGGGAATGGAAAGCCTTTAAAATTTACAGGGTGACTTGTTAAATAACTTGTGTCTGAGTTCCACATAGGTTGTTCTTAAAGCAATGCTCTCTCATAGTCTTTTCCTTAAAAGGATATGTGGACAACCTAGAAAGTGTTAGAAAGAAGTTGTGTTGTATCCAGTTTTGCAAGATGACACTTGTTCCAGTATCTTTCAAAACAGCTCAGCTTGTACAGTAGATATCTAGTGAATGCTCAGGGGCATCCTTGTTACTATTTTTATTATTTCTGAAAGTAGTGTGTTTTAATACGTGGTATTAGAGCAATGGAGAAGTGTATTTAGGTGACAAATTATATTTCAAATATTTGAAAGTGACGTTTAGCTAAAAATATATTTTTTAAAAGAAAACATATATAGTTAACTATCAGGTTACTAAATGTAAAAGAAGTTAATACTGATAAACATTAGTCATTAAGTAATACATGATAAGTAAAGCAGAATGATCTATTTTCCAAGCATTAGCAGAGATTTTGGAGATAATAAGTTAGTTATCATATATTCAAACAGTGCCCAGTACAGTGCAAGACACTGTACATAAAGTGTCTTGATATAAAATGCAAGTCTAGATTCTTCTGAATGATTCTTTATGACTTTTAAATTTATTTGATAAGATTTGAAAAGTCTTCTTAGCCATAACATTAAAAAATTTCTTTAACATTTAAGAAGTGTTAAATGGAATAGCATAGTTGTAGAGCTGTGAAGAACATTTGAGCAATGATAGCAAATAAACTTTTTTACTGATTTGCATTTCAATGTATGTATAATTTATAAATTAAGATAGATTAGCTCATAGTTTTGGAGGTGACACAGTCTCAGATGATGTGCTCTTTTATGTTTCTAATTTAAGTTAAAGAGGAATTAAAGGTAAGTGAAGGTAAGTGCAGATATACAGCATAAGTAATATACTTAGAACTCAGTAAAAACAAGTTATTCAATAATAAAAGTCTGGAGAAATAATAGCTAACCTTATACTTCCTATCATCTGATACTTAAAAATGCTTTCTTATAAGATTATTCTTTACCACGCATTTAAATATTTTAATGATTATTCAATTATATTTTTCTATTTTCTTTATTATTCCTTAATGTAATTTAGGCTTTATATATCTTAACCATTTGGGTTCTGTGTCCTACATCGAGATGGAAGTTTGCTGGTGATAAGTCAAATATTTAAAGGGAACTACCTTGTGAATTATCTTCGTCTGTTAAAGCATAGCTGTCTACCTGGCAATCCATCATATCTTAGTCATATTTCTTTCTAGTTTTCCCTCACCTTTTCTGTTGTCCATTTATTCTGTTGTCCATTTATTCACTTCTCTGAACAGTCCTTCTGTGTTACTTAAGGATTTTATTGTTAATGTTGCTTATACTTTCCATGCTTTGGAAGGTGTTAGTCTCCTGTTTTCTACAATGTGATACTGAGTTTAAAACAGTGCTTGTCTTCATTTTTGTTTTGGCTCAGGCCTTCAGCAGATCCTTTAATGGGTGCTGTCACTTTCATGATTATTGGGATCAAATACCAGTAACTACTCTTATTATTTACCTTATCATAGGATTGTAGTTTTGAGTCATTTAATACTATAGTTACTGATTAAGTTCATATAGCCTTCTTTAAACAGATTCTGCTTTCAAATTTGAAAACAATATATTCTCTCTCTTCACTCTGTATACTTAGAATCTCACTGAAACTCAATTCTGGTGAACTTAAAATGTATTCAGAGTTCTTGCCTATATTCATATAAAATGTGTCTACTCA
This sequence comes from Homo sapiens, assembly GCF_000001405.40. NCBI lineage: Eukaryota > Metazoa > Chordata > Mammalia > Primates > Hominidae > Homo > Homo sapiens. Next base: position 15,608,572 of record NC_000004.12, on the reverse strand, counting down.
CTGAGTAGACACATTTTATATGAATATAGGCAGGAACTTTGTTTTGTGATAAATAAGGAGATGCTGACAGTAGGTTTGTGCTTTTTACCTAATACAGGGTAAAAACTTTTATTTCTACATTTTTCTTCCCCCATTATCTCTGCCACCATCCCTTAGACTTCAGGAGCATAATGACCCAGGTAGCTAGGGTGGAAACTGAGCATGTGGACCCTACATCTTTTGGGGAGGGTGGTGAAAAACTGTGTCATGTCAGGTTAGATCTGAATCTCTAGGAGAATAGCTTTTTTGATCTGTTTGCTCCTTTGAGTCTCCCTTTTACTTTATCCTTTGAAAACCAATTGCATACTTCACTTCCATTGCTTCCAGATATGGCATATTTTTCTTAGGCTACTGTTGAAATTTAGCATAATATTTCTCCCTTACCTTTCTGTCCTTTTAAAAAAATAGGACTATAGTAAGTCCTCCGTGTCGGTGGTATGTTTTTGGAAACTGACTTTAAAGAAAACATACAGGAAGTCCTCAAATAGTGTCATTTCATTATAATGATGCAAACAAAACAACTACCTTTGTTATACGTTATTTTGCTTAGAGTCGCAGTTTCTAAGAACCTATCGATGTTAAGTGAGGACTTAATGGTATAGACATTTTGAAATATTTGAGGGAGTTGCAGTTTGGAAAAATTGTATAGAGTCTTCATGTCTCTTCTTATTTCTTTAAAAAAATTTAGAATGGAATTTTAATCTGATAAAATGATAATCAGATCCATTTTGGCAAAACCCAGTGAATCTGGCATTTCATGATGGACCTAAGGGTCAGAGCAGGAGAATGGCAGTGAGGCAGGGCTTGTGTCTTGAGGAGAGGCACTAGGTGATTGGTAGACAAAACAGTGGGCAGTGTAAGGGGTGAGGAAAGACAAGCTAAGAAGGGGAATAATGGGGATTGGGTGGTGCACAGTGGGTAAAGCTGGCATTATATTCAAAGGAAAAACTTGGTTAAAGATTGGCAGTGGGAGAAGAATTTCAGATCATAGGGTTGCTTCTCAGGGCATTTTTAATAAGTATTCAATATATACTAAAACATTTTATCTTGAGTTTGTGATTAAGATGATTAACATTGTTTCTTATTTTAAGGGAAAATAATTTTAACAAAATGCTGCTTTGTGAATTTTAAATATTTAACATATTTAACTTCTCATTTAAAGACCAGAAAAGATTGTTATTTTGATTAAATAAAAATTGGCTTTAGTAATTCAACTTTATATTTAAAATAATTTTAAACTTCCTGTTATGGAAAAATTTAACATCGAATAATACAACGAATCCTCATGTACCATCAGCTTCAGCAGTTATAAACCTGTGGGCAGTCTCCTTTCATCTATACCATTGCTCATTCCCATATCTACTCCGCCATTAAGCTAATCACAGGTGTCATATCAACTTAAAAATTAATATGACTGAAAGCATAAGCTGTTGTAGTTCCACATATTTGCGTAATGTTTATTAGTTTCTTTCCTAAGACTGTATGTCTTAAGAAATTTGCCCTTTGTATTTTGTATGTGCCATTTGGGGAATATAAGGAAAAGTTAAATTTCTGGAAATTAATGTGTTCTATGTGTTTAGTTGGAAGTAATTGTTATGGTAGTATTAGCTTACTTGCTTTTTTGTTGTTGTTGTTGCAGCCGAGTGCTGTTTTAGAAAATAAAAAGTAAATTTAAAATGTGTTTTTGAGTTAAGCTAGATATCACCCCAGAGTACTGTGATTTTTCAGTTACAATCCATTTGATATATTCTGCAGTAAAATTATATTTCATGTACAGTTTTCATTTTGTATTGTTCCTTATATCACAATTGCAAGTATTTTGGTTGTTCTTGTTGATATGTAAAGAACAAATTAACTACTCCTTATTTGTTCATGGTATAGACATAATGAAAGACTTCAATATAGTTGAAACAATCTTTTCCACATTTGCCTGCTTTTATGAAAATATCATTCATTCAGAGTACTTGACATTTGAATATGTGCTGTGAAACTTCTTCTTTGATATTTTCTAATTCTCAGCTATGTTCCCTAATGGGTCTTGTATCTAGTGCCTGGGTAGCATAGTGTGACTGGGATAAAATGTCAGTTATTCCACAGATTTTTTTTTATTCTTTGTAAGTGAATGATAATTTTTACTATGGCTACAGTTTAATTGATCACTCATTATATATTTAATTTTGGAAAATAATTTCATCTAACCCTACCATATATAGATATTTTTGGCTACAAATACTAAATAAAAATATGGCAAATATATTAAATCTTTGTCTATATAGTTTATTTTGCTTTAAAATTTGAAGATAATATTTATTGTAATTGCTCAATACTGACTTCTTTAGCTGATCGATTATAGTTAGGGCTGTTTTTTGCCTTTATTACATTTCTAGGGAGGATGTTCAGATTATAAGAATCTTTTTATAAGTTAGCTTGGCAATCTTGCTTCTGTGGATTGTCTCATTTCCATTTTGGATTTTTATATTGTAAGTTGTTGCTAAAAATTATTTTTTTCCCTTCTTCCACTTACCTTTTGGACCATGAAGGATATATTAATTAAAGTCAAGCTGCTATTGAGTTTTGTGTCTGAATAATTTCTTATACACTTATCATGAGATTTACTTCTATCATATAAGTACTGCTAGTAAAACCAATGAATGTTTAACTCCTTCATAAGCAAAATTATTTTTATGTGATCTCTAAGAAATTCCTCCTTTCACATTTTTCTGTTTTCATACAGGTCCTCATGCTGATACCGCCAGTGGATGCCAGAATTTGCAGTGTGGTTTTCGAGCCTGCTGCCGCTCTGGCGAATGACCCTTGACTTCTGATCTTTGTCTACTTCATTTAGCTGAGCAGGCTTTCTTTCATGCACTTTACTCATAGCACATTTCTTGTGTTAACCATCCCTTTTTGAGCGTGACTTGTTTTGGCCCCATTTCTTACAACTTCAGAAATCTTAATTTACCAGTGAATTGTAATGTTGTTTCTCTTGCAAATTATACTTTTGGTTTAGAAAGGGATTAGGTCTTTTCAAAAGGGTGAGAACAGTCTTACATTTTTCTTTTAAATGAAATGCTTTAAAGAATGTTGGTAATGCCATGTCATTTAAAGTATTTCATAGATAATTTTGAGTTTTAAAGTCCATGGAGGTGATTGGTTCTCTTTACACATTAACACTGTACCAAGCTTTGCAGATCTTTTCCGACACACATGTCTGAAGACTTATTTTCAAAGACAGCACATTTTTGGAAACTAATCTCTTTTCCGTAATATTTCCTTTATTTCAATGATTCTCAGAAGGCCAATTCAAACAAACCCACATTTAAGGTTCTTTAGGATTATAGAATAAATTGGCTTCTGAGTGTTAGCTCAGTGAGCTAGGAAAGCACCAATCGATATTTGTTTCCTTTAGGGATACTTTGTTCTCACCACTGTCCCTATGTCATCAAATTTGGGAGAGATTTTTTAAAATACCACAATCATTTGAAGAAATGTATAAATAAAATCTACTTTGAGGACTTTACCAAGTAATACTGTTGTGTTGTGATTTTTATTATAAATCTCAATCCAGGTTTACTTTAGTATAGAATAGGACTACATACTTTGTCTTTGGACCTCCCATGAACTTATTACCCTGACAAATAGTTTTAGACAGATACTGAATTTTATTGAGCTGAATTTTCTTTTTGAAATGAGTTATTCAGTAGTCAAAATTTGAATCCGTAAGTATATCTACTTTGCTTTGTTAAAACATCATGAGAGTGGAGGCCTGCCACCCAGAAAGGCACATACTAGTGCCTTTTAGTACAATTTTATGTCATGTAGAAGAAAATGGCAATGTTCCTCCTATTGATACAGATACAGGCATATGTCATCTTATTGCGTTTTGCTTTATTGCACTTTGCAAATAATGCATTTTTTACAAATGGAAGGTTTATGGCAACTCTGCGTTGAGCCAGTCTATTGGTGCCATGTTTCCAATAAAACTTCTCCTTTCATGTCTCGTATATTGTGATAATTCTTGGAGTATTTCATAGTTTTTCACTATTATTAAATCTGTTGTGGTGATCTGTGGCCAGTGATTGTTGTTACTATTGTAATTGCTTTGGAATGCCATGAACTGTGCCCTAATAAGACAGAGAACTTAATTGATAAATATTATGTATGTTCTGATTGCTCCACTGACCAGTGGTTCCTGTCTCTCTCCTCCTCAGACCTCCCTCTTCCTAGAGACACAACAATATTGAAATTAGGCCCCAGCTTATAACCTTGCAGTGGACTTTAAGTGTTGAAGTGAAAGGAAGAGTCATGTCTCTCACTTTAAGTGAAAAGCTAGAAATGATTAGGCTTAGTGAGCAAGGCATGTCGAAAACTTAGGCCCAAATCTACGCTTCTTGTGCCATACAGCAAAGTTGTGAATGCAACAGGAAAGTTCTTGAAGGAAATTAAAAGTGCTACTCCAGTGAACACCCAATGATAAGAAAGTGAAACAGCTTTATTACTGATATGGAGAAAGTTTTAGTGGTCTGGATAAATGAAACTAGCCATAAAATTCCCTTAAGCCAAAGCCTAATTCAGAGTAAGACCCTAACTCTCTTCAATTACATGAAGGCTGAGAGAAGTGAGGAAGCTTCAGAAAAGGTTGAAGCTAGCAGGGGTTGATTCATGAGGTTTAAGGAAAGAAACCTTCTCTATAACATAAAAATAGAAGGTGAGGTAGCAAGTGCTAATATAGAAGCTGCAGCAAGTTATTCAGAAGATCTAGCTAAGGTCATTGATTTGAAAGTGGCTACATTAAATATCAGATTTTCAGTGTGTAGACAAAACAGCCTTCTATTGGAAGAAGATGCCATCTAAATCTTTAATAGCTAGAGAGGAGAAATCAATGCCTGGCTTAAAAGGGCAGGCGGACTCTTAATGTTAGAGATTGATGCAGCTAGTGACTATGTTGAAGAGAATGCTCATTTGCCATTCTGAAAAACCTAAGGCCCTTAAGAATTATTGCTAAGTCTACTCTGTGCTCTGTAAATGGAACAACAAAGTCAGTATGATAGTATATCTGTGTACAGCATGGTTTGCTGAATATTTTAGGCCCACTGTTGAGACCTGCTCAAAAAATTTCTTTCAAAACGTTACTGCTTATTGACAAGGCTCCTGGTCACCCAAGAGCTCTGGTGGAGATGTACAAGGAGATTAATGTTTTTATGCCTGTTAACATCTATTCTGCAGCTCCATGCAGAATTACTCCATGGATCAAGGAATAATTCTGACTTTCAAGTCTTATTAAGAAATACATTTTGTATGGCTATAGTTGCCATAGATAGTGATTCCTCTGATGGATCAGGGCAAAGTAAATTGAAAATATTCTGGAAAGGATTCAATTAGAAGGATTCACCATTCCAGGTGCCATTAAGAATATTCGTGATTCATTGGAGGAGGTCAGAATATCAGCATTAACAAGAGATTGGATGAAGTTGATTCCAACTCTCAATGGATGTCTTTGTAGGGTTCCAGACTTTAGTGGAGGAAGTCACTGCAGATGTGGTGAAAATAGAACCAGAATTAGAAATAGAGCCTGAAGATCTGACTGAACTGCTGCAACCTCATGATAAAACTTGAATGGATATAGAGTTGCTTCTTATGGATGAGCAAAGAATATTTGTTTCTTGGTCGGGCGCGGTGGCTCACTCTTGTAATCCCGGCACTTTGGGAGGCGGAGGCAGGAAGATTGCTTGTGTCCAGGAGCTCAAGACCAGCCTAGACAACATAGTGAGACCCTGTCTCTACAAAAAATAAAAGATTAGCTGAGTGTGGTGGCGTGTACCTGTAGTCCCAGCTACTTGAGAGACTGAGGTGTGAGGATTGCTTGAGCCTAGGAGGTTGAGGCTGCAGTGAACCATAATCACACCACTGCACTCCGCCTGGACGACAGAGCAAGACCCTGTCTCAAAAAAGTTTATTGAGATGGACTCTACTCCTGGCGAAGATGCTGTGAACATTTGTCAAATGACAACAAAGGATTTAGAATATTACATAAACTTAATTGATAAAGCAGTGGCAGAGTTTGAGAAGATTAATTCCAGTTTTGAAAGAGATTCTGTGGGTAAGATGCTATCAGCATTTCATGCTACAGAGAAATCTTTCATGAAAGGAAGAGTCAGTCAATGCAACAAACTTCATTGTTGTCTTATTTTAAGAAATTCTCACAGCCACCCCAACCATCAGCAACCACCAGTTGCTAATCAGCCAGCAACATCGAGGCAAGACCCTCCATCAGCAAAAAATTACAACTTACTGCAGGCTCAGATGATCATTAGCACTTTTGAACAATAAAGTATTTTTAAATTAAAGGTATGTACATTTTTGAGATAATGCTTTTGCACGCTTAATACACTATAATACAGTGTAAACATAACTTTGCACTGGGAAACCAAAAAAATTGGTGTGACTCATTTTATTGCAGTATTCACTTTATTGCAATGGTCTGGAACCAAGTGCACACTATCTCCGAGGTATGCCTGTACATGCAAACCTGTGGAAGATGAAGTAATCTTGCAGTCTTGGATATTTATTTGTTTTGTTTATTTGGAGAGAGGAGGAGGAGTAGCAATAAAAACTGGTAAACATTCAGTTCAGGCAAATTGTCTTAGTGTTTTCTAAAGATGAAGAATCATTTGATGGAATATAACTCACTACTGCTTTTTATTTCAACTAATATTTGAATTAAACACAGCAAAGGAGGAGGAACTCTAAAGGCTCTAATGATGCTCTCTTTAAAGCTTTACCTTGCTCTAAGGTAAAACTTGTTAAGTTTCTCTCACTTTCATTCCATTGCTGTTAATATTTGCCCAAGCAAAAGGTAAGTAAGTACAAAGGAATAGAGGCAGGAAGCTCATAATATATCGTACTGTGGGTAGTCTCAATTGAATTTCAGGGTCAAGTAGCAGACACAAGGCAGACTGCTAAATAGAACACTTTGCACAGTTTGAAAACAGTTGATAATTTTATTATTTGCCAATAATATGTTCTTCTGATGTGATGCATATAATTTAAAATTTTCTCATATCCTAAGTGTAGTTTTTACATGATACAGAAAGTACAGTGAAAAAAATTACCTGTTGCGTATAAGAGAGGCAACATAGATCCAAACAGACAAAACATTTTTGGGGTATGGGTGTATGTATACAGCTAAAGCAAATTCAACATTAGGAACATCAATATTATGTACTCCAGTACTATACACAGCGTCAATTAAAGGCTTCACTTCAGAATAAGGCATGTGAAGAGGAAATCCAGAGAACTGAAGGGAAAAAACATTTGTAGTCATTAGTGAAGTTTGAAGATTTAATACATTTTTTCCTACGTAAATGTATGCAATTAAGATAAGTGTTCTGGATCTCAGTTATTTGCTTGTGTTTTTCTACTCAGCTTTTTATTAGCAATACAGAAAATCGAGAGCTGCTTAATATCCATTTTGTTTTCCTTGCATATAGGTGTATAAGCCACCTGTTAGTCACTCCATCACTGTTCCCTCTTTTTGAAAGTACCTAGTATGCATCGTAACCATTGTAATTCCAGATACATAGGTTAAACTAACAAATACATTTCTTTTTTCTTTTTTTTTTTTTTTTTTGAGACAGGTCTGACTGTTGTCCATGCTAGACTGCAGTGGCATGATCATGGCTCACCACTGCAGCCTCGGCCTCCTGCTGGGCTCAAATGGTCCCCCCACTTTAGCCTCCTGAGTAGCTGGGACTGCAGGCAAGTGCCACCATCCTGGCTACTTTTTGTATTTTTTGTAGAGATGGAGTTTTGCCATGCTGCCAAGGCTGATCTTGAACTCCAGGGCTCAAGCGATCCGCTGCCTCAGCCTCCCAAAGTGCTGGGGTTACAGGTGTGAGCCATAGCGCCCGACAATAATTTTCGTCCCCTTGGCTACAATGATTGATCCACGGGGATGGGCAAGTGATCAAAGGGAGTCTCAGAGGGAATCTTGGGAAACTTGTTAGGAATAATGGCACGTGATGTTCTCCTGCTTTGGGTAGTATGTGCGCAGATGTGAATTCTGTAAGTGTTCCAGCATTTGCTTCCATGAGGAAACCCAGTCTCAGGATGATGCCATCATACGGAAGAGGAGGGCAGAATGGGAGGACTTGCAAAAGAGTGGGACAGCCCTGATAGCTACCCTCTAAGCTTTACTTAAGCCAGTAGATTCTCTATTGCTCAAGCCTTTTTGAGTTTTCTGACACTTGAACTGAAAATATCCTGGCTGAGAACCTGCCTTATAAGTTAAAGGATAAATTTTACTCAGTGAGTGATCTAATTTGACCTTCACACTGTTTAGCTAGTAAGGCTTACTGTTAAGTTTTAGTTACGAGCCTGCTTTGTAGGTTTTATTATCCAGCTATAGCATGTGAACATAGCAGCAGGCAGTAAAGAGGGTATATCGTCTATTAATAACCACCTTTCTTAGCAATGAAAAGCAATCAGTATAAAACCATATCCTTAAAAAAACTGCTCTAGAGTGTTTTGATCCTTATGCACAGTTGTGTCTAACATGATTTAGCCAGATGTTTTCATTTTTTTGATACGTAAATGTATTTCATAAAAGGTATTTTTCATGGGATACTTATATGAAAAATGGTGGTATTTTGCTATTTCATGATTATTGAGGTTTAAAACTTATGATCACAGTTTTTAGTTTATGCTGCTTTAAATATGTACTTCTGGGAGCAACGTGGGTCTTTTGATTCCAGAAACCTATTATTGGCTAATTTCCAATTTGAAACAAGGAAATCCACAGTCAGTTTAGGATCCATTTGTAACTTACCCTGTAGTCTCCCAGCTGTTTTAGCAGTTCTGCTCTGTGGTCATCTTCTACATCTTCTCCTTGACTTTTTTCTAACAGAGGCAAGAAGTGACGCAGAGTAGAGGTACAATACCTATTCCACCGAGTCAGATGGCGTGGCCTCCAGTCCATGATTTTTTCTTTTAGTATTTTTTCAATCCTGTTCACAAAACATAAATTCCATTTTTTGGTGACTCACTTTTCCCTTGTTAAAAAATGTATGTAGTATGTAGTGGGGATTCAGATGATTGTATAACTATATTTTTGTTGATGGAGTTGTGATTATCCAGGCATAGTTAATGTCTAATAATGGGCTACTCCCTGGGGATTCAAAATTAACATGCAGTCCTGTCCTTAAGGGTTGTATATGAGTTGAGATGGGAAATAGTCCTATAAATAGAAAGTATGTGTATCCTAAGAGCTATAACAGATGCTTGAAATGTAACACAGAAGAGGGAGTACTGAATGACTTGGGGATAGCTGAATTCAATACATGCAGCAAAAGTTTATTATTACTAATTTTTTTTAAAGGCAGGATCTTGCTCTGTTGCCCAGGCTGGATTGAAGTGGTACAATCACAGCTCACTGCATCCTCAACTCTCGGGCTCAAGTGAACCTCCCACCTCAGCCTCTTTGGTAGCTGGGACCACAGGTGCATGCCATTATGTCTGGCTAATTTTTTTTTCTTTTTTATAGAGACAAGGTCTTGCTATGTTGCCCAGGCTGGTCTCAAATTCTTGGGCTCAAGTGATCCGCCTGCCTTGGCCTCCCAAAGTGTTGAGATTACAAGTGTGAGTCACTGCGCTTGGCCATGAAATGTTTTTTTGAAATGTTATGACTATACTCATTGGTAGTATATATACAGACAGATGAATTAGACACAGGCGTAAGAAGTAGGGCTTATGTTGAAAGCCTCAAATATTTGTGGAGCTCTTAGTGCCTCGTGATTTATTCACATCATGAATAGTGAATTCTATCCATGATGATTAATTTTTTTCTAAATTGCCTTAAAACTGCCTTTAAAATACCAACATCATTGAAACTGTTTGTGATAAGTACAGGTATTGGGTTCATAGGGTGTGAAGTTTAAGCATGGAATGAAGGAAGATAGCTACTATTTATTGGGCCATTATTTACCAGATACTGCGCTAAGTGCTTTTTGTAGATGTTTATTTAATCTCAATAATAACCTTACGAGGTAGGGGATATTGTCCTGATTTTACAGATGAGGGGACAGTTTGAGGTAGGATAAGTGATTTGACTAAGGCAAAGGAGCTTGGATTCAAATTGAAACCCTGCTGATTCTAAAGCCTCTTGTACATTGCCTAACTAAATGCATGGGTTTAGAGACCTAGCTAGCTTCTCATTGTTCAGTAGTCATAGGGATCATTTCTTTTTTGGTGCTTAGCACATCTTTGTTTTGGATTTCAAGATGGTCTGCGCACGAAAGTATGGACGAATTGTCAGGCATTTTAATATTGGAGAAATAAATGACTTGGGTCCAATCGATAGCATGTTGAAGCTATCAGAAAAAAACAAAAAGGTTGTTTGGAGATTAGTTGTTCTAGTTGGGGATCTTGAATAAGGCATTATGGAGAAATTGAGAGTAAATGAGTGTAAACCGATATTTTCTAGTAATAATGCCTCAAGAGGGGTCACACAGCTTAATACAGTAGAAATAGTACACATGTCTTGAAATCAGAAAGGTTGGGCTGGGCTCAGAAGCCCCCTTTAACACTTAAACAAGTATGTGGACCTCTCTGAGCCTCAGTTTTCACATTGTGAAACCAGGAGAATAAGTTCTATTTTTACAGGGTTATGAGAATTACAGAGACTCATACAGGCTCTTACTGATCTTCTCCATGTGTTAGGTCCATAAACTAGCTGCAGTTCAATAGGACAGAAGAGGTATATTTAAGCTGAGATTTATGATGTGCCTCAACAACACCTATAACATGATGTTAAACTCCAATCCAAGGTGAAGTCCCTGTAGAAGTACGTATTACTGGTGTTCCACTCTGGTTGGTTCCACAGCATGCTGATGCTAAAGGCTCCTTTTGAGCCATGGGATTTAGAGATCACATCTGTATTTGGAATCTATAAACATGAATTAAAGTTAAGTTGCCTAAATTGTTTCACATTCATCCAGGCTGACAGTGGTTTAAAGTTTGGTATTATACTCCTAGTGACAGATTACATGTGGATTTATGGATGTTATGTTACCTGTCTTGTAGCTCAGCTGCAGCTGCTTTGTCTGAGCGCTGGTAAATTAGCTCTTCAGGCTATAGAAGAGAAAATAGTTCAGAAAGTATAAAAATCACCTACAGTTAATTTGAACATCCTTTTAAAAATCTTAAAAATCAATGAAATCTCAGACATCGAGATATAGAAAATAATATAATGCATGCTGATGTACCCATGACCCACCAAAAGTAAAACATCATAATATAGTTCTTTCCCAATTTCATTTTTCTTCTCTCTTACCACAGAAGTAACCATGACCTGAATTTGTTTTAACACCCCTTCATTCAACAAGTACTGATTGCCTGCTGTGTGCTAGGCACTTTCATAGGTGAGAGGGATAGGGATTTGGCTATGAAAAAAAATTCCTGTCTTCATTAACACAATGTGTTTATGATTTTATTACAGATACATGTACCCCTAAACAACATTTTATTGTTTCACATGTTTTCTAAACTTTACGTAATTGTTTTATGAACATGCAACTTGTGCTTTCTCCCTTAACTTTATATTTAGTGGCAGCAACAAACATATTTTTAGAGGGCTTACTAAGATTCATTAATGCTGATTAACTACTGTAAAATATTCCATCGTGTTACATAATTTTTCTCTTCTGTCATTCCAACTCTTATGCTATTTCAAGCAATGCTCCTACTAAAAATCTTGTATATATCACCTTATACACATATGGGAGAATTTCTCTAGGGTAATGTTCTTCAAAGCTTTTTCTGAAAGGTAGATCCGGAGTATAAAATACATTTCATTACAAACCTAGTACACACATACATATATCTATCAAATGAAACAAAACTTTTAGTAAACTGCTTATGCTTACTACTTACAATCTACTACTGGTCAGGACCCTGTAAGTTAATTTTATGAGCCCCTAGTGGATCATACCCTGCAATTTAACTTGATGTTTCATTAAAAGTTATGAAATCTATTTAGTGAATTGAGATGAGCATTTAAAAAATTTAGATGGAATACATTTTGTGGTACTTTTTATGTCATGAAACTTTATATCAAAACTTTTTCTTCCACATGTGTGTAAGATGTGTATACTGGTCCTTTCACATATATGTAAACGTATATATCTGTTTCTTGTTGTGAGTTGAGCTCAGATGCGTTTGATAAACAAATACTGTTCTAGACTACCCAGGGGTAAAAAATATCTTGTAACCCAGTATAATTTCCTATCTTTTACTTTGTCTACATTTAACTGTTAATAAAAGATTTATACCTGAACACTGGAAAGGCCAGGATATGGAAGGCTTCTTGAAAAGAAAGATTTCCATAGCTTGGGCCTGGTGACATCAAAATTTATCCTTAGTGGAGATTCATATCGTTGAATATTAAACCAAATCTAAGAAAGACAAGACTACATTAGCATATATGTTAGCATGTATACATGCACATGTATGTGTGCATGGATGTATGTGTGGCATAGAGGCAGCAGAGAGACAGCAAGTGTTCATATAGGCCGCATACATTTTGTCATTTTTTGATTATAAAAATTGTGTGTATTTTACAATCAGTGGCATCATAGAGTTGTCATTGGCCATTTTTTCACATTTTTTATCTGAAGTTGGGGGTGTACCTTAGTGTTGACTGTAGATTTGATAAAAAGTGAGGTTGTTTTTTGTTATAAAAACCAAGGCCACTTCTTTCTTAGGCTAGTCTTTCCTGACCTTTCTCTTCCCAGCCTCCTAATTGAATTGAGTGTCCATTCATCTCTGCATCCACAGCAATGCGCATTCTCTGAGATAGCCCTTGTGTTGGTGAGGCAGCGTAGCATGTTGGTTCTGGAACCAGACCACTTGTGTTTTAATTTTGGCTCCAACATTTACTATTTGTGTGACCTTGGATGATTAATGTAACTTCTGTATGCCTCGGTTTCCTTCTGTTTAACAGTGGGATAATAAATAGTATCTACCTCAAGGTTGAGTTGATTCAGTGAGTTAATTAATCTGTACCTCTTAGAAAAATGCCTGGTATGTAGTAAGTGCTCAATAATTGTTAGCTATTTTAAAATTATTATTAGTTAGCATTGTTTATAATTGCCTGTCTATTCGTGTCCACATTAGGCTGTTAGACTTTTGTCCTGAGGACATTCACTATGTGCCTTATTTACCATTGTATCTTTAGCACCTAGCATAGCTCCTGGCATACAGTAGTCATACTGAGTAACTATATACATGAATTTGTCCATTCAGTATATTTAATCAGCTACCTACTATGTTGAGGCTCAGTTCTAATTACTGGGGATAAAGCAGTGAATGAAACAGATTTTCTACCCTTACAGAGTATCTAATAAGAAAAGATAGCAAACAAATAAGTAAACAGGCAGGCTCACACTCATAATCCCAGCAGTTTGGGAGGCCAAAGCGGGAGGATCACTTGAGGCCAGGGGTTCAAGACCAGTCTGGACAGCATAGTGAGACCCCCCATCTCTTAAAAAAAAATTTTTTTTTTTTTGAGAAGTAGCCAGGCGTGGTGGTGTGTTCCTATAGTCCTAGATGCTTGAGAGGCTGAGGTGGGAGGACTGCTTCAGCCCAGTATTTCAAGGCTCCAGTGAACTGTGGTCACACCACTGCACTCCAGCCTGGATGACAGCAAGTTCCTGTTTAAAGCAACAACAACAACAAAAACCAAGTAGACACATGGGATAACAGATGATGTTGCATGATGTGGTAAATTGTATCATTAGCCCCAATTCTGCACTCCTTTCTATATGCATACCCTTTCTCGTGTTACTTTGCAGTTCCTCCCACTAAAAGAGAAAAAATACACTTTTGCACTCCTTGACTTTTGGCCAGTAGACTGGGACAGAAGTCAGTGTATGGCTTCTGAGCCTACCCTTAAGAGGCTTTGTGTGCTTCTGCTTGTCCTTTTGTACCTCTGCCATTGTCATTGCACTGCATCCCAGAATAAACACACCTGAAGCTGAGCTCTCCCAGTTGACCCACAGATCTACTGTGAGAAGCAGAGCTTGTCTTGCTACCACAACTTGCAGCAGAGTTGCCCAGCCTCAATTAGCAGAACCTCCCCAGCTGACTCAGATCCCTGAGAATAAATGTTTGAAGCCATTTAGTTTGGGGGTGGGTTTTTACTGTCTTTATTGTGGCAGTAGTTAATTGTGCAAGGGCTGTGGAGAAAACAAAAATGGAGCATTTTAAGGCAGGCAGGGAAGTTCTAACTGGAAAAATCACTTTTCATCAGAAATGCAAGAAGTGAGGGAGAAATCTATGATGATATCCAGTAAGGGGGCAGTGGTCATTTATGCCTAGGAAACAACAAATGTAAAGTGTGCTTTGTTATGTTTGAGGAACAGCAAGGAATATGAAGTAGTTTTAAAGAGTGAGCAAGCTGGAGAGAGCAAGTAAGAGGTGACATTATCAGAGGAAGGGGGAGAGAGGTGGGTAGGGTGGGTATCAGATCATGGAGGTCCCGTAGGCCATTATGAAGATTTAGGCTTTGACTCTTAAGTGAGATAGGAAGTCACTGGAGTATTTGGGTAGAGGAGTGACAATTTGCCTTTTAACAGGAATTTTCTGTGCTGTTTTGAGACTAGACAAAAGAAGGTAGGGTTAAATGGTGAAACCTTCAGTTAGGACACTTGTTTTGAATAATCTGGGTGAGAGCTACAGTGACTTGAACGAACATGCTAGCAGTAAAAGTGGAGAGATGTGGTTGGACGCTGGGTATACTGTGAAGGTGGAACCAGTAGGATTTGGTTTGGATATAGGAGAGAGAGGAATCACAGATGACTCCAAGGATTTTGGCCAAAAAACCGACTGATGAAATTGACATTTATTGAGATGGGAAAGACTGCAAAGGGGAATCAGGAGTTTGGGCATCTTAAGTTTGAGATGTCTCTCTCACATCCAAATGAGGATGTTGAGTCGGTGATTGGATATTTGAGTCTGAAGTTCTGGGGAGCTAGGTGAGCTGGAGATATAAACTTGGGAATCATCGGCATATATGTGGTATTCCCTGGGAGGAATTATAGGTAGAAAAGAGGTTTGATGAACTTTGAGGATCTCTAATGTTTCAAATTTGGAGAATACAGAAAAAGTAGCAAAGGATATAGAGAAGTAGAAGCCAGTAAGGTAGGAGGCCTTGACTTGGAATCCAAATCAGAAAATTGGCTCAAGACAAGATCTTTAAGAACTACAATTTGGCTATAGAGTAGGGAATGTTCAGAAAAGTAGTGGGAAATTGCACTGCATACATAGGGCTTTGAGATCCAAGGTGGAAAGTTTACTCTTAAATCTGTATGCAGTGAAGTTCCCCTCGTACTTTCTGAGCCAGAAAGTGATGAAAGCTTAATCAGGTATCCGTGTATCAAAAAGTGAACTTAATTGGGGATACTATTTAGTTAGTTATTTATAGAAATGTAGGGCAAAACAATAATGGCATGACCTGGGAAATAGCAGAGATAGCATCTGTATGATTTGGCCTCTATAATTAGGATTGAAGTAGAATGAAGTAAGGGAGAGGGAAAATCAAGAATAATTCGAGGGTTTGAATCAGGATAAGTGATATTGATAGAAATAGGAAGCCAGGAAGGGGAGCTGGTTTTGGGGAAAATGATTTGAGTTTTGCATGTGCTGTGTGAGATTTTGATAAGGCACCTGGGTGTCTAGCAAACAGCTGAAAATTCAAGACAAAGGTTCTGGGGCTGGTTACAGATTTATCACTTCTCTACCAGGATAAACTAGATAGAGCCACAATTAATAATAATAGGTGTGGTCCTAGAAGAATCTAAATATAGAATCTTGAGGAACTTCTATTTTTAAGGGGTGGGAAGAAGAGCCATTGAAAGAAACATAAGAAACAACTGCAGAGTAATGAAGAGCAAACTGTCCTTTATCAGTAAACTACGGAGGGGGAAAGTGTTTTTTCATGAAGAACATTAGTTGTGATTTTTATGTTAAATGACAGAAAAGGAGAGGAGTGAAAATGAGAAGCAGCCATTGGATTTATTTATTCATTAGCAAGACAATGGTGCTTCTCAGAGTTTAATTTCTGCAGTATGGTCAGGAAGGAAGAGCTAGATTACAGTAGGTTAAGGTCTGAGTGTGCTTATAAAGTGAAAGCAAGAGATATAACTAGTATTTGAAGAACTTGGGGAGGAAAGGGAAGAAAGGCAATGTAGTTTTAGGTGTATAGCCAGGTTGGGAAAAGGGTATTTTAGAATTGTTGGACCCCTGAGCGTATCAATAGATAGAGGAGGAGAGAGAAAAAATAGAGGAGCTAGTTGGATGGAATAGTGGAGCATGGAATGGGAATGGAAACAAGCACAGTGGAAAGGGAAGAGACTTATTCCTTGGAAAAGGAATGACAGGAGGAAAAAGACTGACATCCAAAGAAGTTGTGTGGTGGAGTAGAGGGCAGTTGAGGTTTCAGAGTGCCAGGACAACAAAGCCAGGAGGAGGTCCTCTGCTGAGTGGCCAAGGCTTAGAGCAGGTTTAGAAGAGCTACAATGGGGGATGCACAACATCATAAGCTACTATTACCCATCTCAGAGAAGAGGAGAAAAGAATGTTCTTTCTTCCTCACAAAACCTTGGCATTATGAGAATTAGTCAACCATATAGTAATTGTTTTGAGAGCTGGTAATAATTTTGACAGATAACAGAGTTATTTGAAGGCTTTTTCAGTGCCTGTTAACCCTGCTTGATTACTAATGACCTTAAAATGATCCTCTAAATGTAGATGAGGCTTAGCAGATCACTTTTCATTATAATGACTTTTATTAAAAATAATAATTAACATGAGAATGGTGTTCCACAGTGCTCTTTACATATGTAATTAATAGTGCTGTAGTTGCTATTTGCTGAACACATGAAGGACAGATATTTTGCTGCGTGCTTGGCATATATTATCTCTAATTTTAGCAGTAATGCTTAAAAAAAATAGGTTGATGGGGCTGGGCACGGTGGCTCACGCCTGTAATCCCAGCACTTTGGGAGGCTGAGGCGGGCAGATCACCTGAGGTCGGGAGCTCAAGACCAGCCTGACCAACATGGAGAAACCCCGTCTCTACTAAAAATACAAAATTAGCTGGGTGTGGTGGTGCATGCCTGTAATCCCAGCTACTCAGAAGGCTGAGGCAGGAGAATTGCTTGAACCCGAGAGACGGAGGTTGCGTTGAGCCGAGATCGCTCCGTTGCACTCCAGCCTGGGCAACAAGAGTGAAAGTCCGTCTCAAAAAAAAAAAAAAAAATAGACTGATGGTCTTCAGAGAAGGGTCCATACCCCAGGAGGATGGGAAGAAAAAAAATAGATTTCATGTTTAAAGTAGTTTTTGGTATATTGATACGAAAATATATATAATTCATAAAAATATGCATGTTGGGGATGCATGTGCAAACAGTTTTTATAGACAGAAGCACATAAAAACAATCATTCAATAATTTGCTGGGTGTGGTGGCTCGCGCCTGTAATCCCAGCACTTTGGGAGGCTAAGGCAGGTGGATCACTTGAGGCCAGGAGTTGGAGATGAGCCTAGTCAATATGGTGAGACCTCATCTCTTACTAAATTAGCCAGGCAAGGTGGCACGTGCCTGTGATCCCAGCTACTTGGGAGGCTGAGGTAGGAGAATCGCATGAACGCAGGATGTGGAGATTGCAGTGAGCTGAGATGGCACCACTGGACTCCAGCCTAGGCGACAGAGCGAAACTATCTCAAAAGAAAAATAATAATTAAAAAAATAATTAAAGAGTTGTTACTCTGTTAGGTGCTTAACATTAATAATCTCATTCACTTCTCACAACTATTCTATAAAGTAGTGACTTTACTGTTACCTCCATTTTACCAGCGAAGAAGCTGAAGCTGTGAGAGATTGACTTTCCCAAGCCCACACAACTAGTAAATGATAAAATTGGAGTTTAAACTGAGGCAGTCTGATCGCATAACTCATTTTTCTTTGAGATGGAGTCTTGCTCTGTTGCCCAGGATGGAATGCAGTGGCTCCATCTCAGCTCGTTGCAACCTCTGCCTCCTGGGTTCAAGCAATTCTCCTGCCTCAGCCTCCCAAGTAGCTGGGATTACAGAGTCACACCATCATGCCCAGCTAATTTTTGTATTTTCAGTAGAGACGGGGTTTCGCCATGTTGGCCAGGCTGGTCTCGAACTCCTGACCTTAGGTGACCCACCCACCTTGGCCTCCCAAAGTGCTGGGATTACAGGCATGAGCCACAGCGCCCAGCTCTATAACTTATATTTTTAACCACTACTTTATTTAGTACCCTTCACAATAAAATCATGCAGCCCTCAAAACTGGCGCAACTAGAATTACCTGGGGATATTGCAGGCCAGGTGAGACCTGGGAATCTCCTTTGAAAAAAGAAAGAGAGAAAGAGACAGAGAAACCCAATCTGTTCAGGTGACAAATTTGCCTCAGTTCTTAAAACACTACGAATTAGAAATTGTAAACTCTATTTTGGATGAGAAAACTAAGGACAGACCCAGGACACAAACTCAGGTCCTCTGAATCTAAATCCTGTATTCCTTTGTTATTCTGCTTTGTCATTCTGCTTCTCGGGCAGGTCAGGTGACTAATTGAACCAAAAGTTGTATTTAGCACAGTTCCGCCACTGTGCTTGACACTGCATTTCTTTTAACTGGTATATATATATGTGTGTATATATATATATATTCATTTATATAAATATTTTGGTTACATAAAATATTTAAATCAATAGGTCAGTTATTTAAAAGAAACGACAGCTAACCATATTTAAGAAGAAATGTTAATACTTACATTGTCAGGACCTATTAAACAGCCCACATTTTTCAAGGGACAGAATGTATCAAATTGTCCATAAAAATGTCCACTGCAGGGATTCCATATTAAATAACGACCTTGCTCCCAAGTTAGCACATAGGCAGTTGGACCCTGAAAGAAGATGGCCATTAAAACTAGTTTTCAACTATTTATGCAGTGAAGGCCAATAGTAGTTTGCACAGACAATTCATTATTTTACTTGGACCCTTAATTTCTGAAATTTCATGGTTAATGGTGAAAACTACTTTGAAGTTCTAGGTTATGCTGAATTTAAAAAGTAAAGTCGAATGCTTAGTTTTGCAAAATTCTTGCATCTGATACTAGTACAATGACCAAAAAAGGACAGTCATCATCTTACTCAACCAGTATATCTTAAGATTGGCTGAAGAACTATTATTAGTGGAAATAAGCAGTCACTGGCGTTTTCTTCTTAGAGTCAGTAAGACTGCCATTTAAGTCTATAGAAGGCTGATTATGTTTGAATAGAAATATTTCTATTTCTAATATAGTAATTTATATTTGATAAACATTTGTAACTATGTAAATGCATAGTAGATTTGGAAGGATATGTACCAAACAGTTAAGAATGACTGTACCTGGGGAGGGGAGTGGAATTGGGGGTTGGGGAAGTAGAAGTCCCTTGTCAAGGTATTCTGGATCTTCTGACAAGGGACTTCTACTTTTTACACAGAATACTTACGTATTGTTAGGTTCTATTTTTACAATGAGAATTTTTTTATTATTTATTTAAATTATTATTTATTTATTATTGTTATCATTTATTCCCCCTGTATGATTTCACTTGATGCTCACAACAGTTTTCTGGGGAAGGCGGGGCAGAAATTATCCCACTTTTCTATAAAACCCAGAGTTGTGGAGTGACCTACTTAGTGTCACACAGCTAATGAGGAGTGGGCACAGAACCTTGAACTTCAGCCTTATAACTTCCAAGCCCAGTGTTCTTTTATTGGGACCAGACTATCTGGGAGATAATGATGGAGAATGAATTTGAATATGAATATGATACTACTTTATTACCTGCCTTGCAGCAACTCATGCTATCGAATTTCCAAGGATTCCTAGAGCCTTGTGGCCTCTTTGGATAAACTGCTCTAATGTATGTGAATTTTCTAAACTTACCTATTTGCATCACAAATGTAGGGATATTTGTAGTGGGCTAGGGAAAAATTCTAATAGTCTCCAATCTAATAAAAATAACAATGTTAATATAAAAATAAAGCTGCTAACGTTCTTTTCATTCCTCCTTATCTGGCTTATTCCCCTTTGCATGCCAGGCTAGCAGCAGATACCTATAGAAGCAGTAGGCATGAAAGGAGAGATCTCTAACCTTACCACACACACTCCTTTGGATCCTCTTCATTGCAAAGCATGAAGACTACCACATCATTAAGGGAATCTGAATTCTTGGGAACATGGCTGGGAAGAGGCCCATACTAAAAGGACAGAGCTAGGTGGGGGCTTTGGATGGTAAAGGGTTCGGGTTTGCCAAAAAATAATCTGAAGTGTTGCATGGGGCCCTGAGGACCACTGAAAACCATTTCATGTCTTATCACTGGTAGTTCTCTCTGCCCGTTACGGCATCTGTGGGCCACTTTCCTAGCAACCCAAAGGATCGTTATGAAAATATGTCCTGTGTGTGATCTGGAACACACAACTCGATTAGACAACTATACTCCTCTGTTAAAGGCAGCCTATGTGGTCTTACCTCAGGAATAGCATTGCCCATCAACAGCCAGGCCTTCTTACCCAGAGACAGAAAGTAATTACACAATAGTACTGCATGTTCTTCTTCATCCCCTGCCAGGAGATCAAGAAATTGCTGACAAAAAGAAAAAAAAATTATGTTGTATGACTCAATGCTTTATTCTGGATTGGTTGTGCAGGATTCTAATATGTCATAGTAGAGGTTAGTGTCTTGAAGTGTAAGACCTATAATCTTGCCCGAAATTTTGATACTATGTTGATAATTCATTTTTTTAAAAAACCACTTTTAGTGGGCATGGTGTTTTCTCTGACATTGATGATGTGGATTTCTAGAATCAATACTCACTATGATTGTGGTAGGGTCGGGGAGAAAAATTTCAAAGTTTCGTTTTTATTTTTAATGTATATATAGTTCATGTGCTAAACGATCTTTAAAGCACATTACTTCATTAAACTTACTTAATTCTAGAACAATTTGCATATTTTACAGATGAGCAAGTTGAGGTACAGATTAATAAGGTAACACTTAGGAAGTAGTAAAGCCAGTCTAGCTCTAGAGCAAGGGTCCCCAGTCCCCCAGCTGTGGACTAGTGCCAGTCTGTGGCCTGTTAGGAACTAGGCTGCACAGCAGGAGGTGAGTAGCAGGTGAACAAGCATTACCACGTGAGCTCTGCCTCTTGTCACATCAGTGGGGGCATTAGATTCTCATAGGAGTGCAAACCCTATTATGAATTGCACATGCAAGGAATCCAGGTCGTGCAGGCCTTATGAGAATCTAATGCCTGATGATCTGAGGTGAAACAGTTTCATTCCGAAACCATCCCTGACTCCACCTCTGACTGATCCATGGAAAAATTGTATTCTACAAAACTAGTCCCTGATGCCAAAAGGGGACTGCTGCTCTAGAGTACACAAATTCTAGTCTTTCAGTAACTTCTTATAGATGTCTCAAAGTTGTAGAAATTTTATCTCTAAAATTGTCAACATTTATGTTGCCAAAATGTATTGGGGAACAAAAAATTTAAAGTGCACTTAAATTTCTTCAATTTAGGGCTATACTTCAAAGGAAGTTGTATAATACAGTTCAGTTTTATGCAAAAGCAGTACAACATGAGATCCAGAAGTAGAATTAATACCTGTGATAATATATGCTTGTTTCATACTACCTATGATATATTTGAGAGATTATGCAGCATACATAGATTGTAAATTCCATGAGGGCAGAGACTATGTTTATTTCATTTATAGCCAGAATTTAGTACAGCATCTGGTATGTGGTAAGTGACCAAGAAGTACATACTGAATAAATAATAATTTGCCATGCCTTACAAAGCCCACAAATTAAGGAATATATCATTTCTAATTATAATATAGAATGTAATTTTGGTATTTTTCATGAACAAAACCAAGAAGTTTTACAGTAATACTGGGAGGGTAAATCAGCATTAAGACATCTGAAGTGTTACTTTTAAATTTTTTGTGTAATTAATTTTTTGTTAACTTCTGAACCTTGAGAAAATTGAACCAGGAAGAAAAAATACTTCAAAATTTAGCTCATATTACTAAACAGCCAATTAGATTTTTATGGCTAATGAATGTTGCAATTTAAAATTATGCAAGTCAGTTAGCTAATATTTCATTAAGTCAGCTCAAGTTTCTAAATCTGTGAAGAAGAACTACTTACATCAGATGTGCTCCAGAGGTCACAGATACCACCAAATGAGACAGTGTCAGGCAAGAAGGGAATCAAGGACACATATCGAGCCACCAGTTCCTGTATAATCAAAATGAGCTTTACAAAAATAATTTATAATAAAACAGAATGCTGCATCCCCTACCTCATTTCTTAAATCTCAAATATTACAAACATTTACATGTACAAAATGAAACTAATGCTCACTAAATATTGTATTAATATCTCCATCCTCACCAAACATCCTATATGGAAGGTTATTGTTATTACCCATTCTTTACAGATGAAGAAACTGTGTCCCTTTGACAAGTCTTTTTTAATTTTCTTTCATTTCGCACTACTTTACTTTCTGATATAAAAAGACTTTCTAGAATCATCTTGCATTTTCACTTGGCCCAGTCTTGAAAGCAGTCATTTCTCTAAGGAGCCCTGGTTGAGAGGGTAATAGTACTTGGGAACCAAGACATGTGGTTCCCAATAGTACTTGGGAACCAAAACAGTGAGGTTTCAATGCATTTACACATTGTATAATGTTGAAATCAGGGTAATTGGCATATCCATCACTTTAAACATTTATCATTTCTTTGCGGTGATAATATTCAAAATCCTCTCTTCTAGTTAGCTGGAAATATACTATACATTATTATTAACTGTATTCATCATACTGTGTAATAGAACACCAGAACTCATTCTTCCTAACTGTAACTTTGCACCTGTTGAACAGCCTCTCTCCATCTGCACTCCTGCCTTCCCTCCCCAGCCTCTAGTAAACACTATTCTACTCTCTACTTTGAGATAAACTTTTAGTTTCCACATATGCATGAGATCATATTGTCTCTGTCCTTCTGTCCTGGCTTATTTCACTTAACATGCCCACCAGCTTCACCCATGTTGTCGCAAATGACAGAATTTCATTCTGTTTTGTGGTTGATTGGCATTCCATTGTGTATATTTACCACATTTTCTTTATTCATTCATCCATAGATGGGTACTTTGCTTGATTCCATATCTTGGCTATTGTGAATAGCACTGCAATACACGTGTGAGTGCAGATACTTCTTCGATATACTGATTTCATTTCCTTTGGATATATACCTAGTAATGGGATTGCCAGATCACATTGTAGTTCTGATTTTAATTTGTGAGGACCCTCTATACTGTTTTTCAATATTGGCTGTATTAATTTACATTCCTACCAACTGTGTATAAGAGTTCCTCTTTCTTCAGACCCTTGCCAGCATTTGTCATTTTTTGTCTTTCTGAAAAGAGCCATTTTAACTGGAGTGAGGTGGTGTCTCATGGTTTTGATTTGCATTTCTCTGATGATTAGTGATGTTGAACATTTTTTCATTTGTTTGTTGGACATTTGTCTTCTTTTGAGAAATACCAATTCAGCTCTTTTGCTAATTTTTAAATCAAACTATTTGGGGTTTTCTGCTATTGAGTTGTTTGAGTTCCTTACGTATTCTAGATTTTAACCCCTTGTTAGACACAGCTTGCAAATACTATCTCCTATTCTGTGTAGGTTGTCTCTTGACTCTATTGATTGTTTCCTTTGCTGTGCAGAAGCTTTTTAGATTGATGTAATCTCATTTGTCTGTTTTTGCTTTTGTTGCCTGTGCTTTTGAGGTCTTACTAAAAAAAATCCCCTCCAAATTTCATGAAGTACTTCCCTTGTATTGTCTTTTAATAGTTTCATAGTTTCAGTTCTTACATTTAATTCATTAATCCTTTCAGAGTTGATTTTTGTATATGGTGAGTGATGGGGGCTCTAGTTTTATTTTTCTGCCTGTGGATGTCATTTTTCCAGCACCATTTATTGACCAGACTGTCCTTTTTCCCAATGTGTGTTCTTGGTGCCTTAGTCAAAAATCAGTTGGCTGTAAATGCATGGACTTATTTCTGGGTTTGCTATCCTCTTCCATTGGTCTATGTGGGTTTTTAGACCACAGCCATGCTGTTTTAGTTACTACAGTAGTATATTTTGAAGACAGGTAGTGTGATACTTCCAGTTCTTTGTTCTTTTTACTCAAGGTTACATTGGCTATTTGGGATCTTTTCTTATTTCCATATGAATTTTAAGATTTTTTTTTTCTATTTCTGTGAAGAATGTCTTGGTATTTTGATAGTGCATTGAATCTGTAGATTGCTTTGGGTAATATGGATATATTAACAATATTAATTCTTCCAATCCATGAACACAGGATATCTTTCCATTTATTTGTGCCTTCCTCAATTTCTTTCATCAGTGTTTGTAATTTTCTTTTCTTTTCTTTTTTTTTTTTTTGAGATGGAGTCTCGCTCTGTCACCCAGGCTGGAGTGTAGTGGCACGATCCTGGCTCACTGCAAGCTCCACCTCCCAGGTTCACGCCATTCTCCTGCCTCAGCCTCCCGAGTAGCTGGGACTACAGGTGCCCGCCACCACGCCCGGCTAACTTTTTTTGTATTTTTAGTAGAGACGGGGTTACACCATATTAGCCAGGATGGTCTAGATCTCCTGACCTCGTGATCCGCCCGCCTCGGCCTCCCAAAGTGCTGGGATTACAGGCGTGAGCCACCACGCTGAGCCCAGTGTTTGTAATTTTCATTGCAGAGATCTTTCACCTCATTGGTTAAGTTTATCCCTAGGTATCTTATAAATTTTTGTAGCTATTGTATATGGGATTGCTTCTTGATTTTTTTAAGCTAGTTTATTATTGGTTTATAGAAACACTACTAAATTTTCGATGTTGATTTTGTTTCCTGCAACTTTACTAAACTTATTTATTAGTTCTAACAGTTTCTTGATGGGGTCTTTAGGGTTTTCTAAATTTATGATCATGTCACCTGCAGATGAGAACAACTTGACTTCCTCCTTTCAAATCTGGATGCCCTTTATTTATTTCTTTTGCCTCATTGCTCTAGCTAGAACTTTCAGTACTATGTTGAATAGAGTTGGAGAAAGTGGGCATCCTTGTCTTGTTCCTGATCTTAGAGGAAAACTTTTCAACTTTTCACTGTTCAGTATGATGTTAGCTGTGGGTTTGTCATTTATGACCTTTATTGTGTTGAAATATGTTCCTTCTATACCCAATTCATTGAGTTTTTATCATGAGGGATGTTGAATTCCATTGAATTCTTTTTCACCATCTGTTGAAATGATCAAGTGGTTCTTGTCCTTGATTCTGTAAATGTGATATATCACACTTATTGATTTGCCTGTGTTGAACCATCCTTGTATCCCTGGAATGAGTCCCACTTGACCATGTTGCATTATTTTTTTAATATATTATTGAATTTTGTTTGGCAATATTTTGTTGAGGATTTTTAGAGCTATGTTTATCCTAGAATATAGGCCTGTAGTTTTATTGTTGTTATGCCTTTGGTTTTGGTATCAGGATAATGCTGGCCCATAAAATGACTTTAACAGAGTTCCCTCTTCTTTAATTTTTTTTGGAATAGTTTGAGCAGAATTGATGTTAGTCCTTATTTAAACATTTGGTGGAATTTAGCAGTGAAACCATCAGGTCCTAGGCTTTTCTTTGGTAGGAGACTTTTCATTACAGCTTCAATCTCATTACTTGTTATTGTTCTGTTCAGGTATATTTCTTCATGATTCAGTCTTGGTAAGTTGTATATGTTCATGAATTTATTTGTTTCTTCCAAGTTTTATAATTTGGTTCATAATTGTTCAAATAAGTCTCTTATAATCCTTTGCATTTCTGTGCTATCAGTTGCAGTGTCTCCTTTTTTATTTCTGATTTTATTTAAGTCATCTCTCTTTTTTCTTATTCCAGCTAAAGGTTTGTTGATTTTGTTTATCTTTTCTAAAAATCAGCTCTTTGTTGCATTGATCTTTTGCATTTTTAAGTCTTTATTTTGTTTATTTCTGCTCTTATTTTTATTATTTCTTCCCTTCTACTTAATTTGGGTTTAGATTCTGTGTGCTGTATTCCAAATAATTTCTTTGCTTGTGTATTCTAGTTCAATAATTCTCTTTATATTTAACTGTATGTAATTTACCTCTTATTTAACTGTATTCAATGTTTTGTTTAACCTGTTTAATTTCTAATTTTAACTATTATATCTTTTATTGTTATAAGTTCCACTTGGTACTTTAAAAAATCTGCCTGTCAATTCCAATGCTCTATTGTTTTTTAATTATACTTTAAATTCCCCAAATTTCTTAAATATATTAAACATGTCTATGTTATATTTTACATCCAATAATTCTCCTGTCTGGAGTTACTATGGCCTGATTCTTCAGTTTGTTGTTTTTGTGAATGAACTCTTACCTTCTTTATGGTGATTTACTTCTTCATTGATGATCTTTCATTGTATGTTCATGTTTCTTGGAATTTTTTTCTGTGGAATTTTTTTGAGGCTGAGTTAGAAGGGCATTCTTCTAGGAATATTTGTGGTATTTATGTTTGCTTTCAACAGGGATCTAGGGGCATTACCAACAGGAAATACTTTCAACTAGATTTTCAGTTGAAGTTTTTTTGGGTTATACAGGTAGTATAAATTCCAGTCTCAAATGTGAGTAAATACAGAGTAGGTGTTAGAAAGTTTTCTTTTTTTCTCTTCCATCCAAAGTCAAGACTGAGACAGGCAGTGTTCCTTCTTTAGACAGGGCATTTCCTAGTTTATCCATTGATGGTATTATCCTGAAGAGTCCCAACTCTGCATTTGAGTCTCTAATTCAGTCTTCCAGGCTGCTGTAGCCCCATGCATTATCCCTGTGTCCCACAGCCTTGTGGTCATTGAAACCCAGCTATAGTCATTAGGAATTATCAGATGACCTGAGAGCAAACACTATTTCAAGCTTTCATCATTGTAGAATCTTCCTTTCTTATTTCTTGTCTCTTATATTTTCCCTATCACTTTACTTTCATTTCAGCCATGACTTATTAGATATTTTATTCATCACTCTTAAGTGTTCTCTACTGGGAGAAATTTTCTGTACATCTACTATGCTAGGTAGAATAGAAGTCCCTATTATTGTTTTCTATAAAAATTGTGTAATATAAAAAGCAAATGAAATGTAGAACACAAAGTGGGGTTTTTTTTGATACATCTATATCTACAAAAAGATATATCATTACCTTGTTTCTAAATTAGTATATTAGTGACTATTAGTAGCAATAACTTCCTATATTATCCACTCTCCAAAGGCAGTTATGGGTTATGGTATCCACATAAAATTAGCCTGGTTAACATATGCCTTCTGATTCACACAAGTTTGTGATGGGTATGGTGCTCTGAAGCCAGAGAATGGTGCATGCATATTTAATGGCCCAGTGTGGAAGTACTTTGGAATGATGGTCTAAATGCTGAAAATACTTAAATATTTGAAATAAATTTTGCTTAATTTGAACTCAGTGATGCATATAGCATTAGGCGTAATACTGGATAGTTATCTTAGTACAGTTGAATGTGTATAACTTCTGAAGTCAGAGGCATCAGTTCAAATCCTAACAAAGTGATTGAGAATACATAATGAAAACATGTTTATGTAATACATTTTGGAAGTGTAAAGCATTTTCCATATGTTAATTTTCCAACATATGGAAACTGTCATCCCTGGTACCTTTAGACTTTTTTTTTTTTTTTTTTTTTTGAGACAGAGTCTTGCTCTGTCACCCAGGCTAGAGTGCAATGACACAATTTTGGCTCACTGAAACCTCTGCCTCCCAGGTTCAAGCTATTCTTAGGCCTCAGCCTCCCGAGTAGCTGGGACTACAGGCATGCACCACCACACCAGGCTAATTTTTGTATTTCCAGTAGAGATGGGGTTTCGCCATGTTGGCCAGGCTAGTGTCAAACTCCTGGCCTCAAGTCATCTGCCCGCCTTGGCCTCCCAAAGTGCTGGGATTACAGGCATGAGCCACTGCCTGGCTGCCTTCAGACTTTTCTAAAGGAAGAAAACCTCATGTTAATAAAAATGTTTTAATCATTACTTTTGTCATTAATGATCTCGATATAGTTAACATCTTAAGCACTATGAAATATGGTAATTAAAATGGCAATATATTGAAATGTGAAAACAGTTTTAGCACAGCACTTATTGACTATGAAATACTTACTGCAGTTGCCTGTAGATTATTGGGGTAGACATTAAGGAGCTCCTGAGGAGGGTTTAAAGGTTTGAGATAACGTGTGATAAAAACAGTTTTTCCGCTTATATCAATTACTGTTGTAAGGCACTGACGATTTGGAAACTTTAAGGCACATTCAGCTTGAAACTTCTCAGTTGCTTGAAGTAATTTCTCATCTTCCTGAGACTCAAACTTCAAAAAGAAAGACTTCATGGAGTTTATGTATGATTACAAGAGAGAAAGTACGTGTTCAGATTCCACAGTCAACATGCAGGAAATGTATGGTTTGGGAATATGACTGACTCCTTACAAAGCTGTCATGTCCTGGTGTCCCTGCAGCTTTATTTAAATTAAATTTGTAGTTTGAAAATTAGACCGACTCATTAAATACTTAAAATATATTTGACAGGATTGAAATAAAGTAGCAGGTAAGCAGCCATATGGAAACTACTACATTAATAATCTATGAAAATTAAACTGTGATGTACTAATTCTGATTGATGAGGCTAGAATTAGGCAGTAGAGTTTTGTGTGTATTTTGATGGTGGTTTTAAGTGTGCAGGCTGGGGGGCGGCCCCAGAAAATCTAACATCTCATATGTAAATCTTAAGCAACTCATGTTAAATGGGCAGCAAATTTATGGATCTATATCAATGTGTTAAAATGTTTCAAGTCCATAAGCAGTGAAATAACTAATAGTAATGGATCTCAAAGGAAAAAAGAGGCAGAACTAGAAACATCAAATGTATAAGAATTATTTTAAATAACTGGTTGCTCATCTTGGTTCTCTGAGCCAAGATGAGCAAACAATTCCCAGACTTTTTTTTTTTTGAGACAGGGTCTTATTCTGTCACCTAGGCTGAAGTGCAGTGGCACAAACACAGCTTACTGTACCCTCAAACTCCTGGGCTCAAGTGATTCTCCCACTTTGGCCTCCTAAAGCAATGGGATTACAGGCGTGAGCCACTACATCCAGCCACCAATTCCCAGACTTTTAAAAAGTAACTCAAAGCAGATGAAACAGAACAAATGTAGATTTCCTTTACACACATATTGTCATTTCCCCCACTAAAGCTGCTACTAACAAAAATAACATGAAAAAGAGTGGGTCTTTAAATATTTTTAAATTTTTTTTGTATAAAAATATTTTCATAGTTGGTTACATTTTAAAGGATTTCAGAACAAATTGAAAATTTTATTTTAAAAATTAATTTTGGGGGCTGGGCACAGTGTCTCACACCTGCAATCCCAGCACTTTGAGAGGCTGAGACAAGAGGATCACCTGAGCTCAGGAGTTTGAGACCAGCCTGGGCAACATAATGGGACCCTGTCTCTATTAAAAACAAACAAACAAACAAACAAACAAACAAACCAGGTGTAGTGATGCGTGCTTGTAGTCCCAGCTACTTGGGAGGCTAAGGTAGGGGGCTCACTTGAGCCTGGGAGGCGGAGGTTGCAGTGAGCTGAGATTGAGCCACTGCACTCCAACCTGGGCAACAGAGTGAGACTCTGTTAAAAAAGAATAATAATTTTAAAACAGAATTTAGAGGCAGTGCTTGAAAATGTTTTTGACATTGTGATATATTTGTTTTCTCAGTCTTTCCCACAAAGTAAGATTCCTGACTTCAGGGATTTTGTTTTTTTATCTCCAGTGTGGAGAATACTACTTGGCACATAGTAAGTATTTAACAAATGAGTGAATGAATGAGGCAATGGAAAACATTTCATTACTTTTTATGACCTCAAATAGAATCTAGATTATCCCAATTGTTCTTGTCTGCCCCTTATATTGGGGCTGAACTGTGGCTTCTATTCCAGATTTGATTACTATACCCTAAGAAGTTGGAGTAGTGGTTGTAGGGGTTATTTAGGATGGAGATATCTCCAGAAGCCTCCTATATATTCTCATAAAATGTCCCTTGACATCTAAATCTTAACATCATCACAGTCATAACTGCCTGCTGCTGAGCATAGTGCCAAGACAGTAGCTACCTAATAAAAGTTACGATGAATATGTAACTAAGTGAAAGAGGTAAGCTCATACAGCTTTGGTGTAGGTGTATCACAGATTTCTAATGTAGAATGGTCAGTCCAGGAGTAATTGTAATTGTGGAAAAATGGAGAATTATAAAACAAGAATGATGTGCAAAAAAGGACACAGTTGAATTCATCTGTGTTCCTCTAAACTATTTCATTTACTCATTCATCCAAGTTTTGAAAAATGTTGGGAGTCTGAAAAATTCCAGGCACTCTGGATAAATGAGTATGGAAGAATCCTCCAAAAGAACTTTTAGTCTACAGGGGAACATTAATAAGCAATCAGGGACTTGAGACCTACAGTGCTGTGGGAGCATGTAAGAGAGGCAGCTATAGGCACTGTCCAAAAGAACAACAACAATCTTGAATCAGTACTGATTATTGGCCTTCCAAGTTAAAAAAAAAAAAGTGTGTCTAAAGCTTTTTCTACCACTTTCATTGGAATGTTCTGTTGAGTCACTTGCCTCTATAAGCAGTCCTTCTTGAGGCCTGTGTTTGAATATTCCTTATGTACACCTAGCATACACATGGTAAGCATTTAGTCTTTAATACTTGTCTAGGCCACCAAGATGCCATTTTATGGTGTGAAACAGGAATTTAAGGATTAGTAGTATGCTATGTTAGTGATCTAAGAAGTGCCAAGGAGAAGTTAAATACTGAAAGAATTTGGGTCACTTATGATGAAACAAATTAAGGTGGAGCTGACAAATTTCAGTTTGATTCAACAGAAAATTTGAAAGGTTCTTGACTGGCTCAATTCTTTGGCCTCTAATGTAAACATTTATAAAAAACTGAATGGGTGTATGTTGCCTTTGAAAAGCTACACTGGCCAGGTGCAGTGGCTCACACCTGTAATCTCAGCACTTTGGGAGGCTGACGCCGGAGGATCACTTGAGCCCAGGAGTTTGAAAGCAGCCTGGTCAACAAAAGGAGACCTCAACTCTACAAAAAAAATAAACAAAATTAGCTGTGCCTAGTGGCACATGCCTGTGGTCCCAGTACTTGGGAGGCTGAGGTAGGAGCATCACTTGGGCTGAAGAGGTCGAGGCTGCAGCAAGCTGTGATGGCACCACTGCACTCCAGCTAGGTGACAGAGCAAGACCCTCTCTCAAAAACAAAAAACAACAACAAAAAAGAAAAGCTGTACTGAGACAGCCCCAACCCACCAGAAATAACTTTCAGAGATACACTGTAAGAAGCAGCTCGTGGGTTTTATAGATTTGCAAAGAGTAGAGCTAGCTCCCAGTATGCAGGTGACATTCAGACTGATGACTTCTTAGATTCAAAGCTAACTAACAGTCTTTCTGGTAAAATGAAATGGGCCAAAAGATAAGGCAGGACATTCCTCATGGAACTGGAGACATCTGTAATTCAATGCCCAGGCATTACACATACGTTAGGACATAACACCTGTCCCTCAGGTGGCAGTGGACAGAAGCAGCTAATTAAAGCCTAATAACTATTGACCAATAAAATAGTAAAACAAAATACTTAGTACCTTCTTAAGCATGTTACTCATCTATCAGAGGCAAGAAAGAAAGAAAGAAAAAGAAACAAGAGGCAGGCTTTAGTAACAGAGATAATCTTTAAAAAAACATTTTTAACAAGATCATGTAAGTGATATTAAAATAAGAGTTTCAGGAGTTTCTACCCATCTTTAAAAATTTTCCATTGGTAAATATGTTTAAAACATCCTATGGAATGGTTCCATATGGCATGGTGGTAGAGGAGAGACTCTAATCTGCTAATCCAGGAAGTATTGCTGTAAGTGGAAAAACAATTCCAGGTTGTTGACCCTATAATTTTAGGATGAGACCTTCTCTTTCCTGAATTGTCTGCAAGTGAATCACTGAGCAGTGTTTTCTGCCACTGCCTCTTTTGGACATAAGGGTTCTGTCAATCAACATGCCTTCCTTATCAAACAGCCACAAAGAATCTGCCTTCCATAGGGGTTTTTTAAGCCCTCATTTTAGAGGTCTAAGATAAATGCTTTCTACAGCCACAGTGCGGTAGTGACCTGCCACCAAAGGCAGAATCTGACTGCCATTTAATAGCTTTAGGGAAGGAAGGCTGCAGGACTTGAGGACTGTGGTTCAGAGCCCTGGAGGCCTCTTTAAAGTCCTGCAGTAAGAAGTCAGGGCCCGTGAGGGATGCCTAGTGTGGAGGAGTCTTGGGCTTTCATCCTTTCTGCCAGGATAGACTGCTTTCACGTGTTTTAGAAACACACCCCCAAGGTGGGGTCCTAGCTGACTGCCTGTTCTTCTGTTACATATACATAGAAACAGCAAAATCATCTTTTGTCTGGAAGTATTTTTGTGTGTAAACATGTTTATTGGCGTTCATTTGAATTTATATTATACATGAAGACAAACATTCAGAATATATTTTCCCTTTCTAAAATATTTTGAAATGCATATATCTAGAGAAGCACTGTTTTACTGACAAAATATACAATTAATTTAAATTTCAGTGCATTGCAGATGGGAGATAGTGATGATATTTTTCTCTGGGAACCAAATTGTAATACTGGAAAAAAAGGAGTATGTTTGTTTTTTTCCATCTCTATCTAAGTCTTAATTATAATGGATAGACTAGAGTAAGCACAATAATCTGTGCACTATAGGTTAGTAGTTAACAACTTACGCTTACATGTGAATGTAAGCTTGGAGGAATTTTTATTTGCTTTTCTAGCCTACTGTACTCCCAGTGCCTAAGAAATGTCTGTCACACAGAAGATGTGCAGTAAATATATGCTGAATATGTACAGTTTAGAGTCAGACAGACATGTGTTACCTCTGCCTATGTCACCCTGCATAAATTGAAGCTTATTTTCCTCTTCTGTAAGTTGGAGACCCCTTGTCCAAGACACCTATGCATATTCAGGTCAGAACATGCATCCAAGGTTTGACATAGTGCTAAGGACAGAGTACGGATTCAGTACATCATGGTGGTTGTTGTTGATGTTATTACTGTATTTGTTTACATATGAATAAGAGGTCACCATCAATATATTCTCCCAAATCCAATGAGGGCAGTATGTATAAATGCTATACAACTATGTTACAGGAAGACATTTATTTCTTAACACATTTATGCCTGAGGTTGCAATTTTTTGAATTTTTGCAATCAGACCTTGGAAATGACCTTGAGAGGTAGGATATAAATAACTCCCACATGCGTAGCGTTCCAGTAATGGAACACTAGGCATAAATAGGTTTAATGAAGGTTCAGGGACAGTTGCTAACCAGTGAAAGTTCTGGAAACTCTTTTCTAGAGCTGTTTAAAAGCATACTTGTACATATATTTATTTCATGAAATGAATTGAGGTGACTCATGAAGGTCATCTAGTCTTATGATCCTATGAATTGATTCAATGCATACCATAGCCAAGGATGTAAGATCAGACATGGAAATGTATTCTTGCCAATACTTGTCAAATAAAAGAGCAATCTGATATTCTAGTTTGTGATATTTCATTTTCTTCACATTGAGAACATTCTTCTAGAAGTAGAGCATGTTTATATTTGTCTTGCTTTGACTAAAAGTCTTAAGTTTTAGGCAAAGCAAGATAAATATAAACATATTGCTGATTGACCCGATTACTGGTTCAGTGAAAGTACAAACCCACACATCTGTTTTCTCACCACCATTCTATCTAAACTGAAAGAATAATAAATGGAGATTGAAGTAAGGAAGGCTCTGTTTGTGTAGGAAAAAGTTCATAAAAGTATAGCCTAGCAAGCATTTCTTGTGTTTTATCAACATAGACATGGGTTTCCAAACTATAAGTAGTTACCTTTTCTCGAATGGACTCTCCAGGAACCAGCTGGGGCTCAATGGTAATAAAGAGGGTAATGTAGGAGCCTTCACTTAAGCTTCGGACAGAATCAAAACCCCGCTCAAGAATCATATTTCGCTCCTTACTGTAGCCCAGAAGAACTGGGGGAATATCTATTTTAAATGTTCCATCAATCTGTGAAGAAAATATGACTTGGTAAACATCCTGATGCTTTTTCCAACAGAAGTTGAGAGGCAAGTGTCAACTCCTCATTGTTTAATAAATTGAACCAAAATTGCTCAGACTGGCATTCAAAGCCAATCCCATCTTTCTAATCTCATCTCTCTAAGCACTCGCCAGAAAGGGCTCTGTACTTCCTTGCCTTCTTTTCATTGTTTAGCAGAGGGTGTACTGAATATACAATTTGCTTAGGTTCAAGTCTTGGTTTAAACGCAGTTTTGGGTTCAAAACTTGGTTTACAAATGAGGAATCTGAGGCTTCCTCATTAGTAAAAAGAGACAATAATAGTATCTACTTTGTGGGGTTGTTATGAGTAGTGAATGAATAGATATAAAACACTAAGAAAAATGTCCAGCATATGGTAAGCAATCAATAAATATTGGCTACTGGCCATTCCCCATTTCTAGAATGCCCAACTTCCCATCTCCATTTTTCAGAATTTTAATTATATTCCAAAGCTTAGATCAAATGTTATCTAAGGATACAGGAAAACAAGAGTATAAAAACGATGGCAGGCCAGGCACAGTGGCTCACGCCAGATATCCCAGCACTTTGGGAGGCCGAGGCAGGTAGAGCACTTGAGGTCAGGAGTTTGAGACAAGCCTGGCCAACAAGGTGAAACTCCATCTTTACCAAAAATACAAAAATTAGCCAGGTGTGGTGGCACACGCCTGTGGTCCCAGCTACTTGGGAGGCTGACACAGGACAATCGCTTGAACCTGGGAGGTGGAGGTTGCAGTGAGCCGAGATGGCGCCACTGCACTCCAGCCTGGATGACAGAACCAGACTCTGTCTCAAAAACGAAAACAAAAAACTATGGCATGGAAAGTACAGCTGAAATAACCGAGCTTGTTTATTCTGTAAAATAGATGACACAGGAAGGAATGTGTGCCATTTTTGAAGATTTGAAGTATAAGGATTTAAGACAGGGTTTCTCAGCTTGGGCACTATGGTGGTTAAGTATCGATTGGACTGAAGGATACAAAGTATTGTTCCTGGGTGTGTCTGTGAGTGTGCTGCCAAGGGAGATTAACATTTGAGTCAGTGGACTGGGTGGGCACCATCTGATCAGCTGCCAGCATGGCTAGGAGAAGAGCAGGCAGAAGAATGTGGAAGGACTAGACTGGCTGAGTCTTCCCCCCTTCATCTTTCTCCCATGCTGGATGCTTCCTGCCCTCAAACATTAGA